>NC_000005.10:60109807-60734807 GCF_000001405.40 Homo sapiens | reverse complement strand
ATATGCCCAGTAATGGGATTGCTGGGTCAAATGGTATTTCTAGTTCTAGATCCTTGAGGAATCACCACACTGTCTTCCACAATGGCTGAACTAGTTTACAGTCCCACCAACAATGTAAAAGTGTTCCTATTTTTCCACAATCTCTCCAGCATCTGTTGTTTCCTGACTGGTTTTTTTTTTTTTTTTTTTTTTTTTTTTTTTTTGGAGACAGAGTCTCACTCTGTCACCAGGCTGGAGTGCAGTAGCACGATCTCAGCTCACTGCAACCTCCACCTCCCTGGTTCAAGTGATTCTCCTGCCTCAGCTTCCTGAGTGGCTGAGACTACAGGCATGCACCACCATGCCCAGCTAATTTTTGTATTTTTATTAGAGACGGGGTTTCACCATGTTGGCCGGGATGGTCTCGATTTCTTGACCTCATGATCTGCCCACCTCGGCCTCCCAAAGTGCTGGGATTACAGGCGTGAGCCACCGCACCCAGCCATTTCCTGACTTTTTAATGATCACCATTCTAACTGGCATGAGATGGTATCTCATTGTGGTTTTGATTTGCATTTCTCTAATGACCAGTGATGATGAGCATTTTTTCATATGTCTGTTGGCTGCACAAATGTCTTCTTTTTAGAAGTGTCTGTTCATATCCTTTGCCTATGTTTTGATGGGGTTGTTTTTTTCTTGTAAATTTGTTTAAATTATTCGTAGATTCTGGTTATTAGCACTTTGTCAGATGGATAGATTGCAAAAATTTTCTCCCATTGTATAGGTGGCCTGTTCACTCTGATGATAGTTTCTTTTGCTGTGCAGAAGCTCTTTAGTTTAATTAGATCCCATTTGTCAATTTTGGCTTTTGTTGCCATTGCTTTTGGTGTTTTAGACATAAAGTCTTTGCCCATGCCTATGTCCTGAATGGTATTGCCCAGGTTTTCTTCTAAAATTTTTATGGTCCTAGGTCTTACATTTAAGTCTTTAATCCATCTTGAGTTGATTTTTGTATAAGGTGTAAGGAAGGGGTCCAGTTTTCTGCATATGGCTAGCCAGTTTTCCCAACAACATTTATTAAATAGGGAATCTTTTCCCTATTGCTTGTGTGTATCAGGATTGTCAAAGATCAGATGGTGGTAGATGTGTGGTGTTATTTCTGAGGCCTCTGTTCTGTTGGTCTGTATATCTATTTTGGTACCAGTAACATGCTCTTTTGGTTACTGTAACCTTGTAGTATAGTTTGAAGTCAGGTAGCGTGATGCCTCCAGCTTTGTTCTTCTCGCCCAGGATTGCATTGGCTATGTGGGCTCTTTTTTGGTTCCACATGAAGTTTAAAGTAGTTTTTTCCAATTCTATGAAGAAAGTCATGGTAGCTTGATGGGGATAGCATTGAATGTATAAATTACTTTGGGCAGTAAGGCCATTTTAACGATATTAATTCTTCCTATCCATGAGCATGGAATGTTTTTCCATTTGTTTGGGTCCTCTCTTATTTCCTTCAGCAGTGGTTTGTAGTTCTCCTTGAAGAGGTCCTTCACATCCCTTGTAAGTTGGATTCCTAGGTACTTTATTCTCTTAGTAGCAATTTTGAATGGGAGTTTTCTCATTATTTGGCTCTCTGTCTGTTATTGGTGTATAGGAATGCTTGTGATTTTGCACATTGATTTTCTATCCAGAGACTTTGCTGAAGTTGTTTATCAGCTTAAGGAGATGTTGGGCTGAGACAATGGGGTTTTCAAAATATACAATCATGTCATCTGCTAACAGAGACAATTTGACTTCCTCTCTTCCAATTTGAATACCCTTTATTGCTTTCTCTTGCCTGAGTGTCCTGGGCAGAACTTCCAATATTATGCTGAATAGGAGTGGTGAGAGAGGTCATCCTTATCTTGTGCTGGTTTTCAAAAAGAATGCTTCTGGTTTTTGCCCATTCAGTGTGATATTGGCTGTGGGTTTGTCATAAATAGCTCTTATTATTTTGAGATACATTCCATCGATACCTAGTTTATTGAGAGTTTTTAGCATGAAAGGCTGTTGAATTTTGTTGAAGGACTTTTCTGCATCTATTGAAATAATGATGTGGTTTTTGCCGTTGGTTCTGTTTATGTGACGGATTACATTTATTGACTTGCGTATGTTGAACCAGCCTTGTATCCCAGGGATGAAGCCGACTTGATCGTGGTGGATAAGCTTTTTGATGTGCTGCTGGATTCGGTTTGCCAGTATTTTACTGAGGATTTTTGCATCGATGTTCATCAGGGATATTGACCTAAAATTCTCATTTTTAGTTGTGTCTCTGCCAGTCTTTGGTATCAGGATGATGCCAAAACTCATAAAATGAGTTAGGGAGGATTCCCTCTTTTTCTATTGATCAGAATAGTTTCAGAAGGAGTGGTACCAACTCCTCTTCGTACCTCTGGTAGAATTTGGCTGTGAATCCATCTGGTCCTGGACTGTTTTTTGATTGGTAGGGTATTAATTATTGCCTCAATTTCAGAACCTATTATTGGTCTATTCAGAGATTCAACTTCTTCCTGGTTTAGTCTTGGGAGGGTATATATGTCCAGGAATTTATTCATTTCTTCTAGATTTTCTAGTTTATTTGCATACAGGTGTTTATAGTATTCTCTGATGGTAGTTTGTATTTCTGTGGGATCAGTGGTGATATCCCCTTTATCATTTTTTATTGTGTCTATTTGATTCTTCTCTCTTTCCTTTTTTATGTGCCTGGCTAGCAGTCTATCTATTTTGTTGATCTTTTCAAAAAACAGCTCTGGGATTCATTGATTTTTTTTTTTTTTTGAAGAGTTTTTTGAGTCTCTATATCCTTCAGTTCTGCTCTGATCTTTGAATTTGTTTTCTCTTGCTTTCTCTCCTGCTTTCTCTTATGGGCGTTTGTTGCTATAAATTTCCCACTGCACACTGGTTTTGCTGTGTCCCAGAGATTCTGGTACATTGTGTCTTTGTTCTCATTGGTTTCAAAGAACATCTTTATTTCTGGTTTCATTTTGTTATTTATCCAGTAGTCATTTAGGCGCAGGTTGTTCAGTTTCCATGTAGTTGTGCGGTTTTGAGTGAGTTTTTAAATCCTGAGTTCTGATTTGATGGCACTGTGTTCTGAGTGACAGTTTGTTGTTATTTCTGTTCTTTTACATTTGCCGAGGAGTGTTTTACTTCCAATTATGTGGTCAGTTTTAGAATACGTGTGATGTGGTGCTGAGAAGAATGTATATTCTCTTGATTTGGGGTGGAGAGTTCTATAGATGTCTATTAGGTCGGCTTCGTCCAGAGCTGAGTTCAAGTCCTGGATATTCTTGTTAATTTTCTGTCTTGCTGCTCTGTCTAATATTGACAGTGGAGTGTTAAAGTCTCCCGTTATTATTGTGTGGGAGTCTAAGTCTCTTTGTAGGTCTCTAAGAACTTGCTTTTTGAATCTGGGTGCTCATGTATTGGGTGCATGTATATTTAGGATAGTTAGCTCTTCTTGTTGCATTGATCCCTTTACCATTATGTAATGGCCTTCTTTGTCTCTTTTGATCTTTGTTGCTTTAAAGTCTGTTTTATCAGAGGCCAGGATTGCAACCCTCTTTTTTGTTGTTGTTGTTGTTGTTGTTTTGTTTGTTTGTTTTTTTGTTTTCCATTTCCTTGGTAGATCTTCCTCCATCCCTTTATTTTGAGCCTATGTGCATCTCTGCATGTGAGATGGGTCTCCTGAATACAGCACACCAATGGGTCTTGACTCTATCCAATTTGCCAGTCTGTGTCTTTTAGTTGGGGCATTTAGCCCATTTACATTTAAGGTTAATATTGCTATATGTGAATTTGATCCTGTCATTATGATGCTAGCTTGTTATTTTGCCTGTTAATTGATGCAGTTTTTTCATAGTGTTGATGGTCTTCACAATTTGGCATGTTTTTGCAGTGGCTGGTACCAGTTGTTTCTTTCCATGTTTAGTGTTTCCTTCAGAAGCTCTTGTAAGGCAGGCCTGGTGGTGACAAAATCTCTCAGCATTTGCTTGTCTTTAAAGGATTTTATTTCTCCTTCACTTATGAAGCTCAGTTTGGCTGGATATGAAATTCTTAGTTGAAAATTCTTTTCTTTAAGAATGTTGAATATTGACCCCCACTCTCTTCTGGCTTGTAGGGTTTCTGCCAAGACATCTGCTGTTAGTTTGATGGGTTTTCCTTTGTGGGTAACCTGACCTTTCTTTCTGGCTGCCCTTAACATTATTTCCTTCATTTCAACCTGGTGAATCGGACAATTATGTATCTTGGGGTTGCTCTTCTTGAGGAGTGTCTTTGTGGTGTTCTCTATATTTCCTGAATTTGAATGTTGGCCTGCCTTGCTAGGTTGGGGAAGTTCTCCTGGATAATATCTTGAAGAGTGTTTTCTAACTTGGTTTCATTCTCCCTGTCACTTTTAGTACACCAATCAAACGCAGATTTGGTCTTTTCACATAATCCCGTATTTCTTGGAGGCTTTGTTCTCTTGTTTTCACTCTTTTTTCTCTAATCTTGTTTTCTCACTTTATTTCATTAATTTGATCTTCAATCACTGATATCTTTTTTTCTGCTTGTTCGAGTCAGGTATTGAAGCTTGTGTATGCTTCACGAAGTTCTCGTACTGTGGTTTTCAGCTCCATCAGCTCATTTAAGCTGTTCTCTACACTGGTTATTCTAGTTAGCAATTCGCCTAACCTTTTTTCAAGGTTTTTAGCTTCCTTGCAATGGATTAGAACATGCTCCTTTAGCTTGGAGAAGTTTGTTACTACCGACCTTCTGAAGCCTACTTCTGTCAACTCATCAAACTCATTCTCCTTCCAGTTTTGCTCTCTTGCTGGCAAGGAGTTGTGTTCCTTGGAGGAGAAGAGGCATTCCGGTTTTTGGAATCATCAGCCTTTCTGCTCTGTTTTCTCCCCATCTTTGTGGTTTTATCTACCTTTGGTCTTTGATGTTGGTGATCTGCGGATGGGGTTTTGGTGTGGATGTCCTTTTTGTTGCTGTTGATGCTATTCCTTTCTGTTTGTTGGTTTTCCTTCTAACCATCTGGCCCCTCAGCTGCAGATCTGTTGGAGTTTGCTGGAGGTCCACTCCAGACCCTGTTTGCCCGGCTATCACCAACAGAGACTGCAGAACAGCAAATATTGCTGCCTGATCCTTTGTCCCAGAGGGGCACCAGCCTATATGAGGTATCTGTTGGCCCCTACTGAGAGGTGTCTCAGTATGAGACACCAGCCTATATGAGGTATCTGTTGGCCCCTACTGGGAGGTGGGTCAGGGACCCACTTGAGGAGGCAGTCTGTCCATTATTGGAGCTTGAACGCCATGCTGGGAGAACCACTGATCTCTTCAGAGCTATCAGGCAGGGACGTTTAAGTCTGGAGAAGCTGTCTGCTGCCTTTTGTTCAGATATGCCCTGCCCGCAGAGGTGGAATCTAGAGAGGCAGTAGGCCTTGCTGAGCTGTGGTAGGCTCTGCCCAGTTCAAGCTTCCCTGCCACTTTGTTTAGACTGTGAGCATAGAACTGCCTACTGAAGCCTCAGTAATGGCGGATGCCCCACCCCCTGCCCAACTTCAGCATCCCAGGTCAATCTCAGACTGCTGTGCTAGCAGCAAGCAAGGCTCCGTGGGCGTGGGACCTGCTGAGCCAGGCACGGGAGGGAATCTCCTGGTCTGCCAGTTGTGAAGACCATGGGAAAAGCATAGTATTTGGACAGGAGTGTACCGCTCCTCCAGGTACAGTCACTCACGGCTTCCCTTGGCTAGGAAAGGGAAATCTCCTGACCCCTTGTGCTTCCTGGTGAGGCAACACCCCACGCTGCTTCAGCTCGCCCTCCGTGGGCTGCACCCACTGTCCAACCAGTCCCAATGAGATAAACCAGGTACCTCAGTTGGAAATGCAAAAATCACCCGTCTTCTGTGTCGATCTCACTGGGAGCTGTAGACTGGAGCGGTTCCTATTTGGCCATCTTGGAAGCGACCTTTGTTTTTTTTTTTTTTGAGACAGAGTCTCGCTCTGTCACCCAGATTGGAGTGCAGTGGTGCGATCTCAGCTCACTGCAACCTCTGCCTCTCAGGTTCAAGTGATTCTCTACTTCACCCTCCCAAGTAGCTGGGATTACAGGTGCCTGCCACCACACCTGGCTAATTTTTTTGTATTTTTAGTAGAGATGGAGTTTCACCATCTTGGTCAGGCTGGTCTTGAACTCCTGACCTCATGATCCACCCACCTCGGCCTCCCACAGTGCTGGAATTACAGGCATGAGCCACCATGCCCAGCTGGAACTTTCTTTAAGATAGTCCATATGATAGCCCACAAAATGAGCCTCAATAAATTTAAGAAAATTGAAATTATATCAAGCACTCTCTCAGACCACAGTGGAATGAAACTGGAAATCAACTCCAAAAGGAACCTTCAAAACCATGAAAATACATGGAAATTAAATAACCTGCTCCTGAATGATCGTTGGGTAAAAAAATGAATTCAAGATGGAAATTAAAAAATTCTTCGGCCAGGCGTGGTGGCTCACATCTGTAATCCCAGCACTTTGGGAGGCTGAGGTGGGTGGATCACTGAGACGGTGAAACCCCATCTCTACTAAAAATACAAAAAATTAGACGGGCGCGGTGGTGGGCACCTGTAGTCCCAGCTACTCGGGAGGCTGAGGCAGGAGAATGGTGTGAACCCAGGAGGCGGAGCTTGCAGTGAGCGGAGATCACGCCACTGCACTCCAGCCTGGGTGACAGAGCGAGACTCTGTCTCAGGAAAAAAAAAAAAAAAAATTCTTCAAACTGAATGACAATAGTGACACCACCTATCAAAACCACTGGGATACAACAAAGGCAGTGCCAAGAGGAAAGTTCATAGCCCTAAATGCCTATATCAAAAAGTCTGAAAGAGCACAAACAGACAATCTAAGGTCACACCTCAAGGTACTAGAGAAACAAAAACAAAACCCAAACCCAACAGAGGAAAGGAAATAACCAAGATTAGAGCAGAACTAATGAAATTGAAACAAACAAAAACAATACAAAAGATAAATAAAACAAAGAGCTGGTTCTTTGAAAAGATAAATAACATTGATAGACCATTAGCAAGATTAATCAATAAAAGAAGAGAGAAAATCCAAATAAGCTTGATAAGAAACAAAATGGGAGATACCATTTGTTATGCTCTCAGATTCCATAGATCAGAAATGCAGACAGGACATAGCATATGTGCTCATCCCTATTCTATGCTATGATATGTTTGGCCTCAACTGGGAAGACTCAGAATGCTGGGAGTGTCTTAAAAGACTGAGGCCTGGAATCCTCTGATGACTGCTTGATTTACATCTGGTACTTGGGCTGAGATGACTTGAAGGCTGGGCTCTGCTGTGACAGTCAGTGGGGTACCAGTAGTTGGCCTTTCCACACCTTGGCTCCTTACAGCATGGTGGCTGGGCTCCAAGGATGTGTATCCAGTGAAGGAACATCTGAACAGAGAGTGGTCCAAGAAAATTAGGGGAAGCTGCAGGGCTTTGTGGGACCTAACTGGAAATCACATGGCATCACTTCTGTCATACATTTTTGGCTGAGTCACAGGCTCATCCAGATTCACAGGAGGAAACATAGAGCCCGCCTCTTAATGGGAGGTATTTCAAAGTGTTCTGAGGCCATCTTTTCAAACCACTGCAGTTTTAGATTTCATGCAGCACTACTGCACCTTCAGAATGCTCCAGGTGATGTGCTGCATTATCAGCTTGATAAATGATGTGTGTGCAGGTAACTTCAGTCTAGCATTGCAGTCTAAAGAGAGTCCTTTAATATCCTTTTTTTTTAACCCCCAAATAGCCCAAGTATTCATTCTCTGAAAGAAAATGTGTAGTTCAGCCATCTCAGACATGTTGGTAGAGCTTTTTAAGGACTCGATTCTTTTCCTTGTCTTCCCTGGAGCATTCCCAATATATCGGTTTTGGCATTAGAAAAGGAAATATTTCCTCTGGCTGTCTGGCCTCTATTTTATTGTATTAAACAGATCAACCAATTGGAGTTATAGTCCCTGCAGAGCAGAACAAAAGTGCCCTTGACACCTCCCTGCTGCAATAGGGGCATGAGACTGCTTCACCCTCATGACTACCTTAGAAGCAACCAGAGAGCTAGAGAAGCCTCCAGCCCTGGCTCTCTATCACCCAAAACCAGCTCTTTCATACAGTTCTTAGCTACTTCTATTTCATCCCTGGCATTCTTCCTTTGCTTGTTGTTTGCTCAATTTTCTATTAAAGTTTTTATATTTTTAAAAACAATGGCTCTTTTTATATTTACATAGCAAACTTTTGCTTTTTTAATTTTAAAATGTAACATTTAAAAACGTTTAAAAACACTCGATTTTACTTTATTTTTTATTTATTTATTTTTTGAGACATGGTCTCACTCTGTTGCCCATACTGGAGTGCAGTGTCATGATCTTGGCTCATCGCAATCTCCACCTGCCGGGTTCAAGCGATTCTCCTGCCTCAGCCTCCCAAGTAGCTGGGATTATAGGCGCGTGCCACTACCGCTCAGCTAATTTTTGTATTTTTGGTAGAGATGGGGTTTCACCATGTTGGTCAGGCTGGTCTTGAACTCCTGACCTCAGGCGATCCGCCTGCCTCAGCCTCCCAAAGTGCTGAGATTACAGGTGTGAGCCACCACTCCCGGCCTATTTTTTCTACATCTCTAATTTCTACATAAACAAAATGAACATCATTTCATAGTTAAAATTTATAGACACACATCCATTAGGATGGCTACTATTTTTTTTTTTTTTTTTTGAGATGGAGTCTCACTCTGTTGCCTAGGCTGGAGTGCAGTGGTATCATCTCAGCTCACTACAACCTCTGCCTCCCGGGTTCAAGTGATTCTCCTGCCTCGGCCTCCTGAGTAAGTGGTCTTGATCTCTTGACCTCGTGATCTGCCCACCTCGGCCTTCCAGAGTGCTGGGATTGCAGGCGTGAACCACCACGCCTGACCAGGATGGCTACTATTAAAAAAAAAAAAAAAAAAAAAAAAAAAAAAACAGAAAATAGCAAATATTGGAGAGGATGCAGAAAACTGAAACCATTGTGCACTGTTGGTGGGATTATAAAATGGTTCAGCTGCTATGAAAAACATATGATCGTCCCTCAAAAAATTAAAAATAGAATTAGCATTTGACTGACAGTTCCACTCTGGGTATATATCCAAAAGAACTGAGCAGAGTCTTGAAGAGATATTTGTACACCCATGTTCATAGCATGATTATTCACAATATCCAAAAGGTGGAAGCAACAAATTGAAAGATAAATGGATAAACAAAATATGGTATAGACATACAATATCATACTATTCAGCCTTAAAAAGGAACACAATTCTGACACATGCTACAATATGGATGAACCTTGAGAACATTATGCTAAATGAAATAAGCCAGTTATAAAAAGACAAATGCTATGTGATTCTACTTACATGAGGTACCTAGTATATTCAAATTCATAGGGACAGGAAGTAGAATGGTGGTTGTCAGGGGCTGGGGAGAAGGCAGAGTGGGGAGTTGTTCCATGGGTACAGAGTTTCAACATTGCAAATTGAAAAGAGTTCTGGAAATTGGTTGCACAACAATGTGAATGCACTTCACGCTACTGAACTGTTCACTTCAAAATAGTTAAGCTCATAACTTTTGTGTGTTATCCCTTCCCCTTTGCATTTATTATGACCATCAGATTTGATGTCAGAGTTACGCTAGCATTGTAAAAGGAGTTGGGAAACATTTGAGTTTTTAAAAATCTGTTAGAATATTTTCACATAGCATAATAATTTTATATAATTTTGAAGAATCATTCCATTTAGTCTCTGGCTGTCCTCCCAGCTATCACTCCTAAAATTCAGACCTTCCTCAACATCCTTTTGGTGGTAACCCTTAACCATTACCACTGCTCTCTGTTTCAAACCATTTCCAGTGCTGGGATGAGCAGATTTTTAGTGGTGCCACATCTTATGGTGGCAAAGGAGCAGATCCTTTGGAGTAAGGGGGGAATGAAAGTAAGTCCTCTGTTAGGCACTTCCTTCCTTTACCCTCTCACCTACCTTCTCCTTCTCCCTTCCAAAGATTCACATAAGTTGCCAGCTCCTGTTCCGTTTCTGTTCCTTCCCTCAGAGACCCCCCCCACTACTTTAGAAGACTTTTGGAGTCTATTTGTTTACTGAGTTTGTGTTCATAAAGTCTCATCATCAATTCATCAATTTCAGTCTCGCTTTTGTGTTTCTCTACTAGGCATAAAAGAAAAATGGGGAACAGAGAGAGTAGCGGAGGGACAGAGAGCTTAGCAAGAAGCCCATTAACCAGATTTCCCATTGTCTGTAGAAATCCTTAGAGGGCCAAAAAAAAAAAAAAAAAAAAAAAGGGTGTGTGCTTGTTCAGTGGGGGGAAGTGACAGTGACATTTCACGGACACCACCCTAGAACACAGTACTTGTCAGCTCTCTCTACACTATTGCAAAGAGACTTCCAGCTGGAATGCTAACATCCTGCCTTGCTCCAGCTAATCTTTTTTGTATTAGACAATATTCCTTTTAAAATGTAGATCTGGTTATGCCTCTATCCTGCTTAAGTCCTTTCATAGCTTTCTATTACACTGAGAATAAAGACTAAAACCCTTGGCCAGGTGCAGTGGTGCACCCTGTAATCTCAGCACTTTGGGAGGCTGAGGTGGGTGGATCACCTGAGGTCAGGAGTTCAAGATCATCCTGACTAACATGGTGGAACCTTGTCTCTACTAAAAAAAAATTAGCTGGGTGTAGTGGCGCATGCCTGTAATCCCAGCTACTCAGGAGGCTGAGGCAGGAGAATCACTTGAATCTGGGAGGCAGAGGTTGCAGTGAGCCGAAATTGCACCACTGCACTCCAGCCTGGGTGACAGAGCGAGACTCCACATCAACAAAAAAAAGAAGAAAACCCTCAAGGCTCTATGGAGTCAGCATCTGCCCAGACTTTTAGCTATAGCTGCTGTATAAAGACCTAAATATTCTTTTGGTTTCTCAAATGTTCAAGTTTTAGGGGTTGGGTGCAGTGGCTGACACCTGTAATCTTAATACCCAGGCTGTCTCTAAAAAACAAAAACAAAAACAAAAGTCCACGTTTATCTGCCTGTTTCTGGAACCTTCTCGCTTGACTACCTTCCTCCAGGCTCTATCTCCCCACTAACAAGCACATAAACCCCTCACCCTTGGCCTCAGTAACTTCTACCCATTTTTCAGACATTAGTCTCAGTTTATATTTTTAGGGAAGTCTCTTCCTAACTACCCAGGATATATCAGATTCCTTGTTACATGCCTAGAACTCAGTCTATTTTGGGAGCACTTACCCTATTTTTAGTTAAATCAAAAATTTGATCAAAATTTGATTAAAAATCAAATGTATGATCACCTGATTCACATTTGTCCTCCCCACTAAGACTGTAAGCTCCATGAAGACCAGGACTGTCTGTGTCTTGCTTAAAATTCTATCTCCTGTGCTTAGCATAACCCTGCACAATGTAATAATTCAAAAAATATTTGTTGGATCAATAGAGAAATATAAGAGAAAAGGTGTGAATCAATTCATGCCTTATTTTAAAAGGTGTGAATCAATAACACCTTATTTTTCCTCTGCCTGAGTTTGTAATGAACTTAGAGAGAGATGCAGGAGCCAGGCAGATACCGATAAGAACTTCCTTGTCACTACTGAAAAGAAAGAAACACCATTTCCTATTAAAAAGAATGAGGGGCTTCTTAGAGAAATGTTTATTTCCAGGTCTGGAGCAGGCAATATACAAGATGAGTTTGAAACACCTTGTTGTAGCGAAAATAAAGACACTAGTCAAAGATGAATGGGGATATATCAAAATGACACAAGATCTGGCTTAAAAAAGAAAAATGACGATAATGGATTATAATTCATTAAGTAAACAGAATTCCTGAGTTTATAATTATACTCAAAACAGGCAGTGGGGGAGAAAAACTATTTTTTTTAACTTTTATTTTAGGTTCAGGGGCACATGCGCAGGTTTGTTATATAGGTAGGTGCCTCAGGGTTTGAGGTACAGATTATTTCATCACCCAGGTAATAAGCCTAGTACCTGATAGTTTTTCAATCCCCACCCTCCCCCAACCTTCCACCCTCAAGTAGGCCCCGGTGTCTATTGTTCCCTTCATTGTGTCCATGTGTACTCAATGTTTAGCTCCCACTTGTAAATGCGAACACGTGGTATTTGGTTTTCTGTTCCTGTGTTAGTTCACTTAGGATAATGGCCTCGAGCTCCATCTACGTTGCTGCAAAGTACATGATCTCATTCTGTTTTACAGCTGCACAGTATTCCATGGTGTATATGTATCACATTTTCTTTATCCAGTCTACCATTGATAGGCATTTAGGTTCCATGTCTTTGCTATTGTGAATAGTGCTGTGATGAACATATGCATGCTCATATGTGTCTTTATGGTAGAGTGATTTATATTACTTTGAGTATATACCATATATATATATATGGGATTGCTGGGTTGAATTGTAGTTCTGTTTTAAGTTCTTTGAGAAATTGCCAAACTGCTTTCCACAGTGGCTGCACTAATTTACACTCCCACCAACTGTGTTGTGTGTAAGCATTCCCTTTACTCTGCACCTCTCCACCATCTGTTACCTTTTTGACTTTTTAATAATAGCCATTCTGACTGGTTAGATGGTGTCTCCTTTTGGTTTTGATTTGCATTTCATTAATGAATAGTGATGTGGAGCATTTTTTCATATGCTTGTTAGTTATGCATCCATCTTCTTTGGAAAAGTATCTGTTCATTTCCTTTGCCCACTTTTTAATGGGTTGTTTTTTGCTTGTTGATTTTTTTGTTATTTATGGATTCTGGATATTTGACCTTTGTTGGATGCATAGTTTGCAAATATTTTCTCCCATTCTGTAGGTTGTCTGCTTGCTCTGTGGATAGTTTTTTTCTTTCTTTCTTTCTTTCTTTCTTTCTTTCTTACTTTTTCTTTCTTTCTTTCTTTTTCTTTCTTTTCTTTCTTTCTTTCTTTCTTTCTTTCTTTCTTTCTTCTTTCTTTGCTGTGCAGAGTTCTTTAGTTTACTTATTTTAATTAAATCTCACTTGTCAATTTTTGTTTTTGTTGCAATTGCTTTTGGCATCTTTGTCATGAAATCTTTGCCAGGGCCTGTGTCCAGAATGGTACTTCCTAGGTTTTCTTCTAGGGTTTTTATAGTTTTAGGTTTTACATTTAAGTTTTTATCCATCTTGAGTTGATTTTTGTATATGGTGAAAGAAGGGGTCCAGTTTCAATCTTCTGCATATAGCTGGCCAATTATCCCAGCACCATTTATTGAGGAATTACTTTCCTCATTGCTTGTTTTTGTCAACTTTGTGGAAGATCAGATGGTTATAGGTGTGTGGCTTTGTTTCTGGGCTCTATATTCTGTTCCATTGGTCTATGTGTCTGTTTTTGTACCAGTACCATGCTGTTTTGGTTACTGTAGCCTGGTAGTAAAGTTTGAAGTTGGGAAATTTGATGTCTCCAGCTTTGTTCTGTTTGCTTGGGATTGCATTGATGATTCAAGCTCTTTTTTTAGTTTCATGTGAATTTTAAAATAGTTTTTTTCCAATTTTATGAAAAATGTCATTGGTAGTTTGATAGGAATAGCATTGAATCTATAAATTGCTTTGGGCAGTATGATCATTTTAACAATATTGATTCTTCCTATCCGTGTGCATGGAATGTTTTTCCATTTGTGTGGTCTCTGATTTCTTTCAATGATGTTTCATAATTCTCGTTGTAGAGATCATTCACCTCCCTGGTGAGCTGTATTCTTAGGTATTTTATTTTTTTGTGGCTATTGTGAAATAAATTGTGTCCTTAATGTGCCTGTTGGCTTAGAAGTTGTTAGTGTATAGAAATGCTACTCATTTTTGTACACTAATATTTTGTCCTGAAACTTTGCTGAAGTTTATCAGATCTAGCAACTTTTGGGCAAAGACTATGGGGTTTCTTTTTCTATTCTAGGACTATGGGGTATTCTATTGTCGCAAACAGAGATAGTTTAACACTCTATCTTCCTGTTTGTATCTTTCTCTTGCCTGATTGCTCTGGCTAGGAGTTCCAGTACTATGTTGAATAGGAGCGGTGAGAGTGGGCATCCTCGTCTTGTTCTGCTTCTCAAGAGGAATGCTTCCAGCTTGTGCCTATTCAGTATAATGTTGGCTGTGGGTTTGTCATAGATGGCTTTTATTATTTTGAAGTGTGTTCCTTCAATGCCTAGTTTGTTCATGTTTTTAACATGAAAGGGTGTTAAATTTTATTGAAAGCCTTTTCTACATCTATTGAGATGATCATGTGGTTGTGTTTTCAGTTCTGTTTATGTGATTCACATTTATTGATTTGTATATGTTAAACCAACCTTGCATCCCAGGGATAAACCTACTTGATTATAGTAGATTAGCTTTTTGATGTGCTGCTGGATTCAGTTTGCTAGTATTTTGTTGAAGATTTTTGTATCTATGTTTATCAAGGATATTGGCCTGAAGTTTCTTTTTCTTTTTCTTTTTTTTCTGTGTCTCTGCCAGTTTTTGGTATCAGAATGATGCTGGCCTCATAGAATGAGTTAGGGAGAAGTCCTTCCTCCTCAATTTTTTTGAATAGTTTCAGTAGCGATGGTACTAGCTCTTCTTCATATGTCTGGTAGAATTTGGCTGTGAGTCTGTATGGTCCAGGGCTTTTTCTGATTGTAGGCTTTTTATTTCTGATTCAATTTCAGAACTCATTATTGGTTTGTTCAGGGTTTCAATTTCTTCCTGATTCAGTCTTGGGAGGTTGTATGTTTTCAGCAATTTATCCATTTCTTATAGGTTTTCTAGTTTATGTGCATAATTTCTAATGGTCTCTGGAGGTTTTTTGTATTTCTGTGAGGTCAGTGGTAAAGTTCCCTTTGTCATTTCTAATAGTGAGAAAAGCTCTTAACAGAAGAATACCTGTTAAAAATGTAGAAGGAATGGTAGAATTAGAAAATCACTATTTGAAACCACCAATGTACTAACTCATACATGTGAGGATTGTCAAAAAACATTGAGTGAAAGTTTGTTGGGGAACAGGATATTTGTATGGTCTCATAATATCACCCCACATATTACTTATTAAGTATAAAGGAAAAAGCTATCTTTACAATGGGGACATCTGGTGGGCACTACCCTATCTGAATGATTAAATTTAGCATTAGATAATGGGACAAAGTGACACCACATTCTTCCTGATGTGATGCAATAGGAAGTGCATAAAATCATCAACATACTATTCTTGTTCAAGGTTCAACATGAATTAAATCATAAGGAACAATCATTATAGGGCATTCTATGACACAAGTGTTCTGAAGTTTCCAAAAGTGTCAATGTCTAGTAAAAAGGAAAGAGATTATTCTACATTATGGAGAGTAAAGAAACAAACCAAATGCAGTATGTGGCCTTTAAAATAGCTATAAAGAAATTTTTGAGGTAAATTGAAGAAATTTATATATGAACCATATATTAGATAATATTATGTTATCAGTGTTAAACTGTAAGTGTAAAAGTGGTATTGTGGTTGAGTAGAAGATTCCCTCATTCTTAGCAGATACCTGTGGACATATACAGTTCACCCTTGAACAACATGGGGGTTAGGAGTGCCAATCCCCTGTGCAGTCAAAAATCCACATATAACTTTTGGCTCTCCAAAAACTCGACTACGAATAGCTTTCATATTTTGTATGTTATATGTATTATTTATTATGTTCTTATAATAAATTAAGCTAGAGAAATGTTATCAAGCAAATCATAAGGAAGAGGAAATATATTTACTATTTATTAAGTAGAAATGGATCATCATAAAGGTCTTCATCCTCATTGTTTTCACACTGAATAGGCTGAACAGGAGGAGGAAGAGGAAAGGTTGGTTTTGCTGTCTCTGGTGGCAGAGGTGAAAGAGTTGGAGAAGGTGGAAGGGGAGGCAGGAAAGGCAGGCACAATTGAAAAATTTCACCAAAGTGGACCTGCATAGTTCAAACCCATGTCGTTCAAGTGTCAGCTGTATATGTTCAGCAAAAAAATAAATAAATAAATAAATAAATAAATAAATAAATAAATAAATAAATAAAAATTAAAAATGTGCATGCATGTGCATGCAGAGGGAGTGTGAGTGAGATAGAGAGAGAGATGGCAACTGGAACAAAATGTTAACAATTTATGTATGTAGGTGGAGAGTACATAGGTGTCATTGGATCATTTTAGCTTTTCTGTGCCTTTGAAATTTTTTCAAATAAAAAGTTGGGCAGGTAAGTGGTTAGATGACTTTAGGTCTATGACTAAACAAGCTTGCTGATACTTCCTCATGCCTAAGTTAGACATAATTATCTTGTCATAGTCACTCCTGGGCAAGAGTAGACTTCTCCCACTTACTGCTCCCTCTGCCCCTTGCGTAAGGCCTGTTCTTATAAAATTGATGGCTCAGAACAGCAGTACAGAACTGGTAGAATTTGCAGGCAGTCAGATCCCGCAGATAACCCAGAAGTGTCTGAAACATGCTTTCCAGTTTTACCTCCTAAACCCCCTGTTCAGACAAGTTACAAGGCTAGAAATACTCCTCAAGGGCAATGGTTCTTAAGCTGGATTGCACATTTGAATCACTTGGGTATCTTATGCTCCCCGATCCCAGAACCATTAAATTACAATCCGTGGAGGTGGAACACAGGCATCAGTAGTTTTGAAACTCCCCAGGTGATTGTAATGTGCAGACAAGCTTGAGAACTACTGCTTTAAGGAAGTCTCTCCATGTGGTAATATGACTAAGAGCAGAATAGGTATTTATTCTCAATATTAGTTAAGGAAGAAAAGAAACCCACCTGGGGCTCCCAAGTTGGGATAGAATGCAGATTTAGAAAGAAATATGCTCCTAGGAACTCTTACAATAGAGAGCCTATATTAGTCCTTTATCACACTGCTATAAAGATCTACCTGAAACTAAAACTGAAACTGGGTAATTTATAAAGAAAAGAGGTTTAATTGGCACATGGTTCTGTGGGCTATCCAGGCTTCTGTTTCTGGGGAGGCCTCAGGAAACTTACAATCATGGCAGAAGGAAAAGAAAAGCAGTCACATTGTCACATGGCCAGCATGAGAGAGAGAGAACAAAGGGGGACGTGCTACACACTTTCAAACAACCAGATCTCGTGCAAACTCACTCACTATGACAAGAACAGCAAAGGGAAAATCCACCCCCATGATCCAGTCACCTCCCACCAGGTGGCTCCCCCAACATTGAGGATTACAATTCAACATAAGATTTTGGTGGGGACACAGAGTCAAACCATATCAGAGCCCTACAATTATTTAGCCCCTACCGTGCTAGAGTTCCTATCCTTGGCTACAGGGATGGTCCCCAGTGGTACAGTGGAGAGAATTCCTCCTCCAATTTCCTAGCAGGTGGGCTTGCCAATTAGACCCAAGAATGGGAGAATTTGTTAACATATTTAAGTGTGGTGGTGACATTCAATGGTAATACTAGTAGAACAGTAAATTTGGGGTATTGAGGGCTCAATAGGCTTTTGTTGGCAGTGTCGGCAATCTTTCTATAATGTATAATATTTCCAGTTTATATAGAATATTTGTGTTTTGTGTTCAAATAATTTATTTACAAATAAATGTTGGGAGTATAATACATTAATATCTGGACTCTTTTCTTTTCCATTTGTCTGTCTATCTTTATACCAATGCCACCACATTCTTTTGATTGCTGTAGTTTGAAATCAGAGAGTGTTAGTCCTCCAAATTTGTTCTTCATTTTCAAGTGGCTATTCTAAGTCCTTTGCATTTCCTTATAAATTTTGATATTACCTTGCTGTTTTCTATGGCAAATCTCATCTCTGATAAGATTTTGACTGAGATTGCATGAAGTCTATAAGTCAATTTTTGGAGACAAGACATCTTTGTTTTATGAGTCTTATGATCCATGGACATTATATATTTCCCTGTTGATTTATGTCTTTAATTTTTTAAGTGTTTTATAGTTTTAGTGTGCAGTCTTACGCATCCTTCATAAGATTTATCCCTAGATATTTAACCCCTTGGGTTTTTGATGGTATTACAAATGACATTTTTAAAAATTCAAATTTTTGATTGTTCATTGATAGCATATAGAAGTGCAACTGATTTTTGTTTATTGATTTTATATCCTGAAAATGACAAAGCTTTCTTATTAATTCTAGTAGCTATTTTCTAGACTTCATAAGATTTTCTACATAGATTATAATGTTTTCTGCAAAGAAAGACAATTTTACTTATTCTTTCCAACCTGGAGAATTTTTCTTTCTTTTTTTGTCTCACTGCACTAGCTAGAACCACCAATACAATGTTGAATAAAAATAATGAAGGCAGATGATTGGGGCAAGATGGCCAAATAGGAACAGCTCTGGTCTGCAGCTCCCAGGGAAACCAATGGAGAAGGCGGGTGATGTCTGCATTTCCAACTGAGGTACCCAGTTCATCTCATTGGGACTGGTTAGACAGTAGGTGCAACCCACAGAGGGCGAGCAGAAGCAGCAGGAGGGTGTCACCTCACACAGGAAGCACAAGGGGTTAGGGAACTCCCTCCCCTGGCCAAGGGAAGCCAGGAGGGACCATGCCATGACAGTTGGAGCTATTCGGCCCAAATACTATGCTTTTCCCATGGCCTTTGCAACCCACAGACCAGGAGATTCCCTCAGGTGCCTACAACACCAGGGCCCTGAGTTTCAAGCACAAAACTGGGTGGCCGTTTGGGCAGACACTGAGCTAGCTGCAGGAGTTTTTTGTTTTTGTTTTTTCTTTTTCATACTCCAGTGGCCCCTGGAAAGCCAGTGAGACAGAAGTCTTCACTCCCCTGGAAAAGGGGGCTGAAGCCAGGGAGCCAAGTGTTCTTGCTCAGTGGATCCCACCCCCACTGAGACTAGCAAGCTAAGATCCACTGGCTTGAAATTCTCATTGCCAGCATAGCAGTCTGAAGCCAACCTGGGATGCTTGAGCTTGGTGGGAGGAGGGGTGTCCACCATTACTGAGGCTTGAGTAAGTGGTTTTTCCTCACAGTGTAAACAAAGCCGCCGGGAAGTTCGGACTGGGCAGAGCCTACTGCAGCATGGCAAAGCTGCTACAGCCAGACTGCCTCTCTAGATTCCCCCTCTCTGGGCAGGCTATCTCTGAAAGAAAGGCAGCAGCCCCAGTCAGGAACTTATAGATAAAACTCCCATCTCCCTGGAACAGAGCACCTGGGGGAAGAGGTGGCTACTGGGGCAGCTACAGCAGACTTAAACATTCCTGCCTGCCAGCTCTGAAGAGAACAGTGGATCTCCCAACACAGCACTTGAGCTCTGCTTAGGGACAGATGCCTCCTCAAGTGGGTCCCTGACTCCTGTGCCTCCTGACTTGAGACATCTCCCAGCAGGGGTTGACAGACACCTCATAGAGGAGAGCTCCAGCTGGCAGCTGGTGGGTGCCCCTCTGGGACAAAGCTTCCAGAGGAAGGAGCAGGCAGCAATCTTTGCTGTTCTGCAGCATCTGCTGGTGATACCCAGGCAAACAGGGTCTGGAGTGGACCCCCAGCAAACTCCAGCAGACCTGCAGAAAAGAGGCCTGACTGTTAGAAGGAAACATAACAAACAGAAAGCAATAGCATCAACATCAACAAAAAGGAACACCACACAGAAACTCCATCCGAAGGTCACCAACACCAAAGACCAAAGGTAGATAAAACCATGAAGATGAGGAAACACCAATGCAAAAAGGAAGAAAATTCCAAAAACCAGAATGCCTCTTCTCCTCCAAAGGATCACAACTCCTCACCAGCAAGGCGACAAAACTGGATGGAGAATGAGTGTGACATTTGAAAGAAGTGGGCTTCAGAAGGTGGGTAATAACAACTCCTTCCAGCTAAAGGAGCATGTTCTAACCCAATGCAAGGGAGCTAAGAACCTTGATAAAAGGTTAGAGGAATTGCTAACTAGAATAACCCATTTAGAGAAGAACATAAATTACCTGATGGAGCTGAAAAACAGAGCACAAGAACTTCATGAAACATACACATGTATCAATAGCTGAATCAATCAAGTGGAAGAAAGGATATCAGAGATTGAAGATCAACTTAATAAAATAAAGTGAGAAGACAAGATTAGAGAAAAAAGAATGAAAGGAATGAACAAAGCCTCCAAGAAATATGGGACTATGTGAAGAGACCAAACCTACATTTGATTGGTGTACCTGAAACTGACAGGGAGAATGGAACCAAGTTGGAAAACATGTTTCAGGATATTATCCAAGAGAACTTCCCCAACCTAGCAAGG
This sequence comes from Homo sapiens, assembly GCF_000001405.40. Classification (NCBI taxonomy): domain Eukaryota; kingdom Metazoa; phylum Chordata; class Mammalia; order Primates; family Hominidae; genus Homo; species Homo sapiens. The sequence goes on along the minus strand of NC_000005.10, from coordinate 60,714,461 downwards.
CAGACCAACATTCAAATTCAGGAAATAGAGAGAACACCACAAAAACACTCCTCGAGAAGAGCAACCCCAAGACACATAATTGTCAGATTCATCAAGGTTGAATTGAAGGGAAAAATGTTAAGGGCAGCCAAAGAAAAAGGATGGGTTGCCCACAAAGGGAAGCCCATCTGATTAACAGCAGATCTCTCTGCAGAAACCCTACAAGCCAGAAGAGAGTGGGGGCCAATATTTGACATTCTTAAAGAAAAGAATTTTCAAACCAGAATTTCTTTTTTTTTTCTTTTTATTATACTTTAAGTTCTAGGGTACATGTGCACAACATGCAGGTTTGTTACATATGTATACATGTGCCATGTTGGTGTGCTGCACCTGTTAACTCGTCATTTACATTAGGTATATCTCCTAATGCTATCCATCCTCCCTCTCCCAACCCCATGACAGGCCCTGGTGTGTGATGTTCCCCACCCTGTGTCCAAGTGTTCTCATTGTTCAATTCCCACCTATGAGTAAGAACATGCGGTGTTTGGTTTTCTGTCCTTGAGATAGTTTGCTGAGAATGATGGTTTCCAGCTTCATCCATGTCCCTACAAAGGACATGAACTCATCCTTTTTTATGGCTGCATAGTATTCCATGGTGTATATGTGCCACATTTTCTTAATCCAGTCTATCATTGATGGACATTTGGGTTGGTTCCAAGTCTTTGCTATTGTGAATAGTGCCGCAATAAACATATGTGTGCATGTGCCTTTATAGCAGCATGATTTATAATCCTATGGGTATATACCCAGTAATGGGATGGCTGGGTCAAATGGTATTTCTAGTTCTAGATCCTTGAGGAATTGCCACACTGTCTTCCACAATGGTTGAACTAGTTTACAGTCCCACCAACAGTGTAAAAGTGCTCCATTTCTCCACATCCTCTCCAGCACCTGTTGTTTCCTGACTTTTTAATGATCGCCATTCTAACTGGTGTGAGATGGTATCTCATTGTGGTTTTGATTTGCATTTCTCTGATTCAACCCAGAATTTCATATCCTGCCAAACTAAGCTTCATAAGTGAAGGAGAAATAAAATCCTTTACATACAAGCAAATGCTGAGAGATTTTTTCACCACCAGGCCTGCCTTACAAGAGCTCCTGAAGGGAGCACTAAAAATGGAAAGGAAAAACCGGTACCAGCTACTGCAAAAAGAAACCAAAATGTAAAGACCATCGACACTGTAAACTGCATCAACTAATGGGCAAAATAACCAGCTGGCATCATAATGACAGGGTCAAATTCACACATAACAATATTAGCGTTAAATGTAAACAGGCTAAATGCCCCAATTAAAAGGCACAGACTGGCAAATCGGATAAAGAGTGAAGACCAATCGGTGTGCTGTATTCAAGAGACCCACCTCACATGCAAAGACTCACATAGGCTCAAAATAAAGGGAGGGAGGAAGATTTACCAGGCAAATGGGAAGCAAAAAAATAGTTTTTTTGCAATCTATCCATCTGACAAAGGGCTAATATCCAGAATCTACAAAGAACTTAAACAAATTTATAAGAAAAAAAGAACCCCATCAAAAAGTGGGCAAAGGATATCAACAGACACTTTTCAAAAGAAGACATTTATGCAGCCAACAAACATATGAAAGAAAGGTTATCATCACTGGTCATTAGAGAAAAGCAAATCAAAACGACAATGAGATATCATCTCATGCCAGTTAGAATGGCGATCATTAAAAAGGAAACAACAGATGCTGGAGAGGATGTGGAGAAATAGGAATGCTTTTCCACTGTTGGTGGAAGTGTAAATTAGTTCAACTGGCTGACTGCAGTGGCTCATGTTTGTAATCCCAGCACTTTGGGAGGCCAAGGTGGGTGGATCACGAGGTTAGGAGTTTGAGACCAGCCTGGCCAACATAGTGAAACCCCGTCTTTACCAAAAATATAAAAATTTAGCTGGGCGTGGTGGCAGGTGCCTGTAATCCCAGCTACTTGGGAGGCTGAGGCAGAAGAATTGCTTGAAGCTGGGAGGTGGAGGTTGCAGTGAGCTGAGATCACGCCACTGCACTCCAACCTGGGAAGACTCCGTCTAAAAAAAAAAAAAAAAAACAAACAAAAAAAACTACTTAAACCATTGTGGAAGACAGTGTGGCAATTCCTCAAGGATCTAGAACCAGAAATACCATTTGACCCAGCAATCCCATTACAGTGTATATACCCAAAGGACTATAAATCATTGTACTACAAAGACACATGCACACATATGTTTATTGCAGCACTATTTACAATAGCAAAGACTTGGAACCAACCCAAATGCCCATCAATGATAGACTAGATAAATAAAATGTGGCATATATACACCATGGAATACTATGCAGCCATAAAAAAGAATGAGTCCATGTCCTTTGCAGGGACATGGATGAAGCTGGAAACCGTCATTCTCAGCAAACTAACACAGGAACAGAAAACGAAACACTGCATGTTCTCACTCATAAGCTGGAGTTGAACAATGAAAACATATGGGCACAGGGAGGGGAATATCACACACCAGGGCCCGTTGGGGGGTGGGGGGCAAGGGGAATGATAGAATTAGGAGAAATACCTAATGTAGATGATGGGTTGAGGGGTGCAGCAAACCACTGTGGCACATGTATAGCTATGTAACAAACCTGCATGTTCTCCATATGTATCCCAGAACTTAAAGTATAATAAAAAATTAAATTAAATTTTAAAAGACAATACAGAAAGTTACATGGATATAATAAAAAAAATAATAATGAAGGCAGACATCCTTGCCTTGTTGCTGATGTTAGGGAGAAAGCATTCAGTCTTTCAGCATTAATTGTAATGTTAGCTGTAGGATTTTCATAGATACTTTTTATCAGGTTGAGGAATTCCTGTCCATTCCTTAGTTTGTTGAGAGGTTTTTTTGATACCAAGCATCCACGGTTGATTTTTAAAATCAGGAATGGCTGTTGAATTTTATCAAATGCTTTATTGGTTTTTGTGTTCCTTTATCTTAAAAAATCTTTTCAAAACAGAAATTTCAAACATAATAAAAGTAGACAGAAAAGTAACAATAATCCCTCATATACCCATCATCTTCCAGCTCCAGCAGTTATCAATTGCAGGCAATCTCGTCTGTCTCCACCCATGCCCATTCCTCCATATGATTTTTAAGCACATCTTAGAAATTGTATCCTTAAATCATGCATATCTCAAAATATATATCTGAAACAATTGTTTTTAGCATGTGATCTCCAGACTTGCACATCACAATCTACTGGAAAGTTGTTTGAAATGGAAATTATCAGGTGCCAACAATGTCCTACTGAATCAGAATCTCTTGGGGGATATGGCCCAATCATCTGTGTTTTAATAAGTCCTCCTGGTGATTCTGATGCCTGCTCCAGATCTAGAATCAGTACCCTAAAAGATTTAGGAGGTTTTTATTTTCTTTTATTTTTTAAATAACCACAATACAACAATCATGTGTAAAAATTTAAACTATAATTTCTGATTATCCTCAAATAGCGATTCAGTATTCCAACTTCCAGTTATCTCATAATTGCTTTTAAAATGTTTTGTTTTCATTATTTTTATAGTTCATTGAGTAATGATCTAAATAATGTCCACATACTGTGATTAGTTAATTTGTCTTAAATATTTTATGGGTTCTCCCTCCATCAGTCACATTCCCTCTTCCTGCAATTGCAAACACCTGATCATGTATAGAATTTCCCACATTTATAAAACTTTGCTCGTTGTACCCCACCCCTCTTTTCTTCTATCCTCTGCATTCCTGTAAATTGGTAATTGGATCACAATGATGAGGTATGGTCAGCTTTAGCTTCAAATTTTGTGGCAAGAACTCTCAGTAGATGGAGCTGTGGTCCTTATCTCTTTAAAGGTTCACGGTCAAAACTTGGCTCTGGCTATTTGCACTGCAGCTTGTAGCTGCTCCAGGCTCTGCCTCAACATCCTCTCTGATTGTACCTCCTCTGTTTCCATCTCCTTCGGCTCTGTATTTTTCCTGGTTCAGTTTGAAGACTGGACTTGAATCTCTTTATGACTTTTATCTAATATTCCTTTAAGATGCTACTTCTGATAGCTTGAGCTTCAAGCACAGAAGAACAGCAAGAGCTATTCTCTCCTAGGATTCTGCCCAGGTCCTCATGACATTTACTAGCAAGGCCTGCAGAACCCCACTTTCAGCTCTCAGGTAGCTTGCAGGAGGAGATCAGATAATAATGGCATTTCTGGCTGGACAGTGTGGCTCATACTGTAATCCAAGCACTGAGTTGAGAGGATTGCCTGAGGCCAGGAGTTAAAGACTAGCCTGGACAACATAGCAAGACCCCTTCCCTACAAAAATTAAGAAAACAAATTAGCCAGATGTGATAGTCCTAGCTACTCAGGAGGCTGGGGAAGGAGGATCATTGAGCTCAGGAGTTTGAGGTTGCAGTGAGCTATGATTGTACCACTGCATTTCAGTGATGTCACTGGGTGACAGTGAGACTCTGTCTTAAAAAAAAAAAAAAGCCTGGGCACGGTGGCTCATGTCTGTAATCCCAGCACTTTTGAGAGGCCAAGGTGGGCAGATCTCTTGAGCCCAGGAGTTGAAGACCAGCCTGGGCAACATGGCAAAACCCCATCTCTACAAAAAATACAAAAATTAGCTGGGCATGGTGGCGTGCACCTGTGGTTCCAGCTACTTGGGAGGCTCAGATGGGAGGATTGCTTGAGCCGGGGAAGCAGAGGCTGCAGTGAGACAAGAGATAACACCGCTGCACTCCAGTTTGGGCAACAGAGTGAGGCCCTATCTTAAAAAAAGAAAAAAAAAGACATTTCTGTGGTAACTCTTCTGGTCCTTCCCTCCTAAAAGCAGCTACTTTCAAGGGCTCTGAAGTCAGGCCTTGGCAACTCTTTTTAAAATACTCTCCAGGGTTCTGGTTTGTTGACAGATTTGGAGGCAACTTCATAGTGAATTCTGCAGAGCCACTCTCTACTAATCCCTCGCTGGAGCTGGAATAACACCACTGCCCTGCGAATTAATTCCAGGAGCAAGCCAGAGGCTTTTCAGAGAAAGTTAGACAGGAAAATGCAGTCAAACAGATTTCAATGTCTAGAAAGTCACTCTTTAGTTTTAACTGAAACAGGAAAATTCACAAATGGTAGATCCAGTCTGAAACTGGATACTATAAGGGTTTTGTCTATTAAATAAAATCCTTTTATCTTTTTCTCCTTAAGTTTCCAACATTGGTTTTTGGGTTATAACATAGAGGGACTAAATTCCTAGTAACTTGTGTCTCAGCGTCTGTTCCCTTTTTGGTCTGCTGTATAGTCTTTTTTGCTTCTCTTTTTTCTTACACAGTAAAATATCTGTGTCAGTTACCCTTAGCGAGTAGATACTGGCAGTGCCATGAGAGGGTCTTCTCAGGTGCTGGTCATCCTTTGTTTCTTGAACTTGAACAGCTGGATTCAGAATCCAGAGTGTTCACCATTACACTGTGGAACTGCTTGAGGAGGGATACTCTTCATATATTGTTTCTTGATCTGAGTGCTGGTTACAGGATGTGTTTAGGTTGTGAAATTCACCAAGAAATATAAAGAAGATTTGTGTACTTTTCTCCATATGTGTGTATTAGTCCATTCTTGCATTGCTATAAAGAAAAACCTGGGATGATAATTCATAAAGAAGAGGTTTAATTGGCTCACAGTTCCACAAGCTGTACAGGAAGCATGATGCTGGCCATCTGCTCAGCTTCTAGGGAGGCCTCAGGAAACATACAATCATGGCAGAAGGCAAAGGGGAAGCAGGCTCATCTTACATGGTGGGAGTAGGAAGAAGAGAGAAAGGGGAGAGGTGCTATACCCTTTATCCAGATCTCATGAGAACTCCCTCAGGAGAATAGCACTAGGAGGATGATGCTAAACCATTGAAAACCACCCCCATGATCCAGTCACCTCCCAGCAGGCCCCACCTCCAACACTGGGGATTACAATTTCACATAAGATTTGGGAAGGGACTTAGATTCCTACTAAAAAAGAAATATATATCAATGTATTATAACCCAGTGAAAAGTTAAAACATCAGTTGTAACAAATGCACCACTGTGGTGGAGGGTGTTGATAATGAGAGAAGCTATGCACATGTGGGTAAAAGGGTATATGAGAAATCTCTGAACCTTCCTCTCAATTTTGCTGTGAGCCTAAAACTACTCTAAAAAGTCTTTTAATAAAATGTGTATTTTTATACCACAGAGGATTTATCAGATTCAAAACATTGAATATGATTAAATGATAAGCCTACATTTGAATTCTCATTAAAACCTTTAAGAATAAATAAAAGAAAAATATAAAATCTAATCATCATCAGTAAGGACAAAAGCTTAAAATGATTTTGTTTTTTATATTTTTATAACCTTTCAAGTTTCAGTTGCTTGGCTGTGCAAGAAAATAAGAGCAGCAGTGTTGGGGGCGAACACAATCACCATTGTTGCCTTTGTTAGCCCTTCAAGGTAGCCCAACACATACAGACACCCTGCCCCAACCCCAGCTCACAGACCTTCCTTGTTCCCCAACTGCTTTTGCTCACAATCTCAATTTCATCCTGTTTCTGGCTTAGTGACGCCGACCACTATCCATTTTTTAAAATTTATTTTTTATTTTTTAGAGACAGAATCTCGCTCTATTGCCCAGGCTGGAGTGCAGTGGCATGATCATAGCTCACTTCAGCCTCAAACTCCTGGACTTAAACAGTCTTCCCACCTCAGCCTCCTCAGTAACTGGGACCACAGGTGTGTGCCCCCAAGTCTGGCTAATTAAAAAAAAATTTTTTTTTTTGTAGTGACAAGTGTCTCGCTATTTTGCTGAGGCTGGTCTCAAACTCATGGCTTCAAGCAATCCTCCAGTCACTGAGATTGTGCACCCGGCTACTCTCCACTTCTGATTCTGGGTTCTTGCATGTGCGTGTGGTCCATGGGCCTAGGCACACAGGATGCTCTACTGTTGATTCCAGGTGTAAGAAATTTCCTGTTAAATATCTTGCCCTGAAGGAAGCACCCTCTGCCTTGAGCACCTTACTTCTTCTAAGTGTCTGTAGGATCTGGCAGTAGTGTTTCCCAAAAGTTCTATATATTCCCCACCCTTCTACCCTAACTTCCTTTTTAAACTTTTAATTGAGTTTTTTTCCCCCCAGCTAAATTAAGTACACTTGCTATTTCAGGGACCATTTGTGATGAATCTTTAAAAAATGCCAATAATTTTATCTTACTTTTTTCATTTCTTTTAAAACTGAGCTTAGGTGCCATGGGCCAGACAACTGATCTACTAATACTGGATATCAAACAATATATTGTTTGACTATTTGTCAGCTGCCCCAAAGTTCAGTAATATGTAATGATCTGTAATTCTGCTGAGGCAGAAACTTGAATCTTGTGCCTTTAAAAGTAAAATAGAGGAGAAGGTCTTTGATGAATGTCCAGAACTTTAGTCTCCAGGGTTGGAGCCAAGAATGGGACAAGCCCCTGTCATAAGATTTATCACGGGCCCAGGGAAGGCTGAGAGATTGTGGTACATGAAGAGCCAGGTGTAGGAAGATAAGTCTAGACACAGGGGTGAGGCAGTAGTATGAGGGCCAGAGAAACAGGTCAGTCAAGGCCATAAACCAAAAGCCTTGAAATGGGACATTGGTAAGGTCCTCTGTTCCTCTCTCTATTCTTCCTCCCTCTAACTTCCCCAACTGTACCCAACCTCTTCATCTAGTATTTTCAAATATGGGTTATTTCTCTTTGGATATTTCATTCTCATTTGAATGCTGCATGTCCAAGTATCGACTTCTTTTGGCCTTTGGCATGTATAAGGAATAAGTCCAATGGCTTGTGTGAATTATCCAATATCAGTATAACAAAATATTTTTTCCGGTAACATGCATTGGCATGAAAAGTAGAGATTAACTCTACTTTTCTCTATTAGAAAAGTAGAAAGCCATATTGAGCTGAGGATTCCAGGTGGCTGGATGGGCTTAATTACAAGCTGGATGATATTCTCTTACACTCCATCCCCCAAGGTGGGGATTTCAAGTTTTTGATTCATCAAAATTAGAAATCTGTACATGTCATGGATCTTTGGAGCTACTAGCAAATAGTCAAACAGCAAATTAGCTATGGAATCTAGGTACTTCTAGCTACCTCTGTGGGTGGAATCCATAAAATTGAGTTTTATGCGCTTTACTATGCATAAGAACCTTGACAATTCTTATGCACAGGAAAGTCTGAGACCCCTTCTCCATGTTCCTTCTTGCTTACCCAGACAACTCTTCTTTCCTTATGGTTAATGGCACAATTTTTTTTTTTTTGCCAGCTTTCCAGAATATATTTAGAGCCATCTTTGACGTTTTCTTCTCCCTCATCCCTTGTAAATAATTACTCATTAAATATTGATTTTTTTCTCCCATTCCTACTCCAGCCATAGAGTAACTAGAACAAGCATTTCAGAGTTTTGTATGTAAAATGTGTATCAGTTTTCTGTTGGTACATAAGAAATTACTACAGATTAACTGGATTTTAAGCAACACCTATTTATTAGTTCACAGTTCAGTAGGTGAGAAATCTGGCACAGTGTGGCTGCTTTCTGTTCAATGTATCAGGTATTGGGAGGCTGAAATCCAGGCATCAGCCAGCTGAGTTCTCCTGTAGAGGCTCTAGGGGAAAATTTGCTTCCAAGCTCATTCAGGTTGGTGGAATTTAGTTCTGGCTTCCCTTATACAACTAGTTGGAGAAATTTCTCTCCTTTTAAGGAGCTCATATGATTAAGTAGGCCTATCTAGATATTTGTCCTACCTCAAGATCAACAACCTTAATTACATGTGCAAAATCCCATTACAGCAGTGTCTAGATTAGTGTTTGGTTGAATAATGGGAAGAAGGTTTATGTATATCAGGGGCTGGGGATCTCAGGGGCTGTAATGGTTAATTTTTTGTGCAACTTTACTGGGCCACAGGGTGCCCAGATATGTGGTCAAACATTATTCTGAGTATTTCTTGAGGGTATTTTTGATAGTTTAACATGTAAGTCAATAGACTAAAGTAGATTGCCCTCTCTAATATAGGTGGGCCTCATCCAATCAGTGGAAGGCTTCAATAAAACAAAAGACTGTTTCTCTCTTGTATGAGAGGGAATTTCTTCACCTGAATGCCTTCAGGCTGGAACAATTTTTTTCCTGACTTTAAACTCAAACTGAAACAAACATCAGCTCTTCCTGGTCTCAAGCCTACCAGACTTCAAACTGGAGCTATACCATTGGCCCTGTTTCTCAGATCTTTGAACTTGGACTGCAAATACACCATCATGTCTCCTGGGTTTTCAGTTTCCCAACTACAGATCTTGGGACTCATCAGGCTCCATAGTCATGTGAGCCAGTTCCTTTTAATAAATCTCTGTCTGTTTTTGTCTCTTTCTGTCTGTACATATATGTATATTATGTACATATATGTTCTCTTTTTCTGAAATAGGGGCCTTCTTAGAATTCTGCCTACCATATAAGGGAAACAAAATTCTAAGAGCTTTGTATATATTTCCTCAGTTAAGTCTTTCAACAACCCTATGAAGCAAGTACCATTATTATTTCTATTTTACTGATGAGGAAACTGATAATCAGAGAAGGTGAGTCTTGCTCAAGATTATGTGGGTATTTTCTCATAACACTCTATTACTCATGGAATTCCATGCCTATATTCCTTCAGCTGTCTTCCAAATGGCTTTCCTATCTTCAGAATCTTCCTCCTTTAATTCATCCTATATTTCTTGGCCAGATCAATGTTAATTAAAATTTTTTTTCATTACGTCTCTTTCTGAGGTGTAGAGAATTATACTTCACCATATGTGCTACATGGCATAGCTGCGATGTGTCAGAAATTGAGCTTATTCTCAAATATGAAAATCCATTTAGCTATATTCCTTGGCACAGGTTTTATTATGCTAACTTTGTACTGTAATGGTGTGTGAGGCGGCAGGAGGTGGAGGGGCAATTATAACACAAGTCATGGAGTATGTGCAGATTGTATTTTCCCAAACTCAAAATCTCAGAGGACTTTAATGATAAAAAGTAAGAGTTTTAAAAACAAATTTGATACATTAAAATAAAAATGTAAAAGCTAGCTATTATTTTGTTGCCCATATTCATATGAGAAATGGCAAACAGAATGAATGAATCAAATTGATCTTTAAGAAATGAATAACTTCTAAAGCTTATGTAAGAATACACTACATGAGCAATACATTTGCTCACTCATTTACTCACTCAGTAAATAGTTGTTGAATGCCACTATGTGCCAAGCACCATACCAAGCAAATATGTTTACTTTCTCCAGTGAGGTATTGTAGCAGCTTCCTCAACTGGTTTTCCTGCCTCCTCTCTCACCCTCAATGCCTACCCGAGTCCAGTATCCACGCAATGGCCAGAGTGATTTGGCCAAAATGATTGGCCAAAGATCAATAGAGTGATTGTGATCTGTTTTGATCACTCTGCTGATCAAAACTTTCTAATATATTTTCACTAATTCAGAAGAGGATCAGAATCCCATGGCCCATAATGTGGTCTGAAAGCCCCACTCCACTCTGTATTCAACTCCATCTCCTCCACTGCCCCTTTTACTCCCTCACTTTAGTCAGCACCAACCTCCTTCCCATGTCTCCTGGAAGTTTCTCATGGGCTGCTCATTCTTTCGGCTTAGAAGCTCTTCCCCAGACAACTACCCCTTACTTTACTCAGATCGTCTACACAGATGTCATTTCATCAAAGATGCCTTCTCTGACCACCTGAACCAAAACAGCAACTTCCCCCTACCACCCTCTCCACTTTAGTCTTTTACTTTTCTTCCCAGTACTCAATCACCACCTGATATATAATACATATTTGAATGTATTATAGCTGGCTTGTCATCCCTTCCTCTACTTAGGAGTCAGCTCCTAGAAGCTGCATTTTATCTATTGCATGATTTCAGACTGGAATTATACCTGACACACAGTAGTGTATTCTTACATACTTGCTGAATAAGTGAATGAACAAATGTAAAACCTCGATTTCTTTGAGGCATTTATTTATTTATTTAGAGACAAGATCTCACTCTGTCACCCAGGCTGGAGTGTAGTGGGGCGATCTTGGCTCACTGCAACTTCCACCTCCCAGGTTCAAGCGATTCTCCCACCTCAGCCTCCTGAGTAGCTGGGACTACAGGAGCGTGCCACCACAGCCAGATAATTTTTGTATTTTTAGTAGAGACAGTGTTTTGCCATGTTGCCCAGGCTGGTCTTGAACTCCTGGGCTCAAGTGATCCACCTGCCTTGGTCTCCCAAAGTACTGGGATTATAGGCATGAGGCATCGCTGGATGACACCATTTTATTGACCCTTTTGTAGAGAAATAGTGTGTGTGTTTGTGTTGCGTGAGTGCAGAAGTCTGGGAAGGGTGCTGCACAGCATTGTCCAGCGTTGGGGAGATGTCCCTGGCCCGTGCAATGACTCTTTGTGTCTTCTGATATGTAGATCCTTTGGAAGTATGCCTTTCTAGTAACAGCCATCTTGTCTATGGCTAATAACAGGCTCTTGGGAAATGCTCAAGAAGCTGGCATGATTTTTTTAAAAAAATATATAGTTCTTTTTATTACTGCTATATGCTGGGCACTTTAAATACATGCTGGGCACTATATTTAGCACTTTACATACATCCTTACAACTCTGCAAGATAATCATTAATATTCCCAGTTTACCAGTGAGTAGATGGAAATTAAATAATTAGCTTGAAGTCACTCCACTGGTAAGCAGTACCAGTCATTATTGAAATCCAGATCTATGGAATTTCACAGTCTGTGATACTTACCGAACTAGAAAGCTGCATAATGCTGGACATAATGTTTTGTATCAGATTCTAGTTTCACCACCATGATAGGTGGTGGCAGGTCTCAGACAAGGCTTTAAAATTCCCTTTCTCCTGCTTCTTGTGTCAAGGACACAAGTATCTCTTTATATTCCTTGCCAAGGACAAGAAGATCTCTTCCATGGAGCTTAGAGGTTAAAAGAAAAAAAGTTCTGATAAGGATTCACTTACTGGAAGTAAGAAAAAAATTTTAAATTGCTTTTTCTAATTACAAAAGCAATATATATGTATCATCTCAGGACATTTCTTGGGCTAAATAAAAACCTAAGGCAGCAAATGGGTGGTGGTAGTGGTGTGGTTTTGAGGATGAGAAGAGGTGGTCCAATCCCTTACTTAGATCTTTCTTATGATGTTATAGGGGAGCCAGAGATCACCTCCAAGCTCCCTTTTACCTCTTAATGAGCTCTCCAGTTGTATCTAGAAACCACACTGACACCAGGAAGATTACCAGGAGAAAAGTATACACATTTTATTAGTTTTATGTGCACATGGGGATCTTCACAAGAGAGTGAAGTCTGAAGAAGTGGCCAAAGTAAGATGCTTTTATTCATTTTTTTAGGTAAAGAGAGATAAATTTGAGAAGAAAAGCCATGACAAAGAAAATCTGGTTAAGGTGTTACAGTAGGTAGCTAGTCAGGCATGAGCAGGGCAGGAGAGGGCTCCCCCTCATACACACACACATCAGGAATGTCAGGCAGCCATCAGGTGATGGTCAGGTGGTTGTTAATTGTCTCTCTAAAATAATAGTTGGTCACAGCCGGCACCAGGGAAAGGCAGTCTCCTAATAGAAAACACTTGAACTGTTGATCAGCAGCTTCCCGATAAGATCTTAGGAGTTGGGCAAGTGGGCTCAAGTATGCGCCTGTGGACAGCTCACTCTAAGGGAAGAATCAGGAGAGAAGTAATGCAAAGCCCCAAAAGCAAGACCCCAGAAGTATGCCAACGTATAAAACCCCAGGTCAAAAGGTCAAACTACGCACTAGATCTCTCAAGTCACTGGCTTGGCCCTCTTCCAAGTGTACTTCCTTTCATTCAAAGCTTTTTAATAAACTTCACTTCTGTTCTAATACTTGCCTTGGTCTCTCCTTTTGCCTTATGCCCCTCAGTCGAACTCTTTCTTCTGAGGAGTCAAGAATTGAGGTTGCTGCAGATCTGTAGGAATTCACTGCCTGTAACATACTTTGGGGCCGTGTCTCGGATATGGGCAGCTGCTAACATATTTTGGTGCCCTGTGACTCGAGTTAACTTCCACAGCTCACAAAGGCAGTAACATTTTCTAGGGAGTCACTAGAAGATATATGTAAAAAATCTCCTATATCTCCTAGTGGAAGATAGGGTTACTTCGTTAAGAATGTTTATTCAGGTCCACTGCAGCCTTCAATTCCAAGCCTTTGGTGATAAAGGCTATTTTCTCACCGTGGTAGGGAGAGGATGCCCATCCCAGAGAAATCTTTGTGGCCTGCTGCATCGAAGAGGCAGGTCAGCTTGCCCTTTCTGAAACTACCATTTCTCCAATGTTTTCCGCTCGAAATAATCAATATACCAATTAGGCATATTTTGGAATGGCACACCTTCACTCCTTCAACGTCTTGTCCTGGGTACTTACCGAGATGACCAAATTTGAGTAGGTGTACAGAGTCCTAAGTATATGGAGTTACTTCATTTGTCCCTCTGAAAGATTGCAAATCGGACTAGCAATTCCCAGGGGGAAAATTCTAAGCAGTCAAAAAAGGACTCACAACCCTATTGCCGAGGACTAAAAGTATCAGCCCAATACAAAACATAGAACTCAAATTAAAGGGGAAAAGACTATCATGAGAACAAACAGAAGAGGAATCGGGGCTCCCTTCCCGCTCTTTATTGCCCTTAACACACTGTCTACGCTCCTTGTGCTCTCTATCCCGTTTTTAAATGTCCCTACACTGGTAAAAGCTGTCGCCTCGCTTCATTTCACTACCGCTTCTCCCAGCGTTAGCAGCACCTCCAGGCTCACAGTGCACTTGGTAGGGAGGACAGGTATTTATCCACGCGGCCCAAAGCTGGGTTTCGGTCGCTGGATAACACCTATTATTGACCCTTTTGTAGAGATAGCGTTGCGTGTGTTTGTGTTGCGCGGACGCAGAAATCTGGGAAGGGCGCTGCACAGCGTTTTCCAGCGCTGGGGAGACGCCCCCGGCCCCTTAGTCGCACCTGCCTAGGTGTGCTCGCACGGTGGGACCAGGGTGGGCAACAGATTTCGCCCCGGGCAAGTTCGCACGCGGAGCTCCCAGCGCCGCGGGTCTCGGAGAAGACGCCTGCCTCCCCGCGCATTTCCGGTGACGTGCTGCCGCGCCGCCCAATCAGCGCCCGCAGCCCGCGGGCTTGGGATTCAAACTGCTGCTCCTCCGGCTGGCGGGGATCAGCGCTGGCGCGGCTGCGGCCGCTGCTGCCTACGCGCCATGGAGCATCGCATCGTGGGGCCCGGGCCGTACCGAGCTACCAGGCTGGTGAGTGAGTGTGCTGGGGCCTGGGCGGAGCACCCGGTGCCGCGAGCCCCCACTCAGCGCGCGGACAGAGTGCTTGTCAGTCTTCGCTTCCGCAGGCCAGCGGGGCTCGGGTGTGGAGCATTTCAGCTGGGACTACTGGGGCTGCCTTTTAGTGGACGAGCCTCAAAGAAAGGCTAACGGGGCCCAGAGCTCAGCCGGCCGGGGGTTAGTGCAGCTTTGTCCATGAGATGTTGACTGGGTTCTCGGCAGTAGATGGCGCCTCTCTGTTTAAAGACCCCAAGACCAGGCTGTTCCCTGCCTTTTGTCCTCTGGAATCTAACCGACCCGGTCGGTAACCTGAGGGGCCACCACGTACCCCGTAACGCTCAGCGTTCGCGGCAGTCCAGGCAGGGCGTGTCTCCTTCCTGAGTGACACCTGATGATACCTGACGGGGTATTCGAATAAACGGTGCCCAGAACAGAGGGGCATCGCGCTGGCCGCATTTCCGGCCCCTGGCGTTTCTGTTTCTGTCAGCACCGATCCAGATGAAGAGCTGGCCAGGACAGATGTTTTAGGAGAGTCTTTGCCGACTCTGAGTTCCTGTTTTTTTTTTTTTTTTTTTCTGGGAGAAAAGCTTTGGTATTGAGGTGTACTTGGTCTGCTTTGACTTGGAACAATAAAGGGTGACAGTTTGGTAATGTCTGTGGCAAGTTTTTAGAGGACTTTCTGTGGAAGTGTAATGGTAATTTGGGAGGACAGTAACTTGCTCCTTGGTCTGCCGACCTCTCTGGCCACATTTAACATGGGAATTACTCTCATAGTTCCATGCATTATAATGAATACACAGGAAAAGATGGGAACTAACATCCAAACTCTTACTCAGCTAGACTCATGGAAGAGGTGAGGATGCTGGGATACAGATAATGTAAATAGAGTTTCCTTTTCTTTCCAAAGCCAGCCACACACTATACCAGTAAGTCAAGCCAGAGCTGAGAAGGCCAGCTTCTGGAAGAGAAATCATAGTTGGGGCTGATGGGTCTTTACTTTTTAAATTTGGCTCATAGATCGCTTTGAGAATCTGATGAAGATTAAGGATCTTCTTCACAGAAAACTGCACATGGCACATACTCATGAAATTTTACATGATTTAAGGGGATGGATCGCTTGAGGTCAGGAGTTCGAGACCAGCCTGGCCAACACAGCAAAACCCCGTCTGTACTAAAAATACAAAAATTAGCTGGGCATGGTGGCATGCGCCTATAGTCTCAGCTACTCAGGAGGCTGAGGCAGGAGAATCTCTTGAACCTGGGAGGCAGAGGTTGCAGTGAGCTGAGATCGCGCCATTGCACTCCAGCCTGGGCAACGAGCGAAACTCCATCTCAAAAAAAAAAAAAAATAATAAGGAGATTGGGAGAGTCTGTGACATTGTTTTATTTGGCATAAAGACAAGCATTTTATTTGCTCATCCTTTGGATCAGTAATCTGGGCTAGACTCATGTCAATGGTTCTTTTGTGGAGGTCACTCATGTGCCACAAATAATGTGACTTGGCTATTACTGGATGATGGAAGATGGCTGCTTGACTTGGTCCTGGCTGTTACCTGGGCCAGATATCTCTAACAGGTTATCGGAGGCATCTTCACGTAGTGGTCTCATGGTTCCAACGTAGCTAAAAGGAAGTTTCAGCTTGTGACTTTTTCTTCAAATCTCATTGGTCAAAGCAAGTTAAACAGCTAAATCCAGATTCTAGAAATTCAACTCCACTTCTTGATGGGCAGGGTGGCAAAGCCACAGAGGTGCATGTGGAGAGGATGGGAAGAATCATTGCACTCATCTTTGCGAACACTCTATACAGTATAGACACCAGAATGATCTGGGGTCAAGAATATTGATAAGTCTAACTTTAGGGAGGAAAATAAGGCATTTGATCATTCCCTTCACCAATTTATTTACAGCACTTACACAAGGAAAACATAGCAAGGCTGTGGTTCTTGACGTGACTAGTCTTCATTCTTCCTGCATTAGACTAAAAAAAAAATACCTCATAATTGGAATTGTATTTTAGTCTCATATTCACAGAATTGTATGAGGTACTTCTTTTCATGGATGCAGAGGGTCCATATATAGATAGTGCTGGATTCTTGAGTCACATTAAAATATTATCAAAGGAATTTGTTTAATTAAAAAAAGGTGCTCTCTGCTCTCTAGAAGTCTTCAGTCCCTAACAAATAATATTCAGGCTAAATTTAGGTTGATTAAGTTAAGAAGATAAATGACATGGATAATTAATGAAACAAACACCTCAGTTTCACCAGAATTTCCCAGGTAATCAATTCAGTTCTCAACTTCATAGTGTTTGAGGAACATAATATTAAACTAAGATGTGGAAAACAGAAAACAATAGCCAATTTTTTTTTTCAAAAGTGAGTATTCCTGCTGTCAGTGATTGCAGCCAACATTGAAGATGCTTCTTTCCATTGTAAAGTCTGTAATTGTTTCCCCAGTGTAATTCAGCTGTGACTTAAAGCTTTTGCTAGGTAAATCATATATTTAATAGTTTGAGACTAGTCCTCTTTTTACTTGTTGGACCTAGTTGGCCTTTCCTCCCTCTATCTGCAGCATACAATTTCTCCCTTTTCCCATCATGCTCATTCTAAACTTTCTTCAGGGGAAGCTTGGTAAAAATCTATTGGGATACAAAAACTAGGCCTTTATTTTCTCCTTTCATGGCTCACTTTACTTTCTCAAAGCATGTACAGCTTTAGAAAAAGCTCTTTGGTGCTTTTTCTAAAGCACCAAAGTCTTATTTGAAAATAACATTTTGTGGATTAGGTAAAATGTTATGACAAAAGTCAAATGACAGCCCCAACTCATGATAAATGTGAAGCTAGTTATCCATTTATACATTTTCACTGAAATAACTTTCATCTTTGTAAACTTGGTATAAATAGTTCATTCAAGTAGAGAGAAAAATTTTTTTTCTAGAAACTGCTTAAATCTTTGAACTTATTCTGAGTTATATATATGGTCTGATGCAACTGATAAATTTTAAAAGACATACAGCTTTCATTGAATCTGAGAGTTAGAATGGCAAGATCACACAACGAGGTTGTGGCAAGTGCAAGTAGATCTAGGAGTGGTTGTCACTGAACTCCCAGACCAGTCAGTTTTCTTTATAGCACCGCTATCATAATATTTTTGGTACTAAGAAGAAATGAAATGGAATATCCTGGAGAAAAGAACAGGATGCACAGCAGTAGGTGTATGTCTTATAGTTTGCCTCATCATGTTAAGAAAAAACAATTGTGTGATTTTATTTTTTCCTGAGAAACTAGGGGACTGAAATTAATAAGTAGAGCAAAACAAAAAGTGTTTTAAAATCATAAAACAAATCTGTTTTGTTCCATTTGTTGTAAAGATTCTCTTCAAATATAATGTCATGAAAAAAAAACTCAAGCTCTTTCTTGTTATTTATTGACAGAGGATATTTTGTTTCCAAAAGTGACTGAGAATGGTATATTGTTAGATTATTTAAAGATACTTATTTTTCTTTCTGAGCAGAGTAGCCAAATAACCCCTTAGTTATATTTGGAAATAAGTGGGAACAGAGACCAAAGTGACCTCAGTAGGCTTTAAAAAATCTAAAGTATTTCATATATTAAGGAAATATAACCCATAATGATAAATGCCATTCAAAATCAAAATGAGTAAATTCAAAAGTCTATTTATAAATGCTCTTTTTAAAAGGGGCAATGAGACTTTGATAAAGATGTTTTATTAGACATTTTCTAGTATGAAATAAAAGTCAGTAGCAATAGAGCAGTTAATCCATTCTGAATCCTAATGGATTTTTTTTTCCTGTGTGGGAGAATGCAATGAATTGAAAGCTCATGCTGAAGAGTAAAATTCTGAGAACTGAAAAAAGTTTTCCCTCACAAAAAGAAATGAACTTCACAAAAAGAAATTTTCACGCTGGGTGCGGTGGCTCATGCCTGTGATCTCAGCACTTTGGGAGGCCGAGGCGGGTGGATCACGAGGTCAGGAGATCAAGACCATCCTGGCCAACATGGTGAAACCCCGTCTCAACTAAAAATACAAAAATTAGCTGGGTGTGGTGGCACATGCCTGTAATCCCAGCTACTTGGGAGGCTGAGGCAGGAGAATCACTTGAACCAGGGCGTCGGAGGTTGCAGTCAGCCGAGATCACGCCACTGCACTCCAGCCTGGGCACCAGAGCGAGACTCTGTCTCAAAAAAAATAAAAAAAGAAAGAAGTTTTCACATTCCCTTACAAAGAAGACAGGGGCCTTGTCCTACCAGGGATTTATACTTGGTATTAATTGACTGTAATGACAACTGTATGGTATTACACAGGAACAGATAGTCGCTCAGTGGGATAGAAACAATCAAGAAGTGTGATATGTAAGGTTACTTAATAATATTTCTGTTCATTTAGAAAAGCATGGCATAATTGACTCTTGATATGGTTTGGACGTTTATCCCCTCCAAATCTCATGTTGAAATGTAATCCACAGTGTTGGAGGTGGGGCCTAGTGGAGGTGTTTGGGTCACTGGGGCAGATCACTCATGAATGGCCTGTTGCTGTCCTCATGACAATGAGTGAGTATTCACTCTGAGTTCATGTGCGATCTGATTGTTTAAAAGTGTGGCACCCTGTCCCTCACTCTCTCTTGTTCCCCCCTTGCTGTGTTATGTGCCTCCTTCTGCCTGCTTCCGCTTCACCTTCTGCCTTGAATAAAAGCTTCCTGAGGCCTCACCAGAAACTGAGCAGATGCTGGCACCATGTTTCTTGTACACTCTGCAGAACCGTAAGCTGATTAAACCTCTTTCCTTTATAAATTACCCAGTGTCAGGTATTTCTTTACAGCAACGCAAGAATGGACTAACACAACTCTCCATCCAGAAAAAAATAGAGATCCCCTGCCTCCCACCATATAAAATTCAGTTAAAGGTTTACATATTAAAAAACATACCCTCTAAAATATTAAAAGGAAATTTTGATAAATATTTTAATACCTCAGGATAGGGAAGCTTTCTTAAGAGAATAAACCCTGAACTGATAAAGAAAATAGATAATTATTTCCTTATAAAAACATCAACATCTACAACAAAATCATTGTATAGCTAGAGACTATGTAAAGAAATTGATAGGCTAAGATAAAACATTTGTAACATATAACAAAAAGGTTTAATATTCTATATTCATCAGTACATATTAAATGGGTATACTATATGTCAGGCACTGGTCTTTGTTGTGAGGATATTGAGCTGAACAAAATCGATTAACTTTCCTGACTTCTGTGCCCTTTAAACATTAACAGATTAAACAGTTCTTAAAATTGATTTTAAAAAAGAGATAACCCAATAGAAAAATGGCAAATCTCAGAAGAAGAAATGAATATGACTAAAGGTAAAGATATGAAAATGCAAACAAAATATGGATCTATCATTTCTTTTACATAGATTGGCAGAAATGAAAGAAATGATAACATCTAGTGTAGGCCAAAGTGTAAGGCTTTAGGCTCCCACATTGTTGGTGGAAGTGTGAATTGCTACAACTGATTTAAATATGCTGATACTTTTTAGAAGTCTATCAAAAGTAAACAAAAGCCTTGGTACTTTAGGTTATATAAACAAGTATAACTTGTAACATATTTGTAAAAATTGAACTGGGCAGAACTTGGATGACCATTTGTTAGAAAATGGCAGAATAAATTATGGCACATTCTTAAGAATGGGCTAGATCTGCAGGTATGACGCAGGGAGGTATCTGTTAGGTGCAAAAGCGTGTTTTAGGATAACATATACAACATGATTGATCTCATTTTTTAAAATGGCAAACAACAATAAATGACACACCTACAAAGGAAAAATTCTGTCTATGTGTCTGTATGTGATAGGTATGGAGTAAGACATGCAAACTCTTTTGTGTATACTTCTGTATTTAATTTGTTTGTTTCAATGAGTGTTATTACTTCTGTAATTAAAAGAACAACAGAACTGCTAACCAGACTGGGTCAATTAGTGGATATACCTAGTGATATTTGGAAATATTGGGTCCCAGAGAGCCATGCCTTCATTATGTTTATGTAATGCATAAGGTATTATGCATTAGGTAATTTTAGTTCATGATTATGATTGTTCAACCAACATAAACAAAAATCTTTTTTATTACCCCTTCCCCCGGCCCTACATACTTGATTATGCCTTTTCGGTACAACAATCTAATGATAAATGAAAGCTAGGTATCAGGGCATGTATTAAAAAAATCAATAATCAATGATTAAAAATATGTGAAAATTGTTTAAAGGTATGGTAATATCCATAGGTACTTGGTATAGTGAAATGACTACTTGAAGAAAAGTCCGTAGCACAGGATTCCAGATCTTATTCACAGACTAAGTACCTGAATGACATTTGCTAAGTTGTGTATCCTGCTAAGGTCTTGATTTTGTCCCAAAGATTTTTTCCAGCTCTAGAATAGATTGAACCTTATAATTTAAGAGATATCCTGGACATTTTATATATTATCCTTAAATTTGAGGAACGCATTTTTAACAAAGGACTTTTATAGTCATGATCTCATTTGATCTTACAATAACCTTGTAAAGTGGGTGGATAGGTAGAGAAGTTAAATCAGCGTTCTTGGACTCTTTATGGGCTTCCTTTCTACTATTCATTATTTAGCCTTTGCTCTGCTTTTCCTGTTTACATACTTTCCCTCCTTCATCCACTCACTTGGTTTCTTCTCCAACCTCCCTACTCTCTTCCACATCCAGTTTACCACCCCAACCAACCAGTTCATATTTGCCAACTTTCATGTGGGTAATAATTTTAGTATGTGAACATGTGCATATGTGTATGTATGTGTTTTTGTTTTTAGGTGTTAATTAGGCATAATGTACAGAAAAATGCTCAAAAAATTTGTTGAGTTGTATAAAAAGTGTACAACTCAACAAATTTTCATAAAGTGAGCATCCCATGTAACCAACATTCAGATCAAGGAATATCATATTACTAGCACCGCAGAAGTCTCCTTTCCCCCACTTGGTCCCTACCTCCTTATGAAGGTAACTGCTATCATTATTTTAAATATCATGGATCGTTTGGCCTGCTTTTGAGCTTCAAGTAAATGGAATCATATAGTATTTACTTTTCATATGTGGCCTGTTCATCTCAATATTATTTTCTGAGATTCATTTATGTTATGGCATGTAGCAATAGTTCGTTCATTTTCACTGCATTCTATTGGTGAATATATTATAACTTATTATGTTGATGGACATTTGGGTTGTTTCTGCCTATTATGGATAGTGCCATTATGAACAATGTGTCTTTTGGGGAGCATATATATGGATTTCTGTTGGGTATATGCTTAGGAGTAGAATTGCTGAGTTATAAGGTGTTCAGATATTTAGCTTTTGTAGATATTGCCAATCTGTTTTCCAAACTGGTCGCACCAATTTACATTCCTTACAGCAGTGTATGAGATTTCTAGTTCTTTCACATTCTTACCAGCACTTAGTGTTGCCTACCTTTTTTCTTATTTTTTAGGTCTCTAAAAAAAATTTTAGTTTTGTAAGTTGTAAACTGACAAATTATAGTTGTATATATTCATAGGGTACAAAATGATGTTATGATTTACGAATTCAATGGAATAATTAAATCAAGCTAATTACCATATCCATCACCTCAAATACTTAACATTTTTTTGTTGTACACTTGCAATTTACTCTCAGATTTTGAAAGTACATTATTATTAATATCTTCACCATGATGTCAAGATATCTCAAATAAAAAAGATAATTTCCTGTCTAGTTGAGGCTTTGTACCTTTTGACCATTATCTCCCCGTTCCCCACTCCCCTCAGCCTCTGGTTACCACCATTCTGCTTTTTGCCTCTTTGAACTCAATTGTTTTAGATTCCACGTATAAATGAGAATAGGCATTATTTGTTTTTCTGTTCCTGGCTTATTTCACTTGGTATAATGTTCTCCACTTCCATCCATGTCGTTGCAAATGACAACATTTCTTTCTTTTTTTAAAGGCTGAATAGTATTATATTGTATATGTATACCACATTTTCTTTATTCATTTATCTGTTGATGGACTTTTAGGTTGATTCCATAACTTAGCTCTTGTAAATAGTAAATGACATGGGAGTGCAGACATCTCTTTGACATCTTGACTTGAAATGTTTTGGGCAAATACCCAAAAGTGGGATCAGTAGATCCACCTGTCTTTCATTTTAGTTATTCTGACAGCCATGTTGTGATATTGACTTGTCGAGTTCTTTTACATTGCACTGATAATTAATGAGGTTTAACATCTTTGTATATGTTATAGGACATTTGAAGATCTTTTTTTTTATGATATACCTGTTTAAATTTTTTTTTCATTTTGTAATTGGAATGTCTTTTTCTTATTGATTTTTTTTGTTTTGTTTGGAAATGATAGATATATCTTATCCTACTCAGTGGCTTGCCTTGTTTCTGTGTGTTTTTAAGTTAAAAAAGATTTTAAATTTGGACTAACTTAATTTGGAGCATGACTCACAACAGTGTCAAAAGAAGTAGAAAGATTAACGTAAGAATAAAAAGCTATTTCAGTTTGGCCAGGAGGAAGACATGACTAGCAATTAGTGGGATTAAATTTCTTGAGGTTGAGAAGTTGGTTAAAAAAAGTAGAAAAAGTGCTGGGTGTGGTGGCTCATGCCTGTAATCCCAGCACTTTGGGAGGCTGAGGTGGGTGCATTACCTGAGGTCAGGAGTTCAAGACTAGCCTGACTAACATGGTGAAACCTCATCTCTACTAAAAATATAAAAATAAGCTGGGTGTGGTGGCGCATGCCTGTAACCCCAGCTACTTGGGAGACTGAGGCAGGAGAATCGCTTGAACCCGGGAGGCGGAGGTTGCATTAAGCTGAGATCATGCCATTGCACTCCAGCCTGGACTATACGGTGAGACTCCGTCTCAAAAAAAAAAAAAAAAGTAGAAAAAGTGAAAGATCGATTAAGCACTTGCTTATTGACTACCTAGTGTGGGTCACACACTGTGCTACACATCCGGGGTACATGCATACACAAACCCCACTTCTGTCCCTCAAGCTCCTGCTGTTGTATGCTCAGGAATTATGAATGTGGCTGAGAAGGTTAGCCATCAAAAATAAAAGAGAAATAGGATAATAGTTTCTCAGGTGGTTGGGCAGCAGAGAGTATGAAGAGAAATCTGGAAGAAAAGTCATGATTAGAAGGGAAAACATGACCCAAGGTTGGGCAAAAACAAACAAACAAGCAAAACAAACAAAAAACAACTCTGAGATCAGAAATACAGTTTAAAGAAAAAGATGACGTCAGAAAAATCTGATTTAAATAGGAAGAGAGGTGAGAGACAAAAGATTCGGAGTTTATAAAGTGACAGACTTGAAAGAGAAGAGTAAGAGAAAATGAGAATATGACTATGAATTTTAAGGACTTTAGGAGGACTGGCAGGGAGCCTACGTTCCTAAAAAGATGTTGAAATAATTATGTAGAAAGAAATTAGAAATATGTTACACAATAAAAGTTGCCTTATATTCCTTCTTCAAAAGAGATGACTTTCCTTTATTTTTAAGTTTGTTGTATATTCATTTAGCTTTTCATATGCATATACCAAAGCAGATAGGATCAGATTATATATAGTGTTTTGTACGTTTTTCTTCCACTTTGTTATATTTATGGTATCTATTTCTGTCTGGAACTATTGATAGTATTTTGTTTTGTGGCTATTCCACGCTTCAGTCAATTTTATTCAAATTAGTTCTAGTTTTTCTCTGATTATAAAATGGCAAATTAGTTCTAATTTTTCTCTGATTATAAAGCATAAATATACTTATGTTTATAAGTATATAAAATGCTTATAAATGCTTTCTCTGAAAAAACACTTCAGGTTTATTAAATATAATTCAACATGTTTAA
Source organism: Homo sapiens (assembly GCF_000001405.40). NCBI lineage: Eukaryota > Metazoa > Chordata > Mammalia > Primates > Hominidae > Homo > Homo sapiens. Next base: position 60,690,090 of record NC_000005.10, on the reverse strand, counting down.
ATAAAATTTAACTTGTAAATACTTTTATCTTTCTTTGAGACAGGGTCTTACTCTGTCGCTCAGGCTGGAAGGCAGTGGTGCAATCATGGCTTACTGCAGTCTTGACCTCCCAGGCTCAAGTGATCCTCCCACTTCAGCCTCCCCGCTCAGTCTGCCAAGTAGCTGCAGCTACAGGCACACACCACTACACCTGGCCAATTTTTAAATTTTTTGTAGAAATGGGGTTTCCCCATGATGCCCAGGCTGGTCTCGAACTCCTTGGTTCAAGTGACCTGCCCACCTCATCCTCTCAAAGTGCTGGGATTAGGGGTGTAAGCCACTGCACCTGGCCTGTAAATGCTTTTTAATCCGTTATATTTCTGCTTCTACATGGTGAATCCCTAAAAGTAAAGTGGCTGAAAAAAAAAAAGAGATCACATCTTATATAAGCATTTATTAAACAAGTACTTATGAGATTCTTTTCTAGAGCTAGCTTTAAAACAATATGGAGATGAGACTATTATTTCCCTTTAACATTTTTGTATTTTCAGCAGACTGTAGGTAGAACATAGATTTGTTAAAATTCAAGATACAGATTTGAATATACAAATTGGTTCTACCACTTATTAGCTGGGTAGATTTGAGTAAATTTCTTAATTCCTTCTGAAAGATGGTTATTATGAGGATTACATATATACAAAGACACAATGGGGACACAAGTTTGGGACATATTATATATAGTCTAATGAGAACAAAAAAGTCATTTATTTGCTTCCTGATTTCCTCCTCACTGATATAACTTCACAGATATAAGGAGAAAGAAGCTGAATTGTCATGAAGTTATTTGAAAGTAACATTTAAGAGAGACATCTGGTTTTTGTCTTCAAGGATGCTATGAGACATGGCAGTTCACCTGCCGCCTAGTGGCATCTTGTAGTGGAAGGAAACTGGATTTTTTTTAGTTCTCAACCATGTGCCAGGGCCTGTGCAACCAGTATATGGCAGAACTGGGATTTGAACTCAAGTCTGACTCCATACCTCTTGTTTTCCCCATTCCTCAGGGATTGATTCTGTTATCCTGAAGTGGTCCAGTGTTTCTTATACTTGAAGATTAGGATCATTGTGTGGTGAGCATGGCCAGCAGTGTATTACAGTGAGTTAGTATGTACTTGATTTGACAAAACGAGGTTCCTAAATAAAGTGGAAGCAATGGGATATATATTCCCTGGACTTAACTGACGTGGATCCAATCAGTGTGTGGTGTGCTGTTTCTTAGCAGACCTCTCATTTTAATTTCCATGATTTTTGACTCCCAAAATCTGAGATTTTTTGAGCTTCTAGGGCCATATTTTTATTTAGGACAAATTCCTAGAGAAAAGTGTTAACTGCACCAAAGCCACATAGTTATTGGCAGAGGCTGGACTAATGGCCAATGGAGACTCCATTCTGGGGTCTTTCCAACGTACTCACTCAGCTCTGACAGCCACATCCACCCTGATAATATTAATAAATACAGCAGCAATGATGCTATAATGGCTAATGTTTATTAAGCACTTCTTTCGTGACAGACACTGTGATAGGCTGCATCAACATTATCTCATCTGGTCTTTGTAACAACCCTGTCATGTGGGTACTGCATTACACCGGGAGTAATGGAGGCTTGTCTAGCAATGAGTCAGTTTGCCCTGCTGGTCTGTTGTAGAATAGGCCTCTCAACCCAGCAGTGTTTGACTTCAGAGCCTGAGCTCTCTCTACCCAGTCTACTTTTCAGTGTGGTATCTGAAGATGTCATGCACACTTAAACTTCTAGGTCCTTTCAAAGGAACCATGAGGTAGTTTTAAACTAATATATATTATTTGAGGTATCTAGTAGCTATTCTTTCAAAAAGCTTTGTTTTGCATGTAAGCAAAAACTGGCTCATCACTTTTCAAAGGTTTATCTTTGTGGCCTTGAGCTGTTTGACATCAGGCACTGTATTATCTTTTTCATCTCTTTTCCTCCTCCTCCTACAATGCCTTTCACATAATAAGCAACCTAGAAATATTTGCTGAATGAAGGTAAAGTCATTAAACAGGGGACTCCAAAAAGCAAAGTTTGCACAGTGGGCTTAGTTTTAATCATTATTTACTGTATGTTCTTTGTTTATGTAAAAATCCATTAATAGGACAACTTGATGGCAATCTCCTCAATAAATAATATTTCTTGAATGAATAAATGATGAACCACCCTTGAAAAGCTGCATTTTCTTTACAGTTTTTTTTCCTATCAATAGTTTCTATTTTTGAGGCCGGGTGCAGTGGCTCACTCCTGTAATTCCAGCACTTTGGGAGGCTGAGGCGGCTGGATCACTTGAGATCAAGAGTTCGAGACCACCCTGACCAACATGGTGAAACTCCATCTCTACTAAAAATACAAAAATTAGCTGGGCATGGTGGTGGGCGCCTGTAATCTCAGATACTCGGGAGGCTGAGGCAGGAGAATTGCTTGAACCTGGGAGGCGGAGGTTGCAGTGAGCAGAGACACGCCACTGCACTCCAGCCTGGGCGACAAAGCTAGACTCTATCTCAAAAAAAAAAAAGTTTTTATTTTTGTTTTAATTATGGTAAAATATATATAATATAAAACTATTTTAACTGTTTTTTATATATATAGTTCTATGGCACTAAGAACATTCACAGTGTTGTACAGCCATTGCCACCATCCATTCTGCCAAACTTTTCTTTATTAGAGTTTGAAGCCTGTAAATAAAACATTTTCAAGGCTCTACCTGTTATTAAAGCAGTTTAAGTGGAAAAATTGCATTCTTTGCTTTAATTATTTGAGATGTAGTAATCTTAAAAAAATCAGTTGATTACTAAATGCCATTCTCTTTCTTTCCCCTAGTGGAATGAGACCGTGGAGCTTTTTCGTGCTAAGATGCCGTTACGGAAACATCGCTGTCGTTTCAAGAGCTATGAGCATTGTTTCACAGCGGCCGAAGCTGTGGATTGGCTGCATGAGCTGCTGAGGTGCAGTCAAAACTTCGGCCCTGAAGTGACCCGCAAACAAACGGTCCAGCTGCTAAAAAAATTCCTGAAGAATCACGTTATTGAAGACATCAAGGGAAAATGGGGTGAGGAAGATTTTGAAGACAATCGTCACTTATACAGGTAATGGCAACATGTAAACCTGGAAGGTGAGGAATTGGGGAGATGAGTGAATCTGGTCCAAGTCTGTTGAAGCTTCCTGATGTGTAAGAATTTACCTTGTTCACTGAACAGTGGGTCTAGTTGTGATTTGTTGAGTGGAGAACTGAATGTGTTGCTGCAATAAAACCAGCTGGGATTTTTCTTGGCTTCTTAGAGCATACCAGAGCTGTGTTTTGTTGCAGTGATGTTTCAGTAAGGTAATCTTTTCATGCCTTTTGCTCACCTGGGAAATGGTGGCCATAACTTAGTACTTCTCCTGGAGAATCTGAAATGGTGAAACAGTAGCTCTGGGTTCAGCTTTTCTGAGCAATGGGGATTGGTATATTCAGGAGGTTAGTAGCAGAGTGTGTGTGATCTTTAAACAGCTCAGGGCCCATGTGAAGAATTATGCTAGAATTCCCTGATGTCTCAGATTAAGCCCGACAATGTGAGTCCACTTTTCTGCAAACATTTTTGCTCATGTTTCAGTGCTATTTTATCATGTGGACACTTACCGCCAGATAATCCAAGGGAAAATAAAGGCTGCTTGTCTTGCACTTCACTTCTTACTGCATACTTGGCAGTTTTATTGCTGGAGGTGGAGGAGAGCAACCTCAGATCAGGTGTGGGAGAAGACTAAAGAGGAATGAAGTCACACAGGTCCATAAAGGAATTGTTGAGTTATCTACACGGATTAAAAGAAGGAATGGAGAATATGGACCCTTATTACGTGCTTTCCTTTACTCCAGCTGAAAAATAAGTGTGATTGCAGCATATTCAGTGAGGGCATTCCACTGGGACACATGGCTTTGCACAGAGACAACCTGGCTCTTTCATACCTGAACCATTTCTTTGTCTCCCTCTTGGACTAGCTGCTGAGAAAGGCAGAGCAGGGTGAGACTGTCTGTCGTGAGTGCATAGGGTGAAGAACAGACATTGCTGTGCATTAGGATCTAACTTCCTCATGGAGTTTCATCAGCAGTCTCTTGAGTCCAGATATCAGTATTGTCATCTGGGCAATTAGTCATCTGTCCACTTGGTGGTTAGTTTTGGCGTTGCTGATCCCACTTTTAATTAGGATATTGGATAATCTTGACCTATTCTGAGACCTTAGTACTTAATAGCATCAGGCAGTGGAAATTTTAGCCCTGATTCTACATGCCATACTTTATTGGGAATTCTTAAATGATTATTTCTCTTGGGAAACTTTAATTGCTTGTACCCTATCAAGATTTAGCTAGAACACTTCTGAAAGATTCTCTGGATGAGTAACTTCCATTCTATTCTATTGTGACCTTAAATTGGGTACCTCCCATCGAGTCCCAGGAGGCTTTATGAGTCCCAGCAGAGTAAAATAGGAGCCGACTACCCAGCACTAACTGCCAGAACATGTTTCACTTCAATATTAAGACTTAACCATGTATCCCCCTTTAAAAAATAGAGTACACAAGACATATTAAATTCATCCATTAAATAATTATTTTTTCCTCCAGTTTCTCTAATAGAATTCTTGTGAGTCATAAATGGAGCAGTATTTTTTTTTTTTTCACCATTTACTACCTGAAAGTTCATTATGGCTTTCCATTTTCCTGAGTGGAAGTTGTGTAAGTTAACCACCAACTTTTGCCAATTACCTAGATTAAGCTGGGATGAAATCCGTTTAGACATGTAAATCATTTGTTAAGGTGCCCGTGCCTTGAATTGAGAGTGAGCTAATGAGTGTACAGCCGGCCGTTGCATACATGCAGGCTTCTATTACAGTGCTCCACGAAAGAGCATTTGGTGTCCTACCTGCTGTGTCTTAACTGCTTTCCTTGGGCAAAGAGTACTACTGCCAAGTTATGAAAACAGAGGAGGAGAGTATGAGCGAGAGGCAGGTTAGATTTGACAATAGCCATTCTAACTGAAGTGAGATGGTATCTCCTTGTGATTTTCATTTGCATTACCCTCATGATTAGTGATGTTGAGCATTTTTTTGACATACTTATCAGCCAGTTGTATGTCTTCTTTTGAGAAATATCTATTCAGATCCTTTGCCCATTTTTTAATTGGATTATTTGAGTTTTGTTGTTGAGCTCCTTGTATATTCTGGATATTAGTCCCTTGTTGGATGAATAGTTTTCAAATATTTTCTCCCATTCTACGGGTTTACTCTTCATTGTGTTGTTTGCTATGCAGAAGCTTTTTAGTTTGATATAGTTCCATTTGTCTATTTTTGTTTTTGTTACCTGTGCTTTTGTAGTCTTACCCATAAAGTCTTTGCCTAGATCAGTGTCCTTGAAACATTTCCCCTGTTTTCTTCTAGTAGTTTTATAGTTTCAGGTCTTACAGTTTAGTGTTTAATCCATTTTGAGTTGACTTTTATACATGGTGAGAGATAGAGGTCTAGTTTCATTCTTCTGCATAAGGATATCCAGTTTTTCTAGCTTATTGAAAAGGATATCCTTTCCCCAATATATGTTCTTGGCATCTTGGTTGAAAATCATTTGGTTGTAAACACATGGATTTATTTCTGAGTTCTTTTTTCTGTTCCTTTGGTTTATGTATATTTTTATACCAACACCATTTTGTTTCATTACTATTGCTTTGTAGTATATTTTGATGTCAGGTAGTGTGATGCTGTCAGCTTTGTTCTTTTGGCTTGGGATTGTTTTAGCTATTCAAGGTCTTTTGTGGATACATACAAATTTCAGGATTGTTTTTTTCTGTTCTCTAGAATGTCATTTGTAATTTGATAAAGACTGCGTTGAATCTGTAGATTGCTTTGGGTAGTATGGTCATTTTAACAGTATTAAATTCTTCTGAGCCATGTGCATGGGATGTCTTTCCATTTTTTTGTGTCTCTCTTCAATTTCTTTCAACAGGGTTTTGTAGTTTTCTTTATAGAGATTTTTTCACTTCCTTGTTAAATTTATTCCTAGGTATTTTTTTTTTGTAGCTAGTATAAATGGGATTGCTTTTTTGATTTCTTTTCAGCTAGTTTGTTATTGGTGTATAGAAATGCTACTGATTTTTGTGTGTTGATTTTGTATCCTATAACTTTATTGAATTTATCAGTTCTGAATTTTTTAGTGGCATCTTAGGATTTTCTCTATATAAGTTTATGTCGTTTGTGAAAAGGGAGTACTTGACTTCCTGTTTTCCAATTTATATGTCGTTTATTTCTTTCTCTTGCTTAATTGCTCTAGTTAGGACTTCCAGTACTATTTTCAGTAAGAGTGGTGAAACTGGGCATCTTATCTTGTTCTAATTCTTAGAGGAAAGGCTTGCAGCTTTTCTCTGTTCAATGATGTTAGCTGTGAGTTTGTCATATATGGCTTTTATTGTGTTATATTCCTTCTGTACCTAAGTTATGGAGAGTTTTTGTTATGAATGGATGTTGAATTTTATCTAATGCTTTTTTTCTGCATCTATTGAGTGGTCATATGGTTTTTGTCCTTCATTCTGTTGTTGTGATGTATATATATATAAGTAAATCTTTATTTCTTTCACTGCATTCTCTCTTTCTTTTTGAGACAGGGTCTTGCTCTGTTACCCAGGCTGGAGTGCAGTGGTGCGATCTTGGCTCACTGCAGCCTCAACCTCCCAGGCTCAAGTGATCTTCCCACCTCAGCCTCCTGCATAGCAGGGACTACAAGCGCACGCCACATGCTCAGCTAATTTTTTTAAAAAATTTTGTAGAGACAGGGTTTTGCCATGTTCCCCAGGCTGGTCTTGAACCCCTGAGCTCAAGAAATCTGCTGGCCTCAGCTTCCCAAAGTGCTGGGATTATAGGCATGAGCCACCATGCCTGGCAGATTTGTGTATACTGATCCTTCCTTTCATCCTTGAGCTATATCCCATGTGATTATTGTATATTACCTTTTTGATGTGTTGTTGGATTTGGTTTGCTTGTAATTTGTTGAGGATTTTTGTATCTATGTTCATCAGGGACATTGGCCACTTTTTTTCTTTTTTTGTTGTATCTTTGTCTGGTTTTGGTATCAGGGTAATGCTGGCCTTATAGAATGAGTTAGAAAGAATTTCCTTCTCTTCCATTTTTTTGGAATAATTTGATAAGAATTGATATTAATTCCTCTTCAAAGGTGTGGTAGAATTCATTAGTAAAGTTGTCCAGTCCTGGACTTTTCTTTGTTAGGAGACTTTTTATTAGTGATTCAATCTTGTTACTTGTTATTGATCTATTACAGATTTTCTATTTATTTCTGGTTCAATCATGGTAAGTTACATGTGTCTATGAATATATCCATTTCCTTTAGGTTTTCCAATTCGTTGCTTATATTTATTCATTAAATAGGTTTTCTATGCCTTTTGCCATCTTTCACTTTCTGAAATGCTCAAGATACACATATTTATTTGCTTAATGGTAATCCCATATGTCATGTAGGCTTTCTTTATTTTCTTTATTTTTTAATTTTTATTTTTTTAATTATACTTTAAGTTTTAGGGTGCATGTGCACAACGTGCAGGTTTGTTACATATGTATACATGTGTCATGTTGGTGTGCTGCACCCATTAACTCGTCATTTAACATTAGGTATATCTCCTAATGCTATCCCTCCCTGCTCCCCGCACCCCACAACAGGCCCCAGTGTGTGATGGTCCCCTTCCTGTGTCCATGCGTTCTCATTGTTCAATTCCCACCTATGAGTGAGAACATGTGGTGTTTGGTTTTTTGTCCTTGCGATAGTTTGCTGAGAATGGTGGTTTCCGGCTTCATCCATGTCCCTACAAAGGACATGAACTCATCATTTTTTATGGCTGCATAGTATTCCATGGTGTATATGTGCCACATTTTCTTAATCCAGTCTATCAATTGTTGGACATTTGGGTTGGTTTTTTCTTCATTTTTATCAGACAGGGTTATTTCAAAAGACCTGTCTTCAAATCGAGAAAGTTTTTCTTCTGCTTGGTCTAGCCTATTGAAATGTTGGTTGTATGCTTTTTTATTTCATTTACTGAATCCTTAATTTTCAGGATTTCTGTTTGGTTCTTTTTAATTATAACTATCTTTTTATTAAATTTCTCATTCAGAGCTGGGTGTGGTGGTGTGTACCTATAGCCCCAGCTACCCAGGAGGTGAGAGTATTGCTTGAGTAGGGGAGTTTGAGTCCAGCTAGGGCAGCATAGTGAGACCTTGTCTCTTAAAAAAAAAAATTATAATTCAGATCATAAGCTATTTTCCTTATTTCTTTGTATTGTCTGTCTGTGTTATTTTGTATCTTATTGAGCTTCCTTGAAATCATTATTTGAAATTCTTTTTCAGACATTTCATTGATTTCCTTTTCTTTGAGATGTTAATGGGGAATGATTGCGTCTCTTTGGAGGTTTCATGTTTCCTTGCCTTTTCATTGTTTTTATGTCTCAATGTTGTTATCTGTGTATCTGGTGGAACAGTTGCTTCTTCTAGTTTTATGGATTGGCTTTTGTAGGTAAAGACTTTTTTCCTGTAGATCTATCTATAGTGTTGGCTGGTTAGAGTGCCTTCCCTTTGATTTTGGGTATGCACAGTAATTTAGTCTCTATTATTTCTTTGGCTGTAATCAATGCCAGTGGTGTCTGTGAGTTCCTCAATGGCTTAGGTTGTTGGCAGAGGCTGTGGCAAGGCTTTTCTGATGATGTAGATGCCAGGCAGGCTGGTCCTGCCGCTCTGGGTGGTGTATGTGTGCCCTTGGGTGGTGGTAGTGGGCAAGGTGTGATGGTCCTCAGGTCCCTGGGTGGTATATGCAGGTGCTGGCATTGGTGGTGGGGGGCCTGGGTGGGCTGGTCTGAAGGGAAACATTTTGTAAGTAGTTCTGAGAATAATGGAATGGACATTGAAGGGTTCTTGCTGGAAAGGAAGGAACTAATGTTCTAGAGCTTCTATGTTGTTCCATCCTCATCACATAATTCATTATTTAACTCAACACCTGTAGGTGGAAATGGTAGTATCCTAGTTGTAAAGATTGGGAAATTAATAAAGCCAAAATAACTAACTGGTCCAAAGTAATCCAGGTAGTGGTAGAAGAGTCAGGATTTGAAATGAGGTCTTCATCTCTGAAGCCTATGCCAGGCTGCCTCTATTTTCACAACATGAGGTTGACTTAGTTTATCAAATATATTAGTGAATGAAAGAGTAAACACACAGAATAAGCAAGAAACATTTGGTGTAATCAACACGTTTATATTCACAAAGTTCTTGCAATGCATTAAGTACCATGTAATACGTATTAAATGATGAACTGTCTTCTTCAAGAAGTTCTTCTCAAATAAAGAAGGCAAGGGAAACATAACCTAAATACTTATATAAATATAGCAAAAGAGAGGTGGTTTCCTTTATCTATTTGTTAGAGAAAGCTACCTAAAATATAAGGGTTCTTTTTGTATATTTTGAAGAGAGGGAATTTGCATATATATGTTAGAGAATTTTATAACAAAGATGATTAGTAAAGCCCTTATTTTGGAATATGTCAAAAATGATTTCTAGATTTAAGAAATGCATGTCATATTTGTTCTGTGAATGCATTTAAATTTGTAATTTTTTTTTAAAGACTCAAGATGTTCAGTATAGAAAAATTGAAGGGAGGAGTGAATTTTAGTGTATAAGAAAGGAAAGCAAGTTCATAATATCTGAATGCCTATAATAATAATGAGATGTTACAGAGATGTACTCAGCACTATACTTCTTTCCTGTTAACCAACAGCAATTACTAGAAAGAGTTCTGGGTTTGCTGCTGGTGAAAACAATTTTAGATTTCACTAAATGGTGCTCATGGTTGAACCAGGTGCTGTTGTCTGTGTCTTAAAGCTTCATGACCCTAAACTTCTAATGGATGAGGAGATTGAATTATACTACTTTATATGTTTATAAGAAATTTTGGTTTATGAAACATTTCTACTTCTGTGATGTCATTTAATCTTTATGATCTCCTCTGATCTTTACGACAATTCTATGAGGTAGACAGGGTACATATTTAATCCTCAGACACTTTCCCCTTTAAAATGTCTAAACAAAACACCAAGAATGTTCTAATTAAAGAAATTCTGTACTTACTGCTTCTGCCCATCTGTGTATGTGAACAATTACGTAATATTATTTAAACCTAACTTAGTGGGTTCTATACAAATAAAAATGTATATTATGATAATTGTTTTGGATTATTTAATGAGAAAAGTGTTTGTCCTGTTGTAGCCCTTTAGCAGGAAAGGTTTCTCTGGCATGGAGCCTATACATGGCTCCTGACTTGCTCTCATCACTGGTGCTAGCTCTGGTGGGTGGTTGAACTGGGAAGGTTTTCATGGCTTACAGGTAGAAATTCACAGCTCAGATGGTGGGGATTGAGATCTAACATGTAGGGACCATTTTCTTTTTATTTCCTGCCTGTCTCATTCCTTTTTTTCTTTCCTTCTCTTTTTTCTTTTTTGTTTCTACCTCTGTGTGTGTCATTCTCATGTTTCAACTTCTCTTTTTCTTCCTCTTTCTTTCTATTCCTTTTCTCTCATACTTTCTTGCTTTTCTGGCCTATTTTCAAAATACTGATTTTAATTTGAAACTAAAGTTTGTTATGTAGCTATCGCCAGATTTATTGAATAATGTTACTTTCACAGTTCTTAATGTAAAAAGCAGAGGAATCATACTACCCAGTTTTATGGCTTAGTATAGAAAGCCATAGAAGTTAATACTATGGTGTTGGTGAAGTGAAAGACATATAGATCAGTGGTACAGAATAGAGAGTCCAGAAACAGATACATATAAATATGCCAATAGATTTTTTTACAAAGATGTAAATTCTATTTAATGGGAAAAGATGAGTATTTTCAGCAAATTATGTTGGAATAATTGGGCATCCATCCATGCATGTGCCAAAATAAAAAAAGAACCTCAACATAAACCTTATACTTCATACAAATATTAGTTCAAAGTGGATCATAGATTTAAATATAAAACTACAGAACTTTTAGAAAAACAGGAGAAAAATCTTTGTTTTGGTATTAGGCAAAGAGTTTTTAGACATGACACTAAAAGCACCAAACATAAAGGAAAAATATGATAAACTGGATTTCATCAAAATGAACAATTTTTGCTCTGTGAAAGACATTGGATGAGAGGATGAGAGGACAAGCTACAGATGGGGAAAATATTTGCAAACCACATATGTGACAGTGGAGTGCTATCAAGAATATGTAAAGAGCTCATCAACTCAACAGTAAGTAAACAAGCAATCCAATTGAAAAATGAGCAAAAGACTTGAAAAGACATATCACCAAAAGTATGCAGTTAGCAGATGGGCATTTGAAAAGATGTTTGATGTAGTATACATTAGGGTGATGCAAATTAAAGCCCTAGGGAGATACAACTATGTATCTATTAGTATGTTTAAAATAAAAATACTAATGATATCTAGTGCTAGTGAGGATGCAGTCACTGGAAATCTTATACATTGCTGTTGGACACCTAGATTGTTAGTCACTTTGGAAAAGTTAGTTTCTTTTAAAGTTAATAAGTACATTGACTATATGATTCAGCATTCCTACTCCTGGGTATTTATCCTAGAGAGACAAAAACAATGTTTACACAAAAACTCGTTAAGTGAATATTTATAGATTGCCAGTAACTGGAAATAACCTAAACATTCTTCCATGGGTGAATGGATAACTATTGTACATCCATACAATGTAGCACCGCTGGGTGGCAGAAGGGTGCGACTGTAAAGGGAGAGCAGGAAGGAGCGTTTTCGGGAGTAATGGAATAGTTCTGTTTCTTGATTTTGGTGGTAGATACACAAGTGTATACATGTGTTAAACTTGATAGGGCTATACACCAAAAAAAAAAATTTTATTTTACCATATGCTAATAACTTTCTTAAGCTAGAGATTTGCAAAACCTGTATTTGTACCTCCAGTGAAAGAAACTCAAATTTAAGTTGTTTGAGGGAGGTGGCCCTTAAGTCATTTTCTGTGGCCCTGGGAAAAATTCTTTCATCACTACCCAATAGGTCTTTTGGACCCGTTTTAGATACCTCACCTTTAAATTAATGGACTACTTCCTCCCTCTAGTGGACATCTTTTGTTTTTCTAGGAAAGCACAAAACTTGTTAGTGTGATTTTATTTTTCTTTTGTTTTTACTCATTTCATCGTCATGGGTTGTTGTCCTGTGATTAGTTGGATAAGTTCTTAGCCTTACTGGGCATTGGTTTTCTCAAATATAAACTGACAGGGCAACAAAGTGATACCCTGTCTTTACAAAAAGTTAAAAGTTTAGTTAGGTGAAGTGGTGGCATGTACCATAGACCAAGCTACTCCAGAGGCTGAGTGGGGCAGATAGCTTGAGTCCCAGAGTTCAAGGGTGCAGTGAGCCATGATCATGCCACTGTACTTCAGCCTGGGTGACAGAGAGAGACCTTGTCTCATAAAAAAAAGAAAAAATAAAAAAGAAAAAAATGACAGGGAGGACTAGATCTTTAAGATCCTTTTTAGTTCTAAACTTTTATGTTTCCAGGTATGGAGTACCTATCACATGTTTTCCAATCCGTGGCAGTGAAGGATCTAAAAAGGAAATATAATGTGATTCTTTATCTGCCTGACTTTATAATCTCTTTTGAGAGAGAGAGAGAGAGAGAGAGAGAGAGAGAGAGAGTGTGTGTGTGTGTGTGTGTGTGTGTGTGTGTCTGTATGAAAAAGATTCTGCTACTTAGCAGAATCAAGACAGTATTTAATTAATTACCTAAAATAACCCATAACAAATAATCAGTTACACTGGCAGTCATTGGGTTGACATATCTATTTTGTTTGACCAGTATTGTGGTTTAGTCATCAAGTTTTTTCTATCTCCTTTTTATTTTTAAATTTTGTATATTTTGTGAAGATAATACATTTATGTGGTTCGAAATTTACAAAGTGCAAAAGGGCATATGCAATGAAAAGCCTTCCTCACATATCCCTCCCCCAGCCACTCAGTTCTCTTTCTCATAGACACTTAACATTATTAACTTCTAGCACAGTGTCTTAATACATTATGAACCGGAAAGTCTTTAGATGGGGCAAACTCACTCCAGTGGCCACATTCCCCACCATTTCCCTATAATATTATACCAGACTGTATCATGATTATGTTATCTGCCTGGCCATTGTAGGAATTGTGTCTGTGATCCAGTTGGTGTGGACTGGAGTGTTTGGAACCTTATGGAACGGGAGGGGGATGGGGAGGAGAAGGAGAAGGGGAAGGAGACGGAGGAGGAGCAGGACTTCAGCCTGGGTCGGCTAAACAGTGCAGGATCTGGATAAAAAGAAGGGATGGGAAGGAAAAGGAAAGATGGCAAGATCAAGGCTGTCAGTCAAAAACACACAAATAAGCTTCCTGGGAGAAAAGGGAGGAGGATGACCCGGCTGGAACAGAAATCTTAGGTCAGGAAATCATGAGGGATACATTTGGTGGAATTTCTTACATTTCTGACTATGGAGTAGGGTTTTATTTCAAAAGGAGAAGTTATTAAAGCGAGGCATAGTGCCATGCGCCTGTAGTCTTAGCTACTTAGGAGGCTGAAGCCAGAGGATTCCTTAAGCTCAGGATTTTTTTTTTTCATTATTATACTTTAAGTTCTAGAGTACATGTGTACAACGTGCAGGTTTGTTACATATGTATACATGTGCCGTGTTGGTGTGCTACAGGATTTTTAAGGCCAGCCTGGGGAACATAGTGAGACCCTGTCTCTTAAAGAAGAAAAAAAAAAAAAAGGCCGGGCACAGTGGCTGACGCCTGTAGTCGCAGCACTTTGGGTGGCTGAGGTGGGCAGATCACGAGGTCAGGAGATCGAGACCATCCTGGCTAACACAGTGAAATCCCGTCTTTACTAAAAATACAAAAAAATTGTAGCTGGGCGTGGTGGCAGGTGCCTGTAGTCCCAGCTACTCGGGAGGCTGAGGCAGGAGAATGGCATGAACCCAGGAAGCAGAGCTTGCAGTGAGCCGAGATTGTGCCAGTGCATTCCAGGCCTGGGCAACAGAGCAAGACTCCCTCTCAAAACAAAAAACAAAAAAACAAAAAACAAAAAAAAAAAAAAGAAAAAAGAAACAGAGAAGGCAGCTACTGTTAGTGTTTTGAGCAGTGATGGAGTCTTTGTTCTAGAACAGAGTTAATTGAATAATAGGGACAGAATAGATTGTAAGGCAGAGAAGCTGGTGAGGCGTTTAAGGTAACTGGTGAAAGCGATATTGCCTAGATGAGAATGCTAGCCGTGGGGCTGAAAAGGAAGGAAGGGCCTGTGTTTTATAGGCAAATTTCAGGCTAGACCCTGTAACTGCTCTGTATGTAGTCCGTAAGCTTTGTTTGAAGTCTGATTATTTTTGAACAAAGTTTTAAACATATTGTTCATTAATCTGAAATTGCTAGTTACATTTAGAATCTTTGTTAATGTTTAGCATCTGCTTACAGAGGCTTGGAATGTAACTGTAACTGTTTTCAAGCCAATGAACAGTTCTTCAAACATACCTGCAGTGTTTAGTGGGTGTCTAAGTCTTTGTGATGGGTTTGTTCCTAGGTAATCTCTCAAGGATTTTGGAGTCCCTGGAGCTGGGTGACTGTCTCAGAGTCTGTACCCACATCTCCCACAAAGGTCAAGAATGAATGCCCAGGTTGTTGTGGGATAATGATGAAAATATACATAGGGACAACTTGGTTGCTGCCAGGCATTTCTTTTCTATTTCTGTTTCTTGCCAAACTCCTTTTCTATTTTGTAGGAATCCTCATTTGTGTGGGTGTTGGTGGGAGGCAGGGCCCTGTGCCCTACAGTGGAAACCGACAGGGGTGAGACACTCCTGCTTCCTACCCCTGGCAGTGAGGGCTCAGGCATGTCTTCTCCTTGGTCATTTGTATGTTCCTCCTTAGGACTTTGAATCTTGAATGAGGCATGCAAAGGGGAAGGGACAGCTTAGAATCCTCCTGTGACAGACGTGGTGGACTGCAGGAGCAAGGACAGAAGTACACAGAGGCATCCAGAGCTACTGGCAGTGGCTTTAGGACCAGATTGTTCCTGGAGCATGAACTCACTTGTGCTTCCTTCTGTGTGTGCTGGGTGGCCTCCTTTTCCTCCTTTGTCTTATCCGCCACCCCCATCTTGTTTCTCCAGCTGTCCAATTGATTTTGTGTTCTATTTGGTATCTCCAAATTCCTTTATGGTTAAATCAGCCAGAATTTGTTTCTGTTCCTTACAGTTGCAACTAAGAACCCAGATGGATATAACAAGCAATGGCTGTAGAGTGAGCAAGACTGGGGCAGCTTTTTGGGCCTAGGAAATAGCACAATGACTATTATGTGTTTGTGACTGCAACAGATTATTAGGTGTATGTGAAAGCAAAGCAACAGATCATATTGATCTGTAGCAATCACACATATGGGGGATGGATTTGAGTTCAGGATCCTTTGTAGGCACTGAAGCACAGGAGCAGAGTCTACCAAGTATAAGTAGTAGGCCAGTTATATGTGGACCCAAGGTTCAAAGTTATGTATTAAGCTGATAAGTCAAACTGATTCTGGGGTTATGTTATCACTGCCATCTTTGCAAAAGAACTAGTACATGTAGGTGTGTTAAATAGAATGTTGAAATATATTGCCCTGAGTCATAAAAGGTAATTCCTGGTTATTGATAGACTTTTGTTTTATAATGTCCTTTTTTAGGCTTTTTGGTGATTAACTCATGATAATTTCAAATCCTTGGCTTATTCTTCTATCCTGATCCTTCATTTGGGGTCATAGTTCCTGCTGATTTCTTTATCCTTTTCCTTTATATTTATTTGTTTTAAACACTTGGTCTTACCAACTGGCCTTGAAATTTTTTTTTTTTTAATATCCTTACCCAGGTTTCTTTGCTGAGAATTCATGATGCCTAGTTATTATCCACTAGTGTCCTTAACCTCTTTATTCCTGAGTTTGCAATTTTTTGAATTTTTGCAATCAGACCTTGGTGGTGACCTTGAGCAGTAGGATAGAGATGACTCCCACATGCTTAGCGTTCCAATAATGGAACAGGAGGCATAAATGAGTTTAAATGGGAAATGGAATAAAGGACTCCAGAAATATGAAAGGAGCACGGCTGACTGAAAGCTCCCAATTTACACAGAAGAGAACACTCTTTTGGAGAGAACAGGGATTGAACAAGAGTAGTTCTCAGATATTATTGACCTAGAAACAAAATAATAAATATCATATAGGCATTAATCAGTTCTAAACTATAACTTGCTGAGAAGAGTGGTAACTTGCCTTGAGATGTTGGTTGTTAAGACTAGATTTATAAAAGTTGTTGAAAGCTGGGGTATACTATTCCCTGAATTTGTGGAGTTGACAAGCTCTCAAACTAGGAATGGGAGAGGCCCACCAAATGTTTCCTGTGAACATAAGGAAGCACAGTCAGCTTAAGCATTTTATGCAGCTAGTGCCCAGTCAGCATTTCCCCAGTCACTTGATTAACACTTCTTTTCCGGCTTCTTAGCTCAGTTTTGTGTTTTTGGGTCTCTGTTAATTAGATCCTCACATATGCTGCTTCTTCCAGTGCCCCCCGCTCCTCCTCCTCTCCTTTCTCAGGCATCATGGAGTTCCTGTTGTATGCCAGGCATGGTGCTAAACACTTTTGATGCATGCCCCTATCTATAGTTTAGTTAGAAAGACAAACAGATAAATTCGAATTTATTGTTTCACATGCTGCAATGTATGTGAATTCATTGTTATAGGAGGGCTGAGGAATTAACTCTGCTTGAATCAGTCAGAGAATAGTTTGCTGTAGAGGTGACACTTGAGTCTTGATGCATCAACAGGTGTGTGTCAGGGAAGGAAGGGAGACAGGTTGGTCAGGGTGATCAAGGGCGCGGGAACCCAGTAAACAAGTTAGGTATTATTACACAGGCAGTTGTGGGAGATAAGGCTGTGAAAGAATTTGCCTTTTATCTCTGTGTCCTCAACACCCAGCATAATGCCCAGTATTTATTGACAAAGAAGTTCAAAGGTTAGTCAGTGAGTTCCCTTTCTTACTGTGAAGGAGTTAAACAATAATCACCCTACCTCTGTTCCCCAGTTAAGGTCGCTCAGTCCTCCCCATATCAGGTGAACTGCAGTTAAGTATAATGTGAGCTTAGTATGGAAGGACTATAACAAACACAGGTTTAGAATGAGGCAGGCCTGGGGTCTAATCTCAGCTTTCAGTTACTACCATTCATGTGATCTTAAGCAAAATGCTGACACTCTCTGAATCTCTGTGACCTCATCTACAAAGTAAGACTGCTAACATTTCTGTTTTTAGGATATACTGGTCACCAAGAATAGATGTAGGTATGACATGATTTGCCTCTGTGTCCCCACCCAAATCTCATGATGAATTGTAATCCCCACATGTCAGGGGAGGGACCTGGTGGGAAGTGATTGGATCATGGGGGAGGATTTCCCCCTTTCTGTTCTTGTGATAGTGAGTTATCACGAGATCTGATGGTTTAAAAGTGTGGCACTTTCCCCTTTGCGCTCTTTCTTTCTCTCCTGCCACCTTGTGAAGAAGGTGCTTGCTTCTCCTTTGCCTTCTGCCATGATTTTAAGTTTCCCGAGGCCTCCCCAGCCATGTGGAACTGTGAGTAAATTAAATCTCTTTTCTTTATAAACTACCCAGTCTCAGGTAGTTCTTTATACCAGTGTGAAAACGGACTAATACAAGGTATTTACCAAGTCTACTGTAACTTGCGCTCAAATTGAATGAGCCAGTTGTTGGGGATACAGTGGGAACATGACAGACAGACTTTTTACCCTGGTGAAGGCTATACAACAAGCAAATAAGTGTTCCTTTATCTCTGTATCCACCAGACCCAGGTCAACAAACTTGATCTGAAAAGGGCCAGATAGTGAATATTTGCAGGTCATATAACCTCTGTCAGAATTGCTTAACTGCAGTTGTAGGGAGAAAGCAGCCATACACGGTGTGTCAATGAATGGACATGGCTGTGTTCCACCAGTAAGACTTTACATCTAATAAAGCAAGTGGTGGGATTTGGCTCACAGGGCATAGTTGTTAGACTCTAAGTTTCTTGAGGGCAAAGACTGTTGTTTATTCTTGTATCTTTGTTACCTATTGGTGTCTGATATGTGGCAGGTACTTACATTGTTTGCACTGATCTGAATTCATTACACATAAATAAGTACAAACTAATAGGAGACTCCATTAATTCAGGTCCTCTGAGAAGAGAAGCAGATGCCAAGAGGGAACTAGATGTGCAAGAGATTTAATGCCAGGGGTTGGGGTGGGGCACCAGGAAAGGATAAATGGGGAAGGGAACAGGAGGCAATGGAGTGAGCCTATAGGCTGTGATGAAGGCCTGACCTCAGGGAAAGCAGAGGGGAAAGAATTGGGTAGCAAGAGCCTAAGACCACATGCCAGAGTTCTGAAAATTTCCCCGGGCTGATGGGGAGTTCCCAAGCAAAGGATGCTGTTAGAGGAGTCTTAGGTCTTCTGGAAGGATTATCTTGGCTCATTACCTTGCTGTGCTCCTTGGTGGGCTGGAAGCAGCCTGGGGAAGTGTGAAAGGTAGAGCAGCTGGGAGCTGTTGGCTTCTTGGAGGGAAATGTGAGCTGTGCACCCCTGTGGCCAGCACAGTCCATTTCTTGTGCTTCACAGATCCGCTTGCCCACACGTTGGTGCTTTCTTCTTGAGTGGAAACCTAGAAGATGGAAATTACTAGGAAGACTATAGCCCCTATTGTTGCAGTTAGTCTCATTGCTGCAGCTGGTACTCATTCTCTCCCTCCTTGACTCTTCATCCTCAATCCCCTTACTGTCAGCCATCACCTTGGCAGGCCTTGGGTGCCTTACCTGGTAGTGTGACCCAAAACTTCATTCCTAAAGATCTGGACCCATGGTAATCATGCACTTTTTGAGCTAATGTTTCTGTACAAACCCATTCACAGTTACAGTGGGACAAGGAAGTATCAGGAAGTGCCATGTAGATCTCCAGGAAGTGCCACAGGTGTTTCTCCCTGCCCCGATTGTGTAAATGCAAGTCTCCTGCCTGCTGATCAGGATCCATGACCTCTGCCAAGATAGTGATTCCTTTTCTCTTCTCACCTGCTGCTCCCTGGCCACAAGGAGTCCGAATTACCCTTACTATGTCCCCTGTCAAGAATATGTCCCTTTGAGTAACAAGACTGCTAATTGCAGAGCCCAGGGTTATAGAGATGGGAAGCACAGGGAGGGATGGTAAGTAGGGCCACTCCTGCTTCCACCCTCTGGTTCCCAGTACCTGTATTCTTCCTAGGGGGATACAATGCCATATAGAGTCCTCTGACTTAATTCATATACCATTCCATTCTACATGTGTAGCTTGTCTCCATTGAAATCAGGTAATGTGAGTCCTCCAACTTTGTTCTTTTTCAAGATTGTTTGGGTTATTCTAGTTCTTTTTCTTTTTCATATACATTTTAGAATCAACTTGTTTATTCCTATAAAAATTCTTGCTGGGATTTTGAGTGAAATCATATATTTAGGTGCTTAATCTCTCAGCATTTTTTTTGTAGCTTTCCTGAGTATATAGATCCTGAACATATTTTGTTATTTTTTATTTTTTTGAGACGGAGTCTCGCTCTGTTGCCTAGGCTGGAGTGCAGTGGCGCGATCTCAGCTCACTGCCTCCTGGGTTCATGCCATTCTCCTGCCTTAGCCTCATAGTAGCTGGGACTACAGGCGCCTGCCACCACGCCCGGCTAATTTTTTGTATTTTTAGTAGAGACGGGGTTTTACTGAGTTAGCCAAGATGGTCTTGATCTCCTGACCTCGCGATCTGCCCGCCTGGGCTTCCCAAAGTGCTGGGATTACAGGCGTGAGCCACTGCGCCCTGCCTGTTATATTTATATCTAAGTAGTTCATGTTTTTTGGTGCAATAATCACCCCACGTATTTCTGGGGTGATTATTTCGGTGCAGTTTTCACCCCACCTATTGTGAGGTTTGGTGCAATAATCACCCCACTTATTGTGGGGTTGTGCTTTTTTAAGTGGTTGTAGTTTTTCTTGTAAATCTTGTATATGTATATATTTTTAAGTCATAGATATTTTATAGATTTTTTTCTGTTGCAAATGGAATTTATTTTCTAAATAACTATTGTTAATTTAAGGTAGGAGTGTCTTTCAGATAAGCTCACCTCTCTCCTTAAAAATGCTCACTTGATCCTTTACTTACAATGGAATCTTTATTCATGTGGAATAAGGAAAGATTTCTGAGTTTGGATTTTAAAGCCTTCCTTAGTTTGGTTTCCAGCTTCATCTCCCATTCTCCTTTCCTCAAACACTTTATGTTCCTGACATACTTTCAGAAAGTATTGTGAAATGTAATCATTAGCAGTTTTTCAGCATTTAGGTGATATATACCACTAATGGGCTCAAGAAATATGTTGAATGGGTTTACAGAGCACAGCAAAACCCTACAAATTGCTATGGTTTTGCATAAATCATGGATTTCTGGGAAATAGTAGTCTCAGAAGGATCAGCCCATATAATAAACAATATCTGGCTGTGTTTTTTTGTATTGTTGTTTGCTTTTTGTTTTTGGGTACAAAGTCTGTAAGTTAGTAAGGCAAGGAGGCAGGCTGGCCAAAGCTGTTGATGTTGCAAATTTCTGCTGATGCTTCCACAGTATATAGTTAATCTCTTAAAAGGGCTTTAAATCATTGAGAGAGCTATCATTTATCAAGTTTATTAAGATTTATAACTATGTTTCTTTGTGGTTTAGATGACTTAGAATAATTTTATTGATTTATTAGGTAATAAATCCTAATTTTTTTACAAGTAAATTCACCAGAGGATAGTTCTGGTATGAATTATTTTTAAATTGCTTTTCTCCAGCCAATATTTGGCAGTGGTGGTGGCACTAGGAGACCTGCTTGTTTGGTTGGACAATTAGCTGTGGCCAGTAACTTTTCTGGCCTTAATTTCTTCAGTGTACAAATGTGTAATTTGTTCTAGATGTTTTCTAAGGGAGTTTATAATTCTGGAATCCATGATCATGTTAGGATTAAATTTACAGTTTTTAAAGCAAAATGAAATTTAGCCCACTAGAGGGAGCTCTGCTCTTTTTAAATGTTGTCAGTTTTATTGAGAAAGACATCCTTCATAAAAGAATGTATGCTAATTTTTATTTCAGTAGCAGAAAATATTTGATGTTGACTTAAACTTTTGCCAATTTGATGTGTGTGAAATTCTGTTTCATGATGTTATCTTGAATTTCCTTGATTACTGATGAGGTTGAGTATATTTTTATGCTTATTCACCGTTCCTAATTCCACATCTGGAAATGCCTGGTTCATGTGTTTTGCCTTTCTTCACAGAAGTTTTTTCTTATAGATTCATTGTGGTTTAAAAAAATATATTCTGGGCCGGGCATGGTGGCTCATGCCTGTAATCCCAGCATTTTGGGAGGCCGAGGCAGGCGGATCACCTGAGGGCCAGGAGTTCGAGACCAGCCTTGCCAACATCATGAAACCCCGACTCTGCTAAAAATACAAAAATTAGCCAGGCGTGGTGGAACACACCTGTAGTCCAAGCTACTTGGGAGGCTGAGGCAGGACAATTGCTTGAACCTGGGAGGCGGAGGTTGCAGTGAGATGAGATTGCACCACTGCACTCTAGCCTGGGTGACAGAGCGAGACTCCATCTCAAAAAAAAAAATACATATATATATATATATATATAATATCCATTTTATATATATATATAAAATATCCATTTTATATATATATATAAAATATCCATTTTATATATATATAAAATATCCATTTTATATATATATAATATCCATTTTATATATATATAAAATATCCATTTTATATATATATATAAAATATCCATTTTATATATATATATAAAATATCCATTTTATATATATATAAAATATCCATTTTATATATATATAAAATATCCATTTTATATATATATAAAATATCCATTTTATATATATAATATCCATTTTATATATATAAAATATCCATTATATATATAAAATATCCATTTTATATATATATAAAATATCCATTTTTTATATATATAAAATATCCATTTTTTACATATATGTAAAATATCCATTTTTTACATATATGTAAAATATCCATTTTTTACATATATGTAAAATATCCATTTTTTATATATATGTAAAATATCCATTTTTTATATATATGTAAAATATCCATTTTTTATATATATGTAAAATATCCATTTTTTATATATATGTAAAATATCCATTTTATATACATGTAAAATATCCATTATATACATGTAAAATATCCATTATATACATGTAAAATATCCATTTTTCATATATGTAAAATATCCATTTTTTATATATATGTAAAATATCCATTTTTATATATGTAAAATATCCACTTTTTTATATATGTAAAATATCCATTTTTTATATATATGTAAAATATCCATTTTTTGTATATATGTAAAATATCCATTTTTTGTATATATGTAAAATATCCATTTTTTGTATATATGTAAAATATCCATTTTTTGTATATATGTAAAATATCCATTTTTTGTATATATGTAAAATATCCATTTTTTGTATATATGTAAAATATCCATTTTATATATATATGTATTCTGGATATTTACACTTTATCAGTTATATGGATTACAAAGATCTTTCTTTTTTTCACTTTATGGTATCTTGATGAACAGAAAAGTTCTTAATTTTAATGTAGTTGAATCTATCAGTCTTTTCCTTTATGTTGTGTGGTCTTAATACCTTTCTTAAAACAAGTCCCTTCATTACTCAAAGTCAGAGAGATATATTTTCTTTTATCTTAGAATAAGAGATATTTTTGTGCCTTATGTTTAATGGTTTTGCCCATGATTTTTTATTCATGCTGTGAGTTAGGAATTGTTTTGATTTTGTATTGCTGAGAAACAATCTACCCCAAACTTTAGTGACTTAAAGTAACCATTTTATTTTACTCATGGGTTTTGTGGCAAGCATTTAGAAAGAGCTCAACTAGTAGTTTTTCTCTTCCAATAAAGGTGGTGTCAGTTGGGCTAGAAGATTTACTTCTAAGATGGCTTCTTTCTCTGCTCACAAATGTGTCTTTGTGCTGCTTGACCTCTCTTTCTACATGAGGTTTCATTCTCTAGGTTATCTCCATGTGGGTTGTGCTTCTTGTAGCGTGATGGTCTTAGGGTAGTCGGTGCCACCTCTGGGCTGGAGGCCAACCAACACAAAACCAGTCACTAAACAAAACTACAACCAAGGACCCTCACAGAGTCCACTTCACTCCCCTGCTACCCTCACCTGAGCAGATGCTGGTATCCATGGCTGAGGGACCTGAAGACAGATCACATCACAGGAATCTTGGCAGACACTCCCCAGTACCAGTCCAGAGCCCAGTATGCACTGGGTGGCTAGACCCAGAAGAGAAATAACATAATCACTGCAATTTGGGTCTCAGAAAGCCCATCCTTAGGGAAAAGGGGAGAGTACCACATCGAGGTGTTATGGGGGGGGTCTTTGTTCTTAGAGCTCCCAAGATGTGGCGGTTCGCTCCCAAGATGGCAGCAAGCCTTTTGTTCTCTGACCTGGGATTCTTGGCTTCACGGATTCTAAGGAATGGAACCTTGGGCCATGCGGTGAGTGTTATAGCTCTATTAGAAGCAGTGGATCACGGAAGACAACTGTGGAACCCAGCAACTAGTGTTCAGCTCGATTAGACGAACCCTGGGCCCTTAGCCATGCAGGAACAATGGCAGGCCTCTAGCCCTATCAGGAGTGGCAATGGGCGCCTCGCTGGGTTAGAAGCACAGCCAACACCCTCCCGGATCTGGAGGGGTGGAAGTCAGTGGCGAGTCTGCGACAGTGGCAAACAACAGTGGTGGACGGCGAGCGAAAGCTCAGCTCGAGCTGTAACAAACGCGGACCAGAAGAGTGTGCAGTTGCAAGATTTAATAGAGTGAAAACAGAGCTCCCATACAATGGGAGGGACCCTAAGGGGGTTGCTGCTCCCTGCTGGAATGCCTGGGTTTATATCCCAATCATTGTCCCTCCCCCTGTGCTCTAAGGCGATATATGATTTGACTATTTCTTTACCTCCTGCTTTAGCCTAATTTGTATTTTAGTGAGCCCTCTTTACTACGTGATTAGTTGGGTGTGAGCTGAGTTACAAGCCCCGTGTTTAAAGGTAGGTGCAGTCACCTTTCCCAGCTAGGCTTAGGAATTCTTAGTCGGCCTAGGAAATCCAGCTAGTCCTGTCTCTCGGTCCCCGCTTCCAACAGGAAAACCCAAGTGTTGTTGGGGAGGTTGGCCGACTACCACTCTTAACTGCTTCCTGCTGAATTGGGGCGTAATAGGGGTCATGCAGTTGAGATTTCCTTGGGAGGGGTGCCTTCAATATCATTAACATCGGAGCATGGGCTAGCAGGCCGGTCCAGGGGTCCTGCGGTAGATCTTCATCATGGACTGCATCTGGGGCTCCATTTGAAGAACGATTTGTAGTTTTACAGCTTTGATTTTGGAAGAGACAAACTTAACAAGGAGGTTAAAGATACAGAGATTGAAATGTATAGCCTGAAGTGCAGGGGATTATTTCTTTGGCACACTTTACAGGCCCTGACTATCTGCTTCATAGTTTTGAAAAGGCCTGGTCCAATAAATAATGATTTGGCCATATCATGGGTGCTATTAATGCCTAAGTGAAAGGTCTGGTGAAGGGTTTTAAGTAATTTTCATTGGTTAGCTGCAGGCAAAAGTATTTTTTCTTCTTCGGTGGCTAGCCATCCTGAGGGGAGGAAACTATGTCCTCGTGAGGTTCCCCTTTCTATTTCTTCTGCTGAGTACTGGGGTTTGGTTTCCCAGAGGGGATTACTCCATACTAGGGGTCCTCTATAAGCATTTCTAATGGAGGGTCCCACCTTGCGGCTCTTTTGGTTTTAATATCCACTTGGCGGTTCCCTTCTATTTCCCTTTCCTTTCTGATGACCCCGGCAGTGTAAGACTGCCACCTCTTTAGGTTTTTGTACAGCCAATAATAATTTCCTAATGGCTTCCTGATGTTTGATAGGTGTTCCCTTGGAAGTTAGGAATTCCCTTTCTCTCCATATTGTTGCACGGGCATGGAGGACTAGGTAAGCATACTTAGATTCTGTATATATATTTACTCTTTTTCCTTCTCCTAACTCTAGTGTCTGAATGAGGGCTATTAGTTCTGCCACCTGAGCGCTAGTTCCTGGAGTGAGGGGATTACTTTCAAGTATTCCATTGTCACTGACCACTGCATACTCCGCCTTTTGAAGTCCTTTTTCTACAAAGGAGCTTCCATCAGTACACAAGTTGAGGTCGGGATCAGCCAAGGGAACCTCTAGAAGGTCCCCTCGAGCAGCGTAGGTTTGAGCAATTACTTGTTGACAGTTACGTTCTATCTTTTCTTCATTGTCTGGAAGAAATGTGGCTGGGTTAAGAGTTGCACAAGTGCACAGTCGCAGCACTGGCCCTTCAAGTAATAGAGCCTGATATTTAAGCAAATGGTTGTCTGACAGCCACAAGTCTCCTTTAGCAGTGAGTATGCTGTTCACATTATGAGATGGCCACACAGTAAGATCTCTTTCCCTGTATCATTTTAACTGCTTTAGATACTAAGACTGCTACTGCTGCCACTACCTGTAAACAATGAGGCCAACCCTTTGTCACTACATAAATTTCCTTACTCAGGTATGCCACGGGTTGCAAGCTGGTCTCTCGGACATGTGTAAGGACTCCTAGAGCTATTCCTGTTTTTTCTGTGACATATAAAGAAAAGTCTTGCCCCGTTGGCAAGCTTAACACTGGGGCATAGGTTAGGGCCTTCTTTAGGGCCAGAAAAGCCACTTCTGCTTCAGGTGTCCATTCTACTAAATGGGTATTGGCTTTCTGAGTTTCCTTAATTAGTGTGTATAATGGCCTGGCTATTTCACCGTACCTGGGAATCCATATTCGGCAGAAGCCTGTTATGCCAAGGAACCTCTTAATTGCTTCAGGGTTTTAGGATGAGGATAAGCCAGTATAGGCTGGATACATTCCTCACTGAGGGCCCTGGTGCCTTTGGATAATTTTAGCCCTAAGTATTTAACCTGCTGTAAGCAGAGCTGAGCCTTTGGTTTGGAAACCTTGTAGCCACAAGTGGTGAGGAAGTTTAAAAGCGCTTGAGTGGCTTGATGGCACAAGGTTTCTGAATGGGTGGCTAGAAGTAAATCATCCACATACCGAAGGACAAGAGTGACCAAGTATGAGAACTGGCTCAAGTCTTGGGCTAATGCCTGGCCAAATAGATGGGGGCTATCCCTGAACCCTGTGGGGTAAAACAGTCCAGGTGAGTTGAGATGTTGGGTTTGAAGGATCTTTAAAGGCAAATAAGAATTGAGAGTCAGAATGTACGGGGATGCAGAAAAAGGTATCCTTAAGGTCCAGGACTGTAAACCACTCTGCTTTCTCTGGTATTTGGGAAAGCATAGTATAAGGGTTAGGTACAGCTGGGTATAGAGGGACAACGGCCTCATTGATAATCCTGAGATCTTGCACTAACCTCCACTGTCCGTTGGGTTTCTGTACTCCTAAAATTGGAGTATTGCAGGAGCTATTGCTTGGTTTTACTAGGCCTTGGGCTTTTAGGTCCTTAACAATCTTTTGGAGTCCTTATTGGTCCTCGGGTCTAAGCAGGTAATGCCTTTGGTAGGGAACGGAGGTGGAACCCTTTAGTTTAACTTGAACGGGACGGGCATTGTTTGCTCATCCATATTGTCGTTTTGTTGCCCAGACTTCAGGATTAATTCCTTCCTTAAGTAGGGGACAAAAAAACGTGTTTCTTTTCCTATGTTCAGGTGTATAATGGCCCCTGCTTTTGCTAGAATGTATTTCCCTAACAAAGGAGTGGGCTTTCAGGCATAATTAGAAAGGCATGTGAAAAGAGTGAAGTTCCCCAATCATAACTTAGTGGCTAGGAGAAGTATTTAGTGACTGCCTGTTCTAGGACTCCTCGGATAGTGACAGATCTGGAGGACAGTTGGCCGGGACAGGAGAGTAAGACTGAGAAGGCCACGTCAGTGTCCAGGAGACAGTTAACCTCCTGTCCCTCAATGGTCAAGCATACCTGGGGCTCTGTGAGGGTGATGGCATGGGCTGGCACTTGTCCTGGGCATCCTCAATCCTGCTCCTGGATCATCTGGTTAGTGGCTTCTGACTCAGAGGACTTTTGTCCCCTGAGGCAGTGGGCCTTCCAGTGATTCCCTTGACATCACGGGCATGGACGAGGGGGCAGCTTATTTTTATTCGGACAGTCTTTTTTAAGGTGTCCTTGTAGGCTGCACTGAAAGAAAGCCCTATTAGGCATTCGATTTGCTCAACCTTTCCCTGTTTTAGAGCCTCCAAAGTCCGCTTGCCTGAGGGCCATGACTAAAGCAGTGGCCTTCTTTTTATCCTATTTGTCCCGTTCCACCTGTTCCTCTTGATCTCTATTATAAAAAACCGAGGTTGCCAAGTTCAATGGGGTTTCTAAGTTTTGCTCTGGGCCTACGGCAGACTTTGGAAGTTTTTTTTTTTTGAGACGGAGTCTCACTCTGTTGCCCAGGCTGGAGTGCAGTGGCGTGATCTCAGCTCACCGCAAGCTCTGCCTCCCGGGTTCACGCCATTCTCCCGCCTCAGCCTCTGGAGTAGCTGGGACTATAGGCGCCTGCCACCATGCCCGGCTAATTTTTTGTATTTTTAGTAGAGACGGGGTTTCACTGTGTTAGCCAGGATGGTCTCAATCTCCTGACCTCGTGATCCACCTGCCTCAGCCTCCCAAAGTGCTGGGATTACAGGCGTGAATCACCATGCCCGGCCTGAAGTTTTTTTTTTAATGTCTGCAGCTGACTGAGTGATAAACTTATCCTTTAAGATTAGTTGGCCTTTAATAGAGTTAGGTGACAAAGAGGTATGCTTTCTCAGTACCTCCCTTAGTCTCTCCAGAAAGGCAATAGGATTTTCTTTCTTTCCCTGTATTATGGTGGACATCATTGAATAATTTATAGGCTTTTTCCTAGTTTTTTAAAGTCCTTCTAGCACGCAAGTTAGTAAATGTCTGCAGCACCAATCTCCATGTTCTGATTCTGTGTCACAATGAGGGTCTACACTGGGAACTGCCTGCTGGCTGGTGGGGAATTGTTCTTTTTTCTCTGTTGTCATCCTATCATTGACCTGACTGAGATACCAGAGATCGCCAAACTCTCGGGCTGCAGTTATGGCGGCACTTTTCTTATTTAGGGTTAGTATCTGATCTAGCAGTAACATTATATCTCTCCATGTCAGATCAAAGGATTGTCCTAGCCCTTGTAAAACATCAATATAGCCATCAGGGTTATCTGATAATTTACCTAGGTCTGTTTTAATTTGCTTCAAGTCTGAGAGGGAAAAAGGTACATGCACTCTGACTGGGCTGAATTCTCCAGAATACATCTTAAGGGCATTTTTGCCTTGAGGGGAACGTTTCCCGTCTGAAAAAAGTACATAGGGATGCCAGGACCCCTAGTCTTTTTCCGACGAGCATAGTCCTAGAGTGTTCTCTATGGTCCTAATGCTTATTCCTTTCCAGGGTGTGTAACCACCCATGGACCTCTGCTTATCAGATTAGTTACATTTACCAATGTAGCAGTCCTGCACCCCTTTTCCTGCTTTTCTTGACCACAAAGAAAGGGTTCCAGGCTTCTGGATTCTAGTGGTCCTTTACCAGCGTGCCCAACATTGCCTTTGTGCTCTGGGGTGAGTCCTAGAGCTGAGCTGGGTTCCTGAGTATTTCATAACCCAGCTGCCCCATTAAGATGTATTCCCATAAACAACAGTTCTTATGCAAATTTATTTCAGAGAGGGTGTAGGTAACCTTTTGAGTCAGGATTGAGATAGAGTTTTTTTTGTTTTTATTCCGTAAGTGCTTTAAGGCTTGGCTGAGTGCAAACAGCTTGCACGTTTCAGCAGACCAGTTATTAGGCAATTTTCCTAACTCTGCTTTTACAAGAGTTTCCCTATTAATTACTGAATACCCATTGTGTTTTTTCCTTAATCACCTGGGAGGAACCATCTGTCCTCCTTTTCTGAAGGGAGTTCCTCCTAGGTCTGGTTGGACCTTTGTATGGTAATTAAGATTTAAATCCTCTGTTAGGAAGTCTGCTGGGTTAAGGGAATTTTCAGTGGTTAGTGTTAAATCACCTTTTTTCTAACAGAATAGCCCCATACTTTAAGATTTTTGAGTTAGTAAGCTACCTTTTTGCTTTTTTTGACTTAGGATAGTTCTGAACTGGTGAGGTGTGCTTACAATGAGGTTTCCCCTAAAAGTTATTTTTTTACTTTCTTCTGCTAGCAAAGCAGTTGCTGCTACAGATTGAATGCATTTGGGCCATCCACGGGTTACTGGGTTAAGGATTTTTGATAGGAAGGCTGTGGGTTGTCAGTGGCCTCAGTCCTTTTGGGCTACGCTCTTGTTTATACTGACAACAAAGTGGTATTGGAGTGTTATAGGGTCCCGGAGAAGACCTTCAGTTATTAATTATAGGTTTTAAATTTACCCTGGCTTTTAAAGGAATAGGGTACACTTTTTTCTTTACTACTTCTTTTCTTTCTCTCTCTCTCTCTCTCCCCCCCTTTGTCTCTCTCTCCTGTCTCTTTCTCTCTCCTCTCTGTCTCTCTCTCTGTCTCTCTCCTCTCTGTCTCTCCTCTCTGTCTGTCTCTCTCTCTCCTCGCTTTCTGTCTCCTGTTTTTCTCTCTCTCTCTCCTCTCTGTCTCTCTCTCTTTCTCTCTCTCTCTCCTCCTCTCTATCTCCTTGTAGATGGATTTTGGAAACACAGTGGAAGGACGTTTGCTTGTTGCCCCCATTTGCCACTATAGGAATACGCGCCTCCCTGTAATTTACTCAATTCATTTTCATCCTGATCTATTATGTTGTTGTAGATCCAGTTCCAGTTGTTAAAGTACTGGGTTATCAGTTCTAAGGCCCTGCAAGGGTGGTGGGGAACAGGTCCCACATAACTGCCCATGTCAAGAGCTGTATACCTAAATTGGAGGGACACCGGGGACAAGACTCCCTGGGTTCATAGCTTAGATGCCTAATGATGCAGCATAGAGCTTCTTTAGATCCCTTTGGAGATACAACTTGCTAGAGGGAATGAAAGTCTGAACCATTAGTACCTAGAAGGCAGGGATCAAAGGAAGTAGATTCAGAGGTAAGGAGAATTTGGGGGCTACACTTTCAAGAAAGTCATGGTTGGGACCCAGGAGGTATGGGTCAGAAGGAAAGGTGGGGCGCATACATGGGCGGCTGGTTGAATAGAGACTTCTGGCTGTGCCGTGATCTCAACTGGCTAATGCCAGGAGTTCGGGATGACAGCTTTCTGCTACTAGTCAGCCCTTGGCTTCCCCAGGAAAATTGTGAAAGTGGAAGCTGGTTCCAGGCAGACCAATGCTCCCAAGCCAGAAGGGTTGGGGGTTGTTAGAAAGCCCTTCCCTAGATAGCCTCACACCTGAGTCTTAAGTCCAGCAGCCATGCTACTGTTTTTAACTGGCTGACAGGTGCCCAGTATTTTACTCCAATTCTAAGGAAGTATAGGACAGAATAGCAAGCGAAAGTGGTCCGATATTACTCACTGCTTTGGAGAATCCCCATATGGGCCACCAGATGTTACGGGGGGTGGAGGGGGTCTTTGTTCTTAGAGCTCCCAAGATGCGACGGGCCGCTCTCAAGATGGGGGTGGGCTGCTCCCAAGATGGCTGCAAGCCTTTTGTTCTCTGACCAGGGGTTCTTGGCCTCATGGATTCCAAGGAATGGAACCTTGGGCCATGCGATGAGTGGTATAGCTCTATTAGAAGCTGTGGGTCATGGAAGAGAACTGTGGAACCAAGCAACTAGTGTTCAGCTCAATTAGGACGAACCCTGGGCCCTTAGCCATGCAGGAAAATGGTGAGCCTCTAGCCCGATTGGGAGCGGCAATGGGTGTCTCGCTGGATCAGAAGCACAGCAGACACCCTGCTGGATCCGGAGGGGTGGAAGTCAGTGGCCGGTCTGCGACAGTGGTAAACAGCAGTGGTGGATGGTGAGCAAAAGCTCAGCTTGAGCCGTAACAAACATGGACCAAAAGAGTGTGCAGTTGCAAGATTTAATAGAGTGAAAACAGAGCTCCCATACAATGGGAGGGGACCCTAAGGGGGTTGCTGCTCCCTGCTGGAATGCTTGGGTTTATATCCTGATCATTGTCCCTCCCCCTGTGCTCTCAGGTGATATATGATTTGACTATTTCTTTACCTCCTGCTTTAGCCTAATTTGTATTTTAGTGAGTCCTCTTTACTACCTGATTAGTTGGGTGTGAGCTGAGTTACAAGCCCATGTTTAAAGGTAGATGTAGTCACCTTTCTCAGCTAGGCTTAGGAATTCTTAGTCGGCCTAGGAAATCCAGCTAGTGTTGTCTCTCAAAGGGATCACCCCATGGGACAAAATAATCTGAACAATAGCCCTTGATCCCCAGATCTTCCCTTTGACATAATCTACACAAATGAAAAGGAAGCAGAAAAACAATTCTGGTAATATAACAAAACAAGGTTCTTTAACACTCCCCAAAAGATTACACTAGTTCACCAGCAACGGATCCAAACCAAGAAGAAATCCTTGAATTGCCAGAAAAAGAATTGTGAAGGTAGATTATTAAGCTTCTCAAGGAGTCACCAGAGAAAGGGGAAGTTCAACTTAAAGAAATTTAAAAAATGATACAGGATATGGATGGAAAAATCTTCAGAGAAACAGATAGCATAAATAAAAAACAATCACAACTTCTGGAAATAAAGGACAAACTTAGAGAAATGCAAAATACACTGGAAAGTCTCAGTGATAGAATCAAACAAATAGAAGAAAGAACTTCAGAGCTTGAAGACAAGGCTTTTGAATTAACCCAATCCAATAAAGACAAAGAAAAAAAGAATTAAAAAAGTGAACAAAGCCTCAAAGAAATTTGGGATTATGCTAAATGACCAAACCTAAGAGTAATTGGTCTTCCTGAGGAAGAAGAGAAATCTAAAAGTCTGGAAAACATATTTGAGGGAATAATCAAGGAAAACTTCCCTGGCCTTGCCAGAGATCTAGACATCCAAATACAAGAAGCTCAAAGAACATCTGGGAAATTCATCGCAAAAAGGTAATCACCTAGGCACATAGTCATCAGATTATCTAAAGTCGAGATGAAGGAAGGAATCTTAAGAGTTGTGAGGCAAAAGCACCAGGTAACCTACAAAGGAAAACCTATCAGATTAACAGGAGATTTTTAGCAGAAACCCTGCAAGCTAGAAGGGATTGGGGTCCTATCTTTAACCTCCTTAAACAAAATAATTATCAGCCAAGAATTTTGTATCCAGTCAAACTAAGCTTCATAAACAAAGCAAAGATACAGTCTTTTAAAGACAAATGCTGAGAGAATTTGCTACTACCAAGCTACTATAAGAACTGCTAAAAGGAGCTCTAAATCCTGAAACAAATGCATGAAATACACCAAAATAGAACCTCTTTAAAGCATAAATCTCACAGGACCTATAAAACAGTAAAACAGTGAAAAAAAACAACAAGGTATTCAGGCAACAAGTAGCACAATGAATAGAATAGTACCTCACTTCTCAGTACTAACATTGAATGTAAATGGCCTAAATGCTCCACTTAAAAGATACAGAATGTGGCAGAATGGATAAGAATTCACCAACCAAGTATCTGTTATTTTCAAGAGACTCACCTAACACATAAGCACTCATATAAACTAAAGGTAACGGGGTAGAAAAAGATATTCCATGCAAATGGATGCCAAAAGCGAGCAGGAGTAGCTGTTCTTATATCAGACAAAACAGACTTTAAAGCAACAATAGTTAAAAAAGACAAAGAGGAATATTATATAATGATAAAAAGGACTGTTCCAACAGAAAAATATCACAATCCTAAATATATATGTACCTAACACTGGAGCTTTCAAATTTATAAAACTATTACTACTAGACCTAAGAAATGAGATAGACAGCAACACAGTAATTGTGGGTGACATGGTTTGGCTCTGTGTTCTCACCCAAATCTCTTCTAGAATTGAAATCCCTACAATCCCCATGTGTTGAGGGAGGAACCAGGTGGGAGGTGATTGGATCCTGGGGACAGTTTTCCTCATGCTGTTCCCCTGAGAGTGAGTTCTCATGAGATCTGATGGTTTTATAGGGCAATTTTCTCTGCTCTTGTTTGCTCTTTCTCTCCTGCTGCCTTGTGAAGAAGGACACGTTTGCTTCCCCTTCTGCCATGATTGTAAGTTTCCTAAGGCCTCCCCAGCAATGCAGAACTATGATTTAATTAAACTTCTTTTCTTTATAAATTACCTGGTCTCTGGCAGTTTTTATAGCAGTATGAAAACAGACTAATACAGTGGGGGACTTCAGTACTCCACTGGCAGCACTAAACAAATCATCAAGACAGAAAATCTACAAAGAAACAATGGACTGGGGCTGGGCACGGTGGCTCATGCCTGTAATCCCAGCACTTTGGGAGGCCGAGGCGGGTAGATCACGAGGTCAGGAGATCGAGACCACAGTGAAACCCCGTCTCTACTGAAAATACAAAAAATTAGCTGGGTGCAGTGGTGGGTGCCTGTAGTCTCAGCTACTCGGGAGGCTGAGGCAGGAGAATGGCGTGAACCCAGGAGGCGGAGCTTGTAGTGAGCCAAAATCGCACCACTGTACTCCAGCCTGGGTGGCAGAGTGAGACTCCGTCTCAAAAAAAAAAAAAAAAAAATGGACTTAAACTATACCTTAGGACAAATGGACTTAAGAGATATTTACAGAACATTCTATCCAGTGAGTGCAGAATATACATTCTATTCATCAGCACATGGAACATTCTCCAAGATAGACCATATGATAGGCCACAAAACAAGTCTCAATAAATTTAAGAAAATTGAAATTATATCAAGTACTCTCTTAGACCACAGGGGAATAAAATTGGAAATCAACTCCAAAAGGAACCCTCAAAGCCATGCAAAGACATGGAAATTAAATAACCTGCTCCTGGATTATTGTTGGGTCAATAACAAAATCGAGATGGAAATTAAATTATTTGAACTGAACTATGGTAGTGACCCAACCTATGAAAATCTCTGGGATACAGCAAAAGCAGTACTAAGAGGAAAATTCATTGTATTGAATGGCTACATAAAAAAATCTGAAAGAGCACAAATAGGCAATCTAAGGTCACACCTCAAGGAACTAGAGAAAGAAGAACAAACCAAAACCCAGCAGAAGAAAATAAATAACAAAGATCAGAGCAGAGCTAAATGAAATTGAAACAAAAAATAATACAAATGATAAACGAAACAAAAAGCTGGTTCTTTGGAAAGATAAACAAAATCAATAGACCATTAGTAAGATTAACCAAGAAAAGAGAGACGATCCAAATAAGCTCAATTAGAAACAAAATGGGAAATATTACAACTGATACCATATAAATACAAAAGATCATTAAAGGCTACTAGGAACACCTTAATGTGCACAAACTAGAAAACCTAGAGGAGATGTATAAATTTCTGAAAATATATAACCCTCCTAGATAAAACCAGGAAGAAATAGAAACTCTGAACAGACCAATAGCAAGCAGCGAGATTCAAATGGTAAGAAAAAAATAGCCAGCAACAATAAAAAGTCTAGGACCAGAAGGATTCACAGCTGAATTCTATCAGATATTCAAGGAAGAATTGGTACCAATCCTATTGACACTATTTCAAAATATAGAGAAAGAGGGAATCCTCCCTAAATCATTCTATGAAGCCATTATCGCCCTTATATCAAACCAGGAAAGGATATAACAAAAAATAAAACTATAGACCAATATCCCTGATGAACATAGATACAAAAATCCTCAATAAAATACTACCTAACCGAATCCAACAGCATATCAAAAAGATAATCCACCATGGTCAATTGGGTTTCATATCAGGGATGCAGGGATGGTTTAACATCTGCAAGTCAATAAATGTGATATACCACATAAACAGAACTAAAAACAAAAATCATGATCATCCCAATAGACACAGAAAGAGCATTTGACAAAATCCAGCATCACTTTATGATTGAAATCTTCAGCAAAATCAGCCTAGAGGGGATGTACCTTAAGGTAATAAAAGCCATCTATGACATACCCACAGCCAACACTATACTGAACAGGGAAAAGTGGAAAGCATTCCCCCTGAGAACTGGAAAAAGACAAGGATGCTGACTTTCACCACTTCTATTCAACATAGTACTGGAAGTCCTAGTTGGAGCAAGCAGAGAAGAGAAAGAAATAAAGGCATCCAAATTGGTAAAG
Organism: Homo sapiens; assembly: GCF_000001405.40. Lineage (NCBI taxonomy): Eukaryota > Metazoa > Chordata > Mammalia > Primates > Hominidae > Homo > Homo sapiens. The sequence continues at coordinate 60,654,593 of NC_000005.10, read as the reverse complement.
CGGAAGTCAAACTGTCACTGTTTCTTGATGATATGATCGTATACATAGAAAACCTTAAAGACTCATCCAAAAAGCTCCTGGAACTGATCAATGAATTCAGTAAAGTTTCAGGATACAAAATTAATGTACACAAATCAGTAGCACTGCTATAACCCAACAGTGACCAAGCTGAGAATCAAATCAATAACTCAATTCCTTTTACAATAGTACCCCCCACCAAAAAAAAAGAAAAAAAAAACACCAAAAAACTTAGGGAATATACCTAATCAAGAAGGGGAAAGATCTCTACAAAGAAAACTACAAAACACTGCTGAAAGAAATCATAGATGACACAAACAAATGGAACACATTCCATGCTCAGGGATGGGTAGAATTAACATTGTAAAAATGACTGTACTACCAAAAGCAATCTACAAATTCAATGCAATTCCCATTAATATACCACCATCATTCTTCACAGAACTAGTAAAAACAATCCTAAAATTTATGTGTAACCAAAAAAGAGCCCACATAGCCAAAGCAAGGCTAAGCAAAAAGAACAAATCTGGAAGTATTACATTGCCTGACTTCAAGCTATGCTATAAACCTATAGTCACCAAAACAGCATGGTATTGCTGTGAAAATAGGCACATAGAGCAATGGAACAGAATAGAGAACCCAGAAATAAAGTGAAATACTTACAGCCAACTGATCTTCAACAAAGCAAAGAAAAACATAAAGTGGGGAAAGGACACCCTATTCAACAAATGGTGCTGGGATAATTGGCAAGCCACATGTAGGAGAGTGAATCTGGATCCTCATCTCTCACCTTATGCAAAAATCAACTCAAGATGGATTAAAGACTTAAATATAAGACCTGAAATCATAAAAATCGCAGAACATCAGAAAAACCCTTCTAGATATTGGCTTAGACAAAGACTTCATGACCAAGAACCCAAAAGTAAATGCAACAAAACAAAGACAAATAAATAAATAGATGGGACTTAATTAAACTAAAAAGCTTCTGCATAGCAAAAGAAATAATCAGCAGAGTAAACAAATAACCCACAGAGTAGGAGAAAAATGTTCACAAAGTACGCACCTGACAAAGGACTAATATCCACAATGTACGAGGAACTCAATCAAACCAGCAAGATAACAACAAACAATCCTTTCAAAAAGTGGGCTAAGGACATGAGTAGACAATTCTCAAAAAAAGATATGCGAATGGCCCACAAACACATGAAAAAATGGTCAACATTACTAACGATGAGGGAAATGCAAATCAAAACCGCAATGTGATACCACTGTACTCCTGCAAGAATGACCATTAAAAATAAAAAGATGTTGAAATGGATGTGGCAAAAAAGGAACACGTTTAGACTGCTGGTGGGAATGTAAACTAGTACAACTATGGAAAACAGTGTGGATGGAGATTCCTTAAAGAACTTAAAGTAAATCTGCCATTTGATCCAGCAATCCCACAACTGGGTATCGACCCAGAGGAAAGGAAGTCATTATACGAAAAAGACACTTGCACACACATGTTTATAGCAGCACAATTTGCAGTTGCAAAAATATGGAACCAGCCCAAATGCCCATTAATCAATGAGTGGATAAAGAAAATATGGTGTGTATAAATATACACCATAGAATACTACTCCACCATAAAAAGGAACAAAATAATGACATTTGCAGCAATCTGGATGAAATTGGAGACCATTATTCTAAGTGAAGTAACTCAGGAATAAAAAACCAAACATTGCGTGTCCTCACTTATAAGTGGGAGCTAAGCTATGAGGATGCAAAGGCATAAGAATGATATGATAGACTTTAGGGACTTGGGGAATGGGTGGGAGGGTGATGAGGGATAAAAGACTATACATTGGTTACAGTATACACTGCTCGGGTGATGGGTGCACCAAAATCTCAGAAATCATCACTGAAGAACTTATTCATGTAACCAAACACCACCTGTCCCTCAAGACTTATTGAAATAATAAATAAATAAAAAGGATTCTACAAAAAAGAAACCTTATAAACTGAGTTCCTAGCCATGATGGGATAGGGGGTTGGACAAGCCTCAGTATGTCCCTTCCTTAGTAACCTTTAACCAGATTTCTTTCCTAAGAAATAAACAGAAACCAGCTCTGGAGAACAAGAAACAGATGACTCATTGCTTTATCATCTTAAGCCAATCATCTGAGGCTGTGACTGGACTCTTCCTACTTTTTTTGCAATTTCACAATACATCCCTTGCTAAAAACTGACCACCATCTCCAGACCGGTTTTGGCTGACTGGTGGAGGATACACGGTGATGGTTTTGTGTCCTCTGCTTCATCTTTTGACATCAGTGGGCTGAAAACTCCATTTTCAGATCATGCTAATGCCACCATTTTTTGAACATGCAACCCATGAAAGGTGCATGAAGCGCAATTGCACATGTGCATATTTCTTCTTTCATAAATATTCATGACTCTTCCTTTAGCTTATTAAATATGCATATTTGGCTACCTCACTCAGCATAAATTCCTGTTCCCTTTACCCCTCCCTCAAAGTGCTTGCTCTCAGCTGCTGTTGGAGGCTTTGTTTCCCATCCTGTGGGATGGCCAGCATACAGGCTGAAACCCTTTATGAGAAATAAAGCTCTTCTTTTCAAATTTATCCACCTCATCATTCTTAAATTGGCACAATCCACACCTGGTTATTGCAGCTGTTATAAAAGAAACCAGTTGTCATTTTCATCATTCATCCTGGGAAATTTGTTCACCAGATCCACCTTTTCTAGTTTCCCTATTACCACAGGTGACAGTTGTACTGAAATTTATGCCACTGTGCAACACAGATTTTTTTCTCCACCTTCCATACTGTTTCACAACAACTTCCTTACTGTTCTTTCAACCTCTATTAAGAAGTCCATCTGAGGCCCTTCATGCATCCATTTCACTGCCCGATCCTGTTGCAGATACCACACATTTCTTTTCTAGTTATCTGTTGTGTAATAAAACTATGTCAAACTTACTGGATTAAAATAACCATTGTAGTTTTTTTTAGTTTTTTTTTTGTTTTTTTTGTTTTTTTTTTAGGTGGAGTCTCTCTCTGTTGCCCAGTCTGAAGTGGTGCAGTGGTGCAATTTCAGCTCACTGCAACCTCCGCCTCCTGGGTTCAGGCAATTCTCCTGTCTTTGCCTTCCGAGTAGCTGGAATTACAGGCACACGCCACCATGCACGGCTAATTTTTGTATTTTTAGTAGAGACGAGATTTCACGATGTTGGCCAGGCTGGTCTCGAATTCCTGACCTCAGACAATCCACCCACCCTGGTCTCCCAAAGTGCTGGGATTACAGGTGTGAGCCACTGTGCCGGCCCATTGTAGTTTTTACATAATTGTGTGGATCAGGAATTTTGGAAGGTTGCTTAGGTGGGCATCAGCTGCGGCTGCTGAGGCTAGAGAATCCACCTCCAGGAATATTTGTTTATTTGCAGATCTGGAATTTTGGTGCTCCTTTACCTCAGTTTATTTCCTTGCAGTATCTCATCTTCTAGGGCCTCTTCCTGTTGCTTAGGTATTTGACAACATGGTGGGCTCACGGTAGTCATACTTCTTATAAGATGGCTGGTTTCCAAGAGGGAGCTTCATAATAATGAGTTATACAAGAGTGAGAGTTTCAAGAGGCAGGAAGAGAGTTCTAGCCAGTTAGGCTAGTGCTTCTTCCTTATTGTATTTATCAAAGCAGTTAGACAGGGCTCACCTAGACTTGAAGAGGGTAGAGAAAGACATTCTGCCTCTTGATACAGTAGTGGCAAGATCATATTGCAAAAGAGCATATGGTTAGGAGGTATGATTGTAAACACCTTTGGAAATATGGCAGGCTGAACCGGGATGCAATTTCATTTTTCCCAAATGGATAACCAGTTGGCTCAGTACTATTTATTGAACAGTCCATACTTTCCCACTGATCTGTAATGTCTGCTCTATCATAAATCATGTTTCTAAAGAGTAGTGTGTATTTGTTTTGAATTGTCTTTGTTTAGGCCCATGATTCGCAACTGGGGGCCATTTTGCGGAAGACATTTGGCAATGTCTGGAGAAATGTTTTGTTGTCACAACAGGTGTGTGTGTTGTGTGTAGGGTGCTACTAACATCCAGTGAGTAGAGGCCAGGGATGCTTTGCACTTAGCAGCATCCCCCAGTGCACAGGACAGCTCCCCACAACAAAGAACTATCCGGCCCTAAATGTCAACAGTGCGGAGCTTGAGGAACTATGGTCTCTGCCATCAGTATTGCCGTATTATGTTAGCCTTGATATCTGATAGGACAAGTCACCTCACTTTGTTTTTCTTCTTTAAGAATGTCTTATTTTTGGGCCTTTGCATTTTCATATAAATTTTAGAATCAGTTGATCATGTTTCTTATTTTTTTACTTTAGAGATGGGGGTCTTGCTTTATTGCCCAGGCTGGTCTTGAACTCCTGGCTTCAAGTGATCCTCTCATCTCAGCTTCCCGAGTAGCTGGGACTACAAGTGTAAGCCACCGTGCCTGGTTTGGAATAAGTTTATGATGTTTCATAAAAATTTTTATATTAATATTTTTATTAAATTTTCTTTGTAACTATGTATCTTCATGGGGGAAAATTAACATTGTATGATATGGAATCTTATTCACCAAGCTGCGCACAGTGGCAACTACTTGTAATCCCAGCTACTTGGGAGGCTGAAACAGAAGGACAGGAGGATTGCTTGAACCTGAGTTTAAGAAAGAATCTTATTCACCAGCATAATATAGCTATCAATTTAGTTCTTCTTTAATGTCTTTCAATAAAATTTTATAGTTTTCTTTCTTTTTAGGGGGGCACACTGTCTTTTTTTTGTGTAAAAATTTTATAATTTTCTTAATAAAAGGCTTGCAAATCCTTTGTGTAAGATGGTTTGTTCTCTTGGCCAGTTGTGAGGCTTTTAAATTAGTTGCTTTCCTCTTTTGAGCCTTAATTTCTCTGAGTGAAAAATGTGGCATTTGAACTGGATCATCTTTAACAGGTGAAATATTACATTATTAAAATATTAGGATTAAATTGCTAACTTTCAATGCCCGAAATAGAAGTACTCCACTGGAGGGAGCTCTTCTGCATTTTTTCTCAGACAAAGTTGTCAGACTGCTGTGAAAATAGATAGCACACCTTCTATTGGTAACTGCAGATATTACTGACAGCAAAGATCTCATCTTCTTAGTGTGGAGGAAAAAGGTGATTTCCTGGTATTTCTTCAGTCACAGTTTTGCATGTAACAAATTCTGTTTTGGTCTTTGGAAGATACTACTTTTTTCTGGTTATGGGAATATAAGAAGCATCTTTTTGAACTTAGGAGAAAATTTATGGGTCATCCAATTTAATTCCTTCATTTGACAAATAAATAAATTATTATTTAGAGAGACTTATACTTTCCAAAAGACACATAGAGAGTTTGTGAGAAAGCCTGGAATTCAGGTCCAAAAATTTTTATGCCATAGTCGAGGGAATGAAGTGGGAGAATAAACAGAGGGCATTAGTGGTGGGATGGGAGTAGGGATTGCGTTTAGTTTTGAATGAACTGAGAAGTGGGTGATCTGTGAACTCCGGCAATTACATTCAATATCCTACCTGTATGTGAGCATATGTGCACATACATATGCATAAATGCTGTACTTTGTCTGGAAATGGGCATTTGTTGGGATTGTTGACTTGTAGGAAATAAAATTGGACTTTTATAAGCCACCCTTTATTTATAAAGAAAGATGCTTTGGCTATAGAGATTCATTTAGTTTATATTTTGGAATCTTTTGGGAACACCTGCCTTGGTAACTTGATTACCAAACTTTAAACTATCTTTAACTTAATTTACTGATTTCCAGAACTCTCTTTTTTTAACTGACCCAAAACTGATGTTTAAAATAGTTATTGGATATTCTTTTCAGAAAAGATGAAATGCAACTTTTCTCCACTTGTCATTCCTTTTCAAATCTATTGCGACTGTTTTTGAAATGTTTCTCTATTTGAAGATGAGAAATCATAGTTTTCCTCAACCTTCAGAAGTTCATACTTGGGACATATTCCTGCAAGAAAAGACAGATTAACAAGAGAAAAACAAGCAAGTTTGTTAATGTGTGCAGTGCACATCCCGTGGGAGAAAAATAACTAGATGCAGTGCCTTAGAGTCCCAGCTTATATGGTCTTCAACAAAGAGCAATAAATTTTAGAGAAGCGTCAGGACACATGAAAGCAGTTTAAGGCTTCCAAAGGCAGGAAGGTGTGGGAAGGTAAATTTATGGGGAAACTAATGAAGTCTGCTTAGATGCCTCTGGTGTAGTCTCTAAGCTGATAAAGGTTGTAAAGGAGAATTTACCTACTGTTTTGAGGCAGGAAAGAGGGAAAGATAGACTTTTTGTATTTATATTAATAATACTCTGCTCTTAGGCAAACAGAGGAAAGACAAAGCACTTTTCCATATTTGCTTCAAATGGCCTTTAGCCCCAAAAAATTATGTCAAAGAGGAATGTTTTGAGGTGACACATTCTGTTTCCTTCAGTACTCTCGTTGGTGAGTCTCCAGATTCACCTTCATATAAACTTCCCTTGAACACTATAGACATTTTATAATTCTTTATTTCTGCATTTGCTTTGAGATAAGGTCTTTAGTTATTTGTATGATTTTTTTCTGTGGATAACATGGGTAAGATTTTTAAGCTGTTTTTTTGGCTTAAGTAAATAAAAAGTCAAAATAAAAGTCAACAACCCGCTGCCTTTTATGTCAACATTAAGAACTAGAGTTCTTACATTGCTTTTGCAGTGCAATGTAATGCATTGTATCCTTTTCTAACAAGACTGCAGAAAAATATTATCTGATAAAAAATATGTATTCAATCACCTTTCTTTTCTTTATCAGGTATGGTATAGAGCAGTTTAAAAAATTAAAATTTATGTAATTATTGTATAAATATTGTACAAATTATTGTATAAATTTTCAGATACACCAAAGTGGAGACTATTGTTAAAATATCTGTGTCTCCCACTGACTGCAGTAATAGAGAATTTCTTCTTGGGTTTTAGATTTCCTCCTTCTTCACCCCTGAAACCATATCCAAAGAAGCCCCCAAACCAAAAGGATGTTATTAAATTTCCAGAATGGAATGATCTCCCACCAGGCACTTCACAAGAGAACATCCCAGTGAGGCCAGTTGTGATGGTAAGTGCCATGACTGAAAGATGGAAGGGCTGGCAGCAGGGAGAATCATCCATGAACTCCTAGGCTTGGTCTTTCTGTGGTCCTTTATGAACAATAATTTAAAGGTACTTTAAAACAAAATTGTACCTGCCAACAGCTGGGAGACCAGTAACAAGGAAAGAATGACTCTTGCAGTTTTTCACTCTTGCATGTAAATAGTTGTTGTACTGTATTGTTTAGGGCAGCAGTCCCCAACCTTTTTGGCACCAGCGATGGGTTTCATGGAAGACAATTTCTCCATGGACCAGGGCTGCTGGGGTGGGGGTGGGGGTGGTTTCGGGATGATTCAAGTGCATTACATTTATTGTGCATTTTATTTATATTATTATTACATTTTAATATATAATGAGATAATTATGCTACTCACCATAATATAGAATCAGTGGGAGCCCTGAGCTTGTTTTCCTGTAACTAGATGGTCCCATCTGGGGATGATGGGAGACAATGACAGATCATCAGGCATTAGATTCTCATAAGGAGCACACAACTTAGATCCCCCAGATGCACAGTTCACAAAAGGGTTCACGCTCCTATGAGAATCTAATGCGGCCGATCTGACAGGAGGTAGAACTCAGGCAGTATGTGAACAACAGGGAGCTGCTGTAAATACAGATGAAGCTTCACTCACTTGCCCAACGCTTACCTCCTCCTGTGCAGCCTGGTTCCTTATAGGCTATGGACTGATACCAGTCTGTGGCCTGTGGGTTGAGGACACCTCGTTCAGGGAATAACAAGAAGAAGAAAATGCTACATGTTCAGTACAGATGCAACCATCCATTTTTTTCCTCTGAATATTTTCAATCTGTGGTTGGTTGAATCCATAGATGCAGAACCCATAAATACAAAGAGTCAATTGTATATGGCAGCTGTTTTTATATGTTCAGACTGAGCAGGTTTCTGTTAAAACTCTCTTGTAATCCCCTTTTCCTGTACATTCTATAACTTACTACTCTTCTTCCTCTTTGTCTCTTCCTCCTAAACTGTTATTATTGCCAGTTGAGGGTAAGAAGGTTAGGATGTGGAATATTGTGTACTAGCCCCTGACCAAATATATAAGCAAAGGTAGATTCTTCTAGTCTTAGAAAACCGAAGCTCATTGTAGAATTGACTGCCTCTTTTTTTCACATTTTTTCCTTAAAATACCCCCAGTAGAAGACCACCAGGACTGAGGTGTAATGCTAAAAAGCAAACAACAAAAAAATTTCTGTTCCTTTTGCCATCTTCAGCTGTCCTTGTGGAGCCTTTTGCAGATGGCTAAGATTTGGGGGCTACTTTCGAACATTGCACTTACTTGATATTTGCTTATAAAAAATAGACAGTCCTCAAAAGTAATACATTTTAATTCCATTTTCAATAATCAGTCTGTACAGTGTATGAATTTAGATATGTATTCCTTAATTTTGAATTGATAACATTTTATTTCACTGCTATTTCACTGATTAGTTGAAACGTCCACAGGAAAAATTAGCTAGTTAATGCCATACTTACTGCCATAGCTCTTTTGTAATTCATGAATATTCATTTATAACATGACCTAGTCTTAAGAATCACTCTTTACTTCTCTGAGGTCCATGTAAAGAAAGTTAGTTTATATTTCTAATTATTATTTTAAATCAAGTTACAAGTAACCAAATCAAAGACATTTCTCATAAAAATCCCACCACCTTATATTGAAATATTTATTCACTGTCTTTCTACCGTTTCTCCTTCCCTCCCTTCTTACATCCCCCCTCCATTAGAATTCTGAGATGTGGTACAAGCGTCACAGTATTGCAATTGGAGAGGTGCCAGCTTGCCGTCTTGTCCACCGCAGACAGCTGACAGAGGCCAATGTAGAAGAGATATGGAAGTCTATGACATTATCATAGTATGTACATTTGATATTAATGAGAAATTTTAGAGATATTGTTTCCTATTTTGCTACTTCTTCACTCTCTGCATATTTAATTTTCTGAAATTATGTATAAAAATCTCAACTTTGCATTATTTGCAGTTGTGATCAGCAAACATAGTTTAACTGAATTCTGGGGATTATCTCCTGCTATTTACATAATAGTTAGGAGTTTAAAAGTTCTTAAGAGTAATAAGACACATAATAGAAAATTTGGTCTCCTAGATACTGATGTACTGTATGTATAAAGTTAACAATCATATACAGCAAAATTTTGTTCCTCATGAAGATATGCTAATAGTAGTTTCTTATCATTGGATAAGTTAGTTTTTATGTTGTAGTATTTTTACTTACAAAATTACTTTCTTGTCATTTGGTGTGTTACTAAATCTGTGAAGCAAAATGTTAATAGCAAAAGGATATCTTTTACATTTGTTTTATTGTACTCCATTTCTACCCTTTTTGCCCCGCAAAGATTGGGTGCAATGCATGAAAATAAAGCATTATAAAGATTGATTTTTTGTAGTACCAGGTTTTTGAGTAAATATAATATTAAAGACAGAACTAATTAATATAATTACTTATCTTTTAGCTTACAGAAAATTCTTGGCCTGGATTCCTTAGAAGAAGTTTTAGACGTCAAACTTGTCAATTCGAAGTTCATCATCCATAATGTATATAGTGTTAGCAAGCAGGGAGTTGTTATTCTTGATGACAAGTCAAGTAAGTGCATAAATATAATTTTGTTACTTATTGACATAATATATTGGCTGCACAGGTCCATCAGCTCCTTTCTGACCCTTCCCTAAACCCTGAATAAGTTTGTTCCTTCATTACGTATATTCTTTCTAATACCTTTTAACAAATTGTTTGGAATAAGGGAATGTCATAGGAAGATGAGTATCTAGGAATGAGAGCCTCAGCAAAATCCATCCAGAAGCTAGTTCAGTGTTAGCCACCTTGGGCATTAAGTGGTTTCGTATTCCCAGGGAAATCTCTGAAAAGTGAGAATATTCAAGACATAACCAAGAGTTAGAGTCAGTTTTCAGGTGGGCCCTGGGGTCTGACTGCATTTAGAATTCTCACGTTTTTGTTTTGGCTTCTCTGTGTTAGATTTTCTGGAATAGTCTTGGTTCTTTTTAATAAGGTAGTTTTTGAAATGTTGATATTGCTTTGATTTTTTATATTTCCCACCCTAGACCAGTTTACAAATCAGAAAAAACAAACAAACAAACAAACAAAAGAACCATATAACAGCCACCTAACATGGTTTTTGGTTTGTAAAAATGTGGTTAGGGTACTGATAGTGGACCACAGTCCCCACACTGATTTTAAATCTTTCTGTGGATAAGGACCAGATTTGGATGGGCTCATTGATTTGTTCTTCCTTTAGTTCAAACCCTCGATGCTGGGAATTGGCTGGAACTTGATGATCTTTGGATGTGGGAAGATGGCATAATACTTCTTGACTTTTTAAAAATATGATTAAATTTAGGGCTGGAGGCTCCTGGGAAGCAGACAGAATGTAGCAGAATAGCCTGAGCAGTGGTGAGAGGGGAAGAGATTTTTCTATGCCATGTTTCCTGACAGGAGCAGAACCTGTCTTCAGACCTGAAACACTTCTCCTTTTATAGTCACTATATGAGGAATGGAGGACAATGAGAGACAAATAAGTTTGTGGTGACTTTATGAGTTTTGAGGTTAATATCAACATATAAAATTAAGTTCCATAGAATGAAGGGAAGAGTGCAGCCTTTGAAATACATCTAAAATTCTTCCACATTCTCTGAGTGTAGCAAATTAATATTTTTAGTTATCAGTTAGATGATCAATCATCTTTCATTTTATTAAGTAAGATCTTAAGAAAGAAGAGAGCATTTTACAAGACTCCAGTTCATTAGATCTAACACAATTCAACAAGTGTCTTCGCAGTTTTACAGAAATAGAGAAGATGAAGTGGCAGCCTGAGTGCTAGCCCATCTCATCAGATGTCTGTGGCAGGGCGTGGAGGGAAGAGATTCTGTACCAAATGGTTCAGCTGGGATTTTTTTTGTAGCAATGTTCAGTTACTATTATTTAAAGGTTGTCCTAATACTAATAGCCTAACATTAATATGTCAGTGGAACTTTCTTGGCCTAAAGCATTTTGAAAATGGAAACATGTAAAATGATACTTATATTGGACCTACAGAATTACCCTTTTTGAGGGGCTGGTGGTGTTTGATGAACTTGTTTCACAAATGTGTTTGACGACTAATATTTTTTCTTTTCTTTTTCTTTTTGTAATTCTTAAAATAATTGGTTTGTCTTTTGGTTTGTTTGTTTGTTTGGAGCAAACTATACATTTTTTTCTTTTTACTATAGCTTTAAAAAGGTGCATTGTGTCCTTAGAGAAATCTGTAGGCATTATTTATGTAAGTGCATGTTATAACACTGCTGACAAGGAAAGGTTTCCATCTTTTAAATGTTCTAATAACATAAATTGGTGATTTGTGATTAGCAGATATGGTTCATATTACTTGGGCAAGTAATACATTCTTATGATACCAAGTATGTATATGATGTCTTGAGTTATATGGAATTGAGTACAAATTTTCTTTTTCCTTCAGAAGAACTTCCTCATTGGGTGCTGTCAGCTATGAAGTGTTTGGCAAATTGTAAGTACTAATTATCTGCCAGTTTTGTGAAATTAACAGAAATTAGTGCCCTAAATTAGGAAAAATTTCTGCTCAATGGCCTGAACATTGATGTGACACCTGTGAGACTGGCAGTTAATTATTTTGGGACTACTGTGCTTTTAGTGATAAATTTGTGACTTAGTGAAAGGACTGAATTCTAGAACAGTTTTAAAGGGATTTAGTACTTCTACTTTCTAGTAGATCCATCCACACTAGTTCTAATTGCTTCATCACAGGATGAAGGATGGTTTGGAAGGAGAAGAACCTGCCATGTAGAGAAATGAGAAAGACTGTTTCAGTAATTTGGATGTTAGATGAGAGGGCCTGGACCAGGGTGGTCCCTGTGAGGATTTTTATAGGTATATGAAATCCATTTCATAGGCATGTGATTTCCATATCATTGAATATCATAGGCACTGTGAAGGCATTAGTTGTTATAGTATCTCAGAAACACTACCATTCTTCTGGGAATTTTCACAAGGGTTAACCCAAAGAAGGGATTCTAATGATTAATGGCTTAACCCAAACAAATAATTTTGATGGAAAGAGTTCTAGTTATTTTGGCTGACTGATAATAGTGATATTTGGTCTGGAGTGCCTTTTGAGTCTCACAGATACCACAAGGTAGTAGTTCATTTTCATTTCTTTTGTACGGAACTAGCACTACAGATATAGGTGAAAATTCCCTTTAAATTCGTGAATTAGTAAACCCTAAAACATGGGTTTAACTGAAATTAGTTTTGTTTGATTATAGAATGAAACTAAAATAACTCTTAAGCTTAATGTGGGGAATCTTAGTAGTAGTATATGGAACATGATCCTATGATTTTGAATAGCCTTTTGAAGATGAATGCTATTCATTCATTCTATACTATCCTTCTGTATATGAATAGTAACCATTGGTTTGTGTGAAGCCCAAGGTTCTCTGAGTTTAACTGTTAACATTTTCATTGGTTTTTGGTTAAAATTTGGAGCCTCTGAGATGCAGAGTACTATGGTCTTAGCTTGGGGAAGTGCTTTTTTTTCTTCCTGCTCAGGCATTTGAAGTCAATGAAATTTAAATTACATCCTTGTCTAGGGTTGACAATGATGAGATAGAGAGTATAAATGAGAAGTTAAACTTCCCATTTCTGAACTGGCAAATCAAGGTTTTAGAAGTTCATCAGGCCAGGTGCGGTGGCTCACGCCTGTAATCCCGGCACTTTGGGAGGTCGAGGTGGGTGGATCACAAGGTCAGGAGATGGAGACCATCCTGGCTAACATGGTGAAACTCCGTCTCTACTAAAAATACAAAAAAAATTAGCTGGGCTTGGTGGCGGGCGCCTGTAGTCCCAGCTACTTGGGAGGCTGAGGCAGGAGAATGGCATGAACCCGAGATTGTGCCACTGCACTCCAGCCTGGGTGACAGAGCAAGACTCCGTCTCAAAAAAAAAAAAAAAAAGAAGTTGATCAGCTAGGAATGAACATAGGAAGCTAGTATAACCAATCTAGTCTGTAATATGTTGTAAAATATATAGTAAGATGTTTATGATGTTGAATTTTCAATGATTACTGAAATGTAGTAAAGAACATAATTTTCCCTCAAGCAGCATGTGCACCGAAAGCCAAAAAATTTCTGCAGAAAGCTTAGAATAACTGGAATTTCTTATCAGTGGAGAGCAAAGATGTGAGGGGTGAATTACTAATGATCTTCATGTGTGTGAGGTGGCATGATACTAGGTGGCAAGTGCTGGGAAAAGGGAACTTGTCTCATATGTATCAAGTACTATGCTTTATGAGTGGCTGGCATATCTGTAAAGATGTTTATTTATGTGTCAAACAAATAAAGGTGGCCAAAGGGCAAGATTAACCTTTTGAGTAGCTTTATAAAGTCACAATGTTTTCTGAAATTCCTGTTGACCCTCAGAATCTACTTTGAGTCCACCAAAGTCACAACCTGTTTCTTGTCCATCCTATCCTTAATAAGTCCCAATTCATGTTTCAGTCATCTAAAAGGGAACAGAAAGGATAGGCTGATTGTATGGTATTTTGAAGGCCTATTGCCTCCTTTTCTGAAGGAGGTGCTGCTCACCTCTTTCTCTTCAGCCCATCTGTGTTTATTGTCACACCCGTGTGCACATGGGCCTGTATACATTCATTGTTGGCCAGCCTCAATGCTGGCTACATAAATGCAAAACCAAGTTAACTGTGTTTTTCTTCTTTGCGCATGTCCAGGATTCAATAAAAAATAGACACAAAAAAGTCAAAGCATTTCTTTTCCAGAATCTGTCAGGAATAACATTTATAAAAAAAATTTTTAAATATTATTAAAGTTCAAGATGACTGAGAAAGAAAAGGTCATAAAAATATGGCTTCCTCTCATAGGGCTCACCATGCACTGATTTTTTTTAGGGAAACCTTTAAAATTTTTTTGCATATTTTTAAGAAGGATGATGAGATGTTCACAAAGGGGTACAACTGCTTAGAATGAACCGTATACTTATCCTGACAGGGAGTAATTCTAGGCAATGTGTATTGCTTGCTGAGACATATCAACCTAATTATTTTAATTGATTAAGCTTGGGATATGTCAGAGCAGGAGGCAAGCAAAATGGCAGCTACCTTTGCTGCTGGATTCATGCTGTACCACACACATAGATATTTCACAATTTTCATTATTTTAGCCAATCAAATTATTTTATAAGAAGAGAACAGAATATTGAAAGGTAAGAGAGTCTTTAAGGAGGCCGAAAAGGCCATTTGATCATGTCACAGTGACCTTGAAATGTAAAGACCCAGAATGCTTTAATGTCCTTTTTAGCTTGATCCCCTTTCTTTAGTTATAGAGATTCTGTAGGAAGAATTTCCTTTCAATTTATCTTGGCTGCTGCTTTTGATCCTCTGGGGGTAGAGGTCTATTTGGGTACAGTTGTTTAGTCTTCTGCTGAGCCAGAGCTAGGCAATGAGGATGTGGTCCTTTCTTCCATGCTGTAATGGAAATAGAGAAGGCTGGCTACACTGTTCCTCATGGGACGACTTGCTATTTTCCTCAAGGTACAGGCAGCTCCAGTTCATCTCTCAACTTGGCAGTGTAAATCTGTGGTCTGTGGATGGATTGGTGGAGCAGTTGTTGCCAACTCTGTAGAGAACATTTCTTGTTCCTCTTTGGGCCAGACACAAGTGGATGTTTTCCTTGCTTGTTGATGGAGTAGGATATGGTTGGGAGCAGGCTGTTTCAGGGTTTCAGTGGTTGCTTCAACTTTGCAGTATGACTTTGCTTGATAAACTGTCTTTTGATGGTTGGTCAGTGATCAAATAAAGAGTTTATAATCAGAGTGAATTAAGACAAAATATAAAATCCCCTTTTAAGGATTTTTTTAAGTTTAAATATTTATTAGTCTGAAATAGAGGCAGAAATTATTTTGCTCAACTCTATGACTGTAGGATTTTATAATATAACAAGAATGAAATAATGAAAGTCTTTAAAAATTGCTTTATAACTTGTCTGTTACATATGTGAGCTAATTGTTATCTCGGTCAACTTTATTAAGACTAGGATAATGTTGAGTATTTCAAAGAAAATTATTGTTTACATTTAATAAAAATGCCTTTCAGAAGAATGTTTTTTTCTTAAAGAAAGGTTTCTTTTAAAATGGAAGTAAGCCAGTGATTTTCTTCATTGTTTTATAATAGATTTCAATTTAGACATAAAGCATATTTGTGTAGGCAAAATGTAAAATGCCTATTTAATTAATATCAGTGTAGAATGCCTATTTAATTAATGTCAATTTTCCCCATAAAAACTTTTCTGTATATGTCAAATATCTGAATATCTGTACACGCCACACATATTCACAGAGAATAATACTTAGAGGTAATTACTCCATTAATGTTTCTCTTTCACTCTCTTTTTGAAAATAGGGCCCAACTGTTCTGATTTGAAGCAGCCTATGTACTTGGGATTTGAAAAAGATGTCTTTAAAACCATAGCTGATTACTATGGTCACTTGAAAGAGCCTCTACTTACATTTCATCTTTTTGATGCTTTTGTCAGTGTACTGGGTAAGTTGGAATATAATGAACATATATCTACATCACTGATATTGAATCGTTTCATTTTTCACTATTTTGAGACTTCCATTAGCCAAAACTCATGCCATTTTAAAAATAAAAACTGATAGAGTATTTGGCATAGCTAGAGTCTTGCTCTGTTGCTCTGTGAAGAAGTAAAAGAAAGTGGTTAAGCTCTATTAAGAAACTCAAAGCAAGGACCAGTAGTTTTTGTTTCTTAAGAAAGAATATAATATGTTGTATGTCACTTTTATTCAAAAGACTATAACTTTATTGGCAGAGGAGAATGTAAGTTTGACATTTACTATTCCTGGTTAAATCTGTTATTCTGGCTATGACTTCATGAATAGTCAAGTGTGGGAGGTATATTTTCATTTAGAAATCTAATTTCTTTTTATAGAAGAAACAGGTTTTTTGTAGTATTTTGTAATTTGAGACATGAAATAAATATAGTGACTTTATCATTAATTAAAACATGTAGCTATTCCTCATATAGATTTATACTTTAGAATTTACACTGAAAGGAACATGGTAGAAAGGAAAAAAATCAACAATATTGTTATAGTTCGTTCCGATATTCCTTTCTTCTTGGAAATCAGATTTTCTTGTTCTTGTAATTGTTCATTAAGTATTATTGTTTTCTTGTCAAAAGAGCTTTAAGGATGAAATTATTGTGTGGGTATCATATTCTGTTAGGTAAAGTTGTAGGAATTAGCACACTTTTGTTTTTGATTGTTGTTGGGTTTAGCCATCTTTCCCTTTCCCTTCTTTTCACTTGCTTACTCTTCCTCCTCCTCCTTCTCTATGTCGTTCTTTCATTTTGGAAACTATGGATGCTGCCATTGTATTGTAACAAAGTATCAGCAATATGTAAATAAGTTACTTGATCTCATGAGAAATACTTTGGATTTTATGCTTTTATAGATTTCCTGATAATAACAAAATACAACAATTATCAATCATGTAAATAAGAGTCAGTGTTTTCCCACAGAACAACATTGGAACAAATTAAAAGAGTAGGCCTATTACTGGGTTTTGAGACTACTGGACCTTCTTGGTATTTTGGCTCCAACTGAGGAGAATTGGGGGCCCATGGACTTGTGAGCATCATGGCTAATGATGAATATTTGCTGTTGCTTAGTATGCTTATGGACTAATTGGGTAGATTCCTATTACAGCAACTGTATTAGGAATTGCATTGCTATAGAGAAATACCTGAGACTTGGTAATGTATAAAGAAAAGAGGTTTAATTGGCTCATGGTTCTGCAGACTGTTCAAGAAGCATGGCAGTGTCTGCCTCTGGGGAGTCCTAAGGGAGCTTTTACTCATGGCAGAAGGCAAAACGGGAGCAGGCATCTTACATGGCGGGAGCAGGACCAAAAGGATTAGGGGAGGTGCTACACACTTTAAAATAACTAGATCTTGGGAGAACTCACAGTTGCAACAGTGTCACCAAGGGGGATGGTGCTAAGCCATTAGAAACTGCCCCCATGATCCAATCACCTCCCACCATGCCCCACCTCGAACACTGGAGATTACCTTTCAACATGAGATTTGGGCGGGGATGCAGATCCAAACCATACCAGCCACTTACTGCCTTTATGCCACTGGCAAAATAAGAGTTTTAAAGATTGTATTAAAAATAACTTCTTAGATTTCATTCTCATTTTCTATTTTTATAATGTTCTATAGTAAAAGTATCTGTTTTGGAAACTTTTTCAAAAACAAATTCCAATTTGTATCAGTTATATTTACGATGTCACTGCTCTATTTTATCACAATTATTCATTTTGATCTCAGCTAGGCATGAAAGCTGCTTCTAAATTAGTATCGGAGTCAGCTGCCCTCTAATATATCATCTTTAGTGGCTTCAGGGTGGAAAAGGATGGGCAGATTGGGGGAATTTATTGCCTTTAGGTATCAGCAGGAATGCACTAATGCATATGGATGGTAATACATTAACCTTGCCTCATCCAGTCCTGTTCAAGTGAATATATTTGAGATATCTTACATCGAAAACTATTTTCTTAGATCCTTTCATAGTGGAAGAAGAAAGAAGAAGGCCTTCTAGATACGGAAGACCACAGTTTATCTGTTTAACAAAGTATCTAACATAGCAATCCTGTTAGATTCTGTGGGAAAAGGTAAATATCTACATATGTAGGTTGGATCCCAGTGGGGCTGACCCATCCTTTAAACCTTTTACTTACTTTGATTGGAATAGGATATCATTAAAGTATTTTAAAGTAAATAATAAGTCTACTTTGCGGAGAAGCTAAAAATTCTACAGTGTTTTCAATGGAAGTGATGTTCAGCTTAGTTAATAAACTTCTTTTGAGGTTTCTTCCTTTGCTTGTGGCACGGTTGGGCTTGGTGGCAAAGCTGTATGAGAGCAGTTAGTCATCACTGATACATGAGATAGGACATCTAAAGATTCTTTAAAAAAGACTTGGCAGTTTTGGAGATGAAAGACTTATTTGTTACTTATATTAAAAAAATTATTTAATTTGGCCCAGCTGTCTGACCTGCAAGTATGACTCCATTGTAGTTGATCTTCATTTCCAAAATAGCAATTCCTTGTAGTGAGATCAGAGCTCAGCTGACTCTTGAATGTGGTGATTGAGATAGAGTAGCATTCTTTACTCACACTCCATACCCAACCTAGAGTCTGTTGAGATGTGTAGCATGCAATAATTTGGCATATTGAGGAAAGGAGGGAGGCAGATAGGAAGCAGAAAAGGCTACAGGAGCAGGGTAGACTGTTTTGGAAAATTGAGTGACTTGTAGGCTGTATAATCTGAGAACCCACACTGTTCATCTGTAGGCCAAATATGGCCCACATAAATTCACCATGAAAACGTCTGATTTGACCTGTGTTTTTAAAAAGAGAATTTAATTAAATTGCCAATCCTTAAGAAATGGGAGATTCACATCAGAATTCATATTTCTGTTTTTTTAAAAAAAATTTAGAAGATCTGGCAGCCCTGGGCTTGAATTTTTGGTGATACAAACTGCTGCAGCTGCATAGTGAGTGCTCCCACTAGAAGCAGCAAGTGTTCAAGGAGCGTGAACTCCAATTTGCCAAATCTCTAATACTCCTCATGCTTCTCAGACTCTGAAGCCAAGTTCACTTGACTCTCTTCACTTATTTATTTCATTTGTCTGCTCCCGTAGGCAGTTGAGCTTGCAACTCCTGGTTTATTTGTTAGGAGGCTGGAATACTGAGATAATAGCTCTTTGCTGTTCCCTTTCTCCTAAATGTTAAATATAGAAAATGCCATAGACATTCACTAGATTGATTATGCACTGGATCATTTAACTCAATAGGTTGAGATCTTCGCCTGTGATTTTTAACCTAGAAACATCCTTAAGGTTAGGGTTTCCATTCATTGGTTCTTTTGTCTAGTGACTTCAAGGAGACCCTCTGGAGCAGTGAAATCTTTGCCTTATTACCTCTCTGCCCTTATGTTCTTCAAGTTATGTCAGGGTCCCTATCCCATGGTAATTCTTAAGGGAAAACAATTTTTTTTTGTTTTGTTTTTTTGCAGAGAGTGCCTAGTTTGTGTGCTTGACCAGACAGAGGGCTTTTGCCCATGTTAGTCCAAAGTTCTTGCCAATGGTGCTATCTGCTCTCAGAGCCCAGGGCTTATGGCCGGAGTTTTTTTTTTTTTTTTTCTCTTGAGATGGAGTTTCGCTCTTGTTGCCCAGGCTGGAGTGCAATGGCGCAATCTCAGCTCACCGCAACCTCCATCTTCTGGGTTCAAGTGATTCTTTTGCCTCAGCCTCCTGAGTAGCTGGGATTACAGGCATGCACCACCATGCCCAGCTAATTTTGTATTGGCTGGAGCTTTTAAAGATGCAGATGGGCCAAGGTAAGGATGTTGAATTACCTCAAAACATAATGACTGTTGCTGCCTACCAAGATTGTCAGAATAAAGTGGAGTTAGGTACTCATTAAAGGTGGAAATTTAGGGAAATGCCTAGGTATTACCTGGCTGTAACTAAATACACAAGCTATTTATTTATTTATTTTTATATTTATTTATTTATTTATTTATTTATTTTTTTGAGACAGAGTCTCACTGTGTTGCCCAGGCTGGAGTGCAGTGGCATGATCTCGGCTCACTGCAAGCTCCCTCTCCTGGGTTCACACCATTCTCCTGCCTCAGCCTCTCGAGTAGCTGGGACTACAGGCACCCACCACCATGCCCAGCTAATTTTTTGTATTTTTAGTAGAGGCGGGGTTTCACCGTGTTAGCCAGGATGGTCTCGATCTCCTAATCTCGTGATCCGCCCGCCTCGGCCTCCCAAAATGCTGGGATTACAGGCATGAGCCACTGTGCCCGGCCTATTTGTTTTTATTTTTTAAGAGCATTTGGAATGATTTATTTCCAAGATTCACGATTGCAGATAATGTATGGTCAGCAAGTGGTTGCAAAGGAAGTCTGCTGTATGTGTCTGACTTGGAAGGAAAAAACACTGATAAGACAGTGGGTTCTTTGGCTTCCTCATTCAGACCATGCATGCCAGTGCTTCTGTTTCCTCCTTCTTGGCCCTTGCTTGGTGTCTAGGCAGATTAAATTCTTAGAAGGGTACTGGTCACCCAGAGATTGCAGATGTGCAAAAGTTGGCTTTTAAAGTTTAGCGTCCCATAATTGGATTTTTCACTGCTGCAGACTCTACTGCATGCCACTCTCTGCCATTTGCCTATACCTGTCCATGGTTGCCTCTTCTGCATTTTCCTTGGTAGTAGCTTTAAGTCTCTGTCTCACACACCCAACATTGTGCTTCCTGGATTTGTGGGTATAATTTGCGAATGTAAAGGGGTGCCCTGTACTATCTATTTCTGAGGCATAGTTTCAAATAAAATGGTATTTTATAGCCTGCATTAATGTGAAATTACTTTCAATTAGGATTCTGAGTAATTTACACATAATGTTTGTAAAGTGAAGGAAAAATGTCAAGCATTTCACTAACAAATGAAAGCAAAGCTCACAAGTCTCTGCCAGAAATGAATTCCAAGAACACTTTCTTTATCATTTCTCTTTTCAGCTCACAAATCTACAGGCTGGTGATTTAGCCTGGGCAGCTCTTCAGGTCTCAGCTGGGCTCACTCCCAGGACTGCAGGCTATTGGTAGGGGCCTCCCAGGTCTGGAGGTTGGCTGGGGTGACTCAGTTCTGCTCCACATGTCTCCCTCCAGCAGGCCAACCCTGGCATGTTCTCACGGTGAAGGCAGAGCTTCTATTGGAGTACTTGCCTACAGCTACTCTTTTTTCCCAAGCCTCCAGCATAGCTTTCTTGTGTGCTTCCCAAGTCTACTTCACAGTTTCTCCACAAGAATCCAGTCATTTTACATGGAGTAGAGAGAGAGTCTTGCAGATCCTCTCCTTGGCCAGAGGAAGTCACCAGAGTAAGGAAGGAGAGAAGAGGCAAGGAAGGCAGCAGGGCCAGCTCCTCTTGTTAAAGTGTGAACACTAACTGAACAGTACCTACCATAGAGAAGGCAGGAGAGTAACTTCAGGGGTAAGGAGTCCAGGCTCTAGAGAGAAGCAGACATGGATTCCAGTCCTGGCTTCTGCACTCACTGTGGGCAAGTTATCCCCTAGCCTCAGATTCTTCAGAAGTGAAATGGCATAATGCTATTAACTATTGCCTTAAGGCCTTTGTGAAGTTCAGATACACACAAAGAGCTTGGCACAGCAGCTGGCACACAGCAGGCACTCAAGGAAATGATTGTGGTAGTACTTAGGTGAGGGCATAATGCAGGTTTTAAAAGGAATCTCCCAGCCTGTGGCTTATTCTGCTGGCGTCAGGACAAGGACAGGGACAGACATTTCCCCTGACTTCTCTTCACTTCCAGAAGTCCACTGGCAACTTGCCTCAGTCTCCTGTCCCCAACACCACCACAGCCACCTAAAATCCCAGACCTGGATGCTGCATTATCCCCACAGCTGTGGAGGTCTCCATTCCCCAGGCTGGCTTATATAAAGTGGTACCAGGGACCCAGCCTAGAGGGACCCCTGCTAGTTTGCCAGTGGTCCCTGGTGGTCACATGTCCAAGGCCCTGGGTGCTGAGCACTTCGGAGGCCATGGGCCCTTGAAGCAAGGCCTGTGCTGGGCACTGCAGAAGGCAGAGGCCAGGTCGGAGTAGCCACTGCTGTCCAGCTTTGGTCTTGTGGGGGCAGATGCACCCATGGCTCTTAGGCAGGAGCTGGATATTCTGGGCAAAGTTCCGTGTGGCCGCTGGGCCTGACTTCGCAGAGGGGGCGCTCTGGCCAGATGGGTGGAGGTTGCAGGATTTGGGGCTGAGTGGGACCAGGCTCCAATCAAGGCAGGTGGCCTGGCTTGCTGCTCAGTTTGCAGCAGCCGCCTTTCCCCAGCGTGCCTGTGGTGGTGGCATCAATGATCCTAGCACCTGGGATGATGCCTGGCAGCCGATTTGGGGTGAGGAGTGGCTTCCAGGACACGGGCATGGAGTGCTCCAGCCAAGCATTGCCATCGCCGTGGCCCTGTGTGCTCTGAGTGGCCTGGGCTGCCCCGACAGATGGCCTTTTAGTGCCCCTGGTGCCCCAGGTTCAGGCAGAGGGCACAGTGCCCAGGCATGCAGTCTCATAGTGAATTAATGAAACAGCAACAAAATAGACAAATTGTTCCACTGGTCCTTTATATAGGTTATTTCCAACAGCTTTGGAGAGTGAGGGTGTCTCTTCATCCTCATCAGCACAGGACATCATTCATGTTGAACAGTTTTGACATTACGTACACCAGGAATGGGTTTAGTGTATGGGGAGATTCCCAGGATAGCCAGAATGGTTAGAAAAATGGCAAAGTTCAGATAGTGTGCCCCACTTATTAACTTAGGACAGCCACTAGCCACCAACCAGTTTTCTGTTCTGTGGATGAACTCTGTGATCCTATGAATAAGGCTGACCACAATTTCAGTGAGACCCTAGAACCCTGTGTTGATTGACTATTTTATAGTAGATGGCAAGGAGGAAAATAGCTATAATTGGAGGCCCTGTACTGAGCAATTTATTCTATGTAATAGAAGAGTGGCCCATTTGGAGATATCTGTGCTAATAGGACCCATATGATGCAAATGAGACTTATCAGGATGAGAAATAACCTGGAGAGTCCTCCTCATCACTTATCCTTTCCAGAATCCACTTGCTTTCCCTGGCAGTTGATGATATATTGCCAGTGCCTTCTTCCTTTTCAGATCTGGTTTCCACATGGTCCTTGCAGGGAGCTGGAGAGTCCTCCCCATCACTTATGCTCTCCAGAATCCACTCTGGGTCACATGAAGTTGACAACGTGTGGGAACATGTCATTTCCCTGAGAAGAAATCTTCCTCATTTCTGCTGAGAAGATCCTCAGGAGCAGCTGATGAGTCTTCGTCGTTACAGCTGCCCTCATAGATGATGTCCAGGGGCTAATCATATTCATTGATTCTTGAGGCTGCCATTGTCTTTCATGGGACCTTTTCCAATGCCCAGTAATGAGGAAGCTGTTCCAATATTTCCTCAATGGGAAGGTTTTCACTTGCTTTTGAGTCTACCTTGACCTCAAATAAGGTCTCCTCCTCTGACCTGTCATCTGGAGGCTCCTCCACCAGGTCTTCAGCCTGAGCTTCAATGAATTGTTCCCCAGGGTGTATTCTGTTATGTGACCAGATGTGGATTTTTTTCACCCACTGCTTGGCGTGGGCAGCGGATCTTCTGGACCACTGAAGACACATTCTCATATTCTCAAGGCAAAATTCTGAAGAAATCATAAAACTGTTCCCACCACAAAATGTTCTTTGTAGGTGGTTCATGTCTGATGCATTCTTCTAACATTATCCACAATGTAGAGGTATTTCTGGAGGTTCACACCCTTTCAATAACAGGAGCACAATATTCTGCTAGGTACAGATGTCTTCAGCAGTAGGAGTTCTTGCGCTCATTTGTCTTCTGAGAATATTGTTGAAAATTTGAACATGTCTTTTTGATTCTCAAAGTCAGCAAGCTGTGGATCAGCTCCTAAGTGCTAAAGAGCCCACAGTTGCAGAGTTCCTGAGTGGGTTGAGTGCAGTTTCAGTCTGTGGCTGGTTTTTATTTGTGCTTGCAGAATTTCTTTCATGGCAACCAGAGTTTTGGAAACTTCTAAAGGCTTTTCTGCTTCTTTGTTTTGTTTTGTTTTGGTTTTTGGTTAGAAATGCCTTTCTTTCCAGAACAGCCATGCTTTTCAGGGCCTGCACAGTGCCTGTTGCAGATGTGCAAGGCATCCCAAGAGGAAGCAAAGCCCTCACTGCTTGGTGGGGCCAGGTTGCCTGCTCTTGGTCTCCATGTCCTCCCTTTCCCCGTCCAAGGCCGTCACTGGCTTGGGCTGCTCCGTTGGTCCTTGCAGCCGTGCCGAGCGCACATCTCCTGATAGCTCCTACTCTGGGCAAGGAGCTGACTCGGCAGTGGACAAATTGAGGCAACCAAATAATAAACACAAATGGATAGTCAACACATTTTTTGAAAGAACATCTGAAAGACAAAATGGGGAATGGCGAGTCTGTCTAATAAACCATTTTGAGAAAACTGGATATTCATATAAAGAAGTATAAAGAGGACTGTTATGTTGCACAATACACAAAAATCAACTCAAAATAAATTAATGACCTAAACTTAATATCAGAAATGATGAAACTTTTAAAAGAAAACATAGGGTGAATGTATGTTTAGGGAAACTCAAATTTATGTTCACAGGTTGCAAAAAGAAAAATATGAGAAAAACATAGAGGAAAATGATTCTGCCAATAAAGTGAGTTGGAAATAATTTTTCTGTTTTCACAAAAATCATTGCTAACAAAAGCAAAAACAAGTGTGGGACTATAGAAAACTGATGAGCTTCTGCATAGGAAAGAAAAGAATGAACCAATACAGAAGGCATCCAGTAGATTGGGACAAAATTATGGGGGATTATATATCTGAAAGGGTTGTTATCTAACATGTATAAGAAATTACCACTACTAAGTAGGAAAAACAACAACACAAAACAACAAATAACCAGATGGAAATTGGGCAAAGAACCTGAATAGATGTTTCTGAATAGAAGACATGAATTTGACTACCAGGTAAAAGAAAAGGTTCTCAACATACCTAATCATCAAGAAAATGTACATTAAAACTCACTGAGATATCTTCTCCACTCTAATTGGAATTAATGTTACAAAAAAGAAACAAATTTTTTACAATGAAATGATCAGTGTGGAGTTGGATGAAGGGGTACTATTACACTACTACACAGTGTAGGGTGGAATTTAAGTCAGTATACACACTATGAAAAATAGTTGGAGTTTGCTCAAAAAATAAAATACAACTATCATTTGCTGTAGTAATCCCACCACTGAATATACATTTTAAGAAAATGAAATCAGTATATTGAAGAGATACGTGAAATCCTACATTTCTTGACACATTATTCACAGCACTCAAGATGTGGAATCAACCTACCTGTCCAGGAACAGATGAAGAGATAAAGAAAATGCAGTGTGTATACACAGTGGAATGCTCTTCACCATAAAAAATTCACGGAATCATGTCATTGCAGCAACATGGTGGACAATGTAAGAAAAGCTCCCCGGAGAAGCTGTACAGAAGCTGCCTCCTCAGCAGTCAGGGCCAGGTACCGGAGCTGTTTTTACCCCAGGACAGGGCCGGCCCCAAGTCATCCCAGAGCTGCCATGGCACCCCCTCAGTCGGGTCCTGAGGAATCCTACACAAGCTACTTATATCAGTGATCACTAGGATAATCCATAGAACTTTTGGGAAAGAAGTTTAAGACCTTTCTCCCACCATTTCAGCAGGATAAATTCCAACTGGATTAGAAAATGAAATGTTAATAATGCAAATAAGTACATATTTATATCTGTATATAAAATACAGTTGATATTTGCCTGGTGTTTAGGTGTCTAAAGGACTTTCTAAGCATAAAAGCAAAAAAAAGTCATAAAAATGCTATAGCAGTTTGAGACTCTATGCAGGAAAGGGCATCATCACGTGCATGGATGAATCTGTATCTAATTTTAAACAATTTCCAATGGTGCCTGTTTCCTTTTCTTTGAAAATCTCTGGAGAAATAGTTCCTCTTGCTGTGTCTTTCTTTAGGCAAGAATTTTTACTAATTGATGTGTAGTCTGAATCCTGGCTAAGTATAAACCTTTTATTTTTTATACCTGTTCTTAGTGAAAATGAAACTGTGACTTTTTTTTTAATTCCTTTTGTTGGTCAAAAACTACAATTAACTCTTCTGAGTTTCTTCTCTGGCTGAACAAACAATGGTCCCATTGGCCTTTCAGGGAACTCCAGGCCGTCTCAAAAACCTTCATGTTTCATTTCTTTTCAGAGCTCCCAAAAAGAATAGCTTGCTCTTGACGTTGTACATGTTAGTGGAATGATCAGGACTACTTTGCAAAGATGAAAAATTTGTGTTTCTAGTGATTTGAAAATAGAAATCTGATGTAACTATTAGATATTGGGAAAGAAGGTGACGAAGGTAGGTATCACCGAAAGCACTTAACAATTCTGAATAATTCTGTACTTGATTGCATTTATGTGTATCATAGGAACAGTTGGGTTTCCTTGAGTGTTAAATTATTTATTCACTTATTCCACTTCAAGCCAGCTAAATGATTGTTTCCCTGATGGCAAAAGTCTCAGATTGATTGCACAGTTTATTTGGTTGGATTGTTTATGCTCTTTTTATTATTTATTCTTATTTCACCAATGAAAATATCACTAAGTTCTTTGGTTTGTTGACCTGATTGTACCTACTTTGACAAATCACTGCCTTTCTGGACCCAGTTTTCTCATTAAGTGGCAGTGATAACCTGTCATACTTACAGATATAAAAACATGAAAGTTAAAGTATTGGGTAATACTTTCCTCCTATCTTTTTTTTATTTTGAAAAAGATAAAAAATTGGCATAATGTATTAGTTAAGATGGAATAATCATATGTTGATATCCAGCCATTTCTTCTCTCAAATGATAGGAAGATTTTTATGTGAAACTACTTGTGAGAGATCTTAACAATTTGTAGTTAGAGAAAGCACTATTATATCATTTGGAAATGCAAGAAACAAGTTACCTTTGGGGCAACAGAGGCCCTTGTCATTTTCTCAAAAGAAGGAAGCATCAGCATTTTGATGATGATGTTGAGATTGTAGAAATGATGAAGGTGAAAAAGTTATTCTAGCTTATGTTTAGCAAAATGAAATGAACCCAAATAATAAAACAGTTACAACATTGAATCTCTTTGGGAGAAAAAAAAAAGATAGAATGCTAATGTCCTTCAGAACTTCTTAAACCAGAACCTTAAAAAAAAGAGAAGCTTTTAAAAAATCATAATAGTTTATGATCTTGAAGGGTTTAAAAGTATTTGATGAAGATGTCTTTTGAATTTATTTGTAGGTCTTCTTGTGTATTTAAAAGCTAAGTTATCTTGTAATCATTTTTTTCTATACCTTTGTCAGTAACCTCTTAGTGATGAAATAAAAAAGATTAGGTAATCATCCAGCAATGGGGAAGAAGTTAAGGAACAAAGAGCTCAGATTAAACTAGTTTTTAGAATCTAAGCATTTCTGCATGAATTTGAATCATGGAAAACAAAATGTAGCACTCCAACATTTGATGCAAAACTAAAAGTGGAATACTGCTTTGATATTTGAATGAATTGAAAAATAATTAACATCCTTGGAACTGTATGTAAAGAAGGACTTCACAAGTATTATAGATACCCCCAACCTCAGCCCTTTTCCCATGTATCTCTTTGATCACATCCCTACCTCATAGATCACCCATGTGCTGAAGACTTTCAGTTCTGTATGTTCATTCTAGATCTCCTGAACTCAAGATCAGAATATCTTTCTGACTTCTGACTGTGTATTTCTGGATGTTATACAAGAACCTCAGCTCAAACTCAGTATTCCCTAAACCATTGTTTTTGAAACTTTATGTTGGATGTGAAATCTGTATTGTAGAATAACATTAAAAAAAGAAAGAATAGTATGCAAAATATCAGAGTGCATTGTATGTAGCAAGAGTAGGTATTTTCGTAAACTTTTTGTTTTAATTAAACACATATATATTTATTATTGCAGTGTAAAATGTATTTCTTAATTTGGATAAGTGTTAGTGAGGATGTGGATAAATTGGAACTCTTGTACATTACTGGTGGGACTATAAAATGGCACTGCCGTTTGGTAAAACAGTTTGGCAGTTCCTCAAAAAGTTAAACATACAGTTAACATGTGATATAGAAATTTCACTTTTAGATGTACACCCAAAAGAATTGAGAACATATGTTCACACAGCAACTTGTACACAAATGTTCATAGCAGCATTACTCAGAAGAGCCAAAAAGTGGAAACAACTGAAATGTCCATCAAGTGATGAAGCAGTAAAATGTAGTATATCCGTACAATGAAATATTCAGCCATAAAAAGGAATGCAATGTTGTTGCATGCTACAACAACTTGGATGAATCTTGGAAACATTATTCTAAGTAAAAGATTCCATTTTTATGAAATGTCCAGAATAGGCAAATCTATAGAGACAAAGATAAGTGGTTTCCAGGGGTTGTGGGGAGGAGAGAATGGGAAGGTGACAAAATGTTCTGGATTAGATAATAGGGATGGGTATAACTTAGTGACTATACAAAAAAAATCACTAGAATCATATACTTTAAAAAAGATATTCCCATAAAAAAAAGAACAAGCAAGAAAAAATAACTAAATTTGACTTTAGGAGTTAAAAAGAATATAGTATCTCAAATGAAAATTTTGCTGGATAGGATTAGGGGTAGATTAGACACTCCAGAAGTTAAAGATCAGTGAGCTTGAATACACACAATAGAAGCTAGTCTAAACAAAGCACAGAGAGAAAAAAGAACAAAACAAACCTCCCACAACAAAACAAAACAAAAGCCAACCAAAAATACAGCCTCAATGACCTATGGGAAATATTTAGCAGTCTAATATACATGTAATTGGAATCCCTGAAGGAGGAGGGGGGTAGAATGTATCTTTTTTTGTCCCCTATGACTGCTGTTAAGATTTTATTATTGATTTTTAGGAATTGCATTATATCTTGGTGTGGTTGTTTAAACAGAGGTATAGCTTATCAACCAATGGTGGAGCTAAAATAGAATACTTGAAAGTACTTATGGATGCACAGAATCTAAGATGGCCCCCAATTTTCCTGCTACCTTGTACCCTTGAGTATATGTGGGACCTGTTACTTGCTTCTAACCAATAAAATCTCACACCAGTTAGAATGGTGATTATTAAAAAGTCAGGAAACAACGGATGCTGGAGAGGATGTGGAAAAATAGGAACGCTTTTACACTGTTGGTGGAAGTGTAAATTAGCTCAGCCATTGTGGAAGACAGTGGCAATTCCTCAAGGATCTAGAACTAGAAATACCATTTGACCCAGCCATCCCGTTACTGGGTATATAACCAGAGGATTATAAATCATTCTACTATAAAGACACATGCACACGTATGTTTATTGCGGCACTGTTCACAATAGCAAAGACTCGGAACCAACCCAAATGTCCATCAGTGATAGACTGGATGAAGACAATGTAGCACATATACACCAGGGAATACTATGCAGCTATAAAAAATGACGAGTTCATGTCCTTTGCAGGGACATGGATGAAGCTGGAAACCATCATTCTCAGCAAACTATCACAAGAACAGAAAACCAAACACCACATCTTCTCACTCATAAGTGGCAGTTGAACAATGAGAACACATGGACACAAGGCAGGGAACATCACACACCGGGGCCTGTGTGGGGGGTCGGGGGCAGGGGGAGGGATAGCATTAGGAGAAATACCTAATGTAGTTGACATTACTTTGGTTTGACATTACTTTGGTTTGTGGGTGCCACAAACCACCATGGCACATGTATACCTGTGTTACAAACCTGCACGTTCTGTACATGTACCCCAGAACTTAAAGTATAATAATAATAAAATAACATGTATGTCAAGGGTGACATGTAATTAAGCAAAGCTCAGTAAATTTAAAATGATTGAAATTGTACTAAGTTTTCTGACCACGCTAGAATTAAGCTAGAACTCCAGGTCCAGATGGCTTACTGATCAATTTTACCCAACACTTTGGAATGAATAATGACATTTGTATGAAAGTCCTTTCAGAAAATAGAAGATGAGGGAATATTTCCTGAACCATTTTATGAGGCCAGTATTGACATGGGTAATAAAACCAACAAATACATTACACAAAAAAATTGTAGCACATGATATCCCTGATAAAACCAAATGCAAAAATACATTAAATTTGCAAATTGAATGCAGCAGTAGATAAAAAGGACAATAATACATCATGGCCAAGTAGGGTTTATCCCAGCAAGGTAAGACTGGTTTAACATCTAAAATCAATCAGTATAATTCATCATATCGATAGGATGAAGGAAAAAAACTCATGTGACCATCTCAACGATTGCAGAAAATGTATGTGACAATATTCAACACCCATTAATGATAAAAATGTTAAATACATTACAATAGAAGAAAACTTCCTCAGCCTTATCAAGGGTACCTGTGAGAAAATTATGGATAACATTTTTCTTAATGGTGGTAGACTGAATGCTTTCCCCTATGGTCAGAAAAAGACAAAACTCATCACTGCTATACAACATTTCATGAGAGGTCAGCAGTGCTTTCATGCCTTAAAGGCATGAAAATGAAATAAGTGATTTAAGATTGGAAAGAAGAACTAAAACTACGTTTGCTGATATCAAAAATCCCAAGAAATCTGCCCCCAAAAAGCACTTATGAATTAATAATTAAACTTAACAAGGAAGCAGGATATAAGACCACTGTATAAAAATCAATTGGAAAACTAAAACAAAACCCCAAAAAACCCAACCTAATAATCTGTTTCCAATAACACCAAAAAACATGGAATACTCAGGGATGAATTATAAGTAGGGATAAACAAGGTGTGTGCAAGACCTGACAATGAAAACTATTAAATGTTGTTGAGAGGAACTAAGGATGACTTAAATAACTGGAGAGACATACTATGTTCATGGACTGAAAGATATGCAATATTGATAAGATGTCAATTCTTCCAAAATTGATACATGGATTATTTAGCTTGGTAAAAATCCAAGCTTTTTTTTGTAGAGTTTTCAAGCATTTTGTAAAATTTATTTGGAAATACAAATAATCTGAATAGCCAAAACAATGTGGAGAAAAGGAGAAAAAATTAGAGAACTTACATTACCTGTTTTTAAGACTTACTATAAAATCTTACTTTCAGGTGTGGTATTGGTATCTTACTGTAAAGTCTTCCTGTAAAGTATATTGATATTTAGTGTGGTGTTGGCATAAGGATAGATATTTAGGCCTATGGAATAGAATAGAGGGTCCAATAGTAGATTCATGTATCTGTAGTCAAGTGATTTTCAGCAAAGAAGCCAAGGGAAGGGATCATCTTTTCAGGGTAGTGTTGGAACAACTGGATATCTATTATGGAAAAAGTGAACCTTTATACTGTATACTGTATGCACTCAAATTTTACTTTGGACTGGATCACAGATTCAAATATAATAGAGATATCTAAAAACCTTCCAAAAGAAAGTATAGGAGAAAAATTCTTGCAATTTTGCATAGACAAAGATATCTTAGTTCCTAGAAAACATAACCATAAAATAAAAATTACATCAAATAGACTTCATCAAAATTGGAAATTTCTGCTCTTTGAAATATACTGTTAAGAAAATGAAAAGACAAGAAAATTCCCATTACATAGCTCACAAAATACTTATAACTAGGATATGTAGAGAACACTTCAATACTAAGACAATGCAATAAAAAAACAAAAAAACTGGACACAACAAGAATATATATGAAATACTCATAAGCACATGAAAAGATTATTAACATCATTAATCATACAGGAAATGCAGATTAAAACCACAATGAGATACTACCATGTACACACTAAAATGGCTAAAGCCAAAGACACTGACATAAATTTTTGGTGAGTGTGGGGCTCCTGGAGCCCTCAGACATTGCTGATAGGACTGTGAAATGACACAGCCACTTTGGAAAATGAGTTCATCATTTCTAACTAAGTTAAACATACACATACCTTAATTTCATTCCTAGGTATTTATCTAAGGGATAAGAACACATGTGTTCACACAAATTGTGTGGTGTTCATAGCAGCTTTATTCATAATATCAAAACATTGGAAACAATCTACATGTCTATCAGCAAGTGAATGGAAAAATATTTTGTAGTATATCCATGCAATGAAATATTACCCAGCAATAAAAATAAACTATGGGTACATACAACAATATAAATGAATCTCAAAAATATGCCGAGTGATAAAAGCCATTCTGGTTCCATTTACATGAAATTCTAGGAAAGGGGAATCTATGGAGGCAGAAAGCAGGTCAGAGGTTGCTTTGGTCTAGGGGATCGAGAGGCCTTACTGCCAAACAGCACCAGTAGATTCTTTGGGGGGGCGGAAGAGTTTTATATTTTCATTGTTGTGCTGTTTACATGGGGATATGCATTTGTCAAAACTCACTGAGCTCTACATTTAAAATGGGTACATTTTTGTAGTATTTTAATTATAAATCAAAATTGAACAAAAAAGTAACACATGTTATTTGAGGACTTTTTTTTTTAAAGCATCATGTTTTATTTTTATTTTTTGCAGACAAGGGTTTTATTTAATATAACTCATAAATTACATTGCCAATATCCTAAAGGTAATAAAGAAGTCAAAAGCACTATTTGTGAAAATCAGTATATCATATGACGGTAAGCATAGTTGCTATTCACCAAAAACGTTCAGAAAACATTTGAATTCATTGTCTGAAAGAGCTTAGGCTCAAGACTTGAATTACTAAGAAAAGAAAGTAGTATATAATTATACAAAGATGAGTAATAACCAAAAACTGTTCTTTAATGCATGTTTGTTTTTCCTGAAAGCCATTTCTTTCTTTTTTTCTTTTAATACTTTAAGTTCTAGGGTATACTTTAAGTTCTAGGGTACATGTGCACAACATGCAGATTTGTTACATATGTATACATGAGCCATGTTGGTGTGCTGCACCCATTAAGTCGACATTTACATTAGGTGTGTCTCCTAATGCTATCCCTCCCCACTCCCCCTACCCCAGGACAGGCCCCGGTGTGTTATATTCCCCTTTCTGTGTTCAAGTGTTCTCATTGTTCAATGAGTGAGAATATGAGGTGTTTGGTTTTTTGTCCCTGCGATAGTTTGCTGAGAATAATGGTTTCCAGCTTCATCCATGTCCCTACAAAGGACATGAACTCATCCTTTTTTATGGCTGCATAGTATTCCATGGTGTATATGTGCCACATTTTATTTTTATTTTTATTATTTTTATTTTTAAAATTTTATTATTATACTTTAAGTTAGTGTACATGTGCACAACATGCAGGTTTGTTACATATGTATATATGTGCCATGTTGGTGTGCTGCACCCATTAACTCGTCATTTAACATTAGATATATCTCCTAATGCTATCCCTCCCCCTACCCCCACCCCACAACAGTCCCCGGTGTGTGATGTTCCCCTTCCTGTGTCAATGTGTTCTCATTGTTCAATTCCCACCTATGAGTGGCAACATGTGGTGTTTGGTTTTTTGTCCTTGAGATAGTTTGCTGAGAATGATGGTTTCCAGTTTCATCCATGTCCCTACAAAGCACATGAACTCATTATTTTTCATGGCTGCATAGTATTCCGTGGTGTATAGTGCCACATTTTCTTAATCCAGTCTATCACTGATGGACATTTGGGTTGGTTCCAAGTCTTTGCTATTGTGAATAGTGCCTCAATAAACATACGTGTGCATGTGTCTTTATAGCAGCATGATTTATAATCCTTTGTGTATATACCCAGTAATGGGATGGCTGGGTCAAATGGTATTTCTAGTTCTAGATCCTTGAGGAATCGCCACACTGTCTTCCACAATGGTTGAACCAGTTTACAGTCCCACCAACAGTGTAAAAGCATTCCTATTTCTCCACATCCTCTCCAGCACCTGTTGTTTCCTGACTTTTTAATGATCGCCATTCTAACTGGTGTGAGATGGTATCTCATTGTGGTTTTGATTTGCATTTCTCTGATGGCCAGTGATGGTGAGCATTTTTTCATGTGTCTTTTGGCTGCATAAATGTCTTCTTTTGAGAAGTGTCTGTTCATATCCTTCGCCTACTTGTTGATGGGGTTGTTTGTTTTTTTCTTGTAAATTTGTTCGAGTTCATTGTAGATTCTGGATATTAGCCCTTTGTCAGATGAATAGATTGTGAAAATTTTCTCCCATCCTGTAGGTTGCTTGTTCACTCTGATGGTAGTTGCTTTTGCTGTGCAGAAGCTCTTTAGTTTAATTAGATCCTGTTTGTCAATTTTGGCTTTTGTTGCCTTGCTTTTGGTGTTTTAGACATGAAGTCCTTGCCCATGCCTATGTCCTGAATGGTATTGCCTAGGTTTTCTTCTAGGGTTTTTATGGTTTTAGGTCTAGCATTTAAGTCTTTAATCCATCTTGAATTAATTTTTGTATAAGGTGTAAGGAAGGGATCTAGTTTCAGCTTTCTACATATGGCTAGCCAGTTTTCCCAGCACCATTTATTAAATAGGGAATCATTTCCCCATTTCTTGTTTTTGTCAGGTTTGTCAAAGATCAGGTAGTTGTAGATATGTGGCATTATTTCTGAGGGCTCTGTTCTGTTCCATTGGTCTATATCTCTGTTTTGGTACCAGTACCATGCTGTTTTGGTGACTGTAGCCTTGTAGTATAGTTTGAAGTCAGGTACCGTGATGCCTCCAGCTTTGTTCTTTTGGCTTAGGATTGATTTGGTAATGCGGGCTCTTGTTTGGTTCCATATGAACTTTAAAGTAGTTTTTTCCAATTCTGTAAAGAAAGTCATTGGTAGCTTGATGGGGATGGCATTGAATCTATAAATTACCTTGGGCAGTATGGCCATTTTCACAATATTGATTCTTCCTACCCATGAGCATGGAATGTTCCTCCATTTGTTTGTATCCTCTTTTATTTCCTTGAGCAGTGGTTTGTAGTTCTCCTTGAAGAGGTCCTTCACATCCCTTGTAAGTTGGATTCCTAGGTATTTTATTCTGTTTGAAGCAATTGTGAATGGGAGTTCACTCGTGATTTGGCTCTCTGTTTGTCTGTTATTGGTGTATAAGAATGCTTGTGATTTTTGCACATTGATTTTGTATCCTGAGACTTTGCTGAAGTTGCTTATGAGCTTAAGGAGATTTTGGGCTGAGACGATGGGGTTTTCTAGATATACAATCATGTCATCTGCAAACAGGGACAATTTGACTTCCTCTTTTCCTAATCGAATACCCTTTATTTCCTTCTCCTTCCTGATTGCCTTGGCAAGAACTTCCAACACTATGTTGAATAGGAGTGGTGAGAGAGGACATCCCTGTCTTGTGCCAGTTTTCAAAGGGAATGCTTCCAGTTTTTGCCCATTCAGTATGATATTGGCTGTGGGTTTGTCATAAATAGCTCTTATTATTTGGAGATACATCCCATGAATACCTAATTTATTGAGAGTTTTTAGCATGAAGGGCTGTTGAAATTTGTCAAAGGCCTTTTCTGCATGTATTGAGATAATCATGTGGTTTTTGTCTTTGGTTCTGTTTATATGCTGGATTACGTTTATTGATTTTCATATGTTGAACCAGCCTTGCATCCCAGGGATGAAGCCCACTTGATTATGGTGGATCAGCTTTTTGATGTGCTGCTGGATTCGG
The DNA here is from genome assembly GCF_000001405.40 of Homo sapiens. NCBI lineage: Eukaryota > Metazoa > Chordata > Mammalia > Primates > Hominidae > Homo > Homo sapiens. The sequence continues at coordinate 60,618,904 of NC_000005.10, read as the reverse complement.
TTTGCCAGTACTTTATTGAGGATTTGTTCATTGATGTACATCAGGGATATTAGTGTAAAATTCTCTTTTTTTGTTGTGTCTCTGCCAGGCTTTGGTATCAGGATGATGCTGGCCTCATCAAATGAGTTAGGGAGGATTCCCTCTTTTTCTATTGATTGGAATAGTTTCAGAAGGAATGGTACCAGCTCCTCCTTGTACCTGTGGTAGAATTTGGCTGTGAATCCGTCTGGTCCTGGACTTTTATTGGTTGGTAAGCTATTAATTATTGCCTCAATTTCAGAGCCTGTTATTGGTCTATTCAGAGATTCAACTTCTTCCTGGTTTAGTTTTGGGAGAGTGTATGTATCGAGGAATTTATCCATTTCTTCCAGATTTTCTAGTTCATTTTCATAGAGGTGTTTATAGTATTCTCTGATGGTAGTTTGTATTTCTGTGGGATAGGTGGTGATATCCCCTTTATCATTTTTTATTGCATCTATTTGATTCTTCTCTCTTTTCTTCTTTATTAGTCTTGCTAGCAGTCTATCAATTTTGTTGATCTTTTCAAGAAACCAGCTCCTGGATTCATTGATTTTTTGAAGGGTTTTTTGTGTCTCTATTTCCTTCAGTTCTGCTCTGATCTTAGTTATTTCTTGCCTTCTGTTGGCTTTTGAATGTGTTTGCTCTTGCTTCTCTAGTTCTTTTAATTGTGATGTTAGGGTGTCATTTTAGATCTTTCCTGCTTTCTCTTGTGGACATTCAGTGCAATAAATTTCCCACTACAAACTACTTTGAATGTGTCCCAGAGATTCTGGTATGTTTTGTCTTTGTTCTCATTGGTTTCAAAGAATATCTTTATTTCTGCCTTCATTTTGTTATGTACCCAGTAGTCATTTAGGAGCAGGTTGTTCAATTTCCATGTAGTCGAGCGGTTTTGAGTGAGTTTCTTAATCCTGAGTTCTAGTTTGATTGCACTGTGGTCTAAGAGACAGTCTGTCATAATTTCTGTTCTTTTACATTTGCTGAGGAGTGCTTTACTTCCAACTATGTGGTCAGTTTTGGAATAGGAGTGGTGTGGTGCTGAGAAGAATGTATATTCTGTTGCTTTGGGGTGGAGAGTTCTGTAGATGTCTATTAGGTCCACTTGGTGCAGAGCTGAGTTCAGTTCCTGGATATCCTTGTTAACTTTCTGTCATGTGGATCTGTCTAATGTTGACAGTGGGGTGTTGAAGTCTCCCATTATTATTGTGTGGGAGTCTACGTCTCTTAGTAGGTCTCTAAGGACTTGCTTTATGAATCTGGCTGCTCCTGTATTGGGTGCATATATATTTAGGATAGTTAGCTCTTCTTGTTGAATTGATCCCTTTATCATTATGTAATGGCCTTCTTTGTCTCTTTTGACCTTTGTTGGTTTAAAGTCTGTTTTATCAGAGACTAGGATTGCAACCCCTGCCTTATTTTGTTTTCCATTTGCTTCGCAGATCTTCCTCCATCCCTTTAATTTGAGCCTATGTGTGTCTCTGCATGTGAGATGGGTTTCCTGAATACAGCACACTGATGAGTCTTGACTCTTTATCCAATTTGCCAGTTTGGGTCTTTTAATTGGAGCATTTAGCCCATTTACATTTAAGGTTAATATTGTTACGTGTGAATTTGATCCTGTCATTATGATGTTAGCTGGTTAATTTGCCTGTTAGTTGATGCAGTTTCTTCCTAGCCTCGATGGTCTTTACAATTTGGCATGATTTTGCAGTGGCTGGTACCGTATGTTCCTTTCCATGTTTAGTGCTTCCTTCAGGAGCTCTTTTAGGGCAGGCCTGGTGGTGACAAAATCTCTCAGCATTTGCTTGTCTGTAAAGGATTTTATTTCTCCTTCACTTATGAAGCTTAGTTTGGCTGGATATGAAATTCTGGGTTGAAAATTCTTTCCTTCAGGAATGTTGAATATTGGTCCCCACTCTCTTCCGGCTTGTAGGGTTTCTGCCGAGAGATCAGCTGTTAGTCTAATGGGCTTCCCTTTGTGGGTAACCTGACCTTTCTCTCTGGCTGCCCTTAACATTTTTTCCTTCATTTCAACTTTGGTGAATCTGACAATTATGTGTCTTGGAGTTGCTCTTCTTGAGGAGTATCTTTGTGGCGTTCTCTGTATTTCCTGAATTTGAATGTTGGCCTGCCTTGCTAGATTGGAGAAGTTCTCCTGGATAATATCCTGAAGAGTTTTTTCCAACTTGGTTCCATTCTCCCCGTCACTTTCAGGTACACCAATCAGATATAGATTTGGTCTTTTCACATAGTCCCATATTTCTTGGAGGCTTTGTTCGTTTCTTTTTATTCTTTTTTCTGTAAACTTCTCGCTTCATTTCATTCATTTGATCTTCCATCACTGATACCCTTCCTTCCATTTGATCGAATCAGCAACTGAGGCTTGTGCATTCATCATGTAGTTCTTGTGCTGTGGTTTTCAGCTTCATCTGGTCCTTTAAGGACTTCTCTGCATTGGTTATTCTAGTTAGCCGTTCGTCTGATTTTTTTTCAAGGTTTTTAACTTCTTTGCCATGGGTTCGAACTTCCTCCTTTACCTCAGAGTAGTTTGATCATCTGAAGCCTTCTGCTCTCAACTCGTCAAAGTCATTCTCCATCCAGCTTTGTTCTGTTGCTGCTGAGGAGCTGCGTTCCTTTGGAGGAGGAGAGGTGCTCTGATTTTTAGAGTTTCCAGTTTTTCTGCTCTGTTTTTCCCCCATCTTTGTGGTTTTATTTACCTTTGGTCTTTGATGATGGTGACGTACAGATGGGGTTTTGGTGTGGATGTCCTTTCTGTTTGTTAGTTTTCCTTCTAACAGTTAGGACCCTCAGCTGCAGGTCTGTTGGTGTTTGCTGGAGGTCCACTCCAGACCCTGTTTGCCTGGGTATCAGCAGCAGAGGCTGCAGAACAGCAGATATTGGTGAACAGCAAATGTTGCTGCCTGATCGTTCCTTTGGAAGTTTTTTCTCAGAGGAGTACCCGGCCATGTGAGGTGTCATTCAGCCCCTACTGCGGGGTGCCTCCCAGTTAAGCTACTCGGGAGTCAGGGACCCACTTGAGGAGGCAGTCTGTCCATTCTCAGATCTCAAGCTGCGTGCTGGGAGAACCACTACTCTCTTCAAGGCTGTCAGACAGTGACATTTAAGTCTGCAGAGGTTATTGCTCCCTTTTGTTTGGCTATGCCCTGCCCCCAGAGGTGGAGTCTACAGAGGCAGGCAGGCCTCCTTGAGCTGCAGTGGGCTCCACCCAGTTCAAGCTTCCCGGCTGCTTTACCTACTCAAGCCTGGGCAATGGTGGGCGCCCCTCCCCCAGCCTGGCTGCCACCTTGCAGTTTGATCTCAGACTGCTGTGCTAGCAATGAGCAAGGCTCCGTGGGCGTAGGACCCTCCGAGCCAGGCACGGGATATAATCTCCTGGTGTGCCATTTGCTAAGACTGTTGGAAAAGTGCAGTATTAGGGTGAGAGTGACCCGATTTTCCAGGTGCCGTCTGTCACCCCTTTCTTTGACTAGGAAAGGGAATTCCCTGACCCCTTGTGCTTCCCAGGTGAGGCGATGCGTCACCATTCTTTGGCTCACGCTTGGTGTGCTGCACCCACTGTCCTGCACCCACTGTCCGACACTCCCCAGTGAGATGAACCCGTTATGTCAGTTGGAAATGCAGAAATCACCCGTCTTCTGCGTTGCTCACGCTGGGCACTGTAGACTGGAGCTGTTCCTATTTGGCCATCTTGGTTCCATCCCCCCTACTTTTGAGATTTTAAACTTGGGATGCCTTTGATTCATTTTATTCAAGTATTAATTTGAGTAAAAAGTCATGTATGTGCATGAAGTATTAGCTGCAGTGGTGGTTTTGTTCTTCATAACTTTGCTCATAATAGCTTTGTTTATTTATTTATTCATTTATTTATTTTTGAGACAGGGTCTTGCTCTGTCACCCAGGCTGTAGTGCAGTGACATGATCTTGGCTGACAGCAACCTCTGCTTCCCAGGTTCAAGTGATTCTCCTGTCTCTGCCTCCTGAGTAGCTGGAATTACAGGCATGTGCCACCATGCCTGGCTATGTTTTGTATTTTTAGTAGAGACAGGGTTTTGCCATGTTGGCCAGGCTGGTCTCGAACTCCTGACCTCAGGTGATCCACCCGCCTTGGCTGCCCAAAGTGCTGGGATTACAGGCATCAGCCACCATGCCTGGCCTGCTAATAATAACTTTAAAAAACCTAACATTTCATATTTTGATAAATAAATGCAGTACTCATATCCAGTTGAAAGGGAAATACAACATTATTTAATAAACATATTACATCTAAATATTAAAAAATTCCTATCATATGATAAATTAAAAAAAAGAGAAGAGATTAAGCAGGGGCTTAGAAACATAAACAAATATAAACAAACTTTACAAAACTGAATGGATTAGCAGGGTGTTGGGGCACATGCTTGTAGTTCCATCTCCTTGGAAGGCTGAAGCAGAAGGATCCCTTGAACCTAGCCCAGGCAATAAAGCAAGACCCTGTCTCTTAAACAAAACAAAACACAAAACAAAACAGAGACAATTGGAGGAAGACAGAAACTAGAAAGAAAGTGTAAAAAAATAAAAACACCCCAAAACTCACAGAAATTAAAGTGATTTTTAAAAGTTGGGTTGTTTATTTGTTAACTATGAGCATGACCGCTCTACAGTCAGAAAAGATAAAATCAAGGCTCAGATGGGGAAACGCATGGTGCTGCTTTTAGAACCATGCTCAGAAAGATTTGGTGGAGTTTAAACAAACAAGTTCAGACTTCTGTTGCCCTCTTTTATAGGAGTGAAAGAGAAAGGAAGGAAAGATTTACAAAGGTGTAAATCCCTTTCATCCCCTGGACCACAGAGGTGTAGCAGAGAATGGTTCCTGTAAGACTTGAAAACTGAAAGTACAACATAGGTGCAATTTGTGACTAAGTATCACTGGTACAAAGAACTTAACTGATTGAAATATATCAATAAGTAATCTCTTGGGTGGTCATACAGGAATGCTTAAAACCTCAGACCCAATTAATGGCAAAACAATGACCCTACATCTGTTTTTTATGTATACACACACACACACACACACACACACACACACACACACACAAATACATATGTAACAACCTTTTTTCATGGACTGTCTTAGTTCATCTCATTTTGAGGAAATAGTTGTTGAATGACTTCTGTGTGTTTCTGTGACATTGTATTAAGTATTCAAATACAGACTTAAAAAAGTAACTTCCTCTTATGGCTATTATATTTTAATATTCCTGAGGCAGATCATTATCGATTACCTGTCAGTCTCCTTGGGGTTTCCATGATATCCCCTTGACACATCTCTATTGTTGTCTTCCACATTGCTTTGTGATGGCTTCTGTTCGTTCATCTTCTTCTCCAGACTGTGAGCTTCTTGATAACAAGATCTTTGTCTCACTGTTTTGGGATTCTCAGATCTTAGCACAGTCCTAGAACATTTTATGCTCTTTTCAAACCTTCGTTGAATGAATACATTAATGATTCTCAAGTATATATTTCAAGTGTTGACCTGTCCCCTAAATTCCAGAGCTGCTATCATCATCTTCCTGTTGAATATTTCCATGAGTCTACTATCTTTCACAAACCCAAACTGCTTCTCTTCCGTGACAAATCAGCAGCCCCTTCTGGCTCCACTGTTTTTGAAGTAGGCCCCCTTAAAGCTGAAGATTCACAGTTTATTTGTCCATAGTTGCCCTATCTTAGCACCCTATTTTAAAATGTGTTTTTGTTATGCAGACTTTGTAAGGGTCAAATCATGGCCTTCAAATCGATTTAGAGAAATTGAAATCTCGCAATGAATATCTCATGAGAAGAGAAGCATAATGAAGACTACAAAAAAGCAATGCATTTAAAAAGTAGCATGTTGCTCCTGTGTGTGTATAGCACAAGAGAAGCTTAGAAGAGTGACGATATCTCCCAGCTGTCACACTTTTATTTTATATCCTTCAGTTATTTGTGGCAATGATGGAAACCAGAACAATATGATTGACATCCTTAGAGTATTCATAACACTATTCTTAGCTCGCATGTGACCTTGCATTCCCTCAGACCTTTCACCATTTCTCTTTTAAACAAATTTTTAAATTTTCTAACAATCTCCAGTTTACAAGAACGGCTATAGCACAGTCCAAAGACCTTTTTTTTTTTTTTTTTTCTGAACCATTTGAAAGTAAATTGCTAATCAAATGTTCTATCACCTATAAATACTTCTGTGTGTTTTTCCTACAAACTAGGTCACTTCCCTGCAGGACCCTCAGACAAGCATAAAAATCAGGAAAGTAACACTGATTACTTACTATTACTTACTATTCTTTTTTTTTTTTTTTTTTTTGAGCAGATCTCAACAGTGGGCTTAAAATCTTCACTAAACCATGTGTTGTCATTTCTGGAACACAGGTAGAATAGATGTAGCATAATTCTATTTTTTTTTTTTTTTTTAGGTGGAGTCTTGTGCTGTTGCCCAGGCTGGAGTGCAGCGGCACAATCTTGGCTCATTGCAACCTCCACTTCCTGGGCTCAAGCAATTCTCCTGCCTCAGCCTCCCAAATAGCTGGGACGACAGGCACATGCCACCATGCCTGGCTAATTTTTGTATTTTTAGTAGAGATAAGGTTTCACCATGTTGGCCAGGCTGGACTTGAGCTCCAGACCTCAGGTGATCCACTCACCTCAGCCTCCCAAAGTGCTAGGATTACAGGCATAAGCCACTGCACCCAGCCAGATGTAGCATAATTCTTAAGGGCCCTAGGATTTTTGGAATGGTAAAGGAGCACTGGTTTCAACTTCAAGTCACCAGCTGTATTAGCCCCTAACAAGAGAGCCAGGCTGTCCTTTCAAGCTTTGAAGCCAAATATCGACTTCTCCCTTCTAGTTACAAATGTCCTAGATGGCATCTTCTCCCATTAAAGGCTGTTTTTGTCTACATTGGAAATCTGTTGTTTAATGTAGCCACTTTCATTATGATCTTAGCTAGATTTTCTAGATAACTTGCTGCAGCTTCTACATTAACCCTTGCTGCTTCACCTTGCACTTTTATGTTATGAAGACAGCCTCTTTCCTCAAACCTCATAAACCAGCCTCTGCTAGATTCCAGGTTTTCTTCTGTAGTTTCCCCACCTCCCTCAGCCTTTATAGAATTGAAGAGTTAGGACTTTTCTCTAGGTTAGGGTGGGGCTTAAAGAAATGTTGTGATTGGTTGGATCTTCTATCTAGGCCACTCAAACTTTCTCCCTATCAGCAACACAGCTGTTTCACTGCTTTATCATTTGTGTGCTCACTGGAGTGGCACTTTAGTCTCTTTCAAGAACTTTTCTTTGCATTCATAACTTGGCTGTTTGGCACCAGAGGCCTAGCTTGTGACTTCTCTCAGCTTTTGACCTGCCACCCTTACTAAGGTCAATAGTTTCTTTTGATTTAAGGTGACAGATGTGTGACTCTTCTTTCACTTGAACACTTAGAGGCCATTGTAGGGTTATTAATTGGCCCAATTTCAATATTGTTGTGTCTGAGGGAATAGAGAGGCCCAAAGGGAGGGAGAGAGACAGGGGAACCACCTGTTGGTGGAGCAGTCAGAACACACACATTGGTTGATTAAGTTCACAGTCTTATGGGCATATTGTGTGGTTCCCCCAAACACTTACAGTAGTAACAGCAAAGATTACTTATTGATCATAGGTCATAATAATAGATAAAATAATAATTAAAAAATTGAAATATTCTGAATTACCAAAATGTGATACAGAGACATGGTGTGAGCCCATGTTGTTGGAAAAATGGTGGTGATAGCCTTGATTAACACAGGGTTGCCACAAAACTTCAATTTGTAAAAAACATAATACCTGCAAAGCAACTAAAGTGAAGTGCAGTAAAACGAGGTTATACCTGTATATTAATAGGTGACTCCAATAAAGACTTCGGTAATCTATAACAAGGAGCCAACTATCAAATGGCAACTGCAAAGATAGTTCTCTCACTGAAGCTAACAAAAACATCTACAAACTTTCAGCTGAAAAATCAAAAAAGTTTGAGTTGTATAGGACATTCTAACACCAGGGAATGAGACATATCTTTTTGTATGTAATAATAATGCAAGCCTGAAAATCTTCCAGTGACTCACAGAGTAATAACTGTGACAGAGGCTTTCTGAATTACACATGGTGAATTTTACAAAAACATAATATGTGGATGATGTTTACATAAGTTTATATCTTCTTCCATACTATGTAATGTGGTTCTACAAATGTTTAGGTAATTAGGGTTTAGGAGGGTATAATTAAATGATTTATTATTCAATAATATGCTTGTGTTGGGACATTGTGGAATTTTACCTGCTATTGTTGTGAGGCCCGGAGCCAAATTTAATCTTATCTATTAGTGCACAATATATTTCTTAACCAGATTTTAAAGAAAATCTAGCCAAAGTTGTATGTGATTCATGTTGTATCTTCCTCCTGATGTTAGTTTTAATGCTTTAAGATAGTAGTAGCTATGATTGATGCCACTGAAACTTTTAGTTCACTTGACTCCTCTATATAGCCCATGGATACCCAGTGTAGTACATTGATTTGGTTTTATGACTATTGACACCATTTTCTGATTTATGAAGGTTGACTTGTCCACAATCGGTGAGAGCTGGGATTTAATCCAGATATTCTGGCTACAATCCCAATAAGAGATGGGTCATTCTTATCCTTCATTCATGTATTCATTCATTCATATCATTCATTCATTCATTCTTTACACAGAAATGTGTTGGTACCTATGATGTACCAGGTATTTTTCTAGCCATGGGAGGCATATCAACAAATGAAAATGATAAGAACCCCTACCCTGTGGAGCTTACATTCCAGTAGGGCAGAGGGGAAACAATGGCAGATAACATAATAAGTAAATTCTGTAGTATATTAAGTGGTAGTAATGTATACTTGGAAAAAAGTAAGCAGGTAAATGGAATTGGGCATACCAATTTTATACCTCTTTGGAGGGAGATATGAATTAATTTTTCAATTTTATCTCATAAATTATGTCAAAATAATAGGTTTTGTCCCAAGCCTTTCCAAGCAGGTAGCCTGGAACAAGTGTTCTGCTCTTCTCCTCTCTCCCCACTACTCAGAACATTGCTATAAAAGATAGCTAAATTACAAGATCAACTTACAGAGTCCTACTTAATTCATTATGTAGCTCAACTGTGGTTCAAATCTAGTAGTGTTATAGACCTAACCAGTCCTTACAGTGGGTTTTCTCCCCAGTCTGGTAAACTGTATTCCATGCTCCAGCTGCAGGTGACAGGAACCTCATCCTTTCATGCTGCTCTTTTAGCTTTGGGAGTAAGCAACTCCCTCTCCTTCCACATTATCCAATATTGTGCGGCAGAGACTTGCTTCCATTAAAGATACTGATAGTGGCTCCTCCACTGCTAGAAGCAGGAGGATGATCTTGGGGAATGATTATGGATTTAAAGGAGGAAGAGATAGTAGCATAGGCTTCTGTTTTCACAGGAAATAGGAAGGTTGACAGTTGGAAGAAATCGTAGAGGAGTCCCAGCTGGGATCAGTGACAGGAGGGAGGAAAAGGGAGGCCCTGGTCTCACAGGAAGGTTGAGTTATTGGGATGTTTATGAGTCAAGGATGGTCGCTTATCACCCAGTATGTAGGTTTCTGTAGATAAATTCCTGAGATGAATTTACCTATGCCTTCTTGCTTGATTTCTTTTTTGCTTTTTCTTTCTTTCTCCCTTTCCCTTTCCTTTTCCTTTCCCAGGGTATTGCTCTTTTGCCCAGGCTGGAGTGCAGTGTGCAATTATAGCTCACTGCAGACTCAAACTCATAGGCTCAAGTGATCCTCTTGCCTCAGTCTTCTGAGTAGCTAGGACCACAAGCATGCACCACTATGCCTATCTAATTTTTTAATGTTTTTGTAGGGATGGGATTTTGCTATGTTGTCCAGGCTGGTCTTAAGCTCCTGGCCTCAGGTGATCCTTCCATCTTGGCCTCCCAAAATGCTGAGATTATAGGTGTAAGCCACCATGCCTAGCCTCATTTAATTTTCATAAAGTCTGAAATTATTATCTACTCTAAGTTTGGCAAGCAACTGGTTGTTTAGAGTTTAGTAATAATTTTTTGAAAAGATATAATGGATATAATTTTTACATATTTGTTTAATAGCATCCTCACAAAGAAATTTTTAAATTTCTTTTATAGAATTCTGATATTTTACAGCCCTGAGGTACTCTTAATTTTAAAATATATTTCTTTTTTAATACATTATTTTTCATAAAGGCTTTATAATCAGCATGCTTTTATTTTTTAAAAATATTGTACTACTAATATTGTTGCATAACTTCAAAAATTATCATTTAGTAGCCATATAATACTGGCTAATAATTAACATAATATAATATAATAAATATAATATAATATAATATATAGTCTATTGATAAATAGGTATTTGAGTGTTTATCTGTTTGCCTTGTATTATACTAGGAAATGTGGCTTGCCAAAATAAATGCATTATGCTTTCGGTTAGCTTGTAGTCTCATTCATAAAGCAATGTAGATACAATGCAGTAAGGATAAGGTGAAATCTGCCTTTGCAAAGGGATTTTTAATTTGGAAAAAGAAGGGATTTGTGGGACAATGAGATAGAAGGCTTTACAGAAAAACTAGATGGCTTTGTGGAGAAAGAGAATTTAACTAGTTATTACCAGTTCAACCGCTACGTCCCCATTCAGACCATCAGCATACTGTGTGTCTTCCTTTTTCCCTGCTTTCCCCTTGCAATCTATTTGCTATACAGGTGCCACAGTAAAAAGCAATTCAGATCAAGTGACTCCTCTGTTCAGAACCCACCAGTGGTTTCTCAGGTCATTTATAATGAACCCCTCAGTCTTTAATGATATAGCCTACAAAGTTCTGCATGATCTGCCCCCTTGGCTGCCTCTCTAACCTGATTTCTGACTTGTGTTTTCCTTACACACACTGTCTCTTGATGCTGGACGCATTCCTGTACGTCACACACTCCCAGCATGCTCTCACATTACAATGTTTGTAATTGCCATTCCCTCCACCTTGAAAGTTTGTCTCTGCAGTATTTCCCTGGCTTGCTCTCATTTCCTTTGGATCTCTGCTCACATGTTACCTCCTTAGAGAGGGCCTTCCTGAAAATGATAGAAGTGTTTTTTTTGGAGCACATCCCCTCACTCCCCAGCTCCTCTCCAGTGTATTTTTCTCCATAGCATCTTTCTGCCTGACCTTGTATTTCTATATCTTTTTGCTTTTTATCTTCTGGAAAACAAGCTCCATGAGATCACACAGGGATTTTGCTTTATTCCTCACTGCATGTCCCCTCCTAATACAGTTCCTGGAATACAGGTGGGGGTTCATAAATATTTGTTGGGTAAATGAAAGAATATATTAAAATATTATCATAAACCTTTTTTCTTTCCATGATTTGATGATGTGGAATTGAAAACAGGTCTACATAGATGATAGTGATATAATCAACAGCATTCCTGAGTACGTCTAGGATCAGCACTTGGTCTAGAAAAGATCTGTCTTCTGCCCTCCTTTCCCGTCCATGCACATCCACTGCCTTTGGGATCAAACCCAATCTCCTTCCTCTGGCAGTCAGGGCCTTCTGAGACCTCATCTCTGTTGATCTTTCTAGCTTTACTTCTACCAAGTCATTCCCCTCATAACTGCATGTCATACTGAGTGGCTTATAGTTCCCCTCCTGTGGCCCTTGCAGATATTTCTTGCATTGCTTTTCATTTGTCACTTATTTGTTTATGGGTTTCTCCTCACAGTGCATAAGCTCTTCAAAGGAAGAGGCCTGGTATATCTTTGTATTTCTGGGATCTAGCGCAGTTCTTGTATATTGTAGATGGTCAGTAAATACTTATTCAATGTAAAAGATGTTTTTTGCCTTCCAAAGACTAGTGGTAACTTGAAATGGTTGGATATAGGACAGATAAACTGATAGAAGCAGTTTTACCTCATTAGAGGGCTTGGATATAAGTATGTCCAGGGACAAATATAGTAAAAAAGAGAGCAATATTATAATATCCTTTAAAAAAAAAAAAAGAGACAGGTCTTGCTGTGTTGCCCAGGCTGGTGCCATTATGGCTCACTGTAACCTCAAACTCCTGGGCTCAAACAGTTCTCCTCCTTCAGCTTCCTGAATAGCTAGGACTACTGGTGTGTGCCACCATGGCGGCTAATTAAATTTTTTTTTTTTTTTTTTTTTTTTTTTTTTGTAGAAATGGGTTCTCACTATGTTGCCCAGGCTGGTCTCAAATTCCTGGCCTCAAGTGATCCTCCCATCTCAGCATCTCAAAGTGCTGAGATTACAGGCGTGAGCCACTGTGCCTGGCTAGAATATCCTAACTTTTAGCAAAATCATACCTGAGATGAGGAAGGATGGCATATAACATGATTGAATCAGCACACTTAACTAAGAAAGATAGCCTAAGTGGAAAGAAGGGTTATTTGAAAGGCATTATTTAGAAAGAAGGGGAGCCATTTGGCAGTGGACTGACTATGTGGGCATCAGTCCTTTATTTAGTCACTGAGAGTCATGCAAGGTGGTGAGCCTGCTGATAATGAGGAAATAATACAGAGGGGAGAATTCAGGGGAGTGATGACACGTTCACGTTCTTGCTATTTTGGACTTATTAACAACGTGAGTGTTGAGGGTTATGATAGTGTTAGCCTGGCTGCTCCTGGTTCGGGAAAGAGTGCTATGAAAATTGAGATATATCTGTCTAGTGTATGGGAGGAGAAAATGGCTGTATTTGGTTCTATATATTTGTCATGCCTGGTTGATGGTTTGTATTTTCTATAGTGATTTGTGAGTGACAATGGATCTATATTCAATTGACCCAGTATAGTTGAATATGTGAAAATATTTTATGTAATTTTACTAATATATATTTTGTTAAAATACAACCATATAGAATCTACTAGGCTATAGGTGTTGAAAGATAACATTTTTTTTTTTCTAAATCAGGTTTGTTACAGAAGGAGAAAGTGGCAGTTGAAGCATTTCAGATTTGCTGCCTTCTCCTACCTCCTGAAAATAGGAGAAAGTTACAGCTATTGATGAGGATGATGGCAAGGATTTGCTTAAACAAAGAGATGCCACCCCTGTGTGATGGCTTTGGTACCCGAACACTGGTAGGTTGATTTTTAACATCAGGTATGACTTTTTGGAATGAAAGTCGACTGAGTAAGGTGTATTAGTTTGGGTGATCAGAGGGAAGTACAAAGCAGACTTGCTTAAAAGAGCCACAGTCAGTGTCCACCCAGACTTGTGTCGTGCTTTTGTTCTAAGTGTCTTAAAGAACATAATGAGAAATGGAGACTTGAGTAGGGGCAGACTCTGTAGAGAGATCTGCTACATCCTGTTCTCCCACTTAAAATTATTTTAAATTTATTCTTAATTGACAACTAATAATTGCATATGTGATGTTTTAATTCATGTATACATTATAGAGTCAATCAAGCTAATTAACAGATTCATTACCATACCAACTTATCATTTTTTTGTAATGAGATCATTAAAAATCTATTCTTTTCTCAATTTTGAAATATACAATATATTATTATAATTGTCGTCACCGTGCTGTGCACTAGAGCATTAAGACTTGATCCTCCTGTCTCACTGGATCTTTGTACCCTTTGACCAACATCTATTTCCATGTCCCTGTATCCCCCAGCCTGTGGTACCTACCATCTAATCTCTGCTTCTATTGGCATATGTTTTTAAAGAGAGTTTATTTTAGAATTTACTTACTAGCAAAATCTCTTGATTTTCCTCAAAAAATGTCTTTGAGCAAAACTGGTGCTTCAGTGGAATGTATGTGCTTTCCATATCCTGTTAAAACACCGTGTACTCCCTGGGGATTCACTGGCCCAGTTTTAGAAGTAATAGAGTGAGATCAGAGGAGCACTTAGTGCCCAGTAGGATTCTTGATCTCTATATTTTTTTGGAGTGAGTGGATGGTTAGAGAGGCTAATAGACCTTTTTGAAAAGCTGAAGAAAACTTTATATCTATTCTGCATATAAAATACACATGCAAAACTTTGCATGCAGTTTCAAGGCGATCACAGAGTCCCTGGGGTCCATGGTCTCCAGGCAAAAAATTCTCTGCCTGTGTGTCTCTCTGTACATGTAAATGTAAGTGAAGATCATTTGCAGTGTGTTAATGAAGTGTTACTAAGCAGAATTACATGATTTTTTGCTTAAAGATTTTGAAGGAAGATTGTCAGCGATAAAAGTAGTAGGAAAAAACAAAACAAAACAAAAGCCAGTCCAAAGAACAGTATTAAGAATGGAGTAGTTAGGCTGGGCGTGGTGGCTCACTCCTGTAATCCCAGCACTTTGGGAGGCCGAGGCAGGTGGATCACCTGAGGTCAGGAGTTCTAGACCAGCCTGACCAACATGGTGAAACCCCGTCTCTATTAAAATTACAAAAATTAGCTGGGCATGGTGGCAGGCGCCTGTAATCCCAGCTACTCGGGAGGCTGGGGCAGGAGAATTGCTTGAACCTGGGAGGCGGAGGTTACAGTGAGCCAAGATCACACCATTGCACTCCAGCATAGGTTACAGAGCGAGACTCCGTAAAAAAAAAAAAAAAAAAAAAAAGAATAGTTAATTTCAATTCTATGGAAATTATTACATTGATGCTATAATATATTTTGCATTTCTGCTTGCCTCAAAGAGAGTCTCATCACTTAATGTACTTCTTGAAAAGTCCCATGGCTTTGTTCAAAGATGATTGTCAAATATACATCGAAAATCCTAGAGAAAATAAGCTAACTAGGAAAAGATGTAATGGTTGAGGCATGTGGACTGTGTTAGCGGTTTAAAACAAATCAATAATGAAATTAGGATAAATAATAATTGACTAAATGGCTATAAAGTGCTTTGAACTTAGTAGTGCTACATGATTCAAGTCATGGTGATAATGATTTTCAAAATTTGTTTTCATATATTTATATGTGTGTATGTGTGTGTATATATATATATATATATATGTATATTTAAAATCGTGTAAAAGGAGGTTTAAAAATTGCTCAGATAAGCATCTCTCTGCAGTCTCTTAACAGGAAGATGCACATTTTGTTTGTTCTGGTTGTTGAGACCGTCAACCCATCTGAGATGGCTGGGTACTCTTGGTAGAATATGCACCCTGTGCCTTAGACCATTTCTCATATTTGCCTTTTGCAAATTAGATTGCACTCAGTTCAGAAAAATACTCATCTGCGTTTACCCCCCACCCCGCTCTTTTTTTAGATGGTTCAGACATTTTCCCGTTGCATCTTGTGTTCCAAGGATGAAGTGGACTTGGATGAGTTATTAGCTGCTAGATTGGTAACGTTTCTGATGGACAATTACCAGGAAATTCTGAAAGTCCCTTTGGCCTTGCAGACCTCTATAGAGGAGCGTGTGGCTCATCTACGAAGAGTCCAGGTAAAGGAGAGGATATTATCAGTTCTATGAAATTGGCAATATAAAGTCACGTAAGCTTGCTAGGCTTCTTGGGGCATTTTATTATGAGGATTAAGTGAATTAATGTTTATAAAGTACTTACAACAGGTCTTGGCACATAGTAATCCCCTGCATGTGTTTGTATTATCATTGAAAAGTTTACAGAATGCACATTTGGTTTTGTGTATCAATCCATGTGGCATATTTTTTATTGCTAATTCCTTGAATGAGTTTGTTTAGAATCTACATACACCTACTGATGGAAATGATTTTATGTGCAGTAAGTGTCTTGATTCATAATTGCCCTGTGACCTAGTTTAATATTCCCACTTTTTGCATGAAAAAGCTAAGGCACAAAGAACTTAAATAACTTCGCTTAAGGCCACAGAGCCAGAATTCTGACTGTTGCAGTCAGCCTCTGTAATCAGTGCTCTAAACTATCATTCCATATTGCCTGTCTAAAAATCATAGTACAGTAGAAGAACACTGGCATGAGAGCCATGAATCCCTGGCCAAATTCCTAGCTGTATCCTTTCTGTCGTGTGACTCTGGGCAAGTCCCTTAACCGCTTTGGATTTTACTTTCTTTCCTCAGGCGTTAAAATGGGCTATTCTTTCTTTATAAAGTTGTGAAGATTAGAACACTGTACTTTACAATTCCTAGGATGAATTTCTGACATATGTCAGGTATTCTTTGAAAGGTAGCTGCTGCTGTTGTCATGGTGGTTATATAAAAACAATGCAAAAGAAATATAATATATTATTATCGTGTGGACCCCAAAGTGGGGTTTGTATGTCAGCCTGTGGGAGCAGAAACCTGGTAAAGGCAGGCAGAAGGTCCACTTGACTCCTTCTGACTGATTGGACCTCTTCTCATTTGAGATCTTTTTGAGGCACCACAATCAAGGACCAGTGAACTGCCTCCTTCTGAGGTATTACAAAAATAATTAATTGTCCAGCTGTTTCTAGAAGGCAATTTTAAAATTAAAATTTTTTCTATTTTTTTGCAATTATCAACCTAACACATTGAAGAAACTTGGGAAATATAGAAAAAACACACCAAAAAGTATCAGAGTTACACTAAAATGTTCATAGTCAGTAATATAGTCTTTCAGATTTTTTTTTCTGTGTCTGTCTGCTGTCTATGTCCATGCCTACCTTACTTTCTTCCCTCTCTCTTCCCTCCCCACCCTCCCTTCCTTCCTTCCCTCCTTCCCACCTTCCCTGCTTCCTTCTTGCCTGCCTCCCTTCCTGCCTGCCTCCCTTCCTGCCACTTACATTCTGTTAACAATGAGAAAAAAATTCCCCCATCATTAAATATTGTTGATTGGCATGAGAATGGCCAAGAGCACAGACTCAGGAGCCTTTGAATTCATGACATGCCTTTTGTTAGCTGTGTCACCTTAGGCAAATTATATAACATGTCTGTGCTTCAACATCTGTCCCAACATTTCTTTTTCTCATCTGTAAAATGGGAATAATAGTAGTTAATATTTACCTCATAGAGTTTTTCTGGGGAATTAAAACATGTGATTAAAATACATGTGGGCTTAATACATGTGAAATGCTCACAATAATGTTTATCACATTGTAAACCTACAATTAGTAGCTGCCTTTGTTGTTGGTATCATCATTATTGTTATATTATTCCATAATAATATTATTGGCAACATAGTATTCCATAATATGGATATACCATAATTTATTTAAATGATACTTTTTGGTTGGTATTTAGATTGTTTTCATGCTTTCCCCCATTTTGGAAGCAATATAGCAGTAAATATTTTTAAAGGTAGATTTTTTTTGGCTAATCTGTGATTATTTTTTAAGAATAAACTCCTAGGGGCAGCATTGCTTGGCCAAAGGCCATGAACATATTTTAAGTATCTATAGCATATTGCCAAATTTAGAATGATCATTTCAATTTACATTTCTGTCAGTGGTATAAGAGAGTGTTCATTTCTTTGCCCCTTTGCCTACTTTGGATATTATCATTAACACTTGTATATATCTTTGCCACTTGCATGGGTGAAAAGTGTAATTTTAACTGCTGTTTTAGTTTAATTTTTTCCTCTGATATTTTTATGAGCCAACCCTAAAGAAAATAAAAATGAACAGAAATACTTCACCAAGTTTCTGCAAGGAAATGTTATAGCAGTGTATTAGTCTGCTCTCATGCTGCTAATAAAGACATACCCAAGACTGGGTAATTTGTAAAGGAAAGAGGTTTCATTGACTCAGAGTTCAGCATGGCTGGGGAGGCCCCAGGAAACTTACAATCATGGCAGAAGGGGAAGCAAACACATCCTTCATGAGGCAGCAGGAGAGAGAAGCACCGAGCAAAAGGGAGAAAAGCCCCTCATAAAACCATCAGATCTCATGAGAACTCACTCACTATCATAAGAACAGCATGGGGGGAACCACCCTGTGATTCAGTTACCTCCCATCTCCCACAGCAAGGGGATTATGGGAACTACATTTCAAGATGAGATTTGGGTGAGGACACAGCCAAACAATATCAAGCAATAACTGTGTTGCCCTGTATACTTGCTAGGTTTGTGTATTCACATGCATAGCACAGGCATATATTGTAGTAACTTAGCCTTGTGAGCCCTTTGCTATTACTTGAAGTTCAGAAGGCTGAGCTATGGTGATTAATTTAACTGCAGGTAAACATGATCTTGTTAAGAGACACTGCAGTGTGCTCTGAATAAAATCAGTAGTGATTCATTTGTCCAGTTACCTTTTCTCTCTTGCAAGTACATATTAGAATTGCCAAGCACCTGTTCCATTCAGCCCTCAGAACCTATAGATCTTTGTTCTTTTGATTAGGCTCCTAAGCCTCTACACTGTATCACATTTAGGGGAGTGCTTCTCTGAAAATGCAGTGTTGCTTGGATTATTCCAGTGATTGTTTTAGGACAGTTTCAGGGCTGACCCTGGGATACATTATTAGGTAGGCAATGTTTTTGACACAAGCCTTCTATGATCCTCATCTGCAACCTTCTATTTCAAAGGACTCCAGGCTCTGAAATTAAATATTTTTAATGTATGTTCATTTATTCACAGGCCTTGGTTTCCTTTTTCCTCTTATTTCTCTCTTCTCCCTTATCCCTTCTGCAATGTCTGCACCTTTGTTGTTTTACTTGATTCTCATGGGTAAGATGTTAGGAAATGATTGTAGTACCCCTCTCTTCCTAAAAGCTTAGCTAAATGCATGCCACTACCATCCCCAAGGCATTGAGAATCACACTCTTCAGATGTGGGAATGCGCCTGGATAGTTCCAGTGGATATCCAACATTATCAATGTTTTGAATCATTTTAGTCAATGTGTTTAATTTATGCTTGAATTTCAGATCTTGTTAAAAGAGGGAATGCCGAGACCAGCTCGGTCGTGGAGACCCTAACCCAGTGGCCCTAGAGGAATTAAAGACACACACACACACACACACAAATATAGAATGTGGAGTGGGAAATCAGGGGTCTTACAGCCTTCAGAGCTGAGAGCTTTGAACAGAGATTTACCCACATATTTATTGACAGCAAGCCAGTCATAAGATTTACTAAAAGTATTCCTTATGGGAAATAAAGGGGTGGGTGAAATAAAGGGAAGAGCTCTGGCTAGTTATCTGCAGCATGAACATGTCTTTAAGGCACAGATCGCTCATGCTATTGTTTGTGGTTTAAGAATGCCTTAAGCGGTTTTCCGCCCTGGGTGGGCCAGGTGTTCCTTGCCCTCATTCCTGTAAACGGACAACCTTCCAGCATGGGCATCAAGGCCATCACGAGCATGTCACAGTGCTGCAGAGATTTTGTTTATGGCCAGTTTTGGGGCCTGTTCCCAACGAGGGCACAAGCTTTTTTTGTTATTGAAATGGCTCTTGGGTTTACAAAGGTAAAAATCCAATTTAAAACCGTGGCTTTAAATAATAATATTTTGAAGTTATGGAAATACTTTTACTTTTCAATATAGAGTTTCCCCCAATCAAATTTTGAGGACTAACATGGCATTGCTACGGTACAAGGAGATATCCTGTATTTGATCTAAACTAATTCTTATAATTTATTTGAAAATATGCTATATTCTTTCACTACTAATCCTTTTGCCTCAGATAAAATACCCAGGAGCTGATATGGATATCACTTTATCTGCTCCATCATTTTGCCGTCAAATTAGTCCAGAGGAATTTGAATATCAAAGATCATATGGCTCTCAGGAACCTCTGGCAGCCTTGTTGGAGGAAGTCATAACAGATGCCAAACTCTCCAACAAAGAGAAAAAGAAGAAACTGAAGCAGGTAAAAGGATATTCTTTATAAGCCATTTTTTCTCCTCCCTACTGTTTTTATGTTTTTTTTTTTATTTTAATAGGCTTCATGTAAATCTCATCTTCTGAGCCATAGCAGTTTTCTAAGTATATTAGTTCATACATTCTAGAAGTCTCACTGATTTACACACTTGTGGTCAGTATCCTAGATCTTTATTCTTCAGTGTAAATCTGTTACCATTGCCAAACTCTTCATTTTTGGAGCTATTCTCTAATATTTGTCCTTTGTTTTGGTATGTGGCATGATGTGAATTAGCAGAGCATCTGCTTTAATCTCAGAGAAGCTATCAGTGAGGGTGGATTTCTTTTCATGTTTTCAAAAGGCAAATCAGATGGAATTCACAGGTGTAAAATGTTTAGAGTTTAAAAGCCGTTGGTTTTAGATAGCCACTATCAAATTAGTTTCTTGCCTCAGGTATCAGTACAAGTTTTTAGTTCCTCTTATGTTAGGGAACACAGCTTAGGGTTCCAGCGAATCGTTTTTAACTCACAATATGTTACTTTTGACTATTCATAAAGGTTGATCCATGATCAGGTGAGTGGTTTTTGTTTTTAAAGACTGAACTCTACATAGTTGGATTCAGGGAACACCGTACATGTGGGATTACACACAGAGCACCAGAGTTCTGGGCTTCTGATCATATTATTCTCAGAGTAATTTTGGAGGAGAGTTTAGTGGTAAAGATCAACAGAAAGTATACTGCCTCTCTTTTAAGCTTTTCACAAAGTAATATACACCAGAATATTCCCTCTTCCATTTGAGCAGAAGCTGGTGGGGCTGAGTTGGAGAAACAGAGAAATGATGAAATGTAATTGGGCCAAAATTTTATTTAACTGTGTAGAACAGAAGTTATTTTGAAGTCAGAGTTACTTGTGAATATATAAAAAGTGAGGTCTATTTATAGTTGGCAGTGGGGGGAATTTTCAGAAACATGATTAAAAGGGGAACTTATTTGAAGCTTAGATCAAAGGAAAGATGGATTAGCTCTATAGAAATTGGAATGAAATGTTTTAACAAAAATAAACAAAAACAGGAAAATACAGGCTCAGAAACTCTTAAAATTTGGCTGCCAAATTTTATTGGCTTTTATGTGTCTTTTTTTACTCTTCTTGGACCATTCATTTTTTTAGTTTCAGAAATCCTATCCTGAAGTCTATCAAGAACGATTTCCTACACCAGAAAGTGCAGCACTTCTGTTTCCTGAAAAACCCAAACCGAAACCACAGCTGCTAATGTGGGCACTAAAGAAGCCTTTCCAACCATTTCAAAGAACTAGAAGTTTTCGAATGTAATAATACTTCCACAGCAACAGGTGCTAGAGACCACTGTTGTTGTTTTGAGTGAATGGTGGTTAGGAGAAAGACTTTGGTGGTGGAAGAAAGAAAAGCATAAAACAAAGACTACTGAAATATAGATAAAGATTGCCTTAGTTTTTAAAAATGTTTGGCCATTAGTATTTTTATAAAACTCAATGCTAGTTTTAAAGTGTATAAATTGGTTAAAATTTATGAGTCAAATATATAGTGATAATGTTAACATGTTTGTAATTGCTACAGAATTTAAGGGTATTTTTATCTCTGTGCTTTCTTTTTCATGGTGTTTATTAAATAATTGTGTATATACATCCTAGCTACTGATATCTTTATTATAGCCTTAAGACTTAATTTTAAGTCTTAAAAATAGCGTGTATACTTGAATAAGAAAGACACTGGGTACTGTTACTGTGATGCTATTGACTTAGTAGCCAATTATCATTTCTCCTGTATAAATTCCAGTTTTTATTGCTGCACATAAATTTTTTAATGTCTTATATTGTGATAGCTATGTCTTTTATTGCAGATTTATTGGATGTTATGACAGATTTTACTAAAGCTAGTGTTTTTATAACATATATATTAGTTGATGTTTACCTATAAGTGGAGTAGATTTTCATCTGCCTGCAATGGTATAATTTCAGTCTTAGCTAAAAATGGAAAGTTGAACTGGATAAATTCTTTGGGTACCCTTAGACCTCTGATTCTAAGTCAAATGCAAATGGGTTAAATAAAATGAGACTACTTCCTTTATAAATATATTTTCATCCTTTTGAAAGTAAGTGAAATGTAAATAAACTTATTTTTTTTAAAAATGCCATACCTCGTGTTTCTTTTTTGGCATTTATTTAGATCAGTTAGAGAGCATCCTCAAATGCCTTTGCCAATGGTCTTCATCAGTCATTTATTTCTATGAGAAAATGAAAAGTAAGATTTGGGCTTTTGTACTGACTGGTCTTTAGGTGAGCACTTTGCCAATTTTTTAGCATTGCTTTGTCCTTTTGTAAAATTGTGGTGCACTTGGATTATGGAGCATCTGAAAGTCTTCCTCTGAGCGCAATTACCCAGAAAGCTGAGAGCAACACCCACTAATTGGCTTACAGTACTCCTTGGACTGATTTTTCCTTGCACTTAAGATTTGCTCCTGTTCTCTTGTAGCAAAATACCTCCTACATCTGATGCAGATTTTGCTTTTAAAAATGGACCAAAGTATTCCTATTGGTTTGGGTACCACCTTACATTCCAAATACATAATGTAATGGGAGATTTTTAGTGTTTCAGGATTCATTCTCAGACTTTGGCATTCTGTTTAGAGCCAAGAATAATTCTTCTTTCTGCTCTATTTTCACTCCGAGGTAGAGTTTATTTTTCAGAATCTCTTTTCCTGTTGCTTGTCTTTGGAAGTATATGTGGTTGTTTTCTTTCCTTTTTTTTTTAAGATTACTTTTTTAAAAAAATATAACATATTTATGGAGAGATCATAAAACATAAGCACCAATTAAGTGTGAAATTGATGAATAGATAATAGCAGTTATCCAAAGTGGTTGTCCCAATTAACGCTCCCATTAACAGTGTATGAGAACTCCTTTTGTTTAATATCCTCACCGAAACTTGCTATCGTCAGAGTTTGAAATGTTGTCAATGTGGTGGTTATTAATAGTGTCTGATTATGGTTTTATTTTGCATTTCCATGATTATTAATATGGCTGAACATTTTTTTCCATTTTTTTGACTTTTTCGTCTTTGTACAAATTTTGGTATCAGATTGTCAAGCCTGCATACACACACACACACATGCAGAGACACACACTCACCCTGTTGAGTTTTTTTTTTTAATTTTGATTGTATTATATGTATAAATCAATTTGCAGAGAATTGCTGTCTACAATATTAGGTCTTCTAGTCCATGACCATGGTTTACCTTTCCATTTTATTTGAAATAAATGAGAAAAAAAGTTGCTTTTTTCTGTGAAGATTTACAAATCTTTTGTTAGATTTGTTCCCAAGTATTTGATACTTTAAAAAAAGTATCAAAATTTTCAAAGACTGTAGTACCCATTTCCTGTTTCAACAGTTACTCAGCTGATCAATGTTGACGTTTAATTCTTTTGTAAATGCTGGTGTTGTAAATTTCCTTATAGTGTTTGTTGCTTCTGTATGGTATAAAACTGATTTTTCCTGAGTTTTGTTTACAGTGAACCTTGCTAGACTTGTTAATTCTAAACATTTAGTATGATTCTTTGGCATTGTCTACGTATTAGGAAAAAAACAGCTTTTGCTTTTCCGTTCCATGGTAGACAGCATCTATATTGTCCTCAGTGATCCTTGCCTCCTGGTATTTAATGCCTTGTGTAATTTCCTGTCCTTGAGTGTGGGTGGAGCTAAAATGACACATTTCTAAATAATAGAATATATCATCAGTGATGGGGTATCACTTCTCAGATTAGATTCCAAAACTCTGGCTTCCATCTTGCTTGTCTTCCTTCTTATTCTCTCCCTGGCTTGCTCTGAGGAAAGCCAGCTGTCATGTTGTGAGCTGCCCTTTCAGAGGCCCACCAGGCAAGGAACTGATGTCTCTGGCCAACAGCCAGCGTGGACATGAAGCCTGCCAACAGCTTTACGAGTGATCTTGGAAGTGGATCTTCCCTTGGTCAAACCTTGAGGTGACTCTACCCTAGCTGACACCTTGATTGGAGACTTTTGAGAAACTCTAAGCCAGAGGACTTAGCAAAGCTGTGCCTGGATTCCTTATTCACAGAAACTGTGATATAATAAATGTTTATTGTTTTAACCCACTTAGTTGAAGAATAACTTGTTATAAAGTGACCTAGATACAATATACTTTCCAATCTCCATACCCTTCCCTCCCTTCCCTTCCGTCCCTTCCCTCCCTTCTCTCCCTTCCCTTCCCTTCCTTTCCTCCCTTCCCTCCCTTCCCTCCCTTCCTTTCCTTCTTTTCTTTCCTTTCCTTCCTTTCCTTCCTTCCTTTCCCTGGCTCCCTCCATCCTTTCCTTCTTTTTTGTCTCAGGACACTGGAGATCTTCAGTACAGCAGTTCCCTGGTTCCCATTTATCTGCTGTTTCACTTTGTACAGTTTCAGTAAGCCACGCTCAACCACAGTCAGAAAATATTAAATGGAAATTTCCAGAAATAAACAAGTTTTAAATTGTGTGCTGTTCTTATAGCATGATGAAATCTTGGACTGTCCTGCTTTGTCCACTCTGAAAATGACTTATCCCTTTGTTTCATGGATCCATGCCTGGTAGACCAGGTACATTGTTAATGAGCAGTAATATTTTGAAAGGAATCTTTTTTTTTTTTTTTTTTTTTTTGAGCAGCAGATCTCAATAGTGGGCTTAAAATATTGAGTAAACTATGCTGTAAACAGATGTACTGTTATCCAGGCTTTGCAGAGCACAGGCAGAGTAGATATAGTGTATTTTTTAAGGGCCCAAGGATTTTTTGAATGATAGATGAGCATTAGCTTCAGCTTCAGGTCACCAGCTGCTAACAGGAGAGTCAGCTTGTCCTTTGAAGTTTTGAAGCCAGGCATTGGCTTCTTTATAGCTATGAAAGTCCTAGATGACATCTTCTGCCAATAGAACGCTGTTTTATCTACAGTGAAAAGCTATTGTTTAGTGCAACCACCTTCATCATTGATCTTAGCTAGATTTTCTGGATAACTTGCTGCAGCTTCTCCAGCCTTTGTTGCTTCACCTTGCACTTTTCAGTTAATGGAGATGGCTTCTTTCCTTAAACCTCATGAACCAGGCTTTGCTTGCTTTCAACTTTTCTTCTGCAGTTTCCTCACCTCTCTCAGTCTTTATAGAATTGAGGAGTTAGGGCCTTGCTCTATAGTAGGCTTTGGCTTAAGGGAATATTGTCGCTGGTTTTATCTTCTGTCCTGACCACTCAAATGTTCTCCATTTCAGCAATAAGGCTGCTTAGCTTTTGTATCGTGTGTGTTTACTGGAGTGGTGCTTTTAATTTCCTTCAAGAACTATTCCTTTCCACTCACAACTTGACTAACTGTTTGGCACAAGAGACCTAAACTTTCCTTCTATCTTGGCTTTCAACATACCTTTCTCATTAAGCTCAATCATTTATAGCTTTCGATTTAAAGTGAGAGGCGTGCAACTCTGTTTCACCTGAACAGAGGCCATTGTAGGGTTATTAATTGGCCTGACTTCAATATTGTTGTGTCTCTGGGAATAGTGAAGCCCAAGGAGAGGGAGAGTGATGGGGGAATGGCTGGTGGGTAGAGCAGTCAGAACACACAACATTTATCGATTAAGTTCTCAGCCTTATATGGGCATGGATTGTGACACCAACAAACAATTACAATAGTAACATCAAGTTCACTGATCACAGATCACCGTAACAGATGTAATAATAATGAAAAACCTTTGAGTATTGTGAGAATTACCAAAATGTGACTCAAAGACATGAAGTGAGCACATTACTGTTGGAAAAATGGCACCAAGAGACTTTCTCAATGCAGGGTTGCCACAAACCTTCAATTTGTAAAATATGCAGTGATCTGGATACAATATACAATATAATCTGTGAAGTGCAATGAAACCAGATATGCCTGTGTATATAGTGTTCAATACTATATGGTTTCAGGGCCAGGCATGGTGGCTCATGCCTGTAATCCTAACACTTTGGGAGGCCAAGGCAGGCAGACTGCTTGAAGCCAGGAGTTTGAGACCAGCCTGGCCAACCTGGTGAAATTCTGTCACTACTAAAAATTTAAAAATTAGCCAGGTGTGGTGGCGGGCGCTTCTAGTCCCAGCTACTCTGGAGGCTGAGGCACGAGAATCACTTGAACCTGGGAGGCAGAGGTTGCAGTGAGCCCAGATCACACCACTGCACTCCAGCCTGGGTGACAGAGTGAGACCCTGTATCAACAAAACAAAACAAAACTATATGGTTTCAGGCACCTATGGAGGTCTGACATATCCCTAGCAGATAAGGGGGAGTTACTGTTTAATGTGGAATAGAGTGGGGATCGCAGCAGCATCATCTTGCTCCTAATTTCAAAGAGGAGGTTTTTAGCATTAGAGTATTTGTAGATACCCTTTTATAATTTTAAAAGAAGTTATTTTCTATTTCTATTCTATTGTCAAAAAATTTTTATTGCTCGTTTTAACCATAAGTTGATGTTGAATCTTAATCAACTACCTTTCCTACATTTGAGGATTTTATAAGTTCTATCTTTTAGTCTATCATTGGGGTTATATTACATTAATTGATTACTAATATTAAGCCACTTTGCATTCTAGGAGTGGCATAAATCTAATTATGATGTATTATCATTTGAATATATATATCTAGATTCTGTTGCTAATATTTAGTTTATAGTTCTTGTATCTATGTTCATGAGTAAAATTGGCCTGAAAATTTCCTTCTCTTACTATCTTTGTTGACTTTCTGATCAAGGTTATAAATTAAGCTGAAAATTACTCTCTTTTTCTATATATGGTTGGAATTATTTCTTTCTTGAATCTTGGGTGAAACTTAGTTAACTTTTAAAAAATAAATAATGTAATTACACCGAAGTCAGAAAAATGGTTTGTATAATTTCAAGTCTTTGAAATTTGTTGAGACTTGTTGCATAGCCTAGTATATGGTCAATTTTTGTTAATATTCTGTACACATGAAAAGAATATGAATTTTGCATTGATTACAGTTTTTTTCTCTCTCTATAAAATCTTGTTTAAATTTCCTACAATTTTACTGATTTATTTTGCCTGCATATATATGTGTGTGTGTGTGTGTGTGTGTGTGTGTGTGTGTGTGTGTGTGTGTATGTTTTTTTCCCCCTTTTCTTTTTAGAGACAGGGTTTCACTCTGTTGCCTAAGCTGGAGTGCAGTGGTGCAGTCATAGCTCACAGCAGCCTTGGCCTCCTGGGCTCAAGTGATGCTCCTGTCTCAGCCTCCCAAGTAGCTAGGACTAATTATGCTCAGCTAATTTTATTCAAATTTTTTAGAGATTTTGTCTTGCTGTGCTTGTTACCCAGACTGGTCCCAAACTCCTAGTCCTAAGTGATCTTCCCACCTTGGCTGCATTTATATTTATTATTGAGAGAATTATTATAGATTTCTGATTAAATTCATTTTGAATTTTCATATTTATCTGGTGGACTGACCTTTTTATTTATCATTATAAAATGTCATTCTTTATCATTAGTAATGTGTTTGTCTGTAGTCTTTCTGTATTATATTTTAGGTGTATCTCTTATAAACAGCATGTAGTTTATGTTTTAAGAAGCCAGCTTCACAGTCTTTATTTTTAATTGTAGCATTTAGACAGTTTATATTTAATACGATTACTCTAATTTTGGGTATAAATCTACTCTAATTTTGGGTAAAAGCACCTTTACTGATGCTTTCTAACATTATCTTCACTTTCTTGCCTTTGTTTGGATTTTGGAAATAATTTCATGGTTTCTCCTGCTAATTTTGAAACTTATGCACTGTTTCCAGTCTTCTTGTTGGATTCCCTAGGAATTATGTCTTTTATACTAACATATCAAAGTTTAAAGTTAGTCAGTATCTTTTCCCTCATCCCAGACTATTTAGGGACCTTAATGCAGTAAGAACACCCTTCCAATTAGATATTATTATAATGTATTATGCTTTATTGCTTTTTAAACTTCATAATATATTGTTGTTATTTTATATAGTCTTTGTTTACTAGACTTACCCATGCATTTTACCACTTTTTTTCTTCTTAAAGTAAATTCTTTAGAATTTATCTGCAGTAAGGGATTGCTTTGTTTTTGTCTGAAAACTTTTTAAATTTTGCCCTTATTCTTTTTAACAGCTTTATTGAGATATAAGTCACATAACCATACAATTCACCCACTTACAATGTATAATTCAGTGATTTGGGGTATGTTACTTTTTTTTTAAGTTGTGGTAAAATATATATGGCAGAAAATTTGTGTTTTAGCCATTCAGTGTACAATTTAGTGTAAAGAATGCCATCATTGTTTAAAGATAGTTTAACTGTAAGTTATGGACTAAATATTTGTCTCCCCAGAAAACTCATGTGTTGAAATCCTAACCCCCAAAGTGATGGTATTAGGAGATGAGGCCTTTGGGAGGTGATTAGGCCAAGAGAGTAGACCATGAATAGAATGAGTGCCCTTATAAAAGAGAACCCACAGAGCTCTCTTGCCCTCTTTCTATCGTGTGGGGATACAATAAGAAGTCAGTAGTCTACAACATGGAAGAGAGCCCTCACCAGAAATGGACCATGCTCACACCTTGATCTTGGACTTCCAGCCTCCAGGATTATGAGAAATAAATTTCTATTTATAAGCCACCCAGTGTATGGTACTTGTTATAGCAGCCTGAACTGACTAATACACTGTGTATAGAATTCTAGGTTGATAGCTATTTTATTTCCATATACTGCAGTTATGCCTTTGTTAGCTGGCTTCCATTACTGCTGTTTAAAAGTCAGCTGCCACTCTAGATATCACTTCTTTATCAATAATGTGCCCCTTTCTTGGCAGGCTGCTTTTCTCTCTGTCTTTCGTGGTCTTTCATTGATGTTGCTATATCTTGGTGTGTACTTTTTAAATAATTATCCTGCTTGGGATTTCTTGAGCTTCTTGAATCAGAAGTTTGAGGTCTTTTGTCAGTTTAAATATTGCCTTTGTCACAATCTCTCCTCTGCTTTTGAATCTTTAATTAAATATATGTTAGCTCTCACTCTGTCTCTTAATCTCAATGTATGTCTGTATTTTGGTGTTTCTATGCTGCTTTCTGGATAATTTCTTCAGAATGTTCTTATATTTCAGCACTTCTAGTCTCCTGTTCAATTCATATATCCACTATTATGGATTTTACATTCATTTTACTGTCCATTTTACAGCTCAGGAAACTGAGGCTCAGTCAGGTTGTGTAATATCCCTAAGATTACTCAGCTTGCAAGTAAAATAGATGGCAGTCAAAACAAGCACTGTCTAACTGCAAACCCCAGGCTCCTGACTAATGTGTTTCCAGTGAGCAATGTTTTATGGTTTTTAGCACATTTACTTTGGATACTTATGTATAAGCTCATTTGTCATTTTTCAACCTATACTTTAAAAAATTTAAGATCTCAAATTTCTTTTTGATTTGCAGCATTTTCATTGTCTTAACCAGCTTTGCCAAATTCATTTCCAATTTCTTTTGGTCTCTTTCTACAAATATATGCTAAAGATTTTTCATCGAATTTTCCACAAATTCCCACAAAAGATACTGCAACAGTGATGAAAACAAAGTCTTTCTTTGATGCTCTATAGACATAAGCATGTATTTGTTTTATTTTTAGGTATGATTTTTATAGTATTTTTCATTTTTATGTATAATTGCTTTTATTTTTAGGTATGATAAGTCAAAAATGTCATAGGGAGTATCATTGCCCTAAGAGACTCTGGTAAGAAATTTATCAAATGAATGTTCCATACAGAAAATTTTGAAAGAGTACTACAGCAAATTTTCAAGGTTGAAGACACTCTGTATGAGCAGGGTGATGGAATTCAGCCATTTCTCATTTTTATTTCTCACACGTCTTTGTGTTCCTGCATCTGCCTTCAGGGAAGTCGTGTCTGGGAGTCTAGCAAATTTAATAGACATATGGGTCACGACTTAGCACTTATGTTATCCAAGAGTTTGGTTTTGATTCCCACATATAGAAGAGTTTCTGCACATTGTTATAGGAAATATAACTTTTAAAAAGCTGATGTTTGTGAGCTGCTTGTGTACAGGAAGAAGAAACTAAAAATGTCTTATGTTTGGAAAGTCACACAAATCTTAAATCATGATTAAAAGAGGAATCAGTTAAAATGGTCCCTAGTTATATGGGTGTGGCTGTGGTAAATCATTACTTTTACCCTCAAGAACAAAACCCTATATATGTCAAAGACCTAGGGAAAAGTAAGAGTTTTATTACCTATCAAAAATCAGTATTTAGGAGAGATTCAACTGTATTTATATTCATCATCATAGTATTTTGAAGTACTCACTTCAGCATGAAACATAGGAAATTCCAATTTTACAGCATTTGCGATCGTGCGTTTTCTTGCTTAAGACAATATAACCTGCAGAGTGTAATACCTTGACATCACTGGGTCTTCCAAACAAGTTGCCGTAAAACATAAACTATGATTATTGAGTCTTAAAGAAATTATTTGCTCATGGGTACTCAAGTGATTTGAAAGTTGGGATCTAAGACCACGTTAATGAACAGAATTTGCTACTTTGTATCAACTTGGAAATATATTTCTTATTTAATTTTGTAGAACAAATATACTTCCTGGGATAAGTGGAGGATATATTAAGTACCCTCTGATGAATTTTTTCAGTGTCTAGTTAACTTAACGTTTAAATTTTCAATTTGAAGAAATAAACTGGGAACAGTAATGGGACAACAGGGTGCTAACCCAATAAAAAAAGTCACTTTCAGTTTGTTAGTGCATATTTATGTTGCAATGTAAGTTTCATAATTAAGTAGTGAATCTAAGTTAAAATTCTGTTTACAGTTTTTGCAAATTTCACCTTGGAGAATTGTTGAGTGAATTGTTTGCTTCATTTGAGGATGTAGAATAAATTATATTTTCCATAAAATGTCACCAACAGTGCTTATTTCCAAACAAAAAATAATTATGTATGTGGCTAGGTCTACTCACTTTGTAATACCTCTTTTGGGGCTCTTCTGTCAGAACTGAGGACACTTACAGTATCTAGAGCCTTTTCTAGGGAATATAACAAAAGCTTTTCTCCCTCTTCTAGCCCCCACAAATTTTACATCTTGCTGCCAGCGTATCTTTCAAAATAATAACAAGGTAGTCTTCTTGAGTAGTTTATAATGGATTTCTTTCTATGTTTAATAAAGCAAATGAAACTTAATTTTTAAAAAAACTAGAGGACTAAAAATTATTTTCATGAGAACTAAGTAAAATATAATTGATATTTGTATTAGTCCATTCTCATGGTACTATGAAGAAATACCTGAGACTGGGAGATTCATAAAGAGAAGAGGTTTAACTGACTCACAGTTCTGCATGGCTGGGGAGGCCTTAGGAAACTTACAATCATGGTGGAAGGTGAAGCAAACACATCCTTTTTCACAAGGCGACAGGAGAAGAAGCGCCGAGCAAAGGGGGAAAAGCCCCTTATATAACCATCAGATCTTGTGAGAACCCACTATCATGAGAACAGCATGGGGATAACTGCCCCCATGATTTGATTACCTCCCACTGGGCTCCTCTCACGACACGTGGGAATTATGGGAACTACAACTCAAGATGAGATTTGGGTGGGGACACAGCCAACCACATCAATATTTAAAATTGAAGTACTTCAGTTTTGATTAGTGTAGACTAATACAACATGCGAATGTAGAGGCCTTTTGCTCACTCTTCCCACTAAGAACTCAAGACCTTTGAAGGGTCCTGACAACAGACATTTCAGTGATAATTTACCAAGATAGCAGAACTGTTTGTTGCTAAAAATAGTTATGCAGGATAAAATGCAATCTATAATTTTATGAGAACCTGTGATTCTAGTTTACCTCCAATTACTAATATCCATATCTATGTTTGTATATTTTTTAATCAGGTGTGTTTTGGACTCAGAAGTTATTAAAAATTCAGTCAAATGATGGGAGTGATGTTTTGAAGATTAGAATCATGTAGCTGATTCACATGCGTTATTAGACCATGATAAGAAGCACAGAGGAAATATAACAAATGAAATCAGCCTTCTTGCCTACTGATTCTGCATAATTTTAAAAATTAAATTTGGGTTTTTGTCCATATGCAAATTTGTCCTAAAAATTTCCATCTTTTGAAAGCGTTTTGATACTTAGAAAAAAAAATTTAAGACTTTTCTAAATAGAATATACAAGATGGTACAATCTGATTGGATAATAATGCATCAGTGTTCTAAGTTAATAATTGTCTAAGGCAATAATTAACATTTAAAACATGCAGTGACATCATTTCTGAATTTTTTTCTACTTTCTACTTATCAAAATGCCAAATATAATTATACACAATTACTGCTTAAAGATGATGAAGGTTTTGATTTCAGAAAGTTCATCACTCTTACCTTTTCACAGAGAATTTAATTTGATGATCTATTAAGGCACAACAGGTGTCTGATTTAGCATATTTGACTATTTTCACAAGTCACAATCCATCTAACAAGGACAGATGTTCCCAGTAGAGGTCAGTCTTGTGTTGATAGTTATTGTATCATAAAGGAAAAACTAGGGATTTTATGTTTAAGTCCAGTATATTTGATATAGGTAGTAAGCCATTAATTGTGGAAGAAAGAAACTTAAAGATTGGTCATCTTTATTGTAACAAAAATTACTGTGGGTAATATTTTGGGTCCTTTATTACCATATGTTTTCCTCAAAACCCCAGAAAGCTTAACTGCTTGCTAAATACTCCCTAAAAGGAACTTACCAATGGTAGAAATGAACAATTATCTAAACGTAGCAACAGATAATTTGGGATAAATGTCAGATTATTGGATTTGAAACTGAAAATATTTCTTGCAAATTTCAGTTTGAGAAGAGAAACACAGAGGTAGGATAATTTCACGCATCAGCCCCTCACCTTAGCTGTCTTCTCTGCAATATGGGGACAACTGTGCTTGTTCTCTTTCCCTCAGATAAATCTTGTTTTATTCCTCAGACTAATGTTTTGGTCTATAAACCGAGAATTTTATAATAAATGCGGAGATGGCAATCGGAGATAAAGCATATGTTTACAAGTAATGCCTTTGGAGTTGTTGATGCCAAAATACAATAAGCAGTCAAACCAGCATAGCCCAGGAAACATCTTTGAGGTTACTGAGATGATAAATGACTTTACTGCAGGTAGATGGTGTGATGGAAAGAGCAGTGTGTTAGCAGCAGTGGTTCTGCCACCAGATAGCTTGAGGAGGCTTTAATTTCCCACACCTTAAATAAACATAATTAAGTAAACTGTGTTTGCTATGCAAATACAGTCTAAAAGCAAGACTCCTAGTTCCTTCTTTCGAACTAAATTATTACCCAACGGTCCTTCCTATTAGAATTTGTAGCACCAATATTAGTTAGAAATCAGAATATTTGGATTTTAACTTGTGGCACTGCCAGTTGGGCAAGTGACCTTGAGCAAGTCACAACCTCTCTGAGATTTGTCTTTTTCTCAGTAAAGTGAAGGGATTGGATATGGAAGGAACAAACTCCAGTGTTTTCCAGGACAGGAAGATATTAGAAGTTGCTGAGAATGGAGGGGTCAGTGGAGAAATGGAGTGTGCAGACCTTACAATAAGGTATCTGATAGAAACAAAGTGTTGAATGCTCTATGTTGGCCAAACTTATGCTTTATGTAGAGGTGGGCAGACAGATGCAGGTAAGAAAACTGGGAGAGAGGTGCCCAGTTACAAATGCAAAACTTCAACTCTGGTCTTCTGTCCGATGATCTGGAGTTCTTCCCACTTCGCCACACTAAGTCTTGTCGCTGACAGGAGTGTGTGGGCTTGATCTAAGCAAATCTCTGAAAGAGAGGGCTTATATTTGGTTCCCTTTATCCTCCATCTATGCCCCTTCTTTATTTTTTGGGTCCCTTTCTCTTTATCCACTACATCCTTAGTTGTGCTCAGGTGTTTCCTGAGCATGAGCTTTGTAGGCGACACATTTCAGGAGCTGAAACAGCCCAGACCCCACCTCTCTTTTCAGGCTCCCCACTATGATGTTGACATTTGCCCTCCACAGAGCTTATACCAGGCTGCATTATGTTTCTTCATGAAGACTAGTTAGCTAAGCAAGTACTTAGAGCCCTTTCATTCATTCAGTTTATTGTAGAGCCTTAATACTGCAGATGCTAGGCTGGGCAATGATGAAGGGAGAAAGACGGCTTTAACTCTGAAGGAGCCTCAGCCCAATGAGGAAAGCAATATGTCTACGTGTAACTCTAGATGATGAAATCAGACCCCTGTAGTGTGCAGGGTACACAGAGGAGAGATAATTTTTCCAGGGCAGTGGAGGGATATGCAAGGTGTTACTGAGGAGCTAATATTCAAGCTGAACCCTGAAGAATGTGTCCACTAGTGAGGAAGGCAGGGCAGAGGCATTTTCTCAGAGGAAATAGCATGAAATAGGATCTGGTGACAACTAGAAATGACTTACCATTCCATGTGGTCCAGGTAATGCTAATACTTCAATATAAAGTCTGACATGGCTCTCTGTAAAGGACTGAGTAATAAGGGGATTTCATGAACTGTGGCCAGGCAGGCAGCGGACTTATTTTTAAGTAAGGAGTTTTTTGGCACCTGTCAAATAACATCTCCGAGATGGCTTCCTTTACATATTCCAGGTCAGTTGATCCAGATCTCAATGCTCTTTGCAATTTTTGGATTCTTAGTAGGTTGCTGCTACACCATGGTTTCTCTTTCCACATTTTCACAGGGCATTCCTGCATTAGTCTGTACTGATGAGTTTACAATGGTTGCAATAATTGTTGGTGTTGATGAACCTTCCTTGCACTTTATGTAAAAGAGTGATCCTTTTATTGCCAGTTTCTATTTTTCCATCAACAGCCTGATATTCCATGCCTCTGGGTCCATACTGTTCCATTTCATAACATTTAATGAATGTTAGAAGTGGCTCTGCAAATGCATTGCCTTAATCTTGTTGCCTGCAGTGAGATGCTTTTAATATTTTCTCCACATGTGAACTCAGTGTTTTCCTTTAGGTTTTCTTTAATTTCCATGTGGTTAATGTCACTACTGCAGGGAGCCTGGATATTTATAGATTTTTCCCTTTCACTCTATCTTCAATAATTTGCTTTTGCATTCAGTGAACACATCCATCACAATAAATGGTCCTTTTCTCATTTGTATTGACTTGCATTTATATAAACCAGACTTCCTTTTTATAGTATTATCAATGTTCATGGCAATTTTCAGTAGCTTGGGGAGCTGGGTATGAGAGTTGGCACAGAGCTGCAAGTTTTCAAATGACTCATGTCATGATGCCTGGTTTCAAGCTTTATCATTAAGTCAAGACCAAAGTTATATGGGTTTTTTTCCTTAATTGCCTCAATATAAAATGAGAGTATTAAATAAGCATCTCTAAATTATTCCCAATTTCATTAAAATGTTCTTGATTTGATAGCCCTTTTGTGCACTGAAAGATGTAAAATATTCCAATTACATTGTTGACTATTCATAGTCAGTTCAATGTTATAAACTTGTATAGCTCCTAGTAGAAATAAACAGGGAACTGAGTTATATACAGTTCATATTGATCATTCTTAGATGCTATTGCTTTCTGATAGCTCAATTTATTTTAACAGAGTCTACAATGATGTCATTTTAAAATTATTATTTTAATATTTCATTTATATTCTTTTAATATAAGTTAATTTTTTCCTATCACTGTGCATGTCATTGGTTTGCAGATTGTTGGGAAGAATATCACTGGCAGGACTTGTATTGCTGTTCTTTAGGCAAAAGCAAACTGGTCAACCTAATCAAACTTTTTCTAGCTTGTGGAAGGCCTCTCAGAAAATATCTTTCAGAAGTAGCTCTGTGTGCTCAGACCCCTGGAACCAGTCATTCTGCTGCAACAGAGGCCTGTGCTTTCCTATTGCCACCCATTTTCACTGCTCAGTGGCCTCTTCAGATATTAGTGCTATTTCCATAATTCTAGTTGCATATGCTTTTTTGTTTCTTACCTATGCCACTTAAATATTGTGACATTTTGGGAGCACTTAAACATTTACTTCAAAACTTCACATCTTTGTGGTATTTTTCTATAGTAACTTGTGGTTGTTAGAAATGCTGAAAATAAATGGTGCTGGGATAACTGGGTAGTTAAATGTGGAACATTGAAACTGGACCCCTTTCTTTCACCATATAGCAAAATCAACTCAAGATGGATTAAGGATTTAAATATAAAACCTAAAACTATAAGAATCCTAGAAGAAACCCAGGAAATACCCTTCTGGACATCAGACCTGGCAAAGGTTTTATGATGAAGATTCTAAAAGCAATTGCACCAAAACCACAAATTGACAAGAGGGACCTAATTAAACAAAAGAGCTTCTGCACAGCAAAAGAAACTCTAAACAGAATAAACAGACAACCAACAGAATAGGAGAAAATATTTGCAAACTATGCATCTGACAAAGGTCAAATATCCAGAATCTATAAGTAACTTAAACAAATCAACAAGCAAAAAAACAACCCATTAAAAGTAGGCAAAGGACATGAACACTCATCAAAAGAAGAGAGATGAATGGATGAATGGCCAATAAGCATATAAAAATGCTCCACATCACTAATCATTAGAGAAGTTTAAATTAAAACCACAGTGAGATACCGCTCATACCAGTCAGAATGACTATTCTTAAATAAAAGTAAAAAAATAACATGCTGGTCAGGTTGCAGAGAAAAGGGAATGCTTATACAACTGCTGGTGGGAGGTAAATTAGTTCAGCCACAGTGGAAAGCAGTTTGGCTATTTCTCAAAGAACTTAAAACAGAACTACCATTCAATCCAGCAATCCCATTACTGGGTATATGCCCAAAGGAATAGAAATTGTTCTACCATATAGACACATACATGCTTATGTTCATTGCAGCACTATTCGCAGTAGCAAAGACATGGACTCAACTTAGATGACCGTCAGTGATGGACTAGATAAAGGAAATGTGGTTCATATATACCACAGAATACTATGCAGCCATAAAAAAGAATGAGAGATCATGTCCTCTGCTGGAAGATAGATGGAGCTGGAGGCCATTAACCTAAGCAAATTAATATGGGAGCAGAAAACCAAATACCACATGTTCTCATAAGTGGAAGCTAAACATTGAGTACACATGGACACAAAAAAGGGAACAAGAGACACTGAGACCTAGTTGAGGGTGGAGGGTGGGAGGAGGGTGAGGATTGAAAACTACCTATGGAGTACTATGCTCATTTTCTGGGTGATGAAGTAATCTGTACCCCAAACTCCTATGACATGCAGTTTACCCATAAAACAAACCTGCACATGTACCCCCCGAACCTAAAATAAAAGTTGGAATGGCAAAAAAAGAAATGCTAAAAATATATTATTTCATTATCCCAATAAGCTCTTACAGTAATTTTTTTATCTGTGTGGCTTTTTTGGGGGGTATATCTCCAGTATAATTTAAAATAATCAGTTAATTTTTGTTTTCTGGATTCAGTCATCTTTACTACCATATTAAATTATTTCGAAGACATATTTTTTTTCTCCACATTTTAGCATCTCTGAAACTAGAATGCATCTTTCAATTAAGGATGTATCACAGTTTAATTGGAAGCATTTTTTTTGTAGTGGTAGAAAAATTAGTTGTGTCCTAGATTTAATAAAATGTGGCATTTTATTTTTATTTTCCAAGGACAGATAATGGAAGGTGGTTCATTTGTTTATGCTTTGAGTAAGCATTCCTGAGTATTCTCTGAGCTTCTTTTCTGTCCCAATCTTTTCTATGCAAGTCTATCTTCTATCTTGTTCATTTATTTATTCATTCTCTGCAATTAGTAGAAGTATTTAACAGAAGGTAAAAACATTTGAAATTTTTTTACTCTGCTCTCCTAAATTTCTATGCATATGACTTTATACCTGGTCAGGCCAAAGAATTTTTGTGTAGCAGGGGATGGGAGAAGGAGAAATTATGGGAATAGTGGTGGGATTAGGACTTTTATAACAAGAATGCAAAGAAGAACCAGTGTTCAGCTTTTAATTACTGTAGGATGTTTCTAATAATGCTGGCAATGAGGAAAGCTTGACTTTGTCAGGAGAAGGAAGGATTTTCTAAATTTCTTTAAAGCTCAGATATGTAGTAAAAGAAAAATTTCTAGAATTTCTTCCAGAGTCTCAAGGTACTGGTTTATCTAGAAAGAATGATTTGGATTAGAGCAAGTAGATGCCCTCCCCTTTTGGTCTCATGGAATAAGAGTCCCTGTTTTTTCCTTAAGGTCCTTGCTTTTCCCCTTCTTAGGACTGTGTCTCAAATGGGGTGAATGTAGAAACATCAGGAAAGGCATGGAGGAGTCTGAGAACATTTGAGCTAGTGGTCTGCTCCTCTGTCAAAGCATGAGGGAGCACACAGACATTAGTTGGCTCCACTTCAGGCTTCAGGTCTGGGACACAATCAATAGTGAGAGAGCAATGACATGGAGGTAACCTTGGAGACAGCTAGAAGGATTGAGACTGAGGATGTGCTCCTGGCTCTCCAGGGCCTGCGCTTGGTGTGCAGGGTATTGTGTGGGTTTCCATGCCTGGAGCTTTTCTACTGCCTCAGGGACCTCTGAGGCCAACAGATCAGAAAAGGCTGTATCAGAGTGAAGAGACTGTAATAGAAGGAGCCTTTAAGACTAGAGGCCAGGATCAGTTTCTAGTAGTGTTTGTCAGCATTTTCCACCCCAAACCAAGTGTGAACAGTTTTACTCATTGTAACTGGTCCAGGGAGCTGAGCAACTTACCTACCTGCAGTAGAATACAGTGGAGATTCAGAGAACATCTCTTGAATCTGAGGTCTGCCTCTCTCTGTCTCTGTCTCTCTCTCTCTCTGTCTCTCCCTTACTCTGTCTCTGTCTCCTTCCAAAAAGAATAAAGTAAATGTCTTCACATACCTAGATGCCATCTTTGGGAGGAGAAGAGGGTAGGGACAGAACTCTGAAATGCAAGTGTATCTGTTTGGGTTCAATCAGAAGATAGAGAACATACAGTAATCTGAACAGGGGAATTTTAATATAAAGATAACTATTAATATAAATATAATTACTAAACAAAAATAAAAGAGTAGCTATAAGATGTAAGAAAACACATTATTGTACCCTGTGACTGAATGAGAGTAGTCAGGAAAGACAAACTCGGAAGGAGAGCCCTCTTCTTGAGGCTGGAGTTCAGACCTCACTGGAGAACACGAGATGCAGATCTCTGGATGTTAGAGGAGTTTCCCTGGTTTGCCCATGCCAGAGCTGGTCTGTAGTCACTGGGCAAGCAGAAGTAATCCTCTGGAGTGCAGGTGGGGCACAGGTGAGCTGCAGCTGGTGGCTGGGTGGGTACGCATGTAGAGAGAATGGGGATGCTGGTGGCAACCCTCTGGGGAGTGGCAGTTTTCAGTTACCCATGGCTGTGTAAGAGGAGTGTGCTGAGGGTTTGGGGGTACCAGTGTAGGCAAGAGGCCTAGAGTGTGCAGTATGCAGATTGTGAGGGTGTGGGAAGGTGATCAGGAGTCCTGGCCTACGCTGTAAGGTGGCCAAGGGACTGCACCTTCTGGACTAATGGCTGAGGCAGAACACCACTGGAGTCCTCACACCCACACCGCTGGCCCACTGTGCAGCAGCAAGAAACAGCAGAAGAGTCATTTCCTCCGGCATTGCCCCTCCAGCACCTTTAACTGTGAGAGTTTAGTATCATACACACTATAAAGGAGAAATGCTTAAAGGAATTCTGTTCATTATCACAGAGCATGTATTGAATGGTGAATTTGGAACTGAAAGGTGGTAAGTTGATAACTGGCACAATAAATCTTTATTCAGAAGAGACTAAATCATCCAAAAGAAATTCTAACAGCTGGCACTCTTTTAATGGGCTTCCAATGAACAGAGTTGTTGGATTAACCAATGCATTCTGTATCCTCCATAAAATTGTATATAGATTCATGTCCACTGTGTGGTGTTGACTCATAGCCAGTTGGCTGTGCTCTAGTATACCATTGTACCTATGTTTCCATACCATTTGGGAGCTGTGTTTATTCTCCATATGTTTATACTAGTTGTATTAAGTATCTATTTATTCCAAGTCTATTTATAGTAGTTGTATTAGTTTTCTATTTTCTAACATATTTTTATTTCTATTTTATAACAGATAATCTGAAAACTTAGTGACTTAAAACAACAATAACAACAGTGGACATTTAGTCTGCCACAGTTTCTGCAAATCTTGAATTCTGTTTTGCATAATCTGGGTAGTTCTGACTTGGGGGTTTCTCAGATGTTGCATTCGAGTTACTGGATGGGCCTGCAGTCATCTGAAGACTTGACTGCAGTTGTAGGAAGGAATTCCAAAATGGCTCACTCATGTGGTTGACAAGCTGATGAGGGCTGTTGCCAGGAGCGTCAGTTTGTTGCCATGGAGATATCTCCACTAACTGAGTACCCTCATGACATGACAGTTGGCTTACCCCAAGTTGGGTGATCTTAAAGATAGTGAGGCAGAAGCCACAATGCCTTTTATAACAGTCTCAAGAAGTCACGAAGTGTCATTTCTGCAATATCCTGTTGGTTACACAGCTCACCCTTTTTAATGTAGAAGAGGACCACACAAAAGTGTTAATACCAGGAGAGGCCACTGGAAGCTGTCTTGGCTACTGGCTACCACACTAATATCTGTTATTGTAATCACAAAATTTAATTAAATACCATAAAAACAATTGAAATATGAATATAAAAGTATTTTTTTATAAAAACTAAGTGCTTTCAAAAAACTTCTTAAAGTATAAAAAAATCTGTTGTATAAAATGAGGCTAAGACAACTAAGAAATTGAGGATATTTTGTAAAAATCTGGATGGATTCTGCTCCCAAGTAACTTTGCAAGTGACATGAACTTTTTTTATTCCACTTTAAAGAAATTAATTGGTGATGCAAAAAGTTTTGGAGTAATAAATGGCTTGAATGTTAAGGGAAAAAAATACCCAACCCAGCATGATACCCATATACTAAGCACCATTAGGGAGAAATTATCTTGCTGTTCTAAAGAGTAATGAAGTTAATGTCAATTCTTGAGAGATAACATTTGATTGAAGAACAAGTCTACAATACCACATCATAAGCTATTATCTACAAAAATGGTAATAAGAGCATAGGTATGAGGTTTTAATAAATAATATTTTACAACAATCAGTAATATTTGCAGCAATGCAACTAGAGTAAAAAATTGCTGTTATTGGCAAATTGACAAAAGAGGTTTTAGAAATAAAAAATATATTATTAATCTAACTACAGTACCAAAAATAAATTTGGAAGAATACTGAAGTTTTCATCTATCATGACAGTAGAGATTAAAAAAAAATCAAAAAACAACCACCCAAGCCATGGTGCCTATATCAGTTTTCAATTGTAGCTTAACCAAAATCACCCTAAAATTTAGTAGTTTAAATAAATGGTTTATACAACAATCATATTATTATCTCTCG
The DNA here is from genome assembly GCF_000001405.40 of Homo sapiens. Classification (NCBI taxonomy): domain Eukaryota; kingdom Metazoa; phylum Chordata; class Mammalia; order Primates; family Hominidae; genus Homo; species Homo sapiens. The sequence continues at coordinate 60,577,498 of NC_000005.10, read as the reverse complement.
GGCTCTCTGTGAGTCAGGAATTCAGACAGAGTACAGTAGGGATGATGGGTTATTTTCCCACTGTGTATAGAGCCTCATCTAGGAAGACTTGTAGGCTGGGAATGACTCAACAGTTGGGGGTCTGGAATCATCTGGTGGAATCTACATTCACTTGTATTGCAGTTGATTCTGCTTATCATTTGGAATTCCAGCTGGTCTTGCTAAAGCACATACACATGGCTCTTCCATGTGACCTCTGTGTTTGTTTGGGCTTCCTTACAGCAGGGTGGGTGCCTTACAAGAATAAACATCACTGAGAAAACCAGAAGAAAGCTGTATTGCCATTTAGGACCTTGCCTTTGGAAGTCTCACAGCTTTACTCCCTTTGTAGGCTCCATCTTGCTCAGATTCAGGTGGAGGGACCATATACACCACATCTTGATAGGAGGGTGGGTATCAAAGTCACACTGTAAGATGGTCATGCAGGATGGGAAATACTATTGTGGCAGTCTTGGAAACTGCAATCTGTGCACATACACACACACACACACTGGGAACAATCTTACTTCCTAACTGTATGAACCTTAAGGATGAAGATATGTAAAGGCCATATTTTTACCACTGAATATCATGAGAAAGTGTTTTAGTTCCATTTTGAAAAGATGGAATATGAGAAGATGAGTTTATAGAATTGATAAAATTCCTCGTTGATATGGTTTGGCTCTGTGTGCCCATCCAAATCTCATGTTGAATTGTGATCCTGAGTGTTGGAGGAGGGGCTTGGTGGGAGGTGATTAGATCATGGAGGCAGATTTCCCCCTTGCTGTTCTCATGATAGTGAGTTCTCATGAGACCTGGTTGTTTAAAAGTGTGGCACTTCCCCATTCTCTCACTCTCTGTCTCCTGCTCCACCATGGTAAGTCATGCTTGCTTCCCCTTCGCCTTCTATCATGACTGTAAGTTTCCTGAGGCCTCCCAGCCATGCTTCCTGTGCAGCCTGAAGAACTATGAGTCAATGAAACCTCTTTTCTTCATAAATTACCAAGTTTCAGGTGGTTCTTTTTAGTTTAGTTGAGAACTAATACAGAAAGTTGGTACCAGAGAAGTGGGGCATTGCTATAAAGATACCTGAAAATGTGGAAGTGACTTTGGAACTGGGTAATGGGCAGAGGTTAGAAGAGTTTGGAAGGCTCAGAAGAAGACAGGAAGATGGGAAAGTTTGGAACTTCCTGGGGACTTGGTGAATGGTTATGACCAAAATGCTGATAGTGATATGGACAGTGAAGTCCAGGCTGAGGTGGTCTCAGATGGAGATGAACTTGTTGGGAACTGGAATAAAGGTCACTCTTGCAATGCTTCAGCAAAGAGACTGGCAGCATTGTGCCCCTGCTCTAAAGATCAGTGGAGCGGCTGGAGCCAAGATGGCAGAATAGGAACAGCTCCGGTCTACAGCTCCCAGTGTGAGCGATGCAGAAGACAGGTGATTTCTGCATTTCCATCTGAGGTACTGGGTTCATCTCACTAGGGAGTGCCAGACAGTGGGCGCAGGTCAGTGGGTGCAGCACACCGTGTGCGAGCTGAAGCAGGGTGAGGCATTGCCTTACTTGGGAAGTGGAAGGGGTCAGGGAGTTCCCTTTCCTAGTCAAAGAAAGGGGTGACAGATGGCACCTGGAAAAGCGGGTCACTTCCACCCCAATACAGTGCTTTTCAGATGGGCTTAAAAAATGGCACACCAGGAGATTATATCCCGCACCTGGCTCGGAGGGTCCTACGCCCATGGAGTCTCACTGAATGCTAGCACAGCAGTCTGAGATCAAACGGCAAGGTGGCAGTGAGGCTGGGGGAGGGGAGCCCGCCATTGCCCAGGCTTGCTTAGGTAAACAAAGCAGCCAGGAAGCTCGAACTGGGTGGAGCCCACCACAGCTCAAGGAGGCCTGCCTGCCTCTGTAGGCTCCACCTCTGGGGGCAGGGCACAGACAAACAAAAAGACAGCAGTAACTCTGCAGACTTAAATGTCCCTGTCTGACAGCTTTGAAGAGAGCAGTGGTTCTCCCAGCACGCAGCTGGAGATCTGAGAACGGGCAGACTGCCTCCTCAAGTGGGTCCCTGACCCCTGACCCCCGAGCAGCCTAACTGGGAGGTACTCCCCAGCAGGGGCAGACTGACACTTCACACGGCCGGGTACTCCTCTGAGACAAAACTTCCAGAGGAACGATCAGACAGCAGCATTCGCAGTTCACAAAAATCCGCTGTTCTGCAGCCACCACTGCTGGTACCCAGGTAAACAGGGTCTGGAGTGGACCTCTAGCAGACTCCAACAGACCTGCAACTGAGGGTCCTGTCTGTTAGAAGGAAAACTAACAAACAGAAAGGACATCCACACCAAAAACCCATCTGTACATCACCATCATCAAAGACCAAAAGTAGATAAAACCACAAAGATGGGGAAAAAACAGAGCAGAAAAACAGGAAACTCTAAAAAGCAGAGCGCCTCTCCTCCTCCAAAGGAACACAGCTCCTCACCAGCAACGGAACAAAGCTGTATGGAGAATGACTTTGACGAGTTGAGAGAAGAAGGCTTCAGACGATCAAACTACTCTGAGCTACAGGAGGAAATTCAAACCAAAGGCAAAGAAGTTGAAAACTTTGAAAAAAATTTAGACGAATGTATAACTAGAATAACCAATACAGAGAAGTGCTTAAAGGAGCTGATGGAGCTGAAAGCCAAGGCTCGAGAACTACGTGAAGAATGCAGAAGCCTCAGGAGCCTATGCTATCAACTGGAAGAAAGGGTATCAGTGATGGAAGATGAAATAATGAAATGAAGTGAGAAGGGAAGTTTGGAGAAAAAAGAATAAAAAGAAATGAACAAAGCCTCCAAGAAATATGGGACTATGTGAAAAGACCAAATCTACGTCTGATTGGTGTACCTGAAAGTGACAGGGAGAATGGAACCAAGTTGGAAAACATTCTGCAGGATATTATCCAGGAGAACTTCCCCAATCTAGCAAGGCAGGCCAACACTCAAATTTGGGAAATGCAGAGAACGCCACAAAGATACTCCTCGAGAAGAGCAACTCCAAGACATAATTGTCAGATTCACCAAAGTTGAAATGAAGGAGAAAATGTTAACGGCAGCCAGAGAGAAAGGTTGGGTTACCCACAAAGGGAAGCCCATCAGACTAACAGCAGATCTCTCGGCAGAAACTCTACAAGCCAGAAGAGAGTGGGGACAAATATTCAACATTCTTAAAGAAAAGAATTTTCAACCCAGAATTTCATATCCAGCCAAACTAAGCTTCATAAGTGAAGGAGAAATAAAATACTTTACAGACAAGCAAATGCTGAGAGATTTCATCACCACCAGGCCTGCCCTAAAAGAGCTCCTGAAGGAAGCACTAAACATGGAGAGAAACAACCGGTACCAGCCACTGCAAAATCATGCCAAATTGTAAAGACCATCAAGGCTAGGAAGAAACTGCATCAACTAACAAGCAAAATAACCAGCTAACATCATAATGACAGGATCGAATTCACACATAACAATATTAACCTTAAATGGAAATGGACTAAATGCTCCAATTAAAAGACACAGACTGGCAAATTGGATAAAGAGTCAAGACTCATCAGTGTGCTGTATTCAGGAGACCCATCTCATGTGCAAAGACACACGTAGGCTCAAAATAAAGGGATGGAGGAAGATCTACCAAGCAAATGGAAAGCAAAAAAAAGCAAGAGTTGCAATCCTAGTCTCTGATAAAACAGACTTTAAACCAACAAAGATCAGAAGAGACAAAGAAGGCCATTACATAATGTCAAAGGGATCAATTCTACCAGAAGAGCTAACTATCCTAAATATATATGCACCCAATACAGGAGCAGCCAGATTCATAAAGCAAGTCCTGAGTGACCTACAAAGAGACTTAGACTCCCACACAATAATAATGGGAGACTTTAACACCCCACTGTCAACATTAGACAGATCCATGAGACAGAAAATTAACAAGGATGTCCAGGAATTGAACTCAGCTCTGCACCAAGCGGACCCAATAGACATCTACAGAACTCTCCACCCCAAATCAAAAGAATATACATTTTTTTTTTCAGCACCACACCACACCTATTCCAAAATTGACCACATAGTTGGAAGTAAAGCTCTCCTCAGCAAATGTAAAAGATCAGAAATTATAACAAACTGTCTCTCAGACCACAGTGCAATCAAACTAGAACTCAGGATTAAGAAACTCACTCAAAACTGCTCAACTACATGGAAACTGAGCAACCTGCTCCTGAATGACTACTGGGTACATAACGAAATGAAAGCAGAAATAAAGATGTTATTTGATACCAATGAGAACAAAGACACAACATACCAGAATCTCTGTGACACATTCAAAGCAGTGTGTAGAGGGAAATTTATAGCACTAAATGCCCACAAGAGAAAGCAGGAAAGATCCAAAATTTACACCCTAACATCACAATTAAAAGAACTAGAAAAGCAAGAGCAAACACATTCAAAAGCTAGCAGAAGGCAAGAAATAACTAAGATCAGAGCAGACCTGAAGGAAATAGAGACACAAAAAACCCTTCAAAAAATTAATGAATCCAGGAGCTGGTTTTTTGAAGAGATCAACAAAATTGATAGACCGCTAGCAAGACTAATAAAGAAGAAAAGAGAGAAGTATCAAATAGATGCAATAAAAAATGATAAAGGGGATATCACCACCAATCCCACATAAATACAAATTACCATCAGAGGATACTACAAACACCTCTACACAAATAAACTAGAAAATCTAGAAGAAATGGATAAATTCCTGGACACATACACCCTCCCAAGACTAAACCAGGAAGAAGTTGACTCTCTGAATAGACCAATAACAGGATCTGAAATTGTGGCGATAATCAATAGCTTACCAACCAAAAAAAGTCCAGGACCAGATGAATTCACAGCCGAATTCTACCAGAGGTACAAGGAGGAACTGGTACCATTCCTTCTGAAACTATTCCAATCAATAGAAAAAGAGGGAATCCTCCCTAACTCATTTGATGAGGCCAGCATCATCCTGATACCAAAGCCTGGCAGAGACACAACCAAAAAGAGAATTTTAGACCAATATCCTTGATGAACATTGATGCAAAAATCCTCAATAAAGTACTGGCAAACCAAATCCAGCAGCACATCAAAAAGCTTATCCACCATGATCAAGTGGGCTTCATCCCTGGGATGCAAGGCTGGTTCAATATATGCAAATCAATAAATGTAATCCAGCATATAAACAGAACCAAAGACAAAAACCACATGATTATCTCAATAGATGCAGAAAAGGCCTTTGATAGAATTCAACAACCCTTCATGCTAAAAACTCTCAATAAATTAGGTATTGATGGGACGTATCTCAAAATAATAAGAGCTATCTATGACAAACCCACAGCCAATATCATACTGAATGGGCAAAAACTGGAAGCATTCCCTTTGAAAACTGGCACAAGACAGGGATGCCCTCTCTCACCACTCCTAGTCAACATAGTGTTGGAAGTTCTGGCCAGGGCAATTAGGCAGGAGAAGGAAATAAAGGGTATTCAATTAGGAAAAGAGGAAGTCAAATTGTCCCTGTTTGCAGATGACATGATTGTATATCTAGAAAACCCCATTGTCTCAGCCCAAAATCTCCTTAAGCTCATAAGCAACTTCAGCAAAGTCTCAGGATACAAAATCAATGTACAAAAGTCACAAGCATTCTTATACACAAATAACAGACAAACAGAGAGCCAAATCATGAGTGAACTCCCATTCACAATTGCTTCAAAGAGAATAAAATACCTAGGAATCCAACTTACAAGGGACGTGAAGGACCTCTTCAAGGAGAACTATAAACCACTGCTCAATGAAATAAAAGAGGATACAAACAAATGGAGGAACATTCCATGCTCATGGGTAGGAAGAATCAATATCATGAAAATGGCTATACTGCCCAAGGTAATTTATAGATTCAGTGCCATCCCCATCAAGCTACCAATGACTTTCTTCACAGAATTGGAAAAAACTACTTTAAAGTTCATGTGGAACCAAAAAAGAGCCCGCATTGCCAAGTCAATCCTAAGCCAAAAGAACAAAGCTGGAGGCATCACGGTACCTGACTTCAAACTATACTACAAGGCTACAGTAACCAAAACAGCATGGTACTGGTACCAAAACAGAGATATAGATCAATGGAACAGAACAGAGCCCTCAGAAATAATGCCACATATCTACAAGTATCTGATCTTTGACAAACCTGAGAAAAACAAGCAATGGGGAAAGGATTCCCTATTTAATAAATGGTGCTGGGAAAACTGGCTAACCATATGTAGAAAGCTGAAACTGGATCCCTTCCTTACAGCTTATACAAAAATTAATTCAAGATGGATTAAAGACTTAAATGCTAGACCTAAAACCATAAAAATCCTAGAAGAAAACCTAGGCATTACCATTCAGGACATAGGCATGGGCAAGGACTTCATGTCTAAAACACCAAAAGCAATGGCAACAAAAGCCAAAATTGACAAATGGGATCTAATTAAACTAAAGAGCTTCTGCACAGCAAAAGAAACTACCATCAGAGTCAACAGGCAACCTACAAAATGGGAGAAAATTTTTGCAACCTACTCATCTGACAAAGGGCTAATATCCAGAATCTACAATGAACTCAAACAAATTTACAAGAAAAAAACAAGCGACCCCATCAAAAACAAAAGCCAAAATTGACAAATGGGATCTAATTAAACTAAAGAGCTTCTGCACAGCAAAAGAAACTACCATCAGAGTCAACAGGCAACCTACAAAATGGGAGAAAATTTTTGCAACCTACTCATCTGACAAAGGGCTAATATCCAGAATCTACAATGAACTCAAACAAATTTACAAGAAAAAAACAAGCGACCCCATCAAAAACAAAAGCCAAAATTGACAAATGGGATCTAATTAAACTAAAGAGCTTCTGCACAGCAAAAGAAACTACCATCAGAGTCAACAGGCAACCTACAAAATGGGAGAAAATTTTTGCAACCTACTCATCTGACAAAGGGCTAATATCCAGTATCTACAATGAACTCAAACAAATTTACAAGAAAAAAACAAGCGACCCCATCAAAAAGTGGGTGAAGGACATGAACAGACACTTCTCAAAAGAAGACATTTATGCAGCCAAAAAACACATGAAAAAATGCTCACCATCACTGGCCATCAGAGAAATGCAAATCAAAACCACAATGAGATACCATCTCACACCAGTTAGAATGGCGATCATTAAAAAGTCAGGAAACAACAGGTGCTGGGGAGGATGTGGAGAAATAGGAAAAGTTTTATACTGTTGGTGGCACTGTAAACTAGTTCAACCATTGTGGAAGTCAGTGTGGCGATTCTTCAGGGATCTAGAACTAGAAATACCATTTGACCCAGCCATCCCATTACTGGGTATATACCCAAAGGATTATAAATCATGCTGCTATAAAGACACATGCACATGTATGTTTATTGCAGCACTATTCACAATAGCAAAGACTTGGAACCAACCCAAATGTCCAACAATGATAGACTGGATTAAGAAAACGTGGCACATATATACCATGGAATACTATGCAGCCACAAAAAATGATGAGTTCATGTCCTTTGTAGGGACATGGATGAAATTGGAAATCATCATTCTCAGTAAACTATCACAAGAACGAAAAACCAAACACCGCATATTCTAACTCATAGGTGGGAATTGAACAATGAGAACACATGAACACAGAAAGGGGAACATCACACTCTGGGGACTGTTGTGGGGTGGAGGGATGGGGGAGGGATAGCTTTAGGAGATATACCTAATGCTAAATGATGAGTTAATAGGTGCAGCACACCAGCATGGCACATGTATACATATGTAACTAACCTGCACATTATGCACATGTACCCTAAAACTTAAAGTATAATAATAAAGTAAAATAAAAAAAAAAGAAGTTTTACATATAAAAATAAATACATATGTAAAGATCTGTGGAATTTTGAACTTGAGAGAGATAATTTAGGGTATCTGGTGGAAGAAATTTCTAAGCAGCAAAGCATTCAAGAGATGGCCTGACTGCCTCTAAAAGCCTAATTCATTTGCATAAACAAAGAAATGACCTGAAACTAGAACTTGTATTTAAAAGGGAAGCAGAGCATAAAAGTTTGGAAAATTTTCAGCCAGACCATGCAGTAGAAAAGAAAAACAATTTTCTAGGGAGGAATTCAGGGCTGCAGAAATAAGCATAAGTAACAAGGAGTCGAATGTTAATAGCAAAAACAATGGGGAAAATGCCTCCAAGGCATTTCAGAGGCCTTTGTGGCAGCCCCTCCAATCATAGTCCTGGAGGTCTAGCAGGGAAAAATGGTTTCATGGACCAGGCCCAAGACCCCGCTGCTCTCTGCAGCCTTGGGACATGGTGCCCTGCATCGCAGCTGCTCCAGTTCCAGCTGTGGCTAAAAGGGGCCAAGGTATAGCTTGGGCTGTTTCTTCAGAGAGTGCAAGCTCCAAGCCTTGGTGGCTTCCAAGTGTATTGGGCCTGTGAGTGTGCAAAAGGTAAGCGTTGAGGTTTGGGAACCTTTGCCTAGATTTCAGAGGATGTATGGAAACTCCTGGATGTCCAGGCAGAAGTGTGCTGCAGGGGTGGAGCCCTCATGGAGACCCTCTTCTAGGGCAGTGCAGAGGGGAAATGGGAAATGTGGGGTTGGAGCCCCCACACAGAGTCCCTCCTAGGGCACTGCCTAATGGAGCTGTGAGAACGGGGCCACCATACTTCAGACCTCAGAATGGCAGATCCACTGACAGCTTGCTCTGTGTGCCTGGAAAAGCTGTAGGCACTCAACACCAGCCTGTGAAAGCAGCCATGGGGGCTGTATTATGCAGAGCCACAGGGGTGGAGCTGCCCAAGGACTTGAGCCCACTGCTTGCATCAGTATAACCTGGATGTGAGACATGAAGTCAAAGGAGATAATTTTGAAGCTTTGAGATTTAATGACTCCCCTGCTGGGTTTTGGACTTACATGGAGCCTGTAGCCCCTTTGTTTTGGTCAATTTCTTTCTTTTGGAATGGGAGAACTTACTCAATGCCTGTACTCTCATTGTATCTTGGAAGTAACTAACTTGTTTTTGATTTTACAGGCTTATAGGCAGAAGGGACTTGCCTTGTCTCTTCAAAGAGTCTCATCTTTGTCTCTCATAAAAGATGAGACTTTGGACCTACACTTTTGAGTTAATGCTAGAATGAGTTAAGACTGTTGGGAAGGCATAATTGTGTTTTGAAATATAAGAAGGATATGTGATTTGGGAGGGGCCAGGACAGAATTATATGGTTTGGCTTTGTGTCCCCACCCAAATCTCATGTTTAATTGTGATCTTAAGTGTTGGAGGTGGGGCCTTGTGGGAGGTAATTAGATCATGGGGGCTGATTTCCCCCTTGCCATTCTCATGAGACCTGGTTGTTTAAAAGTATGTAGCACTTCCCCCTTTGCTCACTCTCCTGCTCCACTATGGTAAGACATGCTTGCTTCCCCTTTACCTCTGCCATGATTATAAGTTTCCTGAGGCCTCCCAGCCATGCTTCCTGTACAGCCTGCAGGACTGTGAGTCAATTAAAACTTTCTTCTTATACCATTTGATCCAGCAATCTCATTACTGGGTATATACCCAAAGGATTATAAATCATTCTACTATAAAGACACATGCATACGTATGTTTATTGCAACACTATTTACAATAGCAGAGACATGGAACCAACCTAAATGCCCATCAATGATAGACTGGATAAAGAAAATGTGGTACACATACACCATGGAATACTATGCAGCCATAAAAATGAATGAGATCATGTCCTTTGCAGGGACATGGATGAAGCTAGAAGGCATAATCCTCACCAAACTAACACAGGAACAGAAAACCAAATATCGCATGTTCTCACTCATAAGTGGGAGTTGAACAATGAGAACACATGGACACAGAGAGCGGAAAAACACACATCCAGGCCTGTTGGGATGTGGGGGGTGAGGGGAGGGAACTTAGAGGATAGGTCAATAGGTGCAGCAAACCACCATGGCACATGTGTACCTATGTAAGGAACCTGGACATTCTGCACATGTATCCCATTTTTTAGAAGAAATCAAACAAACAAACAAAAAACTCATTTCCTTGTAAATTGCTCAGTCTCAGGTAGTTCTTTATAGTAATGTAAGAAAAGACTAACATCAAAGGTCACTATTCACAGTGCAGTACTGGAGTGAAATGTGTTAAGAAAAAGATTTCCTAAACTTGGAAATAGCCATATTGGAGAAATGTGCAACAGATCCATCATTGATGATTTAATTATTTAAGGCTGTTAACTTTGATTTAACGCTATTGATTGGGATATTTACAACTCTATGCATAGATGGTGACTTATGAAAACTGAGAGTGGTGCAAATAAATTCTTCCCAGTAGAAAAGAACACTCCAGGGGATATAGTTAATGCAAGACATTAACCAGTTTTATATCTCTTTTAGCATTTTTTATTCAGTCATCTTTTTTCAATAACTATAAATACTTCTGCTTCTGCTGTATTCTTTTTTCTCACCTTTTCTATTTTATTGGTTCCCATAATAATGAGTTAAATAAATCTTTGATACATGCTTACTTTATTTTATATGAGAGTCAGGTTTTTAAAATTATACTTTGACAAATGAAAGTCCTCAGTGAACATGTACTACATCTTGAAAAAAGGGATGGCCTGGGGCTGATAATACTATAAAACAAGAGTTGACAGACTATGGCCCCATGGGTCAAATGCACTTGTAAGAACGTTTTATTGGAACATAGACACACTCATTGATTATGTCTTGTCTATGGGTTTTGTTCTGCTATAGCAGAATTGAGTAGTTGCAACTATGATCATATGGCCCATAAGGCCTAAAATATTTATTATCTGGCCTTTTACAGAAAAATTTTGCTAAATTCTGTTATAGGAAATCCTGAATTTTAAGACTAATCATGAACATAATTTGTTAATCGTTCTCAGAAAATTGACAGCACTAATGATTTATAAGACATCAAACAATAGAATATTTAATTTGATTTACTAGAAAATTATGAATAATGCAGAATAATATATACTCTGAATTAAACTTATTGATCTCAATTTGGAAAACAGAAAACAATGAAGAGATATAATCAAATCTAGAGCCAAAAGTGGCCAATAACTACCTAAATATTACCATATATTAAACATCAGATGGAATCAACTGTCAAGAATATAATTAAAAAGGTGGAAGGACTATGCTGTGAAAAAAATCTATCATCTTAACAACTTGAACTCATTTTTATTAAATGTATATACATTTAGTTTAAATGAAAATATAGTATTTGTGTTATATACTTTATTTCTCACTTTGACTTTTTAATTAAATATGTCTTGATTTCATCAGATAAGAAGGCATCTGGTGTATTAAGTTTTGTTAATTGAAAAATCTCAACTTTTTTATTGCCCAGCAGGGTAGAGGCTTGCTCAGAAGCTTGGACTAGCAAACATAACTAGCTTTTTTTTTTTTTTTTTGTCTTTCCTTCTCTTTTCTCTCCTGCCACCTTAATGTAGGGTGAATGAATTTGCCACCTCAAAGCTATCTACAATGGGTCAGGCAAAATAACCACAATATGGGTTTGTACATAATTTGGGAAGGAGTTCTTCTCCTGTCCCTTCTTCCTTTGGCAATGCCTCTTAAATCACAGTTGTGTTGGTTGAACAGCTCTATGAATATATGAAAAGCCACTGAATTGTGCACTTAATTGGGTGAGTTGCATGGTATGTAAAATACATCTTAATAAAGCTGACACCCCAAGAAAATCACAGGAGAAAAAAAATCGTACCGAGTTAATGGTATATAATGAAAAAGAAAAATTGATGTTCAGTGCCTACTGTGTACTAGAAACTTACAAATGGACAGATATATGAGTATCAAAATCAAAAGTGCACAGCAACCTAAAACAGCTCTGTCACCCAGGCTGTAGTGCAATGGCCTGATCATGGCCTATTGCAGCCTTTGCCAAAGGAGCTCAAGGGCTCCTCCCACCCCAGCCTTCGGAGTAGCTGGGACTACAGGCATGCACCACCATGCCTGGCTAATTTTTTTTTTTTTTTTTTTGTAGAGATGGAGTTTTATCATGTTGTCCAGGCTGGCCTTGCACTCCTTGACTCAAGCCATCTGCCCATCTCAGCCTCTCAATGTGCTGGGGTTAGAGGGATGAGCCACCATGTCTAGCATAGAGTTGTATTTTCTAGGTTTAAAGTAATTAAATTATGGATCTGCAAGCCCAAATAATTTTTATAAGTTATAATTTTTCTTATTAATTATAAAGTATTCCCAGGGACTCTGTGAAGTCCTGTTATGTCTGGGCTCACGTATGAGGCACACAAGGCAGGCAGTAATGAGACTGCTTTTAATCTGTAAATATATAAGTAAACATTCAAATTAATTCCATTATTTTAAAGAGTGAGATTAAGAAATGTTAAAATGCACTCATTTTAACAATGTTTCCATTGTGCAAAACATTTTTGGCATTATTTGTCTTTTTCAGGCAGGAAAACCAGTGTCAAAACTTTATAATCATGTCTTATTTCTGTGTGTATGTGTCCACATAAAGTATTAATTAGCATCATTGCTTGTTTCCAAATGCCTTTTGTCTGTTTCAAAACTCAAATCTACCATTAAAGGAAAAAAAAATTCACACAATTGAGAATATTCCAAAGAATGGGCCTAATGGGGATCACAGAACTGATTGGAAGACTGAGACTGAAGATCTAGGCTCAGAAATTTGGCATGAATCTTGGCAGTAGGTGACACAGTTCAGGTCACACCACAAAGCAATCTGGTGTAGCATGTCTCACTGGCATGGCCACCATTAGACTTTATCCTCACTAGCACCAATTGGCAATGGAGTGTTGTACCACTTCCTTTAGATGCAGTCATCCCAGGTGGGAGTGTTCGTGCAAGCCAAGCTTATGTGCCATGCACCAGATGTCAGTGGATGGGGGTGTGTGAATCTGTTAGGTAGCAGAGCACAGTTTGCCACCAAAATATACACAATGTAGCATTTCCCCACAATTGCCCATTAAAAATCTTTTACATTAAGCATTACTGACATTATAGAAGTGTCTTTGGATTCTTTTATTAGTTAAGGTGAGCATATATTACGTTTGTAATTTTAAGTCGAGTACATAATAATTATAAAAGAGAGATTTTTATTCTTTCAAGTTTCAGGTACAGAGATAGTCTCTTTGCTTCGATATAGGGTACACTAGAGAGGGTTGTACACCTCAGTTCATTGCTCCACACTCTCCCAGCAGGGAGCATAGAACCTTGACCTTTAGAACATTCCACTTAATGGTGCAATAACCTGTATGCAGTGTAAGCTGGTAGGAGAAATCAAGTAAGAAGAGGAAAGAAATGGCCATAAAATGCCCACACATTTCCTCTTCGCCCCCACCCGCCCCTCCAATCATAAGTGATGCTCCATTGGGCACTCTTTACCTCAACTTAAGTTTCACCTTTTTCTGGTTTGGAAAGGGAAAACTACGTTTTTTTGTTTTGAGACGGAGTCTTGCTCTGTCACCCAGGCTGGAGTGCACTGGTGCGATCTCGGCTCACTGCATCCTCCCTCCCAGGTTCAAGTGATTCTCCTGCCTCAGCCTCCTGAGTAGCTGGGATTACAGGTGCCCGCCACCACACCCGGTTAATTTTTGTATTTTTAGTAGAGACGGGATTTCACCATGTTGGCCAGGATGGTCACGAACTCCTGACCTAAGGTGATCTGCCCTCCTTGGCCTCCCAAAGTACTGGGATTACAGGCGTGAGCCACCGCGCCCATCCAAACTACATTTTTAAAAAAAGTTAAAAAGCAAAAACGAAACAAAAGTTGGGAAGGCAAGTGTTCTGTTCCATTTCATTAGGAGGCTGACTCTCTAGGAACCTCTCCTGGTCGCTGGGACCATTGTTACAAGGTTGAGAACTGTGAGTGTACGGAAACCCAGGGGAAACATTTTTCCTCATTTACTTCTCAAAATAGAGGTAGGAATAAGGCATGGAAAAATATAAATGAGTAAATATAATCCTTGTTACCTTGGAATAATTGGTGATAAAGTGCAGGTGCATCTTATTTTCATTCTATCAAGTCGTTTTCTAATTGGATGTTCTTGAAACAGTGGCTCATTGCTTGTACTTGTTCACTCCTATTTTCTTGCTACTATCCTGTTTTGGGGGCAGGGCAACTCTACCCTGGGGAACGATCAAATGTTTAGGCAAATATATCCTGGTGTTATAAGCTCATTAAATTTCTTGTCATTTCTTGCAGTGTGCTGGGAAGTGCTGTTTGTGGCCCGTTTTTGCAATGTAGAACCTCTCTTTTGTGAGAGCCATGGAAGTTCCTTATTTGATAATTAGTCTCTTGCTTTAGGCAGTGCCATTAAGAACTCCATATAAGCTGCCAACACTTTGTGGATGTGCAGAACCCCGTAAGCTTCCTATAGCTACTATTGCAAGTAAAATTTTCAGATGCTTCTGAAGTCTTACCCACTTATCTTGGCGTAGAGGTTCTCAAGCTTCAGCACTGGAGGATCACCTGGAATTGCTCGTTAAGACACACATTGCTGGGATCCACCTCCAGGGTGTCAGAGTCAAGTCTGGGGTGAAGCCTGAGAATGTGCATGTCTAACCAGTTCCCAGGTGATGCTGATGTTGCTGGTTTTGAGACTATATTTTGAGATTAAGAACTGCCTTGGATTAAGAGCTGACCTGCGATCTACAGCTCAAATAGTGAAGTAAACATCCTAAAGAAAATGGAAAAACCAGTGCAGTGAGTGATTGAATTACTATTTGTTCAATATCACAGAGAGCATAGTATTACATAAGGGCTTTGGGGAATATTTTAGGTAAGTATATATAACTCTTGCCACCTAGGATGTTCATAGTAACTATAAGACAGTATTTTTGTTTTCCAAGTAATTTTAATGATCCTGTAGATCCTCTTCCTTTTTGTATATAATATCAATCTAATAGTTTCTTGTTTAATATAAAAATGAAATCTTATTTTACACAAGCAGCAAGCAGCTATTTTTTCAGATTTTCCCCCTATAATCTAAGGGAAAGTTATTTTAAAATAGAAAAGATGTGGGCTTCAAAAAAAGCTTTGCAAATATGTTGCAATAATACGAATGATTTCAGTGTTGAAATCCATTTGTGAAAGCAGGCTTTGCTTATATTTTGGGTCCTGCCTTCTATAAAATGCTCAGATTTGCTTTTATTAAGATCATACACTCAGTGACCTGAGGACCAGATGGAGGTTATAAGCAGCTCTTTAAGGCTTCAGAGCTTAGCCTAGAGAGTCAAACAGCTCTTTGAACTGGCGTCTCAGCTCTGTCATTTAGGCAAATTGTTTATTTTCTGCAAAGAACCAGCCTTAGGCTTTGTTGATCTACGTATGTATATTTGTTTTTTATTTATTTGCATTATTTCATTCATTCTGTTTTCTTTGACTTTAATTTGCTAGTTTTCTTTGAAGCTTGTGAGATAAATGCTTAGATCATTGATTATCAAAATTGTGTCTATTCTAATATATATATAATATATATATGATAAGGCTATACATTTTCCCCTTAGCACAGCTTTAGTAGCCTCCAACAAATTTTGATGTGCTGTGTTTTTATTATAAATCAGTTTGAAATATATATTCTAATTTTATTATGATTTCTTGAGCCTATGGATTATATAGAAATATATTTCTTAAATTGTAAACATATGGGGATTATTTGATGTCTCTAAGCCGCAGATTTCCTATTTTATTTTATTTATTTATTTTTTATTATTATACTTTAAGTTTTAGGGTACATGTGCACAATGTGCAGGTTTGTTACATATGTATACATGTGCCATGATGGTGTGCTGCACCCATTAACTCGTCATTTAGCATTAGGTATATCTCCTAATGCTATCCCTCCTCTCTCCCCCTACGCCACAACACTCCCTGGTGTGTGATGTTCCCCTTCCTGTGTCCATGTGTTCTCATTGTTCAGTTCCCACCTATGAGTGAGAACATGCGGTGTTTGGTTTTTTGTCCTTGCAATAGTTTGCTGAGAATGATGGTTTCCAGCTTCATCCATGTCCCTACAAAGGACATGAACTCATCATTTTTTATGGCTGTATAGTATTCCATGGTGTATAGTATTCCATGGTGTATATGTGCCACATTTTCTTAATCCAGTCTATCACTTTTGGACATTTGGCTTGGTTCGAAGTCTTTGCTATTGTGAATAGTGCTGCAATAAACATATGTGTGCATGTGTCTTTATAGCAGCATGATTTATAATCCTTTGGGTATATACCCAGTAATGGGATGGCTGGGTCAAATGGCATTTCTAGTTCTAGATCCTTAAGGAATCGCCACACTGATTTCCACAATGGTTGAACTAGTTTACAGTCCCACCAACAGTGTGAAAGTGTTTCTATTTCTCCACATCCTCTCCAGCACCTGTTGTTTCCTGACTTTTTAATGATTGCCATTCTAACTGGTGTGAGATGGTATCTCATTGTGGTTTTGATTTGCATTTCTCTGATGGCCAGTGATGGTGAGCATTTTTTCATGTGTTTTTTGGCTGCATAAATGTCTTCTTTTGAGAAGTGTCTGTTCATGTCCTTCGCCCACTTTCTGATGGGGTTGTTTGTTTTTTTCTTGTAAATTTGTTTGAGTTCATTGTAGATTGTGGATATTAGCCCTTTGTCAGATGAGTGGGTTGCAAAAATTTTCTCCCATTCAGTAGGTTGCCTGTTGACTCTGATGGTAGTTTCTTTTGCTGTGCAGAAGCTCTTTAATTAGATCTCATTTGTCTATTTTGGCTTTTGTTGCCATTGCTCTTGGTGTTTTAGACATGACGTCCTTGCCCATGCCTATGTCCTGAATGGTATTGCCTAGGTTTTCTTCTAGGGCTTTTATGGTTTTAGGTCTAGCATTTAAGTCTTTAATCCATCTTGAATTAATTTATGTGTAAGGTGTAAGGAAGGCATCCAGTTTCAGCTTTCTACATATGGCTAGCCCGTTTTCCCAGCACCATTTATTAAATAGGGAATCCTTTCCCCATTTCTTGTTTTTCTCAGGTTTGTCAAAGATCAGAAAGTTGTAGATATGCAGCATTATTTCTGAGGGCTCTGTTCTGTTCCATTGGTCTATATCTCTGTTTTGGTACCAATACCATGCTATTTTGGTTACTGTAGCCTTGTAGTATAGTTTGAAGTCAGGTAGCATGATGCCTCCAGCTTTGTTCTTTTGGCTTAGGATTGACTTGGTGATGCAGGCTCTTTTTTGGTTCCATATGAACTTTAAAGTAGTTTTTTCCATTTCTGTGAGGAAAGTCATTGGTAGCTCGATGGGGATGGCATTGAATCTATAAATTACCTTCGGCAGTGTGGCCGTTTTCACGATATCGATTCTTCCCACCCATGAGCATGGAATGTTCTTCCATTTGTTTGTATCCTCTTTTATTTCATTGAGCAGTGGTTTGTAGTTCTCCTTGAAGAGGTCCTTCACATCCCTTGTCAGTTGAATTCCTAGGTATTTTATTCTCTTTGAAGCAATTGTGAATGGGAGTTCACTGATGATTTGGCTCTCCGTTTGTTATTGGTGTATAAGAATGCCTGTGATTTTTGCACATTGATTTTGTATCCTGAGACTTTTCTGAAGTTGTTTATGAGCTTAAGGAGATTTTGGTCTGAGACGATGGGGTTTTCTAGATATACAATCATGTCATCTGCTAACAGGGACAATTTGACTTCCTCTTTTCCTAATTGAATGCCCTTTATTTCCTTCTCCTGCCTGATTGCCATGGCTAGAACTTCCAACACTATGTTGAATAGGAGTGGTGAGAGAGGGCATCCCTCTGTCTTGTGCCAGTTTTCAAAGGGAATGCTTCCAGTTTTTGTCCATTCGGTATGATATTGGCTGTGGGTTTGTCATACATAGCTCTTATTATTTTGAGATACGTCCCATCAATACCTAATTTATTGAGAGTTTTTAGCATGAAGGGTTGTTGAATTCTGTCAAAGGCCTTTTCTGCATCTATTGAGATAATCATGTGGTTTTTGTCTTTGATTCTGTTTATATGCTGGATTACGTTTATTGATTTTCATATGTTGAACCAGCCTTGCATCCCAGGGATGAAGCCCACTTGATCATGGTGGATAAGCTTTTTGATGTGCTGCTTGATTCGGTTTGCCAGCATTTTATTGAGGATTTTTGCATCAGTGTTCATCAAGGATATTGGTGTAAAATTCTCTTTTTTTGTTGTGTCTCTGCCAGGCTTTGGTATCAGGATGATGCTGGCCTCATAAAATGAGTTAGGGAGGATGCCCTCTTTTTCTATTGATTGGAATATTTTCAGAAGGAATGGTACCAGCTCCTCCTTGTACCTCTGGTAGAATTCGGCTGTGAATGCGTCTGGTCCTGGACTTTTTTTGGTTGGTAAGCTATTATTATTGCCTCAATATCAGAGTCTGTTTTTGGTCTTTTCAGAGATTCAACTTCTTCCTGATTTAGTCTTGGGAGGGTGTATGTGTCCAGGAATTTATCCATTTTTTTCTAGATTTTCTAGTTTATTTGTGTAGAGGTGTTTATAGTATTCTCTGATGGTAGTTTGTATTTATGTGGGATCGGTGGTGATATCCCCTTTGTCATTTTTTATTGCATCTATTTGATTCTTCTCTCTTTTCTTCTTTATTAGTCTTGCTAGCGGTCTATCAATTTGTTGATCTTTTCAAAAAACCAGCCTCTGGATTCATTGATTTTTTGAAGGGTTTTTTGTGTCGCTATTTCCTTCAGTTCTGCTCTGATCTTAGTTATTTCTTGCCTTCTGCTAGCTTTTGAATGTGTTTGCTCTTGCTTCTCTAGTTCTTTTAATTGTGATGTTAGGGTGTCAATTTTAGATCTTTCCTGCTTTCTCTTGTGGGCATTTAGTGCTATAAATTTCCCTCTACACACTGCTTTGAATGTGTCACAGAGATTCTGGTATGTTGTGTCTTTGTTCTTATTGGTTTCAAAGAACATCTTTATTTCTGCCTTCATTTTGTTATGTACTCAGTAGTCATTCAGGAGCAGGTTGTTCAGTTTCCATGTAGTTGAGCGGTTTTGGGTGAGTTTCTTAATCCTGAGTTCTAGTTTGATTGCACTGCGGTCTGAGAGACAGTTTGTCATAATTTCTGTTCTTTTACATTTGCTGAGGAGAGCTTTACTTCCAACTATGTGGTCAATTTTGGAATAGGTGTGATGTGGTGCTGAGAAGAATGTATATTCTTTTGATTTGGGGTGGAGAGTTCTGTAGATGTCTATTAGGTCTGCTTGGTGCAGAGCTGAGTTCACTTCCTGGGTATCCTTGTTAACTTTCTGTCTCATGGATCTGTCTAATGTTGACAGTGGGGTGTTAAAGTCTCCCATTATTATTGTGTGGGAGTCTTAGTCTGTTTGTAGGTCTCTAAGGACTTGTTTTATGAATCTGGGTGCTCCTGTATTGGGTGCATATATATTTAGGATAGTTAGCTTTTCTTGTTGAATTGATCCCTTTACCATTATGTAATGGCCTTCTTTGTCTCTTTTGGTCTTTGTTGGTTTAAAGTCTGTTTTATCAGAGACTAGGGTTGCAACCTGTGACTGTTTTTGTTTTCCATGTGCTTGGTAGATCTTCCTCCATCCCTTATTTTGAGCCTATGTGTGTCTCTGCACATGAGATGGGTCTCCTGAATACAGCACACTGATGGGTCTTGACTCTTTTTCCAATTTGCCAGTCTGTGTCTTTTAATTGGAGCACTTAGCCCATTTACATTTAAGGTTAATATTGTTATGTGTGAATTTGATCCTATCATTATGATGTCACCTGGTTATTTTGCTCGTTAGTTGATGCAGTTTCTTCCTAGCCTTGATGGTCTTTACAATTTGGCATGTTTTTGCAGTGGCTGGTACCGGTTGTTCCTTTCCATGTTTAGTGCTTCCTTCAGGAGCTCTTTTAGGGCAGGACTGGTGGTGACAAAATCTCTCAGCATTTGCTTATATGTAAAGTATTTTATTTCTCCTTCACTTATGAAGCTTAGTTTGGCTGGATATGAAATTCTGGGTTGAAAATCCTTTTCTTTAAGAATGTTCAATATTGGCCCCCACTCTCTTCTGGGTTGTAGAGTTTCTGCAGAGATATCCGCTATTAGTCTGATGGGCTTCCCTTTGTGGGTAACCCGATGTTTGTCTCTGGCTACCCTTAACATTTTTTCCTTCATTTCAACTTTGGTGAATCTGACAACTATGTGTCTTGGAGTTGCTCTTCTCGAGGAGTATCTTTGTGGCATTCTCTGTATTTCCTGAATTTGAATGTTGGCCTGCCTTGCTAGATTGGGGAAGTTCTCCTGGATAATATTCTGCAGAGTGCTTTCCAACTTGGTTCCATTCTCCCCGTCACTTTCAGGTACACCAATGAGACGTAGATTTGGTCTTTTCACATAGTCTCATATTTCTTGGAGGCTTTGTTCATTTCCTTTTACTCTTTTTTCTCTAAACTTCTCAATTCATTTCATTCATTTCATCTTCCATTACTGATACCCTTTCTTCCAGTTGATCGAATCGGCTACTGAAGCTTGTGGATGCATCACTTAGTTCTCGTGCCATGGTTTTCAGCTCCATCAGTTCATTTAAGGACTTTTCTACACTGGTTATTCTAGTTAGCCATTCGTCTAATCTGTTTTCAAGGTTTTTAGCTTCTTTGCGATGTGTTCGAACTTCCTTCTTTAGCTTGGAGAAGTTTGATCATGTGAAGCCTTCTTCTCTCAACTTGTCAAAGTCAATCTCCATCCAGCTTTGTTCTATTGCTGGTGAGGAGCTGCATTCCTTTGCAGGGGGAGAGGTGCTGTGATTTTTAGAATTTTCAGCTTTTCTGCTCTGTTTTTTCCCCATCTTTGTGGTTTTATTTACCTTTGGTCTTTGATGATGGTTACGTACAGATGGGGGTTTTGTTGTGGATGTCCTTTCTGTTTGTTAGTTTTCCTTTTAACAGTGAGGACCCTCAGCGGCAGGTCTGTTGGAGTTTGCTGGAGGTCCACTCTGGACCCTGTTTGCCTGATATTACCAGCAGAGGCTGCAGAACAGCGAATATTGCTGAACAGCGAATATTCCTGAACAGCAAATATTGCTGTCTGGTAGTTCCTCTGGAAGCCTCATCTCAGGTGGGTACCTGGCCATGTGAGGTGTCAGTCTGTCCCTACTTGGGGGTGCCTCCCAGTTAGGCTACTTGGGTGTCAGGGACCCACTTGAGGATGCAGTCTGTCCGTTCTCAGATCTCAGACTCCTTGCTGGGAGAACCACTACTCTCTTCAAAGCTGTCAGACAGGGACATTTAAGTCTGCAGAGGTTTCTGCTGCCTTTTGTTTGGCTATGCCCTGCCCCCAGAGTTGGAGTCTATAGACGCAGGCAGGCCTCCTTGAGCTGAGATGGGCTCCACCCAGTTCGAGCTTCCCAGCCACTTTGTTTACCTACTCAAGCCTCAGCAATGGTGGGGCGCCCCTCCCCCAACCTTGCTGCTGCCTTGCAGTTCGATCTCAGACTGCTGTGCTAGCAATGAGCGAGGCTCCGTGGGCGTGGGACTCTCCGAGCCAGGCACGGGATATAATCTCCTGATATGCCGTTTGCTAAGACCATTGGAAAAGTGCAGTATTAGAGTCGGAGTGACCTGATTTTCCAGGTGCCGTCTGTCACAGCTTCGCTTGGCTAGGAAAGGGAATTCCCTGACCCCTTGTGCTTCGCAGGTGAGGCGATGCCTCACCCTGCTTCAGCTCACACTCGGTGCACTGCACCCACTGTCCTGCACCCTGCAGTGTAGCAAAGTTTGAAATGTAGATAGCCAGAAGTCAGTCTGGGGGAAAGCAATTCCAATTTTCAAGCTTGTAAAATTGTTTTCATTGATTTCTACTCAAATTTGAAATTCTTTCCTGTCGTCAACATGTTTGATGATGCCTAATATGAGCTACAAATTCACTATACCATTTTTTTCTTTTTTGCTGGAACATGTATAAAATAGAATATATCTGAATTTCCATGTAGGGCTGAAACATGCTGTCATAATAGAAACAATATGCCTACATCTCCGTCTCTCTTTCTGTGTGTGTGTGTATGTATGTGTGAAGTCATATGTTTTATGCTTTCCTATATATCAGATTATGTTTTAGCATTTCAGAGGCACTGTGTCCTGCTAAAATCCTGTGTTTCCAGATGAAATGGCAAACATTATTTCCAGCAATGTGATAAAACAACCAAAGAAAGTGTTCAAGTGACCCGATTCATAAAATTCACCAATAAGTCAATATATGCAGTAAAATAGTTATTACAAGAGTAGCTAAGAGTAATTAATATGAGTAAGTCTGTAGCTTAACACAGTAAAGTATCACTTTTAAATGCATTTGCATTTCTCATGGGTGAGGGTTAGCAAATTCTGACCTGGAAACCAAATCCAGCCTACTGTTTTATTTGTAAAAAATTACATTTGAACACAGTCCTACCCATTTATTAACTTACTGTTTATCACTGCTTTTGTTCTAGAAAAGCAGAGTTGAGTAGTTGAAAAAAAGACTGTGGCCAGGCACAATGTCTCATACCATAATCCCAGCACTTTGGGAGGCCAAGGTGGATCACTAACTGGTCACTAACTCTTGGGCTCAAGTGGGTGGATTACTTTAGCCCAGGTGTTAGTGACCAGCCTGGGCCACATGGTGAAACCCTGTTTCTACAAAAAGTACAAAAATTAGCCGGGAGTGGTGGTGTGAACCTGTAGTCCCAGCTACTGGGGAGGCTGAGGTGGGAGGATGACCTGAGCCTGGGAGGTCAAGTAAGGCTGCAGTGAACTGAGATCATGCCACTGCACTCCAGCCTGAGTGACAAAGTGAGATCCTATCTCCAAAAAAAAGAAAAAAAAAAAGACTGTAATATAAGACCCCCAATGTCAAAAATATTTACTATCTGATCCTTTACAAAAGCGTTTGCTAACTCCTGTCCTTGTGTATGCTTTGATTTCATATTAATTATATCTTATGTTATTTATGATACATATATGATATACACATATATATCTAATATGTTATATATTTAAGAATTATTCACTATGCCACAAACTGTAGATACAAAAGAAGTATCTCTAGGGAAAGCCAAAAACAAACATGGAAAGAAAGAAGGCTAGCAGAAGCTTCAAAATATCAAAAACTCTCTTACTGTGTGGCAATATAAACTAAAAACTGATGCTCAAAATCATGAAGATAGGAAAAAGAATCAAGACAACCAAAAAATATGGTTAATAAAAATGAAGACAGAAGACATCAAGATGTTTATGAGAACCAGGGTCCTTTCAAACAGGGGGTGAAAAAGGAGTGAGAAGATGTGCATGGCAGTGAAGAAGAACTTAATTTGCACACAGTCAACGGGGGGGTGGGCAGGAGGGCCAACACAGCTGCATTTCTACCACATTATTTATTTTGGTAAGTACTGTCATCTTTTGTTATGAGCCATATTTCATTCAACAGTGTTTAATGACTTTTTTCCAAATCATTACTCCATAATATTTACTGAGAATCAAACAGAACTTACAATAGAAAAAAGAGATACTTCTTAATTAGATATTTTGGAAAAAAATCATTGTCGTGTGACAAGACAACCAAAGAGTAGTCAGCTAAACCTATAGAAATGAAGTATTCTAAAAATGTGTCAGACAGCTAATTAACACAATATTTTATTTTTCTAAAGATCTTGCAGTGTTTGTCATCTTTATCACCTTTTAAAAGTTTGCATTTTATTGTCACTTTTAAAATTTTTAAATAAATGTCCATTTTGTATCTATCATTCTGTGTCTTTATGTAATAGTATCTAATATTCTATATCTGTATCAAATATTCTGTATGTACTTCATATTCATTTTATCTTATTTTATTTATTTATTTATTTATTTATTTATTTATTTATTTTAGACAGAGTCTTACTCTGTCTTCCAGGCTGGAGTGCAGTAGCACAATCTTGGCTCACCACAACCTCCACCTCCCGGGTTCAAGCAATTACCCTGCCTCAGCCTCCTGAGTAGCTGGGGTTACAGGCACACGCTACCATGTCCAGGTAATTTTTGTATTTTTAGTAGAGATGGGTTTTGCCATGTTGACCAGGCTGGTCTCAAACTCCTGACCTCAAGTGATCTGCCCCCCTTGGCTTCCCAAAGTGCTGGAATTACAGATATGAGCCACCACATCCAGCCCCATTTTACCTTAATTTGTAAGAATATATAATTATATTTATAATTTTATTCATTTTATATTAATTTTTCTATTTCTTAAAGGCTAAATCTCTAGTTTCCTTTTTATTTTTCAGGTAGAGGATTTTAATTCACTGAGTACCTGATCATTTTACATACCTAGTCAAATAAATATGAAATTTGAAGAACTAAGATTAAGTTTTAAAAATTCTTAAGTGCATACAATCCATTGAAGAAAACAAAAATTGCTTAAGCAGTTTTTAAAACCTTGATAAGAGGTCATCAACATGATTTAAATGTGAAATTAGCTAATGTAAGTAGCAGTTAGAATGAGATTTAGCTTATATATTTGGAGGTATAATGGAAAACTCTGGTGAGGACTCTTTTATTGCACACCAAGAGAAACATGAGAAAGAAAAATGAGTTGCATTTTTCTGCATTTTTCCAGAAGTGAAATGCTTTGCAACATCCTCAGAAAGAAAGAGAATACATGAGTAATATGAAAGAAAACTATATAAAGGATTTAATTATTTCCAAATTGCCTGGGTGTTTTTTTAGTGCCTGCTTTTTTTTTCAAGCAGGAATAACTGTAGAAACTTTTATTTATTTATTTTTAAAGGAATGGTTACTATTCTTAGGAAAAGTGGCAGTAAATATAGTTAATAACGGTAATTATAATTTTATAAACTCATTCAAAAGTCTTGATTTTAAAGGCGATAGTAAAAAAAATATATATCTATTTATCTTGTTCCCTGAAAAATGGTAGCACTCCTGACCACTGAGAGACTGTTCTCCTCGGCATAATTGATGGCCTTCAAAGCCATCATACTTCAGTATTCAATGTCAAAGATTTATTTCCATTTGCAAAATTTGCTTAGAACTCACCTATATTTACCTTTCCTCTTATGACTTATAAGATAATATTAACATCTACATAACAGAATCTCACTCACAGAATGTTTGAGCCACGAAGGTGCTCTGAGACCCTCTGCCTCAACAGCCTCATTCATAGATGAGAGAAGCCCAGAGAGGTGAGGACGCCTTCCAAAGCTCTAGCACTTGTTTCTAGACATGGAACCAGGACAGCCCTTGGCATTTCCCACCACATTTTCCTGCTTATTATGTGGCATGAGCTTGTCTTTAACACTGAATTAGAATTATTGCACATTACATTGCATTCATCAAGGCCTACCCTTCAGGCAGTCTGATGTAACAGTCTATTATAAGACATCCGAGAAAAACCATCCACTATCCTTTCAGATGTTCTCAAAACAATTTGTATTAAGAGCTAATAAAATGAAACAGAAAATGCCAGGTAAACTTTTTAAAATAAAGATTTTGTGATTCATTGGGTTTAATTATTGGTTTTATTTTAGCATTACTTTGATACATTTCATGAAGTATACAGACAGAACTAAAGCCACATTTAAAAGGCAATTAATAAAACCCAGACATTATGATATAATTTACATACATTTAGATATATTTAAAGTGTACAGTTCATTTATTTAGTATAACCACAGAGTTGTGCAAACATCACCACCATCTAATTCTAGAACATGTTAGAACCCCAAAAGAAACTTCATATTCATTAGCATGTTGCATTCCTGGCAGCTCCCTCTTGCCACCCTGTACCCTCAGTCCTAGGCAACCACTAAACAACTTTCTGTCCTCATAGACTTGTCTATTCTAGACATTTCCTATAAATGGCATCATACGATATGTGGTATTTTGTGACTGGCTCTGGCTTCTTTCACTTAGTATAATGCTTTCACATTTATCATGTAGCATTTGTAAGTGTCTTTCCCTTTTATAGCTGAGTAATATTCCATTGTATGTGTATTCCACATCTTTATTTATCCATTCATCACTTGATGAATATTTGGATGGTTTTCACTTTTTGGCTACTATGAACAATGCTGCCATGAACATTTGTGAACAAGTTTTAGTGTGGCATTATGTTTCCATTTCTTTTGGGTACATATCTAGAAATAGAATTACTGGGTCATAGGGTGACTCTATGTTTAATATTTTGAGGAATTCCCAGACTGTTTGCAAAGTGACTGCATCATCTTACAATCTCACCAGTAAGTATGGCATGAGGATTCCAATTTCTTCACAGCCTTGTAAAAAGGAAAATTTTACAATTATAATTATTTGGCAAAAATTCAATGAATTTTTTGAGCATCTATTTTGTGAAAGGTCTTTTTTGAGGTGCTATAATTTTTTAACACTATCAATTTTTGTGGAAAAAATTAGAACTTTTCTAAAGGACATTATTTTTAAAGTTTATTACTTATTATTTATTAATTTTTATTAATACATAATATTGCTATGTATCAGGTACATGTGATAGTTTGATACATGCATACAGTATATAATGATCAAATCAGCATATTTAGAAAATCCATTACCTCAAGCATTTATTTCTTTGTGTTTGGAACATTTCAGAACTTCTCTTTCAGCTATTTTGAAATATGCAATATATTTTTTGTTAACTATAGACACTCTATTGTGCTATTAAACACTAGAACTTATTTCTTCCACATAACTGTATGTTTGTACCCATTAACCAATCTGTCCTCATCCCCCCAGCCCTTTCCCAGCCTCTGGTATCTATCATTCTATTCCCTACCTCCATGAGGTCAACTTTTTAGCTCCCACATATGAGTGGGAACATGTGATACTTGTTTTTCTGTGCCTGGTTTATTTCACTAAACATAATGACTTGCAATTCCATCCCTGTTGCCGCATATGATGAGATTTCATTTTTAATGGCTGAATAGTATTTTGTTGTGTATATATACCATATTTTCTTTATTCATTCATCTGTTGATGGACACTTAGGTTGATTTCATACCTTGGCTGTTGTGAATAGAGCAGCAATAAATATGGGGGTACAGTTGTCCCTTTGATTTATTGATTTCCTTTCCTTTGGACAGAGAGACAGTAGTGGGATTGCTGGGTCAGATGGTAGTTCTATTTTTAGTTTTTAAAGACACTTTCATACTGTTTTCCATAGTCGTTGTACTAATCTACATTCCCAACAATGCATAAAGAGTTCCCTTTTCTCCACATAATCACCAGCATGTGTTATTTTTTGACTTTGATAATAACCATTCTAACTGGGGTGAGATGGTATCTCATTGTGGTTTTGATCTGTATTTTCCTGATGATCCGTGATGTTGAGCAGTTTTTCCTAAACCTGTTAGCCATTTGTCTTTTTAGAAATGTCTATTCATGTCCTTTGCTCACTTTTTAGTGAGATTATTTGATTCTTTGCTGTCGAATTGTTTTGAGTTCTATGTATATTCTGGATATTAGTCCCTTGTTGGATGAATAGTTAGCAATTTTTTCTCCATTGTTCATGTTATCTCTTCACTCTGTTGATTGTTTCCTTTCCTGCGCAGAAGCTTTTTAGTTTAATGTCGTTCCATTTGTCTATTTTTGTTTTGGTTGCCCCTGCTTTTGAGATCTTAGCCATAAAATCTTTGCCTAGATCAATATCTTGAAGCATTTCCTCTATGTTTTCTTTTAGTAGTTTTATAGTTTCAGGTCTTGTATTTAAGTCTTTAATCCATTTTGAATTGATTTTTATACATTGTGAGAGATAGAGGTCTAGTTTCATTCTTCTGCATGTGAATATCCAGTTTTCTTAGCACAATTTATTGAAAAGAATGTCCTTTCCTCAGTGTATGTTCCTGGCAACTTTGTCAAAAATTGGCTGGCTGTAAATATGTGAATTTATTTCTGGATTCTCTGTTCTGTTCCACTGGTCTGTGTATCTGTTTTTATACCAATAGCATAGTGTTTTGGTTGCTATAGCTTTGTAGTATATTCTGAAATGTGTTAGTGTGATTGCCTTCAGCTTTGTTCTTTTTGCTGAGTATTGCTGCTATTTGGGCTCTTCTATGGTTCTATGTGAATTCTAGGATTGTTTTTTCTATTGATTCAAAGAATGTCATTAGTATCTTGATAGGAATTGCATTAAATCTATAGCTTACCTTGGGTAGTATAGTCATTTTTAACAATATTAATTGTTCCAATTCATGAGCATAATATGTCTTTCTATTTTTGGTATCCTCTTCAATTTTGTTCATCAGGGTGTAGTGTTTTTTGTTTTGTTTTGTTTTGGCTTTCATAGAAATCTTTCACCTCCTTGGCTAAATTTATCCCTGAGACTTTTTTGAAGTTATAAATGAGGTTGCTTTCTTGGTTTCTTTTTCAGATAGTTGGTTATTGGTGTATAAAAACACAACCGATTTTTTATATTGATTTTGTGTCTTGTAACATTACTGAATTTGTAAAATCATGTCATCTGAAGTAGAGACAATTTGGCTTCTTCCTTTTTTTTTTTTTTGAATTGGAATCTCTCTCTGTCATCCAGGCTGGAGTGCTCTGGTGTGATCTTGACTCACTGCATCCTCTATTTCCCAGGCTCAAGTGATCCTCCCACCTCAGCCTCCTGAGTAGTTGGGACTACAGGTGTGTGCCACCACACCTGGCTAATTTTTGTATTTTTCATAGAGACAGGGTTTCATCATGTTGTCTAGTCTGGATTTGAACTCCTGGGTTCAAGCAATCTGCCCACCTCAGCCTCCCGAAGTGCTGGGATTACAGGCTTGAGCCACCACAACTGGCTGGCATCCTGTTTTCCAGTTTGGATGCCTTTCATTTCTTTCTCTTTCCGGAAAGAGAAAGTCTGGCTAGGACTTCCAGTATAATGCCGAATAAGAGTGCTTAGAGTAGGTGTCCTTGTCTTATTCTAGTTCTTAGAGGAAAGGCTTTCAGTTATTCCCCATTCAGTATGATGTTAGCTGTGGGCTCGTCATATATGGCCTTTATTATGTCAAGGTATGTTCCTGCTATACCTAATTTGTTGAGAGTGTTCATCATGAAGGGCAGGGTGAAAGGGATTCTTTTCTGAAGGAGGTTGTGTCACTCAGTGTCTGATGAGGATATAGAAGTCAGTGTTTGGTGAGAGATAGTAATTTGAAGAGGGAACATTTACTATAAAGAATTATTAACTGGCAAAATGTGATAAACTACAAAAGGGGTAAATTGTATGCTAAATAACACAGAAATAGCAAACATAGGGAAGAGCTGCTACTTCTAGGACTGAGGGAGGATACCCAAGAAAAGAACAAACATGGAAGGGTCTTTCACACCTGAAGGCTGAGATTCAGACCTTGTTGGAGAGGGTGGTGCTGTGGCCCGCAGGATAGAAAAGTTCTTTGAGGTGCCACAGGCCAGGCCTGGTGAGTAGGGTACTGGCTGTTGGGTGCCAGTGGATCAGCACTGTGGTCAAAAAAGTGCCTTCTAGGGTGCTGGAAAAACCCACTGGAAGGTGGTCACCATTGGGTCTCCTGCATACTGCTGGCAAGGAAATTGCCTGCTCGGGTGACAATAAAACTCAGTAGGAAGCCCTCACTAGGTGCTGGTGGAACTCACTGTAGGGTGACTCTCCCATACACCACTGGTGGCGGCCACAGGTAACAAGAACCAGGAAGAATCAAGAAGGAATGCTCCTTTATTTGCTATACCTTGTTTTATTTTATTTTATTTATTTATTTTTTTGAGACAGAGTTTTGCCTTTTTTCCCTGGCTGGAGTGCAATGATGCGATCTTGGCTCACTGCAACCTCCACCTCCCAGGTTCAAGTGATTCTCCTGCCTCAGCCTCCCGAGTAGCTGGGATTACAGGTGCGTGCTAATTTTGTATTTTCAGTAGAGATGGGGTTTTACCATGTTGTCCAGGCTGGTCTCAAACTCCTGGCCTCAGGTGATCCTCCTGCCTCTGCCTCCCAAAGGGCTGTGATTACAGGCATGAGACACCGCATCTGACCCCTTTACTATACCTTGTAGTGTCTCCCCTACACTCTACCAGCAACAGATGACATTGCACTGGCTGACCGAGGAGCCAGATTAGTATCGTGGAACAGGGCAAAGAAGGGTGGATTTGGAGCGGAGAGGCAATATATTGATAACTGTCTTGGTGAACTCCTTTGGCTTCTTAGCTTCCACATGCACCATTTTATATATATATTTGAACTCTGTATAACACAAAGTCAACTCTGTTCTTCAGAGAAATGCAGAGTTCTCACCCCTTTCCCCAAATGAGGAGACACACAGTTCCAACAGTTATCGTAGTCTCATCTGGCTGTCTTAAATACTCCTCAAATCAAAGTCCCACTGAATATTCTCTTACCTAAAGGCTAAATTGTAGAGTTTATATTCAACAACTTTCATAAAATAATGAAGAGAGAAAAAGGAAAATGGTTAATATATACAAATACACACATATACATCACATGCAAAGAGGAAATACACAAAACTGTCAGAATTCTCAGTTTTGTAATTGATTGAGAGGCCATAGTTGGTATCTATGGCTTCCTTCTTCTACTGCCTATTCTGTATTTCCATTGCCCTTAAATGGTCAAGGTTCTTTATCTGGGGAGTGATCCAAACTTTCATTTCTCAACAGCCTGAATCCTCAATAATCCTGCCCCCTCCTTTTGACTCCTGCGGTTTCCCATTAACCTTTATTTCACACCTTGAGTCCAGGTTCCAGGGAGTTAGCTAATATTGGAGATGACGCATCTGGTCGTAGGCAGGTGTCTGGTGAGATGGCTGTTTTTCCCTTTGGTCCTGGTCCTTGGACCTCATACATTGCTGTTGAGCCATTGCTTGTTTCTGTCTACATGGCATATTTACCTCAGGAGGCTCTTTCCACTATCTTCATGTGATACTTGAGGGAGCTGCATCATCACAGTTTCTTGCTTCTCCAAAACGCTGGGGTGGAGGGGGAAGGGCAGTGGGGTGGGGGAAGAGGGATCCAGAATCCCTGCACGGACTCCTCTGGCTGGATGCCAGATGCAGCCACTCTCTTCCCCATCTCTGTGCTCCTTTTCTGGGTGGTGGTAGGGTGAGGTGGGAAATTACTTTCTTGTTGGTCTTGGATACTTTGCAAAGACATCAGTACATTTTGTTAGCTTTAAAGGTTTAGTTCTTAGCACTTTGCCATCCTGGGAAATCAATGCCAGCAAATCCCATAGAACTTGTCTGCTTTTTGCTTCAATTTACCCGTCCCTGAAGACAATAAACAAAGAGATGGCATTCTGCTTATAAAAGGGTAGTATAGTAAAAAATGAAGAAAATATATCTCACAACTCATTTCCCATCTTTTAATAAATAGTGATAGACTTAAAATAGCTAAGATTGAAAATGATGCCTATTTGAAAATTTACTAAGTAATTACATTCTAGCAGTTATACATGAGATATTTATTATATATCACATGTACTATAAATCTAATTATCTGTGGTATAAATAGACATTCCTAATCACTTCCTTTTAAGCATTTTCTCTTGAACTTTCGACATTTGAATTGGATTCAGAACACGGAACAAGCACAACTCTTAAAAGTGTCAGACATGCTAGATTTCTTTCTCGCTCCCATGGAAAAAGTAAACACAGCATAAAACACTCATCAATTTTTAGAAGTTAAGAATGTGCTTTATGTAGTTTATCCTAGAAAAATCCTCAAGTTATATAAACTTTTAGATTATGAATGAGTTATGGTCATTTGGAGATGGCAACAGAGCAACTGGCAGGTTCAAGAATTTATACACAAAGGTGAAAGGCTTTTTGAAACAATCAGAGTTTTCTTTCAAGTCTAACTTCCTGAGTAATTTATCTGAGAAATTGTGAGATGACATGCAGGAGGACTTTCAAAATCATCCCAGTGTCCCTCAATCAATCTGGTTCAAATATGCAGAATTGGAGGACAGGTCAAGAAAGCAGACGCTGAAACAGGAGGAAATGAAGTCGGCTTATTGTGAACATGACTTTTTCCCATCTAAAAAAAGATGATAGTTTACATTGTTTTGAGAATTGTGGAGTGGGAGAAGCAGACCAACCTTTCATACTGCTGAAATATAATTTTCCTGGCCACACATCTTCCTCATTAATTGTCTCCAATTCCTTACAAAAGAAAAAAAAAACCTTCCTACATTTTTTTCTATTATAAAATAATTTCATAGTTGTATTTACCAAATGTTTAAGCATGAATGTGGTAACTGGTGAAAACAGCTTAATCTGTGGTGGCATGAAATGATGAAAAAATAAATATATTTTCTCTTTTTTTTTTCTGTTTTTATTCTCCATCCACATCAACTGAAGGGTAGCTAGATGGTTTTGTGCAGAAGTCTGAGTGTCCCTTGTGCCAGGAGATGCTTTTGTTACCTAGATCTGTGCTTCTGGAGCTACTTCACTGGATTGATGTTTAGGGAGGACTAGAAAGTTGAAGGGGAGAAGTTGAATCATGGAGGATGTTGGAGTGCTAAGATCCCTGAATGTGGTACCTGTAGATAAATACAGTGACTTTGAGACGCAGAGCAAAGACTCCAGTGGAGTCTGTTATTCAGTGAGCAACAGCGTCACCCACCATGGAATAAATCAGGTTGGGGTGGACAATGTATTTCAAGGTTCTGTGATTAAAGATTGTGGGACACACCAGCGGCCCTTCCATAAATAGATTTCACAAGCCTCAGCCTTCTTATGTTGGTGGGTGGGGTAGATGGTGGCCAGAGAATGACTGAGATTGGGTTTTCTGTCAACTCGAATGGGAGAGGCTCCTTCAGTTGGAATTAGATATGTAAAAGGTAAAGAAATGTGTTATTTCATGTACCTGTGGATTGTGAAACAAATTCATGCTCACTACATTTGTTTCAAAAGCATAAATAGGCCCTGCCTTCTGCCTTTATCTACTCTACACGTATAGTATGGAACAGTATGATTAAGCCAGTATGATTTGAGCCAGAAGATTAAGTTCCATAAAAAGTGAAGAAAAGTCAACAATTTAACACAAGAAATGTTTACCGACTAACTATTCTATGCCAGGTCTGGGAGTATGAGGAAATAAATGTGACATATCCCTTGAGAAAGCAGAAATAATCCAAAGAATTCATACATATACAAATTATTAATTACATCAGTAAAAATCTTTATGATGGGTGTGGCCAGGTCTGGGGCTGGAAGGCCCACCTCAGCATTGCAAAAGAATTAGTCTTCAGTCCTGAAGCTCACAGAATTTGCTAACCTATTACTTAGGGGGAATATACCCCTGAATATCATTACTTGAAGAAAAAATACACATTTCCTTTGGAAGAAAGTAAAATCAGAAATCTTGAGGGTTCTCTCGAAGAAAATCAGACCTGTAGTTCTAACCAGTCAACTGACCTTAGTTGAGAATGTTAATGTGCCAGAGAAACAAATGAATGCTCACCTTTCCGAGGAAGACAGTAGAAAATAACCCGCTTGACTATCTTCAGCTGGAAAAAAGAACTCTTTTTTTTTTTTTTTCTGTGACGGAGTTTCACTCTTGTTGCCCAGCCTGGAGTGCAATGGCACAATCTCAGCTCACTGCAACCTCTGCCTCCCGGGTTCAGGCAATTCTCCTGCCTCAGCCTCCCGAGTGGCTGGGATTACAGGCGTGCACCACCACGCCCGGCTAATTTTTGCATTTTTCAGTAGAGACAGGCTTTCACCATGTTAGTCAGGCTGGTCTCGAACTCCTGACCTCAGATGATCCACCCACCGCAGCCTCCCAAAATGCTGGGATTACAGGCGTGAGCCACCGTGCCCATTCGAAAAAAGAACTCTTTAATCCACTATACCTAACCTTTTACTCTCTCCTTTAGATTTAAATGATTAACTTCTGATAATGCTGCAGACATTTTTTTTTCTGAAAGATTTGTTAATGAATGGATTCCTTTTGAAAGAAGTCCAGGCAAGAGCACAGAAAAACAGAGAGTTCCAATGATGACCAACTGTGAAACATACTATGCTATATAAGAATCCTCTAGAGATGTAACTGTAACACCAAGATCAAAGCACAGGGGACTGTATCAATGCATTTCCCTGCAGAAGATAGGACTCTATAAAGTGAAGGGCAAGTAGCATGTGGAAGAGGAAGGACACTGGGAAGAGCCCTAACTGCTGACGGGAGAGCCTAGTCCAGCTCTGGTCCTTCACTGGTCACTGTGAGATCTTAGGCAAATCACTTGCTTTTCTGGGCCTTCATTTTCTCATCTGGAACTGAGGTAATCGAATTAGACCCTTCTTTAAGTCCTAAGATTCCAAAATCTCCAATGCAGGCACATATTAATATTGTACCAGGTAGCCTTTGTCCTACATTGAATTGTAGGTATAGTTTGTGCATATTTGTCTCCCATCCAAAAGTCTGCAGATTCACTAAGGAAGTCAGTTAAGGGCCAATCGGGGGATTTGAAGGATTCAGAGCTACAGGAGCTATTCTTTATTCCTGGGTAACTCTAAGCCAGAAGATGGAGAAGCTCACCTAAAAGCTCTGCCATCAGGTGTGTGGGTGGTGTTGTACTATGGTGTGGAGAGAGGAGAATGTCTCAGGAGACCAGGTAAGGGTTCCTATGATTGCAGAACCAACCAAAGAGCCTTGGAGGCACCAATGATGATGATTTTCTCTAGTTCTTCAAAAGCCAGGAACTGGGCCATATTGTTTTCTTTGAAAGAAAAGAAAAATAAGTGAAAATGCTTCACAGAATATTTTATAGCAACACACTTCTCTGGATTAATTAATAGTTTTAGAAGATGGAGGTAAAGAGCTCATCTGTATAAAGGTCTGAAGATGCACATATCATCTTGGAAAAAAAGAGGCTGTTATTCCATCATTTCCACATACACGGTTTTGTTACAAATATAATTGAAAATTCAAGTCTTTCAAAAATAGAATACATGGGTACTGGAGATTAGGTCACACATAATCAAATTCTAAATTTCTTTTCCAGCAAAGTCGTCCCTACTGAGGTCAGAGTACAAAGAAGAGGGGATGGTAGGCTAAACGCCAAATGAATGAAAAGGGAAGATTTTTCAGGCAGGGAGTCATTAGTCTTGTCACATGCTGCTGATATGAAAGGACTGACCACTGGATTGAGCAACATGAAGGCATGTGACCTCAATACAAGCTTTTTCTGTGGTTGGAATGAGATAAAAGAGAACAGGGAGAGAAGTGGAGTCACCAAGTGAGGACAACTCTTTGAAGGAGGTTTGTGGACCATTTGTTGTTATACAGAGGGAAATGCACAGGGGATTTTATGATGAGGGAACAGCTCTGTTTAAGAACTGGGTGTAATTGCTTTTGAGTCCACAGAGAGTCAAGGTTCTCTGTGATTTAATTATTCAGGAAAGAGGCTTCCTAGAAAGTTTACACTTTCTTCAAAGAAAGTCAGTTTCTCTCATTTGCATGTCTCTCATTTCTAAGTGACTTAATGAAAATTCCTTTCCCCACTAACTTGAGTTTTATATACCTTGTATGGAGTAGACATAAGAAGTGCTGGTTGGCCTGTTTTGGTGCAGGACAGGATCCCACAAAAAGAAATTTCAGCCTTGTAACCTTTCTTCCTTTGACTTTCTGTGATTAGTTTCCTTAGTGTCTGGTAACAGCTCTGGTTCCTTTGCTGTAGTGTGGTGAGCCTCATCTCTTCAAACAAATTGGTTCACAGGCTGGGGGATGGTGGGCGGGAGGGATGAAATCATTGTTTTGCTTCAATGTCGGTTCTCCCCTGAGAGGTCTTTCACAGCAAGGGAGTCTGTATTTTTAGAATTAGCATGTTCTGTTTCAATGTTGTGAACATTCATTTTAAACCTACTATATTTAGCAGAGGTTTAATTACCCAAATTGGGAAACTAGTTTTAAACCGTCACCTTCTACTTGGTTAATCAAAACAGTCCCTACCACCAGCAGGGGAGACTGGCAATTTCAGTCATACAGCCACACCTGGTGAGGGCAACTGACAAAAGCAATTCCATTGCCTGAGTTCAGCATCTTCAGCACCCATCCAGCCCTGTTGTAGCCCCTCTTTCTTTCAGTAAGACTTTCCTGCAATATACCCTCTGTGGACTAGGGCTGGGGGGATGTGTCTGCTCTGATGTCTGTGGGGAGTGTCTTTTCTTCCCACACAAAAATCGTGATTATATTTTCCAAAATAGCACTCAGGAAACAATCTCTCTGTGGCATTTACAGATATGTGAGATGTTGAGGAACTGCGGTCTGAATGATGAAATTTCTTGGATTTTTCAGCAATGTCATTTTTTCCTTCATTTACTCACTCACTTCTGGAAGGGCCAGTCTGAGAGCTGGGCTGAGGAGTCCAAGGCTGATGCAGTCATGGATGAGTCTGAGGCAGGGAGACCACTAGCAGGAGAATGGGCAGTGCCAACTGGCTTTAAAAATACTCAGATACAAATATGAATTTTGCACATCCATTTAGTCATTTGGCAAATATTTATTGATTGGTTGTGGGATAAGCCATAGAGCCTGACACTAGTTTAGTGAGAGAGATACACAGGAATAGGAAAAAAATTATCATAATAAATGCACAGCTACAGAGCGAGAGCTCTGAAGGATCATTTTATGAGTATGCGTAACAGGAACCTGATGTGATTGATCAGTGAAGCAAATTGGTGCTTGAACTGAGATCCACAGTGGTGCTTCCCAAATTTTATGTGCATATGAATATCTGGGGATCTTGTTAAATGCAGATTCCTGTGCTGCTTCTGGGGCTTGGGGAGGAGCCTAAAATTCTGCATCTCTAATAAGCTGCCATGTGATGCTGATGCTGCTGGTACCAAAGATTCTAAAGGACAAACATAACGGAAAGCAGGGGTTGGGGGAAATAAGTTTCACAGGGAGGGAACAGTTATACACAGCAAGAACATAGTCTGCATGGTGCTCTTCTGGTCCCTAACCACTGAAGCAAAGGTCAAGTAATTGTTCTACCTTCTTCCATGACTAATTGGCAGGATATATGTTCCCCTGATAGGACATTTCCCAACTTTAAGGCTGCTCTTTATGTTTACTTCAAAATTCCTTTTACCTCTTGTAAATATTGGGATTTCCATTTAAAAGGTCAGACAAAAGATATGTCTTCTACCCTTCTCCTTAGAATTTGCCAGAAAACAGGGACAGAAATATGAATTTCATATTTGATAAACCTTGAAGACTAACTCCCAAAAGATAATATTTGGAGAGGCTCTCAATGCAGTGAAGATCAAATATGGGTGCACAAAGGCTCCTGGAGGGAGTGCTTGGGAACACAGGTCTCAGATAAAGCTGGCAGGAAACTGTTTTCTTAAGTAGATGGCACTTTGAGGGCAAAACCAACCACCCCTTCTTCGGAATCACAGGAAAGGCAGGTACATGGAGGGTAGGGTTGGAGCATCCCTTTACCGCATTTGACCTCACAGGAAAGTGGAGCAAGCAGAACTGCAGAAAATGTGCAGAAATGCTGCAATCAGTCTGTGTCCTAGTGAGGCAGGGTGGAGGAGAGAGGCTGAATTGCCTCCTGCTCTGTAGCTGCCAATGCCTGTTGGCTGGAGAGAGGTAAAAATTCAAACAACCCGCACATATAGTCTTGTCATCATGAGTTTGTCCCTGAACCAGGGAGAATTCTTGCTAGCCTGGAACTGCTCATCCCCTTCTCAACAAGACCCTGGATCACTTCCAACATCAGGAAGAACACACTTCATTTAAAGATGAGTAACAAAAAGGCAACTAGCACAGGATCTATACAAATAACTTACAAGACAAAAGGAGGAAGAGGACAGGGGAACATAAAGAATCCTCACCAATAACAAGTTGCCATTAAGTAGAAAATTATGACAAAATAAATGTCTATGAACAATGAATTTAATGAAACAATGAAGAGGCTGGAAGCAGAGCAATTGAGAGATCAGGGGAAATACTAGCACCACCACAGGAGGAAATGAAACAAGAACTTCTGAAGGTCAGGAAGGAAGCAGAAGAGAAAAATAAAGCTACCATGGAAATGCAAGCATACTGTAATAAACACTAAGAAGAAACACTGCTGACATCACAGTGAGGAATAGGAGGGCAACATTAAGACACATAAACAAAAGATATAAGCAAAATAACCAGAAATGAACAAAGTTAGAGTGAACTAGAGAGAACATGAAAGATACAGAAAACAAAAGAATTGCAACATATGCATTATTTGTATCTTTTAAGAAGAAGTCTGGAGATATTACTCAGTAAAACTCTTTAGAAATAAAATAAGACTTGAATCTACAAATGGAAAGGGCATACTGTAGCTCAGAAAAAATTGATACAGAATGATCAACATTGAGAGGTATCCAAGTAAACATACTGGCCCTCAAGGCCAATGAAAAATTTTAGAATCCAGGCAAAAATAAAAAATAAGAGTGAAAAATTAAGTTGGCATGATAACAAAATAGACTATGTAGTGGAATATCAAAAGTAAGAGAAAGGAATCCTAACATAAATGAGAGTACAACATTTCAACATATTACCATAAAAAGTTTAAATTGTCTAATTCACCTATTGACTCAAATTTACAAAAAAGGGAAATCAAATTATTTGTAATATGTGAGATGCATCTAAAACAACGAAACTCAGAAAGGATAATAAAGATAAAAATTAGGCAAAGACATGCAAAGCAAATGCAAAAAAAAAAAGAGCAGCTGTCATAACTATGGTTGCATTCAAAACAAAAAACATGAAATAAGACAAAAGGGGAACTTGATAATAATAAAGGATGTAACTCACAATGCAGTTCAATATGATAAATAAATTGGCATGGAAAACATGGTGTCAAAGCTACAGAAAATAGGAATAGGCAGAAATCCTTTAGCAGTAGAAAACTTTAACGCTTATCTTTTAACTATGGAGAAATCATATGGAAAAAAAGCAAGGATAGTTTTAATAGCTTTACAACAAACTATATACTATGAAGACAGATTACACTTTCCTTTCAAGTATTAATGGAGCAGTTACAAAAATTAACTACATATGAAGCCACAAAGAAAACTGCAATGCAGTCGATCACATAGAAATAGTACAGACATTATGTCATGCCAACGCAAAACTTCAAATGTTAAAGAGAGAAAAAAAAATAACTTTACCTCCTGGAAATTAAAGAACACTCTCTATATAATTTTTCAGTCTCATAGAGAAAGTCATCGCTAAAAATGCAGAATATTTGGAAAGCAACACGAATTAAAACACTGTATATTAGAGACTATGAGATCTTGTTACAGCAGTACTTAGAGGAAAGTTCATAACTTTAAATACTTGTAACAAATAAGAATTAAATGAATTAAGCATCCAATATCAGAATGTATTAAGTAAAATAAAGACAAGGCAGAATAGAAATTAGTAAAGATAAAAACAGAAATTAATTAATTTGGAAAATTTAAAAAATGCCAAAATAAAGTCTATGAGTTGTGTTTGAAAAATTTTTAAGTAAAAATGTGTGCTATGCTCTTTTTTTGAAATGATAACTTTTTAATTGTGGTTAAAAATATAAACCTAAATTTGCTATTTTAGCTATTTAAAAATATACAAATCAATGGCATTAATTATATGCAAATGTTGTACAATCATCACCAGTACTGATTTCTGAACTTTTTCATCACCCCAGCAACTCTGTGTCCTCTAAGCAGTAACTCCCCATTCTCCCTACCCCCTAGCCCCTGGTAACCTTCAGTCTACATTTTGTGTCTATGAAGCCTATTCTAGATGTTTCATATAAGTGGAATAATATAATATTTGTCATTTTTTGTTTGGCTTATTTCACTTAGCATGTATCAGAACTTCATTCCTTTTTATGTATGAATAATATTCTGTTGTACATAACATACCACATTCTGTTTATACAATTGATTTTGTTATGTGCTCTTGGATGGTTCTACCTTTTAGCTATTGTGAATAATGGTGCAACACCCATCTTTTTTTTAAAGGGAAAAAGCAGAAATAGATGATATAAGAAAACAAGAATTGAGAAATAATTATAGATAGAGAAAATTAAAGGAGATTATAGGACTTATATGTACCATAAGCAAATAAATGTAAAAACCTGGATAAAATATGTAATTTCTAGAAACGATAAAGTTCTAAGGCTGGCCCCAGAAGAGTTCGAAAATCTAAAGAGACCAATTACAATAGAAAAAACAGGAAAGTCAGGCTATCCGTCTTCCAAACTACCAGGCACAGATATTTTTACAGGTGAGCTCTTCATAACCTTAATGACTCAATCACTCTAAAGCTTTTAAAATTCTTCTAGAAGAAAAGACTCTAGTTACTTTTTATAAAGTGGAGGTTACACTGGTGTCAGTATGCCACAGAACAACAAAAATAATAAAAAGAAAGTCTAATGTCTCTTGTGACTATCAATACAAACATCTTCAATAGAATACTAGCAAACATATTCCAGGAGGACAGTAGAATGTCCTTCCTTTCAGGAAAGGAAGGATAGTTTAATATTAGGAAATCTATTGATATTGTTTAACATCCTAGTATATGTAAAAAACAGTAAAACCATATGCCCGCACTCATGGTTGCTGAAAATGTTTGCTATAAAATTAAAATCCATTATTGATTATGAAAAAACACCTCATCAAATAGAACTAAATTTATCACATTAGTAAAATATATTTGTCTTACCTCAAAAGCCAGGTCATGTTTAACTAGCAAACCATACACTCACATTAAATTGGGACAAAGATGCCATTACCACAACATTATTGAACATTGGTCTTGAGGTGCTAACAAACTTTTAGATAAGATAAAGAAGAGTGGTATGTACAAGTTGGAAAGGAGGAGGTAAGATAATCATATTTGCAAATAATGTAACTCTGTGCCTTGAAAACCCAAGAAAATTAACTGAAAGATCACTGCCAACAATAGTAAAAGAAAAAAAAAATAAGAGAATTGAGTAGTGTGGCTAGAATAGTCTTTACACACATAAACAACAATTGGTGCTAAGATATGCAAGAAAGGACTGTATGCCCAGAGAAGCTAATTCTACAGATTATATGGAAAAATGAAAAAAGCAAGAATAGCTAGGAAACATCTTGAATCAGAATAGTAATGAGAAGCATGAATGCTCTGATGAACACATATTATAGAGTTATAATCGTTACAGCACTATGGTAGTGGTGCACAGATAGCTACATCAATGGAACAGAGGAGAAAATTCATTTTTTTTTGCAGATCACAGTAAAAAATAGCTTGAAAAACCACTTTCCTATGTATGTCATATGTAAATTTTACATAAAAATACATGCACGTATATACTTGCATATACATAGAACAGCTTTGGAAGTATATTCAAGAAATGTAACAGTTGTTGGGTGATGGGGTAGGAAGTAGTGTTATGTTTCACTATATTTTTTGTGTACCTTTGAATTTTGCACTATTTGTGGTATTATTTCTTTAAAAAGGCAATTTATTTTATTATTTTTTTCAAACCCAGCACAGAATATTAACAAAGTAGATAATACATAGGATGGATATGGAATGATTTGCTTGGATCACTCCAAGCAAGGCATCTGAACTATTCACATGGTTGTGTTTGGAAGCTCCCAGGGTCTAAACACTGTAAGATTTCGGAGATTTATACCAGATCAGACTCACAAACATTTGATTTTCCTCATTTTTCAAGATTTTTTCCCCTCTGGCCTTTCATTTATTCATTTAGTCTTCAGTAGAGAGACCAGGGGATGGCTTGGATTTAGGGGCTTAACCACCTCCATCTTCATCAGCTCCATTCAGCTGAAGCTGTTGCTGTTCTTCTGAAAAGATCCCAGGAGCTTCCCAATACATATGCAATCTCTGTAAAAGCAGTGTGTTTGCAAACACAGCTGCAAGAAAAGCCTCCTACAGCAAGTATATAAAAAGGTGCTCAATATCACTAATCAGGCAGATGCAAATCAAAACCACAGTATTACCTCACACCTGTGAGAATGACTATTATAAAAAACACAAGAGATAACAAGTGTTAGCCAGAATATGCATAAAAGGGAACCTTGTATACTGTTGGTGGGAATACAGAGGCCATTGTGGAAAATAATATGGAGGTTCTACAAAAAATTAAAAATAAAATTCTTATATGAGCCAGCAATCCTGTTTCTTAGTGTAGATCCAAAGAAAATGAAATCACCTCATAGAGATATCTGTGCCCCCATGTTTCAAAGCATTATTCACAATAGCCAAGATATGGAAACAACCTTTGGCTGTCAATAGATGAATGGATAAAGAAATTGTGTGTGTGTGTGTGTGTGTGTGTGTGTGTGTACACACATACACAATGGAATATTATTCAGTCTTAAAAAAGGACATCCTGCCATTTGTGTCAACATGAATGGACCAAGAGGAAAATTATAATATGTGAAATAAGCCAGACACAGAAAGAAAAATACTACATGGTCTCACTTATATGCGAAATTAAAAAAAAAAAGAAACAAAATTCAAAGATGTAGAAACAGAGTAAAAAGGTGGTTACCAGGGGTAGGAAAAGTGGGGGAGTGGGGAGATGGAGGTCAAAGGGTATAAAGTTTCATTTATGTAGAATAAATAAGCCTAGAGATCTAATGTATAGCATGAAGACTGTAGTTAATAATATTTTATTTCATAAGGGAATTTGCTAACAGAGTGGATTTTAGGTAATTCTACTACACACACACACACGCACACAGAAAAGGTAACTGTGTAACATGATAGATATGCTAATTTGCTTGATGTGGTAATCATGTCATTATGCATATTGTTAAATAAAATTTATGGAAGCTCTCATTCTAGATCCCAACAAACCAAAGCAAAATGGAGTCCCACACGCTAAGTGCCACATGATTAAACTGAAATTTTAAGAAAGCAGGTAAATTTCCAAACAGACCAGATATTTTTGAAAACAGAAGATTCACAGAAACCAATTAGAAAGGGCCCAGTCAGCCTAAGTCAGTATAATAAGGAAATCTCCACAGTTTTAACCCTTATAAGAAAAGTAACCTGAAGTAATCTGATGTTAACCGATCTGCCTTTTTCTATTATTCTGTTTCCTTGTTCCCACTTTACAAAAACCAATTGTTCTGCCATGCCCAGTGGAGCATTCATTCTATTTATAGAATACAATACTGCTGAATTCTAGAATCACAAATAGAAGCCAATTAGATCTTAAAACTAAATTTGTTATAGTTTTGCCTTTTGACAATATGTATATCAAAACATCGTGTTAGGTATTGTCTTAGTCTGTTTTCTGTTGCTATAACAGAATACCACAAACGGCAATTTATACAGAAAGAAGTTTATTTGGCTTACAGTTCTGGAGGCTGGGAAGTCCGAGAGCATGGTGCCACCATCTGGTGAGGGTCCTTCATAGTGAAAGGGTGGAAGGTGGAAGTGAACACTAGAAACAGAGAGCAAATGGAGGCTGAACTTATCCTTTTATCAGGAACCCACTCATGGGGCTCTGCCCTCGTGATCTAATCACCTCTTAAAGGGCCCACCTCCCAATACCATTACATTAGCAATTAAATTTCCACATGAGTTTTGAAGGGGGCATTCAAATC
This sequence comes from Homo sapiens, assembly GCF_000001405.40. Taxonomy (NCBI): domain Eukaryota; kingdom Metazoa; phylum Chordata; class Mammalia; order Primates; family Hominidae; genus Homo; species Homo sapiens. Next base: position 60,533,768 of record NC_000005.10, on the reverse strand, counting down.
ATATCAAGAAAAAAAAAAGTCAAGTCCCCTAGGCTTCTCTTCTAGGTAGATTCCTGCTTCAGTCCCTTCCTATATAGAAACTCTGGAGTTTCCCCTACCTCATACTATTGCCTGTTTTCCATGGCTCCAAGAGAAAAGGAATATTCTCTTTTCTTCTGAAAAAGCACTACAGTTTATTGGTCAGCACCAAGTGTGTTTAACTTCAGTTTCAGATGGCAACTCACACATAGATGTGTTTATGTTGCCCTTTATCAGTATTATCATTGGCAAAGCCTTTGGTAAGCAACAGAAGTGGCTAAACAGAATAATTCCAGGCTTGAAGTTCCTTTTTCATCTGGTTCCCTCTGGGAAAAGGCTATGAAAGCTAAGGGTGGTGGCCAAGTCCCAAAGGCCAAGGTCACCATCAAACATTTTCTGAGAATCTACCAAAAACACAGGTCTGTATTAGGTCAATATGCACACAGTTGTGCTGGGAAGGAATGAAGCTTTCAAATATGAGAACTGTACCTGAAAAATCTTTGCCATCAGTTCTTTGAAATGAAACTCTAAGCTGGGAAGAACTCTCTGCTTAGGGGAAGTAGGACTAAAACTTGACTTTTGATTTGGAGAACATTCAAAAGACTCTAAGCTCATGAGTGCTCAACTTGTAATTTTTTGCCCTTGAAAAAACTATAGGCGGGTGCAGTTACACCTGTAATCCCAGCACTTTGGGAGGCCAAGGTGGGTGGATCACTTGAGCCCAGGAATTCAAGATCAGCCTGGGCAACATGGCGAAACCCCGTCTCCACTAAAAATACAAAAATTAGCCAGGTGTGGTGATGCATTCCTGCATGCCAGCTACTCGGGAGGCTCAGGTGAGGGGATTGATTGAGGCTGGGAGATTGAGGCTACAGTGATCCGTGATGGCACCACTGTACTCCAACCTGGACAACACAAAGACCCTATCTCAGAAACAACAACAACAACAAAGAAGCAACAAAAGGGAATTTGTACTTTTAGCCATAGAGCCTTCAAGTTTGTTATAACCACTGGGGAGAAAACCCTTCATTTCTACTTCATTCCTAAAATGGGTTAATCACTGATTATACATAGAAAATTTACTCAAATGAAAACAAACCACCACCAGATTTTACCTTTAAATATATTTTCTTGGTATTATTTTAGGTTCTGGTAGCAAAAGGTGCAGAGATAAGGACATGGGTTAATGACATGGGTTATTTATTGCACTCTGCATACAGCAGCAAGAATGCTTTTCCTAAAAATTCTTTTTGCTGAAGTCCCTTTTTTGCTTATGTCTCTTTTCCTAAAAAATCTTTTTGCTTAAGTCCCTTTGTTGCTGCCCACATCATTTGATTTCCCACAGCAAATTATTATAAGCCTGCATTATCCTGTTTCTCCTCCTCCTCTGAATCTTCCTCTCCATCAGCACGATTTCTGTTTTCTTTCTTTGCCAACTAGCTGTGTGGCTAAGAGTAAGTCACTGGAGTCTCACTGTCCCTTTGTCTGTAAAACTATGGTTTTGGAATAAGAAGGGTCCTGGCCTGCTATGGGGTGTATCAGAGTCAGGGTGAAAGGGTCTTAAGGTATTTGAAAATAAAGCAGCAGATAAGCTTGACATGGAGAGTAGCCTACCTCTGGCTCTGTTTTCTCCATTTCCTTAGGAGTGAAAAGCTGGCCGTCAGCAAGCAGATTCAGTGCTCACATTGTAGCCACATAATCAAAGGAAGAAATACATATCTTTTTTTTTTTGAGATGGAGTCTCACACTGTCACCCAGGCTGGAGTGCAATGGCACAATCTCGGCTTATTGCAAGCTCCGCCTCCTGGGTTCATGCTATTCTCCTGCCTCAGCCTCCCGAGTAGCCAGGACTACAGGCGCCTGCCCCCACTCCGGGCTAATTTTTTTTTTTTTTTTTGTATTTTTACTAGAGGCGGGGTTTCACCGTGTTAGCCAGGATGGTCTCAATCTCCTGACCTCGTGATCTGCCCGCCTCAGCCTCCCAAAGTGCTGGGATTACAGGCGTGAGCCACCATGCCTGGCTGAAATACGTATCTTTTAAGATCTAAAGAAAATCGTTTTAAAGTTACTGTTGTGTCCATCTTGTTTTCTTGTTACTGAACTTATTTCAAAAATTTAAATAACATTAAAGGAAGGTATAAGATTTTTATGGCTATCCAAAAGCTGCATTAAAAAAAACTTAAGGATTTCCAAGTCAATTTCCGGCTGTGAAAATCACACTGTGTCCTGAGTTGGTGGGTTCTTGGTCTTACTGATTTCAAGAATGAAGCCGCAGACCCTCTCAGTGAATGTTACAGTTCTTAAAGCCAGCGTGTCTGGAGTTTGTTCCTTCTGATGTTTGGATGTGTTCGGAGTTTCTTTCTTCTGGTGGGTTCACGGTCTCGCTGGCTCAGGAATGAAGCTGCAAACCTTCGCAGTGAGTGTTACAGCTCTTAAGGCCACATGTCGGGAGTTGTTCGTTCCTCCCGGCGGGTTCGCGGTTTTGCTAGCTTCAGGGGTGAAGCTGCAGACCTTCATAGTGAGTGTTACAGCTCATAAAGGCAGTGTGGACCCAAAGAGTGAGCAACAACAAGATTTATTGCAAAGAGTGAAAGAACAAAGCTACCACAGCATGAAAGGGAACCTCAGCAGGTTCCCACTGCTGGCTTGGGCAGCCTGCTTTTATTCTCTTATCTGGCCCCACCCACGTCCTGCTGATTGGTCCATTTTAAAGAGAGCCGATTGGTCTGTTTTACAGAGAGCTGATTGGTCTGTTTTGACAGGGTGCTGATTGGTGCGTTTACAATCCCCGAGCTAGACACAAAAGTTCTCTACCTCCCCACCAGATTAGCTAGATAACAGCATCCATTGGTGTATTTACAAACCCTGAGCTAGACACAGAGTGCTGATTGGTATGTTTACAAACCTTGAGCTAGATACAGAGTGCTGATTGGTGTATTTACAATCCCTTAGCTAGACATAAAGATTCTCCAAGTACCCACCAGACTCAGGAGCCCAGCTGGCTTCACCCAGTGGATCCCGCACGGGGGCCGCAGGTGGAGCTGCCTGCCAGTCCTGCGCTGTGTGCCCGCACACCTCAGCCTTTGGGCGGTCGATGGGACTGGGCGCCATGTAGCAGGGAGTGGCGCTCCTCGTGGAGGCTCCGGCGCGCAGGAGCCCATGGCAGGGGCGGGCGGGCGGGGGTGGGAGGAGGGGAGGCTCAGGCATGGCAGGCTGCAGGTCCCGAGCCCTGCCCTGCGGGGAGGCAGCTAAGGCCTGGTGAGAAATTGAGCACAGCAGCTGCTGGCCCAGGTGCTAAACCCCTCACTTCCTGGGCCTTGTGGGCAGAGCCTGCTGAGCCCACGCCCACCCAGAACTCATGCCCAGCCCAGAACTCGGGCCCACCCAGAACAAGCGCCGTGCCCAGCCCTGGTTCCCGCCAGCGCCTCTCCCTCCACACCTCCCTGCAAGCTGAGGGAGCTGGCTCCGACCTTGGCCAGCCCAGAAAGGGGCTCCCACAGTGCAGTGGCGGGCTGAAGGGCTCCTCAAGCACGGCCAGAGTGGGCGCCAAGGCCGAGGAGGCACCGAGAGTGAGCGAGGGCTGCAAGGGCTGCCAGCACGCTGTCACCTCTCAATACGATCTGTGAACATGTGCCCTTTCTCAGTTCAGAAAGCCATTTAGAGCAAATGTACTTATTTACTTTATCCAGGCTCTGCTTACTCCTCTCCTCTCCACAGCCATCTCCTCCATTAGAAATGCTTTTCCCTGCCATTTTTGACAGACCCTGAGCCTCCTGGCCTCCCTGCCTGAGACGCATTATAGTCTCTCTGACCTGGACCACTGCATGCAGCTTGGGAGCCTCCCTGTCTTTAAGGTATCGGACAAAATATAGATGAGAGTAGCAAGGCATTAGGAGTAGTAGTAATAGCAGTACAAACAAGAATAATAATTTTTATGATAATAGTAGCTAACATTTGTTGAACTCCTTTTATGTGCCAAGCATTTTATGTTTATTATCTTACCACCCTTGACAAGGACCTTATGAGGTGGGTACTATCAACCCAGTTTCTCAGAAGGGGAAACTGAGGCTTATAAAGAATATACAACTTGCTCCAAGTGGTAACTAGTGGAGAGAGGATTTAAACCTTGGCTCTTCAACATCCCATAACCTATGCATTTAGTTGCTGTTCATAAATAGTCACCTGCATATGTTCATCTTGCTTTTACCTGTGTTCATCCCATCTTTTTTGTGAAACTCCTGGAAGGCAGGTCGTGTCTTCTTTCATTCTTTTATACCATCTCAGAGGGCTGTAACAATACATGCTCAGAAAACATTTCTGTTCAACCTGCATGAAGTACAAGGCAGGCTGAAATGTAAAGAAATACATAAATTACACTGAGGAAGAGCAAATCCTTTCATATAACTTTTTCCTGGCATTACCTCTTAGGGGAAAAGAATTCTCAAGCAAGCTGTAACTGAGCTGGTTACCAAAATCAGAATGAATTCTCCCCAATCACGGGGGACATTCCATAAGCCTTTGGAGTGAGGTCTATTTTAAGGATTTTGTTCAAGTTCCTCCTTCTTGTTTCCTGGCCACACTGCCCAGCACTTCAATTGGCTAATAGGGATTCTGAATAAGAAAGATACAGGCAGCTCACTTGGAAGTTACGTTAAGGACTAATAAAGATCTTGGAGTGATTTTCAACAAGATAAGATCAGCATCCTGGTATTGAGTTATTTTGCTACATTAATTAATTTCAGTTTGTTCTAATGGTCTTTGGCCTCCTGCTTAAATGTCAATTGAGGCAACAGATTAATTCCCCTTAAATAGTGGCCTGTCATGTCTTGTTACTTAGTTCTGGGTTTTATAAAGTAAGAACTAAGATGGATATTTATCAATCGAGCAGATTTCTGTGTTGTGTCCTCTAAAGCCCTTGGGGTCAGTGTCTCACTGTAGCATCACTAACACCTTTTATGGAATCAAGTGATTAATAAATGTGTCCTCATGAGACTGTGATGCTTCTGGGTGTTCATTTTAGATACCTTAATAATTAGTCTCAAGAGTAGCTCAGTTATTAAGTGATTTTGGGGTTGCATCATGTCAGGGAAACAATCAAGAAGAAACTATTTTAATAGCATAAATTTCTCTGAGATAGTGAAGATAAAAGAATGCTACCAGTTTACCCACTCCTTACTGTCTGAGTCAGGAAGAAGGTGGAACATCCTATTCCTTCTTCACCTCTATTACCTCATTTAGAAAATTTTGACTATTTCTTCTTTTAGCTCCCTTTTTACGGTCCACCATTTTTGGAAGATGACTTTCTCCCTGTCTTCTTAGAATAAAAGGTCCAAAGGAAGAAAAGAACAAGATATGCTCAGGAGTTACCTGTGATGACTTCCTCTCCCTTGCCTCGGGCACTGGCCCACCACTCCTTTTTCTATTCTCAGTTCTTTATCTATTTACTTTTCTATTCCCTGCTCCTTTCCTATTGTCCTGACTTGCATGACACTGGCAAGCTACAAAATGGGAACAATAGCAACTGCCTTAGAAGGCTGACAGGATTCACGGGAAGCACCCTGAGCAGAGTCTAATTCCTAATGAGTGGTCCTTACATATTAGGATCATTTTCTTTCCTTTTGAGCTTCTGGTTTCTTGGCCTCTGGCCTTAGCCTCTTTCAACATATTCTACATAGGTAATCAGATTCACCTTCAAACAATGCTGTTTTGATCTTGTCATCTGGTGAAGAAAAAATAAAACCTTCAGTGGCTTTCTAAGACGATGAAATCAAATTCAAAGTCTCATCGTGGTATTCAAGGTCTTCTGTAATCTCCCCTCAGCCTGTGGCTCTTACTGATGCCCCATTCTTCTATTGCTCAGGGTGCTTTGGGCTGTAGCCACTAGGTTGACGAGCATCCTCTTGACGAGCATCCTGATGATGCTGATAAAAGTGCTCAAGGACATTTTGGGAATTTTTTCTTTAGTGTTATCTAGGATAGTACTGTATACAATGCATATTTTTATGTATAAATCTTATTTCTGTCTATGTTAGTTGCCTTGAAACAAAAACTGGGCCTTTGTATCTGTGCAGGCTACAAAGGCTTGACACTGCTACCCTTAGAAAGGCCTGCTTGCCAGGTTAGCCTTTGGTTGGTAACTGGGAACTGAGCCCTTGGAGGGCTCTCAGTCAACAGTCAATTGATAAGTGTGGTTCACTGTGCCTAGACTTTTGTGCAAACAACACAGTTTATGCTTGAACACCTGCTCCCCTGTTTGGAGTCTGGAATATTTTGATGTGCTAGGCAGAGGGTGCCTATGTGATCAGCTCCATGAAAAACCTTGGGCACCGAGTTTCTAAAAAGAAGCTTCTGTGGGCTGAAACGTCATATACAAGTTGCTACATTTTCCTTGCTGTACTCTATGTGATCTCCCGTGGTAGGCAGAAGCATAAGGAAATCTGCACGTAAAATCATTCAGACGCTGCCTGTGGCTCTCCCTTATGATCTGGCTGTGTATCCTTATTACATCACTAGAATAAATCTTAGCTTTAAGTACTGCCATACACTGAGTCCCATGGGTCCTTCTAGTGATGTCCAAATGTAGGGGGCAGGGGTCTTGGGTACCCCTGACACAGTATCTCTTTCAAAACAAATTCTTAGAGTAGGTTCTTAATAAATATTTTGTGATTGAGCATCTCAAATCTCCCAAACATTGTAGATGCTTAAAACATTTAAACACTTTTGTTTCTTTTTACCATTTTTGATTTTTTGGGCACCTTTAAGTTTTTTTTTATATGCCATCAGGCCAACATTTATAACATATGGTAGATCTGAGATGTTGTTTTACTGCCTACAAAGAATTGTTCTAGTTTTGCCTATTTATTTTCTTTTACTTCCCGATATTTCAGACACTGTTAGATCTTGCCAGAGCAGTTCTTTTGGGCTTTTGTGATACAGAATCACTGGAAAAGGTAGAGGGTTAGAAGGGCACAGGTTTGAGGACTAGGTCTGGGAGATCAGTTTTGGTGGGAGGGTATGAAGGAGAGAGGCGCATGACAGGGCTTGTGTGATGTGACGTGACCACATGAAAGGAAGGGGCTTTGTGAATTGTTGCGGCAGACTGAGATTCCTTTTCACAGCATTTGAGAAATAACAGAAAGAGAATTTGTTATTTTGAAATGACTTCCTGGCGGCTGAGTTGTTTTCATTTGATAACGACCCCTCTCTAATACCAAGTCATGGTTTGCAGTTTACGTCTTAGGGTTTTCACAGATTTTATTTGATGGTAGGAACCACATCATTTGTTCTAGATTTAGCATGTGAAATTCCCAGTAAATTCTTGGTGACAATGACTGATTGCTTCATTCATAAACATTTATTGAATACTTGCTGTGTGCCAAGCATCGTGTGTAGAGGATACAGAGATGAGCAAAAATAGGTCCCTACTCACATCATAGAGGGGAGGCCGACTCACATGCACACATTTCCAATCAGATATGGTGAATACTAGTGGTGGAAGGTTAGGAGCCCAGAGGACAGCATCTCATCCACTGGGACCTTGCTTCCTACGAGGCTTGTCCTGCATTTCATGGCCTTAAATTTCACCAATGTAGTTATCTAGTGGTGCTGATAAATCACTTATAATTAGTTTTTTATTGTCTAAGTATCAATTTTAGCTGCTGTTTTTTTAACCTTTCTTTAGTTTCTGCCTACATAATTTCCTTAGAATTAAAGCATCAATAATGGACCTTTGCAAAAATAAGCACTTTCTAACACCAATGTGCCATCCATCAGCAAAGGAGGCCATTAGCAAAGTCCAATTCATAGACTGCCTCTGATTTTGCATTTTAAACTTGCTAATATTTAGCTCACAGTGTGATTTTCCCACGGTCACACACCTAGTTGGTGGTGAATTGCCGTAATTTTGCAATTCATATTATTTTGCATGTATCTCATTTTATTTGTATTCTGTGCCAATCTCTCTGATATTGAATGTAAGTTTATTGAGTGCAGATGTCTGTGTTTTTATTTTTGTGTCCCTAGTGCCCAACATATTGTCTAGGGAGGAAAATACTTGTTAGATAAACAATTAGATGATCTATTAGGATTCTGTAGAGAAACAAAACCAATAGGAAATATATAGATACATAAGAGGAGATATATTGTGGAAATTGGCTCATGCAATTATGGAGGTTGAAAAGTCTCACAATATGTCATCTTGAAGCTGGAGAACCAGGAAAGCCAGTGGTATAATTCAGTCTGAGTCCAAAGGTCTGAGAACCAGGGGAGCCAATGGCATAACTTCCAGTCTGATGCCAAAAGGCCTGAGAAACTTCAGGGGAGAATCTGAAGTCCCAAGAACTAGAAACTCCAATGTCAGAGCAGGAGAAGATGGATGTCCCAGCTCAAGGAAAGAGAGTTCACCTTCTTCTGCCTTATTGTTGTATCTAAACTGTCAATAAATTGGATGATGCTGGCTCACATTTGTGAGGGCAGATTTTCTTTATTTAGTCTACTGATTCAAATGCTAATTTCCCCCAGAAACACCCTGAGAGACACATCCAGAAATAATATTTTACCAGCTATCTGAGCATCCCTAAGCCCAACCAAGTTGACACATAAAATTAATAATCACTGATGATAGTAATGAAAAGAAAAAACTTGGATTTCTGCTTTTTGGTCTTCATGAGATATTTTCCTCACTGTATCTCTCTTCATGAGATATTTTTCACTATATCACATGGATATATTTTCCACTTCGATATAGTAGAAAATATGCATGGAAAAATGCATCTATTATTTATTGAGCACATATTATACTTGAGGCACTCTGCTAGGCACTGTATTGAACAAAGATGATTAAGACAGTGTACCTTTCCTAAGGCACAGAAACCATAAGATAAATATACAAATGACTGTAGTGCAAGGTAGAATATACAAATGCACAACTAAGCAAATCTGAGAATGGGGCTTTCACACATTGTGGGAGAATGAGAGAAAGCTTCATGGAGGAGGTAACTTTTGACCTAAACCTTGGAGCAGGAGCACCTGAGTTCCAGAGGTTAATTAAAAAAATGAAGGCAGAGGGAGAGAGGGCAGGGTGGGCAAAGGGAAAAACAGGAAATATAAATGTGAGTCATTTTTGGAAAACTGTGGGAAGTCTCTTTTAGGTGTGGTGTATGAAGTGTGTGTATGTTGGGGGAATAGAGCAAAGTAAGGATTAAAAGTCAGGTTTCCAGGCTATGTTGCCTGGCCAAGCTCAGGGCTTTGCACTTGGTTCATCAGCATTGATATGTTTTTTGTTTTGTTTTGTTTTTTTGACAGCGTCTCGCTCCGTCACCAGTCTGGAGTGCAGTAGTGCAATCTCGGCTCACTGCAACCTCTGCCTCCGGGTTCAAGCAATTCTCCTGCCTCAGCCTGCCAAGTAGCTGGGACTACAGGTGTGTGCCACCCCGCCCAGCTAATTTTTGTATTTTTAGTAGAGGCTGGGCTTCACCACGTTGGCCAGGATGGTCTCGATCTCTTGACCTTGTGATCCGCCCGCCTCGGCCTCCCAAAGTGCTGGGATTACAGGCGTGAGCCACCGCTCCCGGCAGCACTTATGGGTTTTAAATATGAGAGTGACAACATCAGGTTATTGGGCAGCAGGAGGTGGGCCAGTTTTGAAAGGCAGGTGAATGAGGCAGTGAGATAAGTTGGGAGGGGCTGCAATAGTTCAGAAACAAGGTAGTGTGCAAGTAAATCACAGGTGGCACCAGAGATGAAGAGGAAGAGGCAGTGTGACAGCTCTGTTGCATGACACAACATGGGAAACGCAGGATTGAGAAGAGCCAGAGGTGATGATGCCATTAGCAGCGTGCATTTAGTACTTATCACAACCTATTTACATTTTCTATATAAACATTGATCTCATTAGACTGTGATCTCCTAGAGGAACAAGTCCCATGTCATTCTCATTGACAAAATGAACATGGCAGATACTTGGTAAATGTTTGCTAGTAAGTGAATGGAAGTCAGGCGAGTTGGCTTGGTGATGGCAGCTGGGGTGTTGATGGAAATACCGTGCTTCTTTTTGGACATGATGGAATTTGGGGATGTGGTCTATTTGTTAGATGCAGTTTCTAGGAAGAGATTACCCAAAGAACTGAAGAACAATGACAAACTTATGTGTATGTGAGGGCAAGATAAAGAGTAGAGAGATGGTATAGTTGGGTATGGAGAGAATGCTGTAACTGAACTGCTCCCTTCAAGATGTCAGGTAAGATTGGAGAGAAAATGCAGGATAGCATTTGTCACAGGTAGTTGGAATGTGGAGGGAAGACTGGAAGGATGAGAAGGACTGAGGTGGACCTGTGGGCTGTGTTAGCCGGTGAAAGTTGGAGGGAAAGGGAAATGGGAGGCAGTAGAGCATGGAGTTACATATGCAGGCACTGGAGTCAGGCTGTTGGAGTTCAAAGGCTAGCTCTTCTGTGGATTTGTTATGTGACTTTACACGCTCTCTCTTGCCTCAAGTTCCTCTTCTGCAAAATGAGGTTAATAATAATACCTGCATAAACACATGCACAGCACACAGAACAGAAGCTGGAATGTGATAAGCACTTCATAAGCATTAATTCTTCTTACTGAAACTCACTAGGGTCACTTTGTGCATATTATCCTATTTAATCCTTAGTAACTGTATAGGTAGGTGTTATTATCTTCATTCTGCAAATGAGAAAACTGAAGTGCAAAGAAGTTTCATAATTTTCCTCAATCCACACAGCCACTATATGATGTGATAAAGCTTACCTAAGCTAGAGTCTTACCTGATCCATCTGGTGCCCGGGCTAGTGCACTTTCTCCTATAACACTCAGCCTAAGCTAGGTAGATATGGCAAGACCACTGGCTGAGGCAACTCAGATGTGATCAATAGGTAGTAGGGAACTGTGGCTGACTTGGGGGCAGGGGAAGCAGCATGCTGGAAAGATTCATCTGGTATGTTTATAGAAGAGAGCAGGCAGCAGGCATGGGGGGCTGATGATTCAGACCAGAAATGGCTGAGGAAATGGTGAGGTCTGGCAAATGTCAGAGGAGCTGTGATAGAAGAATGAGCAGAATTTATGACTGATGCAAATAAGGTAGATATGATGGTACGTGACAGAAACTGACTAAGAAGTCTGTATGCAGTGGGTGCAGCTTAGAGTTTCAACTTGAAAGTTTCAAACCTGGGACTCTAAGAAAATAGTCTGAATGGTAATGAGAAAGTTGTCACTTTAGTATCTGCTTCCCTTGAAGAAAAGCACCTTTAGAGGAACCAACTTGGAGAATAGTGTCGCATCAAAGTGGGACACTTCATTATTTTTAGTGGCAGCATGGTTCTGATGAGCACACCGTCGGTAACCTTTACTTCACTGTCAGTCCAGCTCTGTCAATCCTCCTTTATTAAGGAAGGAAGCTGATGGATCTTTCCTTTCTTTCTTTCTTTCTTTCTTCCCTGGAGTAGGATGTTTTCTGTACACAGTTAGCATGTGAACTTCTTTTTAAAAAGAAGTTTACATTTTACTCTAATTCTCATCCATAACGGAGTGTGGTGATTTGCATTTGGGCAGTTAGGAAAATCAGTTCTGTTGACTTCCTGTTTTCTATTTCTGGCCTCGAGCAGAACTTCCCATTTGAGTGGGACCAAGAAGAGCATACAAAGCTGAAATGTTCTCCAGAAGTTGATTTCCAATGGGGATAAAGTAAGTTAATGGTCTGAGGTGTTTGTCTCCCCTTGCCCCCGAAGCTTGCCCTTTAGTTGCTCTTGTTTTTAAACTACAGGGAATGAACTGAGGGAAGCATTTTTTTTTTTTTTTTCCTGCAGGTCAGAGTCCCAAAGCTTTAGTGCAGGGTTCCAAGGACTCAGGAGTTCAAAACATGCTGCTTAGGCTGAGCTCTTGGCCAGATTTGGAGATTCCAATGTCTTCTCCCTTTGACAGTTCCTAAGAATATTTTATTTGGATCCTTTTCTTTAGGTTTTTCTGTCTAAACATTTTATTTTACCTAGTGTGAAGGGGTGAGGGAGGGCAGATTGTTTCCTTTCTTCCTCCTCTCCCCTTCCCCCTCCCCTCTCCCTTATTCTCTGTTTATAATTTAAAAGGATGCTCACTTTCATTTTCTCATTTGCTTCCTTCACAGCACCCTGTGAAGCTGATATTGTTATCCCCCTTTGACAGAAGGGGAAACTGCAGTTTCAGTGAATTTCAGTGACTTAGTCAAGTCACTCAGTTAACAGTGCTGAGAGTGAAGCCCTAGTGTTCTGCCTTTAGATCTCTTTTTCCCAGTACCATACTGCTTTTCTGGTGGAGGTTGTAGTATATAGGATGATGTCAGAAAGGAGAGGCTGGGAAGCCTGAAACGATCACATCGACAATTGAATTGTCTGTTTTTTCTAATAAAATAGAAAATGTTAACTAAATATATTGCCATGCAATTCTTCAAGCATATAGGACTTTGGGTCCTTTTTTGTGTCTCAGACTTTAAGATGATGTCTCCTGGGGAGTCATTTACTATATGCAAGGAGAATAGCTGAAAAGTCAGGGTAGGCCAGCAGTATTTCATGCTTTGTACTTGGGCAATATGGGTTTTTCTGTTGGAGGTTCAGCAGAGGATGGTAGCAAAGTGACATTTAATTCTCCTGCTTGCCAAATCTTGGTGAGGCCAAAGTGGGTGGGGGAATCGGTTGTGAGTAGGTGTTAATGACGAGTGTCTGGACCTTGACGTCTTCTCAGTCCTGGAGTAGGGAAAAAGGAACAGAATTAGTGCTGTTTAGAAGAAGCTGGTGATGGAGGTCTGCTTAGGAATGAGTGCAGATTAGGACAGGGGCAGTGAGGGAGGCCCACAGAGACTCTGGCTGCCTGTCTTTCCTGGCATGTCTGTGGAATGACCTTGCTCTGCCAGGACTCTGGGAGGAAGCCTTTGATTTTGGGGGAATCTTTAGGACTATGCACATAACCAGACTTTCCTGATGGGAATCTCCAAGGGGGCCTCCTGGGCCAGGGCCGTGGGCCAGCAGGTGTCTTCCTAACATGGTCTGTGAATAGTGCCCAACCTAGGCGGTGCCTTCTTTTCCTGAATCAAGCCCTTTCCTCCTCAGTGCCAAAGCAGAAGTGGCTGGGTGGGTGAAGATCTGAGTGCTGGCCCGGGGCCACAAGCCATGGGCCACTACCCATATTGCTGTGAGATCCTGACCTTTCTCTTTTCTGGACTCACAAGATAAAGAGAGTGAATGAGGAGGAAAATCAAATATTGTGGCAGGGAGGGGCTGACAAACACAGGCATGGCCAACAGAAGTCTCCCACCAAAGTGAGGAGCTGAGAGAAGGATTTGGGGAGGGAATGTCAGAAGTCTCACTCCCAGGCAAAGGATTCAACAAAGGAAAATCCGACTCTGGCTTGAATATGGTCCAGGTGTGGGGTTAGTAGTCCATGTTACTGTCTGACATGGGAGAGCATTCCACTGTGATGGAAATGGGGTGGGTTGGGGTACAGGAGGAACCATAGAGGTAGAAGAGAAAGGAGGTGAGAAGGAACATAGTCTGGCAGTTGACCAGAGTGTATCTGGCTGTATGGTGTAGTCCCCATAACAGGGCACCTATGTCTGTACATTGCACAAAAACAACCATCCAGTGTGTTCTTAAAAGTCCTGTGAAGGTACATTGTAATTTGAACTATATTTTGAAGATATCAGAGGATCCTATCATTTAGAAGAATCTCATGGGAATTACTTTTTAAAAAGAAAATAATCATTTTAGGGAATAGAAAGTCTCTCAACGATTGGTTTTGAATCTCTGGGTTTTAAATCCATTTACTCCAAGTAGGATTCAGTATTTCACTCTTTCACTGGCAGTGGATTGTTTTTTCTCCTACATATATGGCTTGAAAGCTCTTAACAAAGGATAGTAATTAATTATTTCCCAGCTATTTTTACCTTTGACGTATTAAAAGTTGGAGGAAACTATTTCATTTAACAGAATTTAAACAAAATGAAAAAGTTATTTTCCTTAAGGTATTCTGCTGTGCTTTTTCAAGGAAAAGCCTCCTCCAAAGGCACTTTTGGAGACAGTTACCAAAGGAAAATCCCACCCACCAACAGAGACACTCAGCCTCTAAGTTTGGCTTTTGGAAAATGAACACTATTCTTTTTTTTCCAAACAGGACGCTGTGAGATCAGTCATGTACACTATGAAAATAATTGGTGTGCATTAGTACACCTTGTGCCAGATTTCATGCTTGTTGAAAGGTGATTGGATTCAAACCAGCACATTTAAAGGTCAACTGGTTGTTCTTAAACTGTGCAGAATTTTAACTCTTTCATTATAATGGATTTTAACCAAATGGCCATTTTAGGAAGGAGAGAGACTGCATACTGTGTTTTAACTTTCTGACCTTTTTGTTCTTAAATTTTTTGTAAAGTTCTCAGGGATTTCCTATGGATGGAAAGGGTCTGAGAAATCAGTTCTCAGCTGGCATTTGGAAAAGGGTGGAAGTAGAAACTGAGTTCTTTTTAAACTGCTAAATTTAGGTCAGGGCTTTAATACGACTGTGCACATCACATAAGCAATGTCTAAATGTCAGGCTGAATGTTCTCTCTCTTTTAAATAAGTACTTCAAGTTCGTTAGTAATAGCTAGCCCTCTGTCTCTTTCTTGCTTCTCCTCTCACCTTTGAGCAACTTTTTAAGTTCCTTTAACAGCTCTGTGGAGAAACCACCATGTAATGATCAATATTTAACCCAGTTGGTTGACGTTAGCCCCGTTTCTGGAATGGGTATTTCACTGGGCTTTGGGGTTTTGATGACGTTTTCTCCCCAGTGACTGTGGATGCATGGATTAAATTTGTTGGTCTGCAAAATACCATCTGTCTACCAGCCATTTTGCTGTATTTCCCAAAATAAGGTAGGAGACTGATGTGTCTCAAATAAGCAGGGTGAAATTTAGTCATCTGATGATAGTTTCTTGGGTTGTGCATTAGTGTCCTGATGAGCCCCTAGCAACTTTCAACATTATGAAGACTAGTTTGGAAGCCTCAAAGGCAGTATCTTTCTTGAAGAAAAAAAAATAACACCAGGCATTTCCACAAATACCATACACAAGTGGTCAGGTAAAGGCTGTGGGAGTTCACGCATCTGTTTACCTTGAGTGTGTGTATGAACTCTTGTAGTTCTAACTAAAGGCAAATGGAAACTGTATAGAGTCCCATTTTGTCAAGCTGACAATTCAGTATCCTCTTCTTTCCTGGTTGCTTTATAGCCCACTCTTAGTTGTTCTCTTTCTATATTTCCTACAATTTTTAGCTGTGAGGCTGTGTATTCGTTGCTTAAAAATTCTGTGCCTCATCTGCTTCACTTGCAAAATGGGGAAAATGTCACAGGATCCTTGGGGTGTTGCTTTGCCAGCCAGAAACCTTTGTGGCTAATGGTGCCTTTGCCTGAGTTTTGCTCGGGCCCACTGGGCTGGTTCTGCCCACTCAGCCTGGGCAGGCTGTGCTGGGCTCACGCTACTGGCCCAGATCTTATGCCTGCCAAGGGTGAGCCAGGCACAAAAAGGCAAGGGGTATGTGAACAAGGGAGCTGCCCATTGTGCACAGCCAGTCATGCCAGCTGAAGCAGGGCAGGCAGCTCCAGATGCCGACACAAGTGCTAGCTCCCTGTGAGGCTGTGGCTGGACCAGGTGTACCACAGATGGCTTCCACTGCTGGCACCCGGGAATGTGGTGGTGCCTGGAAGCTTGGAGACGCCAGGAACTACAGAGCCCCAAAGAGGGTGTCACATCCCTGGCTTGGGGAGCTCCCAGGTCTGGGCTCCCTGAAGGGCTGCAGTTCCTCTCTTCTTCTCTCTTCTCTCCCTCTTCTCACCTGCAACATGGCAAGCAAGGGGTGTGTTTCAGCCCTGTTTGTGTTACAGCTCTTTCAGTCCCACCATTTAGTGGGTCCCAAGTTCTTGTCCTGTGTCCTGGAAGAATGAGGTACAGGGACAACTGGAGGGTGAGCAAGGCAGAGAGGAACTTTATTGAGCGACGGTACAGCTCCCAGGAGACCTGAAGTGGGTAGCTCCTCTCTGCAGGCAGGTTGTCCTGTCAAGCCTGCAGCTCTCAAGAGAGAGGAGACCCACAGTGGGTAGCTCCTCTCTGCAGGCAGGTCATCCCTTCAAATGTGCAGCTCTCAGGAGAGAGAAGACCTACAGTGGGTAGCTCCTCTCTGCAGGCCAGTTGTTCCAACCTCTGCCCAGTCTGGCTGAGTCCAGGGAGTTTTATGGGCTTCAGAGAAGGGGAAGTGAGTGCTAATTGGTCTATGGACAGCTGTGGGCAGCGTAAGTTCTCACTCCAGTCTGTGGAACTAGCAGCCTGGCCCCCAGGCTTCAGGCCATCCCAGGCCTAACGGTGGGGCTTCACGGAAACTGCCCCTTTCTGTCCAGGAGTCCGTCTGCCTCCCGCTGCCATCAACCTGCTGCACTGGCACCCAGGCTGTTCATGCCAAGGGGCACCTGCAGCCCATACTGAGCCACTCTCAGCTCCCCCTTGGCCCCCCTCCCATGCTCCTTGGTGCACAGAGTCTGGAGGGGGCCGAGGCAACAGGGGGCTGGTGTGTCAGTGGTACTCTGAGCACGGGCATACACAGCTGGGTCGTGACAGTGCCCCAGCTTGCACTTAACTTTGCTCTGAAATTGGAGTGGGAGCTAGGAGTGGGGAGAGGCTGGGCAGTGGGAGCAGGCATTTCTGAGCCTGTGGGGGTAGGGGGGTTTCCTGGGCTTCTGAGAGTACAGGGATGCCTGGGTCTGCACCCACAGCTGGGTGGCTGCAGCTGTGCCCAGGAGGGCAGGACTCCCACCCCTCACACTCAGAAGTGGGTGGGGCTTCTGCCTGTTCCCAGCTCCCAACAGCTCCATGGAATGTGCAGCCCTGGCTGCGCCTTGCCTGCTGCAGCTGGCGTCTTCTCAGCAGCCACTCCAGATGGGCCACCACTGTCATCAATTACATTACCTACCTTAGTGTTATTGTGAAAATTAAATGAGTTAATCCATGTAAAATGCTGGGAACAATGTCTGGCATAACATAGAAGCTCAATAAATATTAATTCTCATTATTGTTGGTATCATTTTTGCTATAATTTGAATCTTTTACATATTGTTGTGACATATGGAGGTTTTTGACCTACAGGGTTTCTTCTGAGTGGCATAGCTCAGGGTAAAGTGGCTCTCCTCACCTCTCAATACCCTACTGTCTTTTGCCTAAATTCCAGTTAAGGATGGCTAGAGACATCATATGGGAAAGGGTGGTCCTGAACCAGAGAGATGGGAGAGCAAATTGCTAAGGTGGTTCTTGAGGGTAGGGATGGAGAGCCAGACAGAGACAGGTGTCCTCCAGACAGCTGTCCTTTATCATTCACTCACTGCCTCTGCAGCTCCTGCTGCCTCCTTCAGAAAGCGAATGTATGTTGCCTCTAATGCCCTTCCTGAGCTAAAGCCCAGTAGTTCTCAAACATCCTCTTTCAAAGACACTGAGCCCTGGTAACCTTCATTACATTGTTGTTCTCATATTTTTCTCAAGTTAACTCACTCATAACCTACAGTTTCTTATTACATTGATATATTGATTATGAATCTTTCACCATTAACTTTTGTTCATTTCTATTCCATCGCAAACTTAATATTCACAAAACAGGCTTAATCTGAGCACAAGTGAAATGGTATAGCTGCGAAATACCTGGCAGTGGTAGGTACTAGGTGTTATAACATGATGACACTTAGAATTTATAGACACTTAGAGCATAGTTTTTCAAATATTTTGGCTGTAATCAATAAGAGATAGATTTCACATCACAGTCTATACAGATGTACATTTATTTATATGTATGTATGTAGGCATAGCTTAAGCAAAAGTGTCATGAAACAATGTTCAACCTATTGCACACAATGTACTTTCATGATTTGTATTCTCTTCTTTTTTATTGAAAATGAGTCTGGTTTGTAACCCAGTAAACACATAACCTACAGTTTGAAAAACCCTGATCTAGAGGAACATCCAGTGGGTGCCTCTTGAGTTCTTACGCACTATCCACATATCATCCGTATCATACATAATGGGTTGTGGCCATCTCAGTTTTATTTTGAGGCACTGCCTCTTCTCATCCTGACAGAAAAAAAAAAAAAAAAAAGAAAAAGAAAAGGAAAGAAAGCTCAGATCAAGAACTAACACCTTATCTTAAAACATATAATCTCTCCTTTACCTTATGCTCTTTCCTAATAACTATTCTTTTTCGATTGTCCAAAAGAAACCACTCTAATAACTTATAACACCATGTATTAGAAATTTAGAAACCATTTTTGAAAGACAGTAAAGATGTAAATTAATGGGGGGACTAAATTATGCATGGATAGAAAGACTATTTATTATAATGACATCAGTTCTCCCATAAAATCAATGATATTTCAATAAAAGGGTCAACAGTCTTTATTTTATAATGGAGACTCACAATCTTATTCCAAAATTTATATGGAAATGCAAGTAGCCAAGAAGAGGCAATATAGCCCTAAAGTAAAAGAACACGGAGGAAAAACTTAAAACTATCTGATATCAATACTTACTATAAAGTACAATACTTAAGTGTGGTACTGACACAAAGAAAAATGGTTCACTGCAGTGATCATATACATCTTTTGTTAGATGTATTTGTATGTATTTGATATTTTTGATGCTGTTGCAAATTTTATTGTTTTGTAATTTTTACCCTGTTGCAAGTATCAGAAATACAGTTGATTTTTCTATCCAGCAAACTTGCTAAACTTTGTGGTTAATGGAAACACTTCAGCTATAGATTCTTTTCAATAACACAATCACATTGTCTAAGAATATTTTTATTTTGCTTATTCTTTTTCAATCCTATGCCTTTTCTTGTTTTCCCCCCCTTGCTTTATTGCTTTGGCTGAGATTTCCAGTGTCAAATAGAAATGTTGATGGTAAGCATTTTTTTCTCATTCCTGATTTCAGAAGAAAAGCTTGTAGCATTTCAATATTGAGTTATTTTTTTTGTGGTGTTAACAATTTTTTTTGTAAACACCTTTTATTACATTTAAAGAGTTTTCTTCTGTTTCTAGTTTGCTAAGAGTTTTCTTGTTAGACGTTAAATTTTATCAAATGGCATTTCTGAATCTGTTGATATAATAGAAATTTCTCCCTCATTCTGTTAATCTGGTTAACTATATTAAATTGATATTTTGAATGTTAAACCAACTGTATTAGTCTCCAACCTTGTAGTAACTAAACTGAATTTAGTTACACTGTGTTTCATTACTGGATTCAGGTGGTTAACATTTAAGATTTTGCACTGTCACATGTAAGAGAGTTCTGGCTTGACTTTTCTTTTCTTTTAATAACTTTGTTGGGTTTTGGTGTAAAGGATATGCTGACTTCATAATACAAGTTGGGAGTGGTTCCTGTTTTTCTCTTCTCTGTAGAGTTTATGTAAGATTACTGTTAATTCTTCCTTATCTGTTTGGCAGAATTCAACAGTGAATCGTCCATTTCATATAAACAAGTTTATTTGCTTAAGGTTACTCAGAATATAATTTTAATATATCTGAAGGATCTTCAGTTAATGTCCCTTTTTCATTTCAGATATTGGATATTTGTACCTTTTGTTATTTCCTCCTTTATCAGTCAGTCTCACTAGGGGCTTATCAGTTTTATTAGTCATTTCAAAGAACCATCTGTTGGCTTTTTATTGATATTCTTTATTGTATGTTTTTAAAATTTTCATTGATTTCTATTCTTATATTATCATTTCATTTCTTCTTTTTCTTTGGACTTAATTTGCTGTTCTTATATAATTATAATTATATAATTTATTGAAATATATGTTAAGATAATTGATTTTTAGGCTTTATTCTCACTTAATATTTACATTTAAGACTATACATCTCCCTCAAAGGCTGGATTTAGCTATATGGCACAAATTTTCTACTGTAGGATTTTCACTTTTATTCAGTTCAAAATGTTTTCCAATATCTGTTTTGATTTCTTCTTTGAGCTACATGTTCTTTATAAATATATTACCTAATTTCTAAATATATGGGGATTTTCCAGTTGTCTTTTTGTTATTGATATCTAGTTTAATTCCACTTTGGTCACTTTAAGAGAATTTGAATTCTGCCATTACTAGGGCTGTGTTCTATATATGTTGAAGTTTTAAAATCATGTTGTTCCCATTTTCTCTATAACTGGTGACTATTTTCCCACTTATTAGTCTGTTACAAGAGGTGTGTTAAAATGTCTTATGATTTGTGGGATTATCAGTTTTTGTAATTCTGTTCATTTTTGCTTTAAATAATTTAAGCCTCTGTTATTAGGAGCATATACTTTTAAAATTATTATATCTTCCTAGTAAATTCAGCCATGTATTTCCTCCTCTTTATCTATTAATGTTTTGTCTTAAAATCTACTTTGTATGGTGTGAACATGGCTACTTCAGCTTTATTCTGGGGTAGTGCCTGCATAGCGACCTCTTTCTATTCTTTTCACCTTCAATCTTATATATTTAAGAAATGTCTCTTGTAAGAAACATATAGCTTTGTTTAATACAGCCTGGCAAATTTCGTCTTTTGAATAAAATCTTAATGTTTGTGATTTATGTAATTATTATATTTGTGTTTTGTTTAAATCTATCATTATTATTTGCTCTCCATTTGTCTCATCTTTTGTTTCCCCTTTTTTAAAATCTTTTTTACTTTCTTTGTCTTGAGGTTTAGAAAATTTATTATTATTTTCCACTTTTCCTGCTCTGTTGACTTCCACCACTCCCAACTTATACACTTCTGTTTATGTGTTTTCATTTGGCATCAATATTAACCCCCTCAGGACATTATTATCAAAGACAGTCAATATCTATTTAGATATACCCACATAGTTAGCCCCCTTTTTGACTCCTCGTTTTTTCTGTATCTCAGTTTCCCAGCTGCGATCATTTCTGTCTGCCTGAAGAGTACCTGCAGTGCTTCCTTGAGTACGTGAAAGCTGCTGAGGAATCTC
The DNA here is from genome assembly GCF_000001405.40 of Homo sapiens. Lineage (NCBI taxonomy): Eukaryota > Metazoa > Chordata > Mammalia > Primates > Hominidae > Homo > Homo sapiens. The sequence goes on along the minus strand of NC_000005.10, from coordinate 60,512,731 downwards.
TCAGCTTTTATTTTTCTGAAAATGTCTTTATTTTAGCTTTGTTTCTGAAATACATTTTCACTTGGTATAGAATTCTAGGTTGAATTTCCTTTTCCTTAGGCATTTGAAGATGTTTCATTGTTTTCTGCTTCCATTGCCATCCAAAGTCTTCTAAAACTTCCCTAGGTAGGTAGGTAGAAATATTTAACTCAAAGGATGAATAAAAATGTATCCACAAACCCATACTTCTTTTTTTAATGGGATTTAAAGTTTATAGATATTTAGTATAAAGTATTTTTACATCTGCAGATTGAATGCAGATGATCAAAGGAATCAAGTATTTGATGATTCAAAATAGAGACCTTTGTTTTACATATAGACTAAGGGTTGGTCCAGGACTATCAAAACAATTCTAGGAAGTATTTTTCTAACTCTTGAAGAGAGAGAGAGGGAGCATAAAATGTACATAAACCTAAGTTAAAAGAAGTATGTAAAAGTATGTTAAAAATAATGCAAAAAGCATATATGCATATATTTTGCTTGAACTTGATTTCCACTGACTTGGAGTAGTTCATTCTCTAAGAATCTCATGTCATATTATTTTATATCTTTCTCATTTGTGAAGTCATTCAAGAGATCCTGCCTTGTATGTGTTTTCCAGATAATTTACACTTTTATTTTTACATAGATGTTGATTAGCTGTGTTTCATTGAATATTCTCAGTTTTGGGTATCAGTTTTCAGCAAAACAACTAAATGTGACACCTTCCTACTGAGCATATTGGGTCTATACGTGTGCATTTGACTTACGACTTATATTTTCACCTAAAAAATATTTTGGATACAATATTAAATTCTTTTAGCATTAATAGAGTGCTTGAAATATGAACTTAGTGCTTTTACTTTTAAAATATTTTAAAATTTTGATATTTAAAAATTTGATATTTTAAAATATTTTTTCTGTACTAAAATGCACTACAATATAATGTGACAATTATGAATATGGATTTTAGATTAAGACAAACCTGGGCTGGAATAGTAGCTCTGTTCCTTACTAGTTGTGTATCCTTGGAAAAACAACTCCAACTTTCTAAGCATTAGTTTCCTTATCTGTAACACAGGGTCCATAATTTCTACCTTACAATGCTGTTTTAAGAATAAACGAAGTGGGAAATGAGTTAGTATCATATTCATATATGGCAGCCATTATTATTATTATTATTATTATTATTATTAAATTTCTATAGTATGTTATTGCCTAAGTTTGTTCATAGAATAATGTATTGGCAAATAATATTCCAGTAGGAGAATTATTCTTATAAAATAAATTAAAGTAACTTACTTTATTCTTTAGAGTTTACCAAGATAGGTATATTTAGTGAACATGGGAGTCAACAGCTTATAATAAATTCTGTATTCTTAATTTAACAAGCATTTATTGAGTCTCTAACAACAAGCTTAGCAGTGTTTAAAACACCATGGCAGGGCTGGGCATGGTGGCTTATGCCTGTAATCCCTCACTTTGGGAGGCCAAGGTGGGAGGATCACTTGAGGTCAGGAGTTCGAGACCAGTGTGGTCAACATAGCAAAGCATCGTCTCTACTGAAAATACAAAAATTATCTCGGCATGGTGGCAAGCACCTATAATCCCAGCTACTTGGGAGGTTGAGGCAGGAGAATTGCTTGGATCAGGGAGGTGGAGGTTGCAGTAAGAACTCGCCACTGCACTCCACTCCAGCCTGGGCGACAGTGCAAGACTGTCTCAAAGAAACAAAACAAAACAAAACAAAACAAAAAAACTACCACGGCAGGAGGAATTTCAAGCATGTGAAAGCTGTTACCAAGGATAATTGTGCCTCCATCACAGGTGTCTGCCTCTCCCCATCTCTGCTGTCAGTGCTGGAACCCACACAGTATCACTTGTCTGGGTTTTCACAGTAGCTGCCTTACCACTTAACTCCCATTTATTGTCTCTCCAATCCATCCTTTATACTTTTTCCAGAAATTATCTTTCTAAAACAAAATCATGCCATCATCATTCACACATTCATAGACAGCTGTTGTCTGTGGAAAACACTTCAGCCTCATTAAGATGTAAGGCCCTCCGTACTCTTGCCCTTCCAGCTGTATCACCTCCTGTTTCCTTTCCTGCAGCCTATACTCCGGCCATAGGACTAATTGCAAATCTCCATTAGTACCGTGTCCTTCCCAGCTGTTATTTTAGCTAGACATGTTTTTTTAGCCATTTCTTGCCTCTCAAAATTGTACTCATTCTTTAAGATATAAGAGAAACACCATCTTATCTATAGTCTCCCTAGATGTAGAGGATGAATTCGAGTGTTAAAAGCAAGAGGTGGGCGTTGTAGTGTTCTAAGGTAGGGAGACTAGGTATAGAAAGAAACCTTGAGATGGAAACCAAGGACAGAGAAACTTTTGCAGAATGCTGTCTCTGTGGGCTGCCTGCCCTGTCTTTCAGCTGGAAGTGGTTCTTCCTTTCTGTGTTCTCTTTCTCTGATGGGCTGCTGAGAATTATTGCATGTAGGAAGCCAGAGAATGTCTCACTGTTCTCCCAGCAGCTGCTGCTTAGGGCTCTCTTACTCCACTCTTTTTTGATTCCCTGGTCTCCTGCAGAGCCATTTATTGTCTGGACCTTCCCTATACGTTGTCTTCCCCTTAGCTCAAGGCCTGGCCTCTCCTTATCTCTCCTCAGAGTTTGACTTCTGATGGGATCTGTTGTGCTGGAACTAGCTGTGATGTTTCTCTTCTTCCTGCTTCACCTATGGGTTGGTTCCTCAGCCCTTATACTGGTCCCACTGGCACCAGCCCTGACCCGATTAATTCCCTTTCATCGTCCTCCATACCCAAAGGTCCTGTCTTGGACCAGGGAGGCTCACTGGGCCAAGTATTCATCACAAATGTTAATAAATATAACCTAATTTTAAAAGAAATATCTCCAAAGAGTGTAGCCTTCTAGGAGACTGAGTACAAAAAAAAGAAAGGGGTGGAGCAGGACAGAGTATGAAAGAAGACTGCAAGAAAAGGTCAGGTACAACTGGGAGAGAAAAATGCAGAAGCTGTGGGCATGCAAGGCCAGAAGTGTAGCCAAGAAGCAGGAGGTGAAGTCAAAGGTGGATGAAGGGAAAGAAAGATGAAATGAGAGAAAAAATCCTAGGAGTCTTAGCATTGGAGGGGGAACTCAGGTGCGAGAAATGATCTAATAATAGTTGAATGGAGAGAAAATCAATGTATGGTCAATCTTCATTATCACAGATTATGTGTTTGCAAATCCACCTACTTGCTAAAATTTATCTGTAATCCCAAAAGCAATCCTTGCGGCGCTTCTGCAGTCATTTGTGGACGAGCGTGAAGCAGTGAAAAATTTAAGCAGTGCCACATGTGTATTTCCAGCTGAGGGTGAACAAGGGATGCTCAGCCATCGTGTTTCAGCCCTCATGCTGTAAGCGAGGGTCCTTTCCATGATACGTTTAATGCTGTGTTTTTGAATTCTTGTGTTTTTCACTGGTGATTTTGTCATGTGAAATGGCTTCCAAGCATAGTGCTGAAGTGCTCTCCAGTGCTCCTAAGCACAAGAAGGCTGTAATAAGAAGAAATCTGGCCAGGTGCCCTGGTGCATGAGACCAGCCTGGCCAACATGGTGCAACCCCATCTCTACTAAAAACATAAAAATCAGCTGGGCCTGGTGGTGTGCACCTGTAATCCTAGCTACTCGGGAGGCTGAGGCATGAGAATAGCTTGAACCCGAGAGGCGGAGGTTGCAGTGAACCGAGATCATGCCACTGCACTCCAGCCTGGATGACAGAGCAAGACTGTGTCTCAAAATAAATAAATAAATAAATAAATAAAAGAAAAGAAAGAAAGAAAAAAAAAGAGAAATCTGCATGTTGGATAAACTTTGTTCAAACATGAGTTATAGAGCTGCTGGCAGGGTGTTTAGTGTTAATGAATTAACAATATATATTAAAATAAGCTATCTTTAAATAGAAACACACAAAAAACAAAGTTATGTATTGATTAGGTGATGAAAATATTGTGACCAGAACTTGCAGAAACCTGATCTTACATTTCCCCTGGGAGCAATGGTTCAGTATTTGCTAATTCAGTGTTCTCAGTGACTTTATAGAATGTAACTGCCACAAATAACAAGAATCAACTCTGTAAACATTTTTGTTGGTCAATGGATATGCATGTTTAGACATTTTGTAGAATTATAGTCAACCCAAGTGAAATGGAACTCCTTTTATTTGACTTGGGAAGTTGCTCTATTCTCTTCTGTTTCAAACAAAACTCTAAATAAAATCCTCTTTTGTTCTGGTTTATTTTAGCAGATGTTTACTGGTGTTTACTGGCAAATGTGTTGAGTAAGTTAGGTAAAGTTGACCTAGACACAGTTTTTGCTCCCAAGGAATTCTCAATTGATCATGGAAGACAGGAGATGTGTGTAATCAACAGTATTGACATTAATTTGTATTCCTGGAACAGGTATCGACTAGAGTCAAAGAAGGTTTTGGCTGGTCCTGAACAACAAGGAACCCAACGTAGGTTCACAAAATAACCACATATTGTCCATAGAGTAGGTGTCTACAACATGCTAGTGAAGGTTGACATTATCTTAGAGCTTCGGGGATTTATAGATGGAAGGGATCCTACAGGCCCAGTATGTGACAAGGACCTGAGCATGTTTAGATGTAGAGCTAGAACTGAAAACCAAGCCTCATGGCTGAAACTGAATCCTTTCCCACTAAACCATACAGGCTCTATGCGCTCGAACTAGTTATTGGAGTCCCGGCTTAAAATGAGCTCATGTTCCAGAAATTCCACTTAGGTCAGATGTTTATAAGTCAGTCTGAGGTTGTTCCAGGATGAGCTCCAAGGGGTCTGTTTTGCTGTATATGAATATTTTTATAGAAGGAAGCTCATAAATTTTCATGTGATTCTCAAAGGAGTTCATGATTCCAAAAAGTCTAAGAACTTCTGTGCTTATTCTGAGGTTAACTGTGCACCACAAATACTAAATTCTATTTGGGGTGGTGTCTTGACATTGTATTTTGTATCCCTATCAATCTAGCAGAAGATTTTTTTTTTTAAATAAAGAAAATGCTCACTCTTGGCTAGGATGTGGTGAAACAAAACTTCCTATATTGTCAGTGGCAGTATAAATTGGTATGAATTTTCTAAAAAGACATTTTCCACTTTTTGCACCAGATACCAAATTTGTCTTTCAATAATATATTCTAAGAAAGCAATAAGAAAAAGGAAGTAATTAGAAATTATGTATAAAGATATTTATAGCATTTTTGTTCATAATATGAAAACTAGGAATCAAAGTGTCTAAGAATTACAGTTTTAAAATATCACTTAGGCCGGGTGCGGTGGCTCAAGCCTGTAATCCCAGCACTTTGGAAGGCTGAGGCAGGTGGATCGCCTGAGGTCAGGAGTTCGAGACCAGCCTGGCCAACATGGCAAAACCCTGTCTCTACTAAAAATACAAAAATCAGCTAGGCATAGTGGCGGGTGCCTGTAGTCCCAGCTACTCAGGAGGCTGAGGCAGGAGAATAGCTTCAACATGGGAGGCAGAGGTTGAGCCGAGATTGTGCCACTGCACTCCAGCCTGGGCGACAGGGTGAAACTCCATGTAAAAAAAAAAAATCACTTAATATTATGAAAAACTGTTTATGACAAGACATGATGTGAAAATAATCATGGCATATATAGCATAATCACAATTTGTTTATGTGTGAACAGAATAACATGTTAACAGAGGTTATCTTTTGCTAATAGGACTAGAGGTGTTTCTTTTCCTTTTTATTTTTTCTTTTTGTATTTTTCAAATTGTCTAAAAGACTATATATTTTTATAATCAGAAGAAATATTGCAACCATATTTTGTCCCAGTTGAACTATGATTTACTTACGGGAAGTCCTATCCTTGTTTCTTAGTTTCTACATTTTAAAATGTCTCATCATTCATTTTGGCTGAAAGTTAAAATGCAATCTCAGTTATTTCACGTTAATTCAATTACAAGCCCTTCTCTTCCCACAGTATCATTTCATCTTAAACCTTCATACTCAGCCTCCTTTGCAACTCTGGCCTCTCTTGCTTTCCATTCCTTTTTGTTCTTTCTCTGATTAAAAAAAAATACTAAATTCTGTCTGCTTTTCTTTGACAGCATTAGCCTTTTTTCTCCTCTGCTCAGAATATAATTTTTGCTATTCAGTTTTTCAAATATTTACCACTGTTCCCTTTGTTTCTTTATCCTGGTTTTTAATTTTGTAAGGTAGAGGAAGCATTCATGGAATAGTCTGTTCCAAACCTCAGAGCCTCAGTAGTGCTTTTGCATTAATTAAAAAGTATGTATTCTTTTTGGGATTTCCCAAAGTATTTTCCCATTATATCAGGAACACATGTGTATATGTGCATACATAGGGTATGCATGAGAATGAGTGTATTCACGTGTGCATGTATGCATTCATGTTTGTGTGCATGTTGGTGCATACATGTGCAAGTTGGTGTGCACTTGTGAGTGAATACATGTTCCAGTTCTTCCAGAACAGGAACTGTGTCCTTTCCTATATGCCCTACGCAAGTAGACACTGCAATGATGCTGACTGCCTGTTTGCCTGTCTCTGTATAGCCACCTTTCAGAGCTTGCCATCTGGATCTCAGACAGTATGCAGAGGAGAGGAATGTTCTAATCCACCCTGGTACCAACAGGCTGGCATCTGTACTTTGAAAGCTTTGATGAAGAAGATGCAAATTGTGTTGGCTGTGTGGGCTTTTCAGCTGCTTCCTGACTGGGCTAGAGACAGGCAGCATAACTTTTAATCTCTCCAAAAGCCTGCCAACTGGCAAAGAGATACATGTATTAGATAAGATGGTGGATCTCGATTTATATATGTATGAATGCAGACTGAATTAAAATGGCACCCTAAGGGAGAAGCCAAGGACCAAATCAGGAGACCCTCTAACTGAGTCAGAAATCAAGGCCAGGATTTATAGGATGAACATTTTTAAGTGTACATTAGAATGTAAAGTAGGTATTTGTAATTGAAGTACTATGCTTATTTTATTTCCATAAACCTAAGGTCTGGCTTCGAAGTGGCCTCAGGGTATATCCGTCAGCACTGAGCCTTGTAAATTTGCCTGCTAAATCAAACCTATGATGAAAAGAACCAGGCAAATAACACTGTCTTGCAGTGTGCAAGTCCCGTGGCTGTATTATAGAGTGCTCAGCTCAGTGTTTCACAGTGGAGAAGAACGTACGTTGATATGCTTTCTGGGTTTGAGAGCTCTTCCTTCTTCATCCAGAAGACAGAGCTGGGTAGAGAAAAGGATAACCAGCAAGACAAAGGCTTTATCCCAATATTATATGTTTAAAACTCAAAGAGATATGGTGAAAATGGGACTTTATTAAATTTGCCTGATTGGAAACAAACATGCAAATTGTACAAGATTCCTAAATGTGCCAAAATGGCAAGGAGAGAGCCCTGACGAGCATGGAGAATAGTGAGTAATGCTTATGTCCTAACAGTGCCCCTTGCCTTCATTGACCTTTGGAAATATTGTGAAAAAGTCAACCTTTTCTATTCTGTCTGTATAGTCTTACAGTGTTTCCTCTCTTTTTCTCCCTCTAGGGAGTTATCCAAAGCCCCCTTCACAAGAAATGCTAGCTTTCAGGAATAATCAATCAAGCACACCTTTGAGCAAATGTAAGATTTATGTTCATTCTATTTAGATATTTGATTTTGACATTGTATCCTTTATTTTGGAACAAAATGAATGTCACCTACATGCAGACAGATGAGGCATTTTATGCTTTTGTTGGGGGAGGATAGGTTTAGGGGAGCTCTCCCATTTGCAACCCGGCTTTAAACCCCACGTGGCATGAAGAAATCAATTAAACAGACAGAAACTCTTCTGGGATTGGGAATCTGGCTTCTCATTTAAAAGAATATCCCCATTTTTCTAACCATAATAAATTTTAATTTTCAAGTAAAAGCCATTACGTCAATTTTAATGTCAAATACATTTTAAAAAGAAGATGCAGACTGTTGAAAAGATGGTGGAAATGATTACAACCTAAGCTTGGAGCTTACTGAAGTCAATCAACTTCAACCTGGAGCTTGCTGCAGTTCCGACTGCACTTAGATGGTTTTGCTTTAGTTTCCCCATTTTAGTGTAGCAGAGGCTGTTTTGTTACCTGATCTTTTTTTGTAGAGAGAATGAAACTGCCTGAGGGACAATACAGTGCACTGGAGAGGGATGAAATAAAGTCTCAAGAGCTGCTTGTACTATACCACCTACCTCAAACAGCAGATGTTACAGAACTGCTTTTAAAAAAATGTTGCCTTTCACATGTCATGCTAAAAATATATACCTAAAAAGACCTAAAAAAAAAAACCTTAAAAGAACTAGAGAAGCAGGCTGTAGTTATACAAAAGCTATATGCAAGATCATGGAAGCAAAAAAAAAATGCATAAAGACATATTAGAGCTTTCTTAAGTTCCAAGGGAGCTTTTGATAATACATTCAAAACATAAATGGGAAAGTCATCAGAGAATTGCATAGTCCCCAGGAGACTGCAGAAGGCTTTGAAATGGATTTAATAACATTGATGGGTCGGATAGGAAGCCCTTATTCCCTTTGACTTATCATCTTTCTTTTCTTTTTAAAATTCACTTTCAGGAAATAGTTACATGATCAACTCTACCTGGCTGACTCAAATTTGGTTCTCGGTTTGAACTCTAGTTATCTGTATATCTTACAGCTGTCCCCTTCAGTTGCTTATCATGTGACTTGTCATTCTGACTGGGTTTGAAGCTTACAAAGGTCAAGAAACACATCTTTCATATCTTTGGAATTTCCTCTGTAATTTTGATACCCTGATTGTGTTTGCAGATGGTGTTTAACAAATGTTGCCTGGCTCACTGGATACTTCCAGATTTTAAAAAAAGTTAACAGAATGATCTTCAACTCTGCTTCCATTGTTAATATTTATGTGCTATATTCTGATAAACCCGTAGAAGACCAGATAAGACAAAAGCAGGAGAAACAAGTTGTAGATACAATAGTGAGCGTGTAAAAGGCATTTAATAATGCCTTGACATGAATAATAAACATACCAGTAATAAAGATACAACAACCTTACGTTTCCATAGATTCTTGATTCCTCTAAAAGCACTTTCATATAATAAAGGACAGAGGGATAAAGGGAGGAGTAAATATAAATGCAAGGAATACCAAAGGAATGTAGACATGAAAAAGCAAGAGGACCAAAGCAAGACAAAGAAAATAATAGCCAAGAATAAAGAAATTGAGGGAGAACTTACTAATAACTTGGAACAGTTGTTGGCTAAACAGCACACATAGCAGAGTATCAAATAAATATTGACAATGTTGGTGTTCTTGTAGTGAGTAGAATATCCTATAGACAGAATACTCTAGGATATTCTATAGACAGAGTATTCTGTCTATAGGGTATTCTGCCCTGTTTATGTTTTGTCTTGTTTTCTGCTGAGTTATTAGGGAAAGGAGTATCGTGGATTCCCTCACTTTCTTTCTCTTCCATTTTTATTCGTGATGGTTAATATTGATACTAGTATGGCTATCTTTACTCCAGATAGTCAATCCACATCATCAAAAAGATATGGACGTTTGAGTGATACTCAACTTCAGTAGCTTAGTTCAGTGATTTCACAAAAGCTCAGTTAGGCTTGCTGCTGAGAGCATAAGTGAATTTTGCCCTTGTTGTAAGGTTCTAAAAATTTCCTAACCTTAGGAGGCAGGTCTAAAATTATTGTCTATAATGCTGAATATAGTAACTTATTATAAAGAAATTCTAAGAAAATAAGACATATCAACTATGTTATAGAACTGATATTAAATCTAGAACTGAAAAAAATACAGATAGAAAAGTTCTGCCTGTCATGTGCTAGAGGCTACAAGAGATCCCTAAAACACTTTTATTACTGCTTTGAAGGGATAAGCTCCCTCCAAAAGCATGGATCAACTATTTTAGAGATTTAGAGATTGACACTGCTGTTTTGGCAATAATTCTACCTTCATACTTTCAGTTCTGGATCAGCACAGAAAACTCTCTCCTTTGTCAGATTGAAAACCTGTAGCAGGGGGACAGCCAAGATGGCCGAATAGGAACAGCTCTGGTCTACAGCTTCCATCAAGCTACCAATGACTTTCTTCACAGAATTGGAAAAAACTACTTTAAAGTTCATATGGCACCAAAAAAGATCCCGCATTGCCAAGTCAATCCTAAGCCAAAAGAACAAAGCTGGAGGCATCACACTACCTGACTTCAAACTATACTACAAGGCTACAGTAACCAAAACAGCATGGTACTGCTACCAAAACAGAGATATAGATCAATGGAACAGAACAGAGCCCTCAGAAATAATGCCACATATCTACAACTATCTGATCTTTGACAAATCTGAGAAAAACAAGCAATGGGGAAAGGATTCCCTATTTAATAAATGGTCCTGGGAAAACTGGCTAGCCATATGTAGAAAGCTGAAACTGGATCCCTTCCTTACACCTTATACAAAAATTAATTCAAGATGGATTAAAGACTTAAACGTTAGACCTAAAACCATAAAAACCCTAGAAGAAAACCTAGGCATTACCATTCAGGACATAGGCATGGGCAAGGACTTCATGTCTAAAACACCAAAAGCAATGGCAACCAAAGCCAAAATTGACAAATGGGATCTAATTAAACTAAAGAGCTTCTGCACAGCAAAAGAAACTACCATCAGAGTGAACAAGCAACCTACAGGATGGGAGAAAATTTTCACAATCTATTCATCTGACAAAGGGCTAATATCCAGAATCTACAATGAACTCGAACAAATTTACAAGAAAAAAACAAACAACCCCATCAAAAAGTGGGCGAAGGACACGAACAGACACTTCTCAAAAGAAGACATTTATGCCACCAAAAAAACACATGAAAAAATGCTCACCATCACTGGCCATCAGAGAAATGCAAATCAAAACCACAATGAGATACCATCTCACACCAGTTAGAATGGCGATCATTAAAAAGTCAGGAAACAACAGGTGCTGGAGAGGATGTGGAGAAATAGGAACACTTTTACACTGTTGGTGGGACTGTAAACCAGTTCAACCATTGTGGAAGTCAGTGTGGCGATTCCTCAGGGATCTAGAACTAGAAATACCATTTGACCCAGCCATCCCATTACTGGGTATATACCCAAAGGACTATAAATCATGCTGCTATAAAGACACATGCACACGTATGTTTATTGCGGCTCTATTCACAATAGCAAAGACTTGGAACCAACCCAAATGTCCAACAATGATAGACTGGATTAAGAAAATGTGGCACATATACACCATGGAATACTATGCAGCCATAAAACATGATGAGTTCATGTCCTTTGTAGGGACATGGATGAAATTGGAAATCATCATTCTCAGTAAACTATCGCAAGAACAAAAAACCAAACACCTCATATTCTTACTCATAGGTGGGAATTGAACAATGAGAACACATGGACACAGGAAGGGGAACATCACACTCTGGGGACTGTTGTGGGGTGGGGGAAGCGGGGAGGGATAGTATTAGGAGATATACCTAATGCTAAATGATGAGTTAATGGGTGCAGCACACCAGCATGGCACATGTATACATATGTAACTAACCTGCACATTGTGCACATGTACCCTAAAACTTAAAGTTTAATAATAATAAAATTAAATTAAAAAAAAAAAGAAAACCTGTAGCTCTGGTATCATAGTGGCTGTAGTGACTGGTTGAATGATTTAATCTATTTCAGCCTCAGTTGCCTCAGCTGTTAGAGGAGTTAATTATATCAGTCCTGCCTTATAATCATAGCAATAATTCCCATTTCCAAATGCCTGCCATGGGTCAGGTTCTTGCTATGTCTTTGGCACATATTATCTTTAAGTCTCATCAACTCTGCAAGGAAGGAACAATTGTCATTCACAGTTTACAGCTGAGAAAGCTGAGGCTCAGATTATTTCAGTAAGCTGCCTGAAGTCATGCAGCTAAGTGGCAAAGCCAGGATATAAACTTCATATGTATGTTCACAAAGTCCCCGCTTAGTCCTCCATGGAATTTTTAGAGTTATTTAAAATGACATGTGTGAAAGTGTTTTGAAAATAGCAAAGTTCCTTGTAAATGCATGTTATTATTATCATACTGATGAATATAAATTACTTAACATCTATTTACCAAGTTCCTTATAGATATTTAGCACTGAGTCAGTTTTCATTTTGGACAATCTATGGAATTAGTTATTTCTCTAATGTAGTATTACATAAGATGCATTATAAATAAATCTTAAATATTTTCAAGTGGAAATTTCTTCCATCCTTGGGACCAGGTTCTTCCTTCTTCTCCTTCTTCTTCTTTTTTATTTTTATTTTTTTGAGACTGGGTCTCTGTCACCCAGTCTGGGATGCAGTGGCACAATCATGGATGGCTCACTGCAGCCTCGACCTTTTGGGTTCAAGTGATCCTTTCTCCTCAGCCTCTCCAGTAGCTGGGACCACAGGTATGGCCACCACACCCAGCTAATTTTTTTATTTTTCTAGAGATGGTGTCTCACTATGTTGCCTAGGCTGATCTCAAACTCCTGGGCTCAAGTTATCCTGTTTCAATCTCCCTAAGTGCTGGGATTAGAGGTATGAGCCACCACACCCAGCCTGGGTTTTAGTTTCTTTTTGATCATATTTGGAGAAAAAAAGAAAAGAAGCAAATTTGCTAATCAAAATTGAGTGAATGTTTCAAGAAACAAAACCAATTAAATGTAGTCCAACCTTGAGAATCAGCAAGTAAAAACCTCTGAAGCCAAGAGGGCTAACAGGAAAACTGAAGGAGAGGAGAGAAATATACCATAAGCATTTTCAAACCTCTGCTTCAAATTCTTGTATTTATAAATGGTCTGGGCCAGCAGTGCAACTCTCCCTGTCTCGCTCTTTGTTGTTTATTTTTTGGAGTCTTTAATGACCAATCGGGTTGCTGAAATTTACTTGAAGAGTTTATTCTTGATTCTGAGGTATAAGATTTTCTGTGTGAAGATGGCTGGGAATCCACACAACTCTCCTAAAATAAGCACCAAGTTTTGGAAAGAATTTTCTCTTGTGGAAAACATCCATTTCCAAAGAGAGCCATCAGCATGAGATTGCTTTTTTTTCTTTTTAACCGCCCCCAACCCAAGGAGAAAGCTGAGGGGAGTCAGTCTGTGAAGCAGCCAGGAATCAACTTTCATGACAGTTTTAACATTCAAGGCAGACTTTTCCCTTGGTCTTTTGGAAGAACTGCTGAAATCTCAATGAAAGTTCATGAAATTCTGTAGAGGAATCAGCTGAGTCTAGAAATAAGCTGTTCCTTATTGTTTCCTCTGTTTCCTTATATATAAAGAGTGGGTAAAAAGAAGCACCTTGGAAAGTCATTGTGAGATTAAATGGCATAATGCATGCACATCTCCTGGCACAAACTAATCACCACTGTTGTGTTCTAAGCCAGTTTCCTAAATACACAGATCCAGTTGTTTTTTAAGTCTCAGTGTGAACTGTTTATTCTGTTTGGCCCATGTGGATATCTAAAGGGTTCACAAAAATGCTTTCAAATTGATAAAATATGGAGGAAGCCGCTTTTCTAGTCTTCATCAAGGATCTGCGTTGGGTGGAATAGAATCTTTGTTTGGGTTTGGTAAGAGTTTCATGATGCAGGATTTTATAGAGAGGGAGCTAATGCCATTGGGTGGCTGATCACCTAGGTGGAATGAATGTGGGGCCACTCATCCATGCATTTTTCTGCAGGTGAGATGGGATAGGTAGCCCTTGTACAGTTCTTCTGTCAGAGATCTTGGTCACATTTGAGTCTCTGCTGGGCTAAGGCAGAAGCCCTTATAGGAGGATAGGACCACTACCTGGCCAGGCTTGGTTTTCTTTAGCTCAGAGCCTGGAATTGGCTAAATTTGAACAGACAAGATTAAAAAAAACAAGCTGATTATACAAGTGATATTGTAAAGAAAAAGCTAGATACCATAAGAGCTGGATACCAGCCCAGTGTTGCTGTTTGGATTTGATCATACTCTCTTGAGTACAGGAACAAGAGGGCAGCCTAACATTGTCCCTGAAGCCCTCTGCCCACAGCCAGTCAGATCCATGTCCAACCTTAGCAGCTAGGATGCTGGCCATCCCTGTGGCCCAGGCCCCATTTGTACAAGTTCTGGGACTGGGGTGAAGGTATTCTTGTTATAATGCCTTTTTAACACAATTCTGGCCTTTTGGGAGAGAGAGTCAATGTTTTACACTCTGGGGACTCAACTTGTGCTCGGATTCACCTTTGGCAAGGGTCCTTTAGTGGAATGGACTCTGCCCAGGGAGTCAGTGGACTGCTGTTTGCTGGTTGATTTTAGACAAGTTACTTTATGTTTGTGGGCCTCATTTTCCTCTGAGCAAAGACATCTCTAACCTGAGTCACAGCACAATCTTTGTGGTCTGACTCTGTCTGGGGCATGGAAAATTGTGTGTGTGTGTGTGTGTGTGTGTGTGTGTGCATGTGTGTGTCTCCAGTCACTGGTTCTGGGGATGTTCCTCCAAACTGTTCTTGCCTTCTTTCTGTTATCCAAACTTTTCTGTGCAGAAGAACAAGATTTAAGTTTGAATGGATCATTGTTTCTTTTCGGCTAAACAACTGCTGATAGTCAGAGGATGACCTATTTCTGAAGCAGACGACCAAGGAGAAATTTATGGATTTCTATTCTTTAGACTTAACCAGTGTTCCTTCTTGGAACATATGTTATGGAACTTGACTAATCGCCCTGGCAATATGTTGCCAAAGTTTTCCTGGCAATAGATCAAAGTCTGTAATATACCAGCACATCAGCTTTGCAGAGCTCAGACAATGAGAAAACAGGTAGGGGTGGGAGAAAGCACTTGCAATTAATTTTGGAGTCAGATTTTGATAGAAAAGTAGAAAGAGGATAGGACTAATTGACTTCTGAAAGAATTACAGGTGGCTGGTGTGCCCCATGACTCACACTGTAATCTAAATACTTTGGGAGGCCAAGGTGGGAGGGTCTCATGAGGCCAGGGGTTTGAGATCAGCCTGGGGAACATAGTGAGACCCTGTCTCTACAAAAAATAAAAAAAATTAGCCAGGCTTAGTGGCATGTGCCTATGATCCCAGCTGCTTGGGAGGTTGAGGTGGGAGGATCACTTGCAACTGGGAGGTTGAGGCTGCAGTGAACCGTGTTCACACCACTGCACTCCAGCCTGGACAACAGAGCAAGATCCTGCCTCAAAAACAAAAACAAAAACAAAAAAAAAGAAAGACAAAAAAGAATTGCAAGCGGCCAATACATAAGAGAAGATGCCTAACACCTAACCCCCCAATTAGCATTGTGATTATAAAGATAACAATGCTATCATTTCCCCACATCATTTTGGCAGAAATGTGAATGGATGGTTAAACTCGGTGTGCCTGTGAGTTTGATGAAATGGATGTGCTCATACAACTACCTGATACAACCTTTTGGAGGGCAGGTGGCTGATACTTACTGAAATGTGAAATGTATAATCTTCTTGCCCAGAAATTCTGGGTCTAGGACTTATCCTAAGAAGACAACTATACAAATGTAAAAATACATTTATGTAGTATGTTTGCAAAAGCATATTCATGGGGAAAATGAGAAATAACTTTAATGTTTATCAATAGAGAACTGGTATAGTAAATTATGATAAATACCTACTGTGAAATCCTGCATAGTCAATAAAATGATGGTGTAAAGCTTCATATATTAATGTGAAAAATTATTTAATGGTACAAAACAGGTTATGAAACACAACAATCACATTTCTATACAGTCATATTACTAGAAATATGGGAAGTTGTTAATTTAAATCTGAACAGTTAGAATTTCAGGCTACCTTTACTTCCTTTGCTATTTAACTGTTTCCTCTCCCACCTATCAACTCTATGTCCTTAGGGAAACTTATTTAACCTTTCTCACTCTTGGTGAAAATGGAGATAATACCAAACTCTTAGAGGTTGTTGTGAGAATCAAGCAATAAAATACATGTCAAGCACCTAGTAAAAAATGTATTTTGATTTTTTTTTGTCATACACAGTTTCCTTTTTTTCTTTCATTATGTGAGTACAAACAGCTGTGTTCCTATGCCCAGATTCAAAGAGAGAAAGCTAAGTGGGCTTTTGAATAACTTCCACTTATTTTAATGCAGGGAAAGCTCTAGTTCCAAATATGTGGAACAGTATTTTCCTAAGGCTGCAATGTGTCAGAAAAAGACCATATTGAGTCATTGTTTTCTGAAGCCAAGACAGGAGATTGAGAGACGGATGCTGATGGGCAGCCTAAAATAATATTTCATTCTTGTCATCCTTAGGCAGTTTAAGACCAAGTCATTTTGGATAGATCTACAGTTTCCCTCTCGGTTTGGAAGAACAAAGCTTTTGTTATTTATGTTCTTAAACAACAGCGCTTTGTCCTATACTCAGGAGCGTGCAAAGCAAACAGAAGATTTCCTGAACGGCCATCCCATTTATGGTGAGGAGTCAGTCCAAGAGGTAAGTAGACATACTCAGCTGCAACCATCTGCAGAGGGCCCACATTGGCAGCAAAAGGAAATAGCCAAGACTCACAGGAGCACAACAGCCAGTCAGGTTTGGGATTCACTTCTCTGATACTGTGCCAAAGTTGGTGGACTCAGCCATTCTGAAACTCACTGTTCACTTGGGGCCTGCTTTGCACAACAAAACAAATAGCCCTGTTTTGCTTTCCATGTCTGAGGCAGAAAAATAAAAATGGCAATATTTTGAGTGTTTTTACATTGGGAATTTCTGGTCCATAGATAATTATTTCAGATACCCCTGTGTAATCTTTTCAGAGCTGTTGAAAACTGTGGAATAGGGGATAATTAGGGCTCAAGAGATTTCATTAATGGTTAAAGGATCATTAGAAGGACACGTACTGTATCCCTCTTCTTATTTCTCTTCCTGCACTAAAACAACTCCTGGCTTGCTACCATACTTCCGCACCCATGTGCAATTTTCACTTAGCAAAAGGTCAAGTCTAAGTAGAATCTATGAAGTTGGGATTGATTCTGATTGGTAATAATGCTAGCTAGCAAGCATTGAAAATTTGTACCAGGTTTTCTGTTAAGTAGTCTGCATGCACTATCTCAATGATTCTTAAGGAGTGGTCCATAGATCACTGGCTTTACAAACATTGACGCATGGTGGTGGGTGTGGGCAATGAAAAGGCAGATTCCTAGATTCTACTCTAGATCCATGGGATCAGCATCCTGTAGTGGGAGCCAGGGATCTACCATTTTAGCAGGTGCCTTGGGTCATCATCCTTATGCACATGACATTCGAGAGCCACTGTGTTATTTCCTAGTGCAACTGTGACTCAGTGTAATCTGCTTTCTTTCCACTCCTCTGATTTCTGTGTGTAAATTTTCATGACAAAAGTTAGACAAAATACCATGGACTGAAGTTAGATATAGAGCAACTCATGTCTCTTTTAGTTGCTGGTGATTGCAAATGTATCTCCATGGCCAAATTGCTTTTGAGGCACTATATGTGATATTTATCTGTATTGTGGGAAGGTTAAAGAAGTGAGAACTCTTTCCTTGCTTAGTGGTGGCCTGTGCTCTGGAGGTAGAGAGGAAGACACAGGGGCCATGGAGGTGGGACTTACAGGTGTGGTACAGGTTGTATAATCATGATGGTGACCCTGCATGGAGAAGGGAAAGCTTGACCTTTTCCTTGGCTCAGGGCTATGCAAATAGGGCTGGCCCATTTCTGAGAGGGGAAGGTAGCTGATATGCAGGTGTGATTCCCTAGGGCCCAGAAAGACCTGCCTGCCTTCTGCCTTTGTTGTCATGCTTCATGAGGCCTGAAATGTTCACTGGTGGTTATTTCTCTGGTTCTCAGCTTTAGCTCTAGAAAGCCCCTATTGAAATGACATGCCACTTGGAAGATAGCAGGACCATTTACTTATATTTTCACAGACTGCTTTAATCTGCTACTCTGGGGATGGCACACAAAAAGATTTAGTTGATGGGAGGGAGGTTAGGCCCCTTTGTGGGCCACAAAGAAGAATCTGGGGAGCCCAGGGAGACTATTCTGGGGGTAGAAGTGAGGAGGAAAGGCTCTAAAGACAAACTGGACCTATGTCACAGTTCCGAGGGCTGTCCTCCAGAATACATTGTTTTCCTGAAATTCTCCAGCCCCTTCCATCATTTTCCTCTCAGTGAATGTCCAGTGCTGAATAACTGCCCCCTTAGTCACAGGACTGGACTGCAGCAGTGCTGCAGGTGGTGAGGCTCAGTGGCACAAGTGGCTCTGGGAGGGAATCTTGATGTCGGATTCTGTAGCTGCACCAGCAGAGGGGGAAGAGGGAGATAATTACCCACCTCTGAGTCTGAGATCCCCCTACCCCCAGTGCATTCTTCTGCCAGGAGCAGGATCATTAGAATAAGTGAGACTTAGCTTAGCTCATTCAACTCCTTGCCAGGCCCCATGCAAAGCTTTCAAACTTTCAAATATACGATCATTTCTAGAGACTATGTTGGGATCCCCTGCATTTCTTTATCCATTTGTTGAGAAGGACCAGAGATGATGCCTAACTTTAGCCAAGAGTTTGTCTGTGGGTCCGATAAGCCTCACATTTGATTTTATTGGAATTTTAATCTTGCAGAAAGTACCCTATGTTTCAATTTTAAAGCATTTTTTTTGTTAAACTGAAAACATCCCTCAATTTTTCCAATGTTCGTTTGTCCTCTAGTGCTAATTTATGTGGTAAGTGGTACTGGTTCATTAATTTACTCAGGAGGGTGTAACCACCTTTCATGGAGAAGGGGTGGCTAGGAAGGGGTTTCTAGTGAAGGAATTCATTTTTCTTGGTCTTCATGGTGGGTGCTGGGGAAGGGTGTGCAGTCAGAGGGGCTGCATTTGCAGAAACATGGCTCTGTGTGTGAGCCTGGGTTCTCAGGAATAGGAAGCAGGTAGGTGCAGTGGGTGGGTATTCATGTGACAGTGGAGGAAGATAAGGACAAAGATCATGCATGAGTAGTGAATGAATGAATGAATGAATGAATGAATGAATGAATGAATGATTGTGTATAGAAGTCCATACTCCTTCTCTGGGGTGGCTATTCCTTCACCAAGCAGACTCTGTTCTTTCTTCTGCTGCTTCTTAGTGAGCACGTCTAAGTCTCAGTTGATATTCTCTTGCTCTGAGAAATTTCTCATCAATGGGAGGAGAAAATATAATTCGCTTCAACATAGCTCATATTTAAGCTGAGAATTCAGCATGAATTCCAGACATGGTTCATGTATTTTGGATAATCAGCATAGCTGTTCATGATCGGTAACCCTCTTTTTTCTCCTCCTTCAAATCGTTTTTGGTTAGGTTACCATGACTGAAGATTAATGACTTCCATTATTTTTTTTCCCTCATGCAGGAATGTTTAAACTAGTCTAAACTTTGTACCAACTATCATATGAATCATGTCTACTACTGTTACCCCTTGTGTGTCATGTCCTGGGTTAGTGTCCTTGCATGACACAGCAAAATACAGGGCAGGGTTAAAAGTGTCAATTGAGAACCAGGCAAAAAACTGATGATTAATAGTGACCAACACACTTCACTGTGCTGTTATCTTAGAGGCCTTAAGGCAAAATCTTACTTACAAATATTAGTTGAAATGCAATATGTGATGTTAGTAGACACATTTCACCACATCTGGCAGTTCATTAATTCACCTTCATTTTTTTTTTCTTTTCTTCTTTTTTTTAATCTTTTTTTTTTATACTTTAAGTACTAGGGTACATGTGCACAATGTGCAGATTTGTTACATAGGCATACATGTGCCATGTTGGTTTGCTGCACCCATCAACTCGTCATTTATATTAGGTATTTCTCCTAATGCTATCCCTCCCTCAGCCCCCTACCCACTGACAGGCCCTCGTGTGTGATGTTCCCTGCCCTGTGTCCAAGTGTTCTCATTGTTCAGTTCCCACCTATGAGTGAGAACATGCGGTGTTTGGTTTTCTGTCCTTGTGATAGTTTGCTGAGAATGATGGTTTCCAGCTTCATCCATCTCCCTGCAAAGGACATGATCTCATCCTTTTTTATGGCTGCATAGTATTCCATGGAATTCACCTTCATTTTCAATATTGTGTATATTTATTGCAGTGAGCTTAATCCTAATAAAAACAATTTTATTTCTATTTATTTATGTTTTTTCAATTTTTTCTTTGAGACAGGATCTCACTCTGTCACTGAGGCTGGAGTGCAATAGCACAACCATAGCTCACTGCAGCCTCCAACTCCTGGACTTAAGTGATCCTCCCACCTTGGCCTCCCAAGTAGCTGGGACTACAGGTGTGTGCTACCATGCCCAGCTATTTATTTATTTGTTTCTCTTTTTTGCAGAGATGGGGTCTTGCTGTGTTGCTCAGGGTGGTCTCAAACTCCTGGATTCAAGTGATCCTTGGCCTTCTAAAGGGCTGGGATTACTAAAGGGGCGAGCCACCATTTCTAGCTGACAATTTTCTTTTTTTTTTTTTTTTAATTATACTTTAAGTTTTAGGGTACATGTGCACATTGTGCAGGTTAGTTACATATGTATACATGTGCCATGCTGGTGCGCTGCACCCACTAACGCGTCATCTAGCATTAGGTATATCTCCCAATGCTATCCCTCCCGACAATTTTCTTTTAATGAGCAGTCACCATATAATAGGCTCAGTTCTAAGCATGTATTTGCCCATTTAATCTTCACACCAGCCTAGGAGGTAGTTACTGTGTGTGGCACCCTTTTATATAGGAGGAAACTGAGGCATAATGCTGTTAAGTAGCTTGCTCAGGGTCTAACAATTAAGAGTCAGAGCTGGGATGTGAACCCAGGTGGCCTGACTCCAGAGTTTCTACCAACCACCATGTTATACTGCTTTACATGTTTAAAGCAAAGATATGGTTTTAGCATCAAATATTAAGAATGCACTCCCCACATTTTTCTTATTAAATGTAATTGCCAGTTTTTGTATATGTCATTGTCCTAATGCTTTCGAGAAACTTAGACAAAGAGCAAGACCACAGATAAATGGATCCTTCTGTTCAGGTCTCATTACCTAGAAGAGTTTTGACTGCAATATATGAGTACTAAAAGTTGATGGTTTATGCTAATTTTAAGTGTAATATATTTTAGAATTTTGTCACATGCATTATTAATATGATTTCATATTCATGGCCTTAGGAAGATTAATTTAAACAATAACAACAAGAACAACAACAACAACAAAATACAACAAAAAATTTCCCCCATGTGCCAAGAGCAAATTTTGAGGTCCATTTATCCAGATAAAGTGTTTTGTTATCTGAACCAAGAACATGAACTTTATCTTTATAGTGACCACAGACTCCCATCTCTAGTATCATGATTTTTAATTTGAATTAAAGCATTTTTTTTTGCTTTGTTAAGATGAGGCAGGCCTTCTTGCTGACATTTTAAAAAGCAACTATTTTTCTTTCAGTTTACACTATGAGGCATTGGCTCCAACTGTCAGCATTGAAACTGTCAGCAGTTCCCTACCAGGAAACTGGTTCCAAGGTCTAGGGTTTCCTTAGGTAGAGGCTGGCACTGTGAAAATAATGGGGCTCTTTATCCATGTCACCTGGAATGGAGTTAATACCCTGCCAGTCTTAGTTGATTTGACATACTAACAGGATGGGTCTGAACGTTTTCTATAGTTTACTCATGAGTGACTTTCTTTGGCTTACGTAAATGGCAAGGCCAGACAAATTAGCTTATGGACCTAGCAATCATTCTTGGCCCAGATTTTGAGACACTTTTCAATCAACCATAGTTGCTCTAATACCTGAGATTTGCTGACAGTGCTTGGTTCAGAAAAAGGTTCAGTTTCCTGAGCAATTTTTCTTTTATTGGGATCATCTTAATTCTTGTTTGCGGGGTTAAGATGAAGGAAATATGAGCAAGGACTGCACTCAGCTATTTGGGTGACCCTTGTATACCATGAGCTTCTTAGATAGGGCCTGATGTGATCACCAGAAAACATTAATTGATCGTGATGACAGGAGATAGTCTCTCTAGCCAGAACCTGCTAATACAAGTCCTGATGAATTGAGAATGATGCCTGAAGGAAGCAGACTGACGTGGTGCATTAGTAATTTTAGGCAAAAGAAGATAATGGTACTAGTATGTATATTTTTTAGTTTCCTTTTCCATTGCTTTGTTTTGCACAGGCTGAAGAAAATAAATGTAAACAGCATATTATGGTGGCTCAGGGTGGATAATAATGGGACATCACTTCCTTTGTTTCAGTGTGAGGTTGCCCCTGCTATGTGACAGCTCCAAGGACTAAAGATTTCAATCCCCAGAAAAATGTCGAGTCCCAGTAACATGTTTCAGGTTATCATGATTATTATGATTATAGGAGGGGAAGAGCAGTGCTGGTCTTTTAGAAAGTTCTCATCATGAATGTGTTCTGGAGTGAACATCACTTACTAACAGATGAGCAGCTTGAAGTTGAGTCAAACAAAACTTTTAGTGTTTGTAAGGGTCAGGGAGCCAGGGGACAGTCTGTAACTCAGTTGTATATTGACACAGAGAATGTACAAAAGCTGTGAAAGCTTCCACTTGAATGACTGCGGATGGTTGCTGGTGACGGTCTTGGACAGTAAGGGTTTTCTTCGGAGTTGTAGGAGGTGAAGTCTTCCTATGGGAAATTTCTGGACAAAAATACAAATGAAATGACTTGCAGGCCTCAGTTTAGAGTATTGTTGGCTTTGTCTGTCAACAAATGGAGATTTGAACATGGGAGTTCAAGGGGATTTTAATGAAATTTTATTAAGGAGATGAGAAGCAGGGAGTCTGTGTTGAAAATTCAATAAAGGGCTTGTTTTCCATCTCAGCCTGGATAATCTATGTTATCTCTGAGTAAAGGGGGTAACAATTCTAACAACCTGGCTTCCTTAGAAGTTTCCATTCTCATATAGTCACCGAAGGCAGCAGCACTGTCAAATAAACAAAGGTTTAATTAAATAAAAACTATTTAAACAGAGCAGAAATATTCTTCCCTGGCTAGTCACAGATTGGACAATTCAAAGAACAAACCCTGGGGGGAAATTGCCAATGGATTACTTTTTCTGTTTTCTGTCTATTGCAACGTTTTTCTTTCTGGTGTCAAATCTCAAGTTGAATTCAGTCAATTATCTACAGCCAAAAAAAGTGCATAAATGTCTCTTCTGTTACTGTTTATATGTCACCACTAAATAAAGCAAAATTTTCTTCTCAGCTTCTTGCCTTAGGATTTTATAAGTCCAACAAAACAAATAAAATATTATGTATATTCTATCGTCACTATGAAAGCATAAGGATTGATTTAGTTATGTACAAGTTTATTGCCAAAGTTTTTCTTCGTTGCTAATGTTACACTTGCTACAAAATGTATTAAAGAAACAGACAATTTGCTAAGGATTTGGAAGGATTTGTCATTGGGTTAAGTACATTAAGTATCTAAGGGGTGTGGTGTTCTGGTTATGTGTATGTCAGTTTCACATATTTTTTTGCTTTCTTATTTTAGTTGCCTCTATAATCATTTTGACTTTAAAATGTTTTCTGCAGATCCTTTAATAACTGCAAATGTAGAAGTATGGTGTAACAAGTAATTGGTATGACTAACACTAAAATGTAATGGGAAATAAGGATACTATTGTAAAGAAAACAAGAAAAACCTGGGGTAGGGGAGCAGTATTGATTCTCTCTTAGGATTCCTAAGATTCTCTGTCCCAACCCTTCTACCATGGAACATTCTTATGTGGTCTAAGTGTCAAAGACCAGAGGAACTGGGCAGTAACTTATCTTCTCAATTTTCTCTCTGAACATAGATATTTTCTTTAAGATACGAAAAACTTTTAATTGTGCTCCTGAAACCCATCCCTGTCCTGTCTCAGCCCCGTTGACTCTTCTTTCTGTGGGTGGGTGAAAAGCCTACCCATCTGCAAAGGTAGCTCTGAAACTGTTCTGGAAAATCCTGTATTTTCCTCCACAAATGATCGTTTTAGTTTCAAGTTTATTTCAGGTACATTAATTCTCCCCCTCCTCAGACTTCATAACAAATGATCCTGCACACGATTAGAATAGGAAAATGTAAAATAAAATCGAAGCATATCTAGTTGCCTCAGCGACTTTATGCTTATCACTTTCAGTCTGCATTATTCTACTAAAAATAAAAAGAAAGATGAAAATTACCTCAGGCGTTTGCTGCCGTGCCTGCCCTTTGGTTTCTGGGACGGCTCGGGTCCCGTAGCGCCGGCACAGCTGAGATTGCCAAGCCGGGAAGAGACCTTGCTCCAGGTGTAGCTGCGTTTTCCCCAGATCACCTGTCCTTTTCCCCTCCGACAAGGAAGCTGTGATTTTTCTCTGGCCTTTAGAGGCAAAGTGATTCCAGATAAGTAGATTAATGTGTAGAATATCTCATCTGTGTTGTTCCAGTGCAGCCCTTTCAGCTTTCCAGAGCCAGTTAGACTTGTTATGAGGAGCTAAGTGATTGGCTGGCTCTGGAGCTCAGTTTCATAGATTATAGCCCAGCGTACGAGAAGCACGAGTCCTATAGTTGGCGTACCCTGAGGCCTGCCAGTTCCTGCCTTAATGCATATGTAGTCGTAATTGAGTTCTGACACGGCCTTGGATGTTTCTGTCCTAAATAGCTGACATTGCATCTTCAAGACTGTGTGAGTAATCCTGATATTTTTTTTTTAAGCTCAGTAAATTAATTACATGCCCTGGGAGGGAGTGATTGTAAGTAGAAAATACTGAACTAGCAGATGATTCGTTTTTAAGGTGCTATACTATGTGTATCAAGTTCAAGACGATGAATCTTAAAGCTTCTAAGAACTGGCAGGGTTATTCCAGCTTTGTGCCATGAATCACAGTCAAGCTGCATTTTGAAGGAGGCTGTTTGATGCATTTGCTAGCTCTGTTTGTTTTATGGGGTCAGTAAAGTGGCAGAGGTCCAACAGGAGCAGGTTAAAGCAGGATGCTGGGATCAAAGCTTAGAGAGCACTTGAGTCAGGCAAGTTTTAAGTTTTCCCACCCCCAAGCATCTCAGTCCAAAACTGAGAGCAAGCAGCAAATATTATAATAAATGCTTTGGGGACAGGGGTACACAGCAGATAGGGCACAGTAACAGGAGAAATGTAAAATGATGGCAGCAATACTTTTGTTCACTGTAATCTGCAGCCAATTGAAGACATACACTATGAATAACTAAAACATTTTTATATGAACAAAAATGCTCTTCAGTGGTTCTGTTTATGTGGTAGAGGGCTGAATGAAAAACCATGCGCTTGTTGTAAAAAAGCCTTATAAAAAGTACATTAAACACATACAGACACAACCATAACAGAAGAAAGTATGTGGATTGGAATTTGTGATTGGAGCAGATCAAATTAAGCCAGGGAAGCCGTTATTAGGTTTGTATGATTGCTGGGGGGTAACTTCTGTTGCTGACAAGGTTTAGGATAAAGCTGGAGCAGATTGAAGTGGAAAACCAGAAAACATCAGCATTTCATTACCTTCTATAGCATACACTGCAGGGTAGAATTAATACTGAGTATAGACTGGTAAATGTGAGCAGTTTACTGTTTGCTTTTAAATCATTATTGATTTCCCCTAGCCTATCATAAAAAATAATAGGGCTTTTGCCTATGAAATTAGTGCTTAGAAATATTTTTCTTCCTCCCAAATAATTTTTATACTTTTTCTCAATACAGCACAAAGGTAGGTCATTAAAAATAAAGGGGTTCCTTTTCAAGTTGCTTTTTGTCTAATTTTTCCTCTTTAGACCTGTAGATACAAATGTATGTATTTGTGCTATGTATAACTCTCAAGCATAAATCATTTGAACAGTATTTAAAATCACAGGCTCCTGTGGCAAATATAAACTTTTAATAGCTATAGTTGGCAATTACTTGCCAATTCCTATAAAAATAACATTAGTGGCTTATTTTTGATTGCACCTAAACAACTGGCATGATTTAGCCAGTAGGAGAGAAATATTAGTTGTGTTTTGCATAATTTTGTGTTTAGATCACACTGGAAATACAAAGTTTTGTTGTTAAAAATATTTTTGCTTTCTGAAATATTATCCCCTTTCAGATCACACCAATGAATGAAGTTTGTAGAAAGAAAGAAAAGTAGCCAACGTAGACTCCTTTTCTGTATCAATCAAATATATGCAAAATACATAGATTTTTAAAAATGTAATTTTAATACATTCCTTTAGAAACACATTTACTTCATGAAGAAACAGTATAATGAGTTCATTTATTGACCCAGAATAGTGAGTTGATTTATTGAGTTTCTGTAGCCATAGACACGAATAGTAATGGTTGGCTCATTCTTAGCTATACATTCCTAACTGACTGTATTAGTGGGAGAAAGGAGTGCATCTATAAAATAAATATAATCCCATCCCTCAAGGTGGTCTGGAGCCCATCTAAGAGTAAGAAGTAGTAGAGTTGAAGCTGCTTTATCTGAATCAGCTCCTGACTTCAACTCAGCTCCTCTTTTTCCTTAGGTCCATGTGGCCCACTTGGTGTAGTATTCACATCTCCTTCCACCTTTTTATGCCTTCATTGTTTACATTACCTTGCTTGGGCTCTTATTGAGATGAATCACATAAAAATGCTTAATTATCAAACATTAATCAGCTGCCTATATAATTCAGAGGATGTTTAAAACCAAGGCTCAAGGAAATTCTGGTGGGTGTATACTAGGAGTATTTACGTCTTGCATCGGTACTTTCCTCTGGGACTTCCATCACTTCAGTTCTTCCTGAGATGCCAGAGTCATATCTCTTACTTGTGAAAGAACAGAGCTTTAAGAAATGGAGTCTAGAGGTGCCAGGTGCCCAGTGGACAGTGGGCTGGGGGCAAGGCATGGTGGGGAAAGCAAAAAAAATCTCCCAAACAGCAATAGTTGATCTTTCTTCTATCCACTCCTCTCAATTTTCTAAAACCATTTTTGTCTAACTGTGGAAGTTCTTTTGCAGATAAGGTTCTGTAAAACTATGCATATCTGCCATAGACAGATGGATTTGACGAAAGATGTATCCAAAAAGGAATGTATCACATCATGAACTTGCTAAGTGTTCATGAATACACACTGGCATTTGGAGACTATTAACACTACCTACTGAAGCAAAGACATAAATCCAAATTGAAGAAAATATAATTTTTTGATTGAATTACATTTTCCAGTGGGTTTTTTTTTTTTTGGTGAATTTTGTTTTTGGAAAAATTTGCTCTTCCCTCCAACGTTTTTCCTGTGTTATATATAGGACTGATTTGATTTCTTCAGCTTGCCCAAGAATTTAATAATTCTTACTTTGTGTTTTCAAAAGAGTTGCTGTCTACCTTGAGCATGTTTTTAAAAAAGCAGAACAAAACGAATGAAACAAATGTCCCTCTTCCCACAGAAAAAGCACACCACCAAGGAGTTAAATGCCCTACATTTCTTTAAGTCCCTCCTTTTGTGGAGCTAGACACTGGTAGAAGAGGAGCTTTCATTTAATTTCAAGACAATCAGTGATTCCAACTTAACTATAACTGTGTTCCTCTAATATCTGATTTCAAGAAGCAGAACATTTTGGTGAATTAATCTTAGAGTCAACGGGACCACGCTCAGGCCATGAAACGTTTTCTAAGCCTCAGTCTCTATGTCTTTAAAATGAAAATAATGATATATGTTCTGGTATTTTACTAGATTGGTGAATATCCACATCACAATGAGAAAGTGCTTGTCAAAAGAACATTGTAATGTGTAATTTGTAATGTGCTGTACATGTACACTATTATTATGACTGTAGCTCATCACGCTAGGGTTAGGACTCTTTACTTCTAAAACATATTCCCAGTAATGGACAAAACTTTTGAAGCAAAGAAAATCTTCACTGTTTGATCCTAATGTTATGAAGGCTTTTGGACCTTACATTTGTTTAAGCTCCCATTGAAGCTCCCATTGGAGCTTCAATGCTGATCCATCTATTACTTGAGTATTAAAAATACCGATAGGTTTACTGTGATAAACGAATGTGGCATTGTATGTGAAAACATATTTAGTAAACTTCCATGTGCCATAGTCGTATAAATATTACATATTGCAACAATTATCAGTATATTAATAAAAATTCTTTGCAAATTTTCAATTTTTAAAATGGAAAGTATCAGATATATTTCTTATTGATTGGATTGACTAACTTTCTAAGCTATGTTTGCTTCCCTCAAACAGGATGAATGTTCCTGTTGGTTAAGCTTTCTTTCCACTTAGATACAGCACTAAGCCAATAGTTAGATAAGCATTCCTTCACAGCCTACATTTGGAGCTGCCAATGACGAAGTTTTAGAGGACATATTTTCCTCACAGGAAAAAGTGGGTTAGGAAATTTAGACTGACAGATGTTCTTGGGTTTTTTTTTTTTTTTTAATTCCTGTCTTGACTCTCATTATTAAATTTTGCTAAGGAAATAATTATGTAGGTTTTGAGGTGATGCTTATTCCTAGTAGTCTTTTCATCTCAGGGATGCAATGAATGGTCAAAATGACCTTCTGAATGATTTGAAAGATCAATTAGCAGTTTTGAATCCCAAATTTTTAGGTGGTTCTGCTTCAGAAAATCATTATGCTTTTTGGAATAATGTCCATAGCTGCATCCTACATTTCAGTGGTTTCAGCTCACTGCTGTTATAGTTTGATGATTTCCTAACAGCAATATTGGTTATGCTAAAGCAGTTCCCCATTTCACCTGTTGAACCCTTTTTAAAAGATAGAAGAAATTATAGAGGAATCACAATAAGTAAAACGTATTAAAATGGAGTGGATTATCTCCACTTTTATCTCACACAGCTCACCCAGAAATTCATGAGAGAACTTTCTAGGAATGAAACAATTTCATTTGTAGTAGTATTTGAAAACTGGATCTAGGGCCATTGACCTGACTTTTTTGTGCCTTTGGTGATTGGATAAGAACACTTCTTCAGTAATTTAAAACTATAGTGAAATAATGTTTTTTTTTAACTTCTCAATAGGAATTTATTTATTCAGCAAAAATCAGGAGTTAGGTGCTAGAAACACAAAGATGAACAATACATGGTTTCCTCAAGGAGCTTATAACCTACTAGACATTTATTTCATGTTGGCAGAACTTTTAGGATAATTCTCAAAGAAAAAGGGTTATTATGAGGTTGCTACTTTTCTCCTCAAAATATTTTCTATGTTAATAATGAAGGAATGACCAATCTGTAGTATATGCAAAAAGTACTGGGTAGAAATATATTAATTTTCTTGGCTGGGTGTGGTGGCTCACATCTGTGGTCCCAGCTACTTGGGATGCTGAGGTGGGAGGATCACTTAAGCCTGTCAGTTCCATGCTGCAGTTGAGTCATGATTATATCACTGCATTCCAGCCTGGGCAGGCAACAGAGTGAAACTCTGTCCCCCACCCACCCCCAGAAAAGAAACATAAAAATTTTCTTATAAAATTTTACTTTTTAGAGTCTCCAGCCTTATTTAATTCAGTTACCATATTTGACAAATAAATGGTGGAACCAAGATGTTACCAGGTTTAAGTTTCATATACAGTAGAACTGTGACAGGAACCTAGAGTACCTGGAACTAGAATCCAGATCTCTGCCCTTTCAGTTTAGGATGTACTGACAATATATATTGCTACTTAAAATTGCTAAAACAAAATTTATAAGCATCTATATATTTTGCAGCTAGGACAATTATCTACAAACATGATATTTAATGGAAGATATGGTAATAACATCTGAGATATACAATTATGTTATAAAATCTAAAATCAACAAGAAAGGAATAAAGTTGTACCATTCCAGGAAATACATTTCCAGAGCTTTAGATATCCTTATTAGATTCTACATGTTAGTTTTGGTGATGTTAACTGCCATAACATATAAAATCTGAAATCTTGTTGACTTAACTGAGAAGTTTATTTCTCACTCAATCAAAGCCTAAAGTGAGTATTCTTGATGGGCAGATTCTTCTCATTCATTCAAGCAGTGTTCTTGTGACTCCACTCTTATCACCTTGTTGTCACGACCAGCTTCCTGGTGTCTGTGCTTTGGCAAAGGAGAAAACTCATAGAAGTCTGCTCACCTTCTATTGGCCAGAGCTTGGTCACATGGCCCCATATAGTGAAAGGGAAGCTGGGGCTATAGTCCTATTTGTGTCTGGGAAGAATAAAAAGTTGGTTTGGTGATTGTCTTAGTTCAGGCTGCTGTAACAAAGTATCATCAACTGGGTGTCTTATAAACAACAGAAATTTATTTTTTTTTTACAGTTCTGGAGGCTAGAATTCTGAGATTAGTGTGCCAGCCTGGTCAGGTTCTGGTGAGGGCTGTCTTTTGGGTTGCAAGTGGCTGACTTCTCCTATTATCTTCACATGGCAGAAAGAGGGTGAGCTAGCTCTCTGGCTTCTTTTTGTAAAGGCACGAACCCCATTCCTGATGGCTCCACTCTCATGACCTAATTATCTTCCAAAGATACCATCTCCAAGCACCAACACATTGGGAATTAGATCTCAGCATATGAATTTTGGGACGATATGAACATTCAGTCCACAACAATGATCCACTAAGCTATTTCTGCCATACCTTTTTTTCTTTTCTCTTTTCTTTCCTTACTGTTCTTCAGTATGTCTATGTAGAATCTATGCCTTGTAACCAATAAGGTAATGAAAAAAATTATAATATTTACCATCTGGAAGAAATTAGGAAAATGATTTTACTTTTAAATTCTTGATCCATATGTTAAAAAATTTCCAAGGCTATTAAAATATCACTGAACATTGTGATTATAGAGATTGCTATGATTTAATACTTATGTCTTATAGTGAAAAAGTAGTCCTGGGATATTTTTCTCTCTTTACCTCACCCATCCTCTTCTATGTCAGGTATTTGAATCCCTTGCTTTGTAGTTTTATAAAAAGGTGGGGAGAAAATGAACAATTGTCAAGGAAGATGAAATGGCTAATCAAAATTCATTCATTCTCCATAGTTCCTTGGGTATTTTATAAACTTTGCAGTAAATGCTAACTTCTTATTGGGGAAAACTGCTATAAAGTAAGTGTACAGGTAGGTTTTGGAGAAATTTTTCTTGCATGGAGTTGAGCAAATGGTGCATCTAACATAAGCTTGGTTTATAGTTTCTGTTTTTCAGAAGCTAGAAGATTTTTCTCCACTCTGAACTTCTAGGGATCAACAAAAGTATTTATATCACAAATAAAAAAAAACACAGTTACCTCTCAGTAAACAATTTTTTTTCAGATTATTCTATTTAAAAAATCTCTCCAAATCTGTTAATTTTCTGTTAATAAAACATCAGTTTCAATAAAAGTCATAAGCCTGTCAAACCAATTTTAGTCCTTTATCTTGGATATAGTAGGTTAAAATATTTTTGTTGGGTGTTAAGCCAATAATAAACTCAGCTATTTTAACAACCAAATTATTTTCCTCCTATAAACCAAATTTACAATCAAGCTACTTAAGAAATAAAGACAACAAATAGAAACTGTTTTAATCTTCATATCCTGACCTAAAAAATAGAAGCACGAACTCATGTCACATTCTCATATTTATCTGATTAGACTAGGAATGCCTAAAAAGAATTTTCCCATAACTCCATTTACTTGTTGTTTATTTCCCTAGCTCATTCCAAAAGCAATTTAAAATACAACACCAAAAGAGTAAAATATCCTCAATCTGACATCCTAGCAATCTTTTTATTTTGGTGAAACTGAACAATAATAATAGGCACTTGCATTCTTCACCCTGAGGCACTGAAAACACTGATATGTCTCAGTTTTAAGATTCTGAAGATTATATTCTATTTAATAGATATTTTAAGTATATGTATTATATTTCTAGTCTTTGAACTAAGGCAGTCCACATATAGGTATAAAGTAATGCCTCAGCATAGTGTAGCAATTATTGGTGCAAAAGGTTGGTGCAAAAGTAATTGTGGTTTTTGTCATGAAAATGGCAAGAACTGCAATTACTTTTGCATCAACCCATAACTCTGTGGTCTCTGGAGCCAGACTGCCTGGGTTCAGATCCCAGCTCTGCCACTTAGTACCTGAGTTACTCTGGACAAACTAATTAATCTTCATGTACCTCCATTTAATTATCTGGAAAATGGGATAACAATAGTACCTATCTGGTTGGGTTGTTGTAGAGATTAAGTAAATTAATATACGTAAAATGCTTTACATTTTACGTATATTAATTTCAAAATTGCTTCGAATGATGCATATCTCATAGTGCTTTATAAATGTTTGTCATCTTATTATTATTTGGGGAACTGATTATTTCACAAAATATATTTTCTAGATAGCTGAAGTTTATTCAGTCAGTTTCAAAACTTCTAGATATAGCCAGTTTTCATGGGTCTTTACAAAAGGATCCCTGTATCTTTGTTTCTTCTGTTTTAGAGAGATTAAATGGAATCTTCCTTTGGTGATACTGATTGAGGTGATACTGAGATAATTAAGAGGACATGAAGGGATTTAGGAAGAGTGTTTGCCCCTGCACTAACTGGCCCAGACTGCTCTACTGCATCAGCCCTCTGGCGATGTTCTAAGGGTTTGGACTTCAGTCTACTGCCTATACTAGTACCCTTGCTTTAAAATTCCTGCTCCTATTTTGCTATAGGCTGTAAGCAAGAAAATAGCCTAGTTTCTAAAACCTATGTATAAAATGAGAGAATAGGTGTCACTCAGGGTGTCAGTTCTCCCCTGAGAGTAAATAAGACGTGACTGCATTTTTTCCTTCTGGGTGAGGGTTATGTTTTAGAGCAAGGGTTGGCAAACTACTACTTCCTGTAGGCCAAATCTGTTTTTTGTAAATAAAGTTTTATTGTAACACAGCCATGCTCATTTGTTTATATGTCATCTACTGCTGCTTTCACACACTGTAAGGGCAGAATTGAGTGGTTCCCGCAGAGACCATATGGTCTGTATAGCCTAAAGTATTTAATATCTGACCTTTTACAAAAGAGTTTACCAAACTCTGTTCTAGAGCTTTAAAATTGGACAGAGACAGAAATAAATGAGATGTTACTACATTTAGTAGTCTCCACTAACCTGCCTATTCAATTATTTGCAGCACCACATCCCTTAAATGTATTTTGGAGAAACAAGAATTTATTGCAGTAGGCTATGTTGGATAAAGAACAAACAGCCCTCAGTAGCACATTGTGAATATTAAGAGGTGGTGAAGCTGTGATTGTCAAGCCAAGTTGTTTGGGAATCTTCATTTTAGTATTTGTTGCTCTAGTGTGATCAGTACATAACATGATGCAAAATTATATAGCTTTCTGTTGTGTGCTGTAGAATGTTGTTCTAGAGATACTACCAGTTGGTAGCTCCTTTTTTCATGCAATTATTCAAAGTAAATGTAAATATGTCTGTTGTCCTTTTCTTTTACATGAAAACTTCCCCCCTCCCCAACGCTGTAAGATTCAGAAGCATAGTGTACAGAAAAGGATCTTGAACTTGGGTTTGAATCCTGACTTAGTCACTTTATAAAGGAGAAACATCAAGTTACATTGCCACCGCCAGCCTCAGTTTCCTTGCCTGTAAAACAGAGGTGGGAATCCAGGCTATGCTTGCCACAAAAGGAGGACCAAATGAGACTCAGCATACTAGAAGGCTCTACAGCGCATATTATTACCTGTGTCTTTAATAATGTTCTCGATTTGGTTCACTTTCTCCTCATACAAAGATGTGTATGTTTATGGAAAAGAATATACAATGGATTCTGAGTGAACTAAAATTGTCAACTGCACTGGGTATGAGTCTGCAAGCATGAAGGAGGCTGGGTGAGAAAGCCTCTTCAAACAGCATATGTATTCCTCTGGTGTCTGCTTTATTATTCACTTCTCTAATGTGAAAGTTTATGCTTTAGTGCAGAGCTCCTGGGAAATATGCAAAGAAAAAAGAAAAGATAACCTTGGAGGGGAAAAGAGGTAGTGCTTATGCCAATACAAAAGCATGAATAGAAGCAAATAGTTGCTGGTTTCTTTTAGCTGTAGTTCTTTAAGTGAATCTGGTATATATACAAGAAGGTAGTTAATGTTTTAAAGATGAAGGAAGGAATAGTTTCTTTTAATGAAAATAGACTCTAGTGCTACGGAAATGAGAAGTCCCCTGTGATGAGGCTAGAGGAGAATTACTGAAGGATGAAGTGAACGTACGTGGCTCCATTTTGTTTTTCTTGGAGGCCATAAAGAAAACCAGACAGCTTACTCAGTGTAAGTTATTTATACTTGTAAAAAAAATCACCCCATTTTTAT
Source organism: Homo sapiens (assembly GCF_000001405.40). Classification (NCBI taxonomy): domain Eukaryota; kingdom Metazoa; phylum Chordata; class Mammalia; order Primates; family Hominidae; genus Homo; species Homo sapiens. Next base: position 60,478,302 of record NC_000005.10, on the reverse strand, counting down.
AATTTAAGGGGATGCTAACGGTTCAGCTTTGGATTGCAATTACATTAAATGTATTTTCTCATAAACTTGTTTTCAAATGTTTTAAAAAGATTTAACCAGAAAATCCAGAATTCTTTTGCTGAATTTGTTTTTTAAATGCTTTAGATAAAATATTTTAGAATTATGACCTTGAATTTGAATTTAAGGGACTCCTTCAACCTCCTCTTTTAATCTCCTTTGTTATTTGGAGGGAATTATCCAAGTTGTATCAGTTAGCTATTGTTGTGTAACAAACAGTTCCAAAACATAGTTTTGGATTAAATGGATAAATGATTAAAAGGATAATCATGGAAGATTTTCATGAGTCTACCAGTTGGCTGGGGAGTTCTGGTTATCTAAGCAGATTCTGATTATTTTAGCAAGCCTTACTCATGCATTAGGAGTTAGCTGGCAAGCCAAGATGACCTTCCTTGGTAAAGTCAATGCTCCTTCCCATGTCTCTCATATCCCTCCAACAGGCTAGCTCAGGGATGTTTTCACAGTGGTGTCTGGGGTCGAAGCATGGGCAAGTCCAGTTGTGTAAAATGGTAGTTGGCAACACACATGCACTTTTCAAGTCTCTTTGTGTGTCACATTTGCTAACACCCCACTGGCCAAAGCAGTTTGTGGTGGAACTCCGAGTCCGAGTGGAGGATTGTAAAGTTATGAGTCAAAGTGTGCATACATAGGAAGGCCATGAGTTGGGCCATTAATACACTCAGTCTACCAGAAGTCATTTCACCTTTTTTCCTCCATCTTAACAGCCTCCCTTTTGGAAATTTAACTTTTACATACTGTGTAAAATCAAACCAAACAAACAGAAAAATCTCAACTTACCTGGTTACTTTTCAGCACTGTTTTTAAAGCTTGGTCAGGGAGTAAGTTGTTATTACAGGCTAAAATTAAAATTTTGCTTATTTACTTACACACTTCTCCCCTAACTCCTCCTTTTTAAAGCAAATTGAGTTTAAGCCACAAACTGTTGAATAATGAAGTTGGTTCTTTTTCAGTTTTATTCATATCTATCCCTGAGCTCTATTCTGCCTCTAATCAATTTCTGTATTTTGGAGCCGCTATTACTATAGCATTTGCTGGGTGAGTCCGTGGGGTTTTGATCATGCTTTCATATGTTCTTGCTGTTTGATTTCCTCTCTCCTTAACTCCAGGTTTGCATTTCTTCCTGCCTATTCTACATGTCATAGAGGAACTTCAAACTGGACGTATTTTAAAGAATACTGGTTATCCACTTTGCCCAGTCACACATACCTTCAACCAACAAATATATATTTGTTGAGTGACTTCCATACTATTTCAGGCATTAGTAATATACTAGTGTAAAAGTAGACAAAATGGAGGCCATCCTAGAGTTTATAATCTAATGGGGATTGACAGACATTAAACAAATGTGTGAATACATAATTTAATGCTTGGCCGTGATAAGGGTTATTGAGAAAATAAAGCAAGGTGAGCAGAAAGGGAATGATGGCGGAGGTGCTTTTTTTGATTAGTGTTGAGGGAAGGCTTCTGAAGTGAGGGAGTGAGCCATGACAATCTGGGCAAAGTGTGCTGCACGCAGGGGCATTAGTGGATGCAAGGCTGTCTGAATGACGTTTGGTGCTGCAGCAGCTGTACTTCCAATGGAAAGAAGGGTAGGAAATGAGGTGGGGGAGACAACAAGGGACCAGATCACGCAAGGCCTTTGTAGACAACAGTAAGCTCGTTACATTCTTTCTAAGTGCCATGGCAATCCATTGGTGGATTTGGGGCAGGGGAGAGACATGGTCTGATTCTGGCTGCTGCGTGGGGCACAGGCTATAGGGAGCAAGGGTGGAAGTTGGGAGGCTATGACAGTCATGGCAGGGGCTGTGTTAGGAGAGTAACAGTGGAGATTGTGAGAGGATGGCAGACTGTGGAGCTCTCCAAAATGTGTTTCATTTAAAGAAGCCAAATTTAGATACTGTGATCAGTTCTGCCAAGTCGAGCCTGTGGAGAAGTATCTCCCAAAGTAGACCCAACAGACTTCCGGTGACATCTCAGTTACTTTTAGGTGCTATGTCACATGCATGAACTTTTAAATTTTAATAGTTACTGATGATTTTAATGTGGATTAGAAATATATAAAACTTGCATGTGAAAACTATGATTTTACAGTTATTACTTGGAATGAGGAAAAAGTATTGAGTGTAGTGCAGACTTGAATGCAGAAATAGCAAAAATCTCTAGGGTTATATCTGAATGATTGGATTTAGAACATGCTGACAGGATTATTTGTTAGATTGAGTCCTGAGGGATAGTGAAGGATAACTCTGGTAAGTATGTAATCAGATTTAGTTATTACCCCTTATTGATTATCTACTGAATGTCACTCTATGTTAGGCACCTTCTATATGACATTTCACTCAGCTTTCCCTGCAACGCTATGTGATGCGGGTGGTAATTGTCTTTTTTTTTTTTTTTTTTTCATTTAACAGATGAGAGAAGTGAAGTTCATAGAGAATAAATAGCTTGTTTTAGGAAGTCTCTGATTTTTCAGATATTACAAGATTAGCTCTGGTAAATTCTCTGCAAACAGGAACTTAGTCTGTTTTGTACACTACTGTCTCCTTAGAACATAGAAACATTTCTAGTATATAATAGACATTAATCAATACTTGCTAAATGAATGAAAGGAAAAAGAATGGTTCTTGTATTTAGATCTTACTCAAGAGTGGTATATTTTGTTTTCCTTATTATAGAATGAGGTTTAGGAAGTAATCTCTTGGAGTTTAATGGAAAGCCATTTTCGTCATAGGATGACTTCCTGTGTCCCCTAAGTGCAGGTTTCCCAATGTCCAGACCTTGGCCTTATATTTTTCTCCTTATTCTCCTTGAAGGACCTGGCTCTTCTGGCTATAACTACATGTGCAATCCCCAAATCTCAGTGTTTGATCCTAAGCTCCAGTTGTAGGATGTATAAACCCACTAACAAGCCTAGAGCCACTTTAGGGCAACATAACCTTGGCCAAGTGACTTAATTGCCCTTGAGCCTTAGTCTCTGTCAGTAGAAGGAAGAGATGGAAGAAGAAACTGAGCCTTGATTTGAACAAAACCTATGGGCACTAGAAGAAAGAAAGACAGGGTGCTTAGGGAGCATAACATTAGGGGGGAGAAGACCTAGAAAGCAAACAATTGAATTTCTATTCCTTTTGAGCACCCTTATTTTGTTTTCTATCTAGAACTTTCTAAGGAGTTAAAAAAAGACTCTTTTACATAAGTTTTTTCAAAAGGCTTAAATTTATTTTTTCTTAAAAAAAGGTAAAGTATTGAAAATAAAGCCATTCAAGCATTTAGAGTCCTGGAGAAGCTCTAACCTGCAGCTAGAGCAGCTTCACACACATCCTTTCGCTGCCAGCAGCAGCTGCACAGAGCTTGCTGGAAGGTCTGAGGCAGGGTGTGACAAACTGACCTGACTGAATGAAGGGGCTTCTGGAAAGGGGAGGAGCTCCATACAGGAACATTGTTGGGGGTAAGGTGAGCCTGTGGAGGATGTCTCTCCTCTCTGCCTTTCCTTGCAGAGCTGGGAGCTGTGGAGAGTGGAAAGTGTGTCTGAATGACTTCGCATGTTTAGTGAAGCTCATTGCCAGAACTGCGACTTCCCCTGTTGCCTTGAATCTGCTGATCAGCCCTGGCAGCACACGTTTTTTAAATTATTTAAAAAGGGACAAGGGTTATAAAGATGAAAACCACATTTTTACCAGCCTCTGCAAACTCCTAATTTGGTGGGTGAAGGACACATCAATGAAATTTCCAGTATAAGGAGTGGAGGTAAGTGCTATAGTCTGAATTTTTGTATCCCTCTCAAATTCATATGCTGAAACCTAATCACCAAAGTGGTGGTATTAAGAGGGGGTTTGGGAGGTGATTAGGTTGTGAGGGCTCTCTCTCCATGAATGAATTAGTGCCCTTATAAAGAGTCTTGAGGGAGCCTGTTTGCCCCTTCCATCATGTGAGGACACATAGAAGGTGCTGTCTATAAGGTATGAGCCCTCACCAGACATTTAATCTGCTGGTGCCTTGATTTTGAACTTCACAGCTCTCAGAACTATAAGCAATAAATTTCTGTTGTTTATAAATTGCCCAGTCTAAGGTTTTTGTTATATATATATATATATATATATATATATATATATATATATATATGGCAGCTCAAAGGGACTGAGACAGTAAGCCAGACACAGAGGTCAACACCTGCCTTGGGAAGATAAAAAAATTCCAACTGGGTGGATCTGAGTGATGACTTGGAAAGAATAGGATTCAAATTAGGCCTTGAGGCAAGGATGTGACTGATGCTTATCTTTAGGAAAAAAAGGTTGTTTTACTCTAGGTAAAGGAAGTAGCCTCTTCAAAGGCTTTGAAGCAGAATAATGCGGCGGGCGGGGGCTGGGGTGGGGTCAGGGGGCATGGTACATCAAACAGTGGGGAGGGTGTAGAGTGCATAGTGTTGGGAAGAACACCATGAAATTGGAATGACAGAGGTGAAAGCATATGGTAGTATGGTTTGCATGCCAGATGAGCTCTTTGGACTTTTTGGGTTGGCATGGGGAGCCATTGACACTTTGGTGAGAGGATCTGAGGAGTGGAGTGGCAGGGGAAGGCCATCATCAGCTCTGTGTGTGCCAGGGCAGCAAGATTTGTTAGCTTAAAAAAACTTTTTGAAATAATTTTAATTTAGAGGAAGTTGCAAGAATTGTCAAAAAGTTTTAGGATATTCTTCATCTGAATTTACCAATTGTTAACATTTTGCCACATTTACTTTATCATTCTCTTGTTCTTTAACATATACATATTATTAAGAGCACTTTTCTAAACCATTTGAAAGTAAGTTGCAGACATCATACCCCATTACCCCTATGTGGTAATATCTAATATCTGAAGTCTGATCTCCAAACTTTATTCAAATTTCACCAGTTGTCCCAAAATATAGGAGGTCTCTTTCTCCCTTTCTTTCTTCCTTCCTCCCTTGCTTCTCTGCCTCCCTTCCTTCCCTTCCTTCCTTCCTTTCCTTCCTTCCTTCTTTCCTTCTTTCTTTCTCTTTCTTTTCTTTCTTTCTTTTTTCTTTCTTTTTCCTTCCTTCCTTCCTTCCTTCCTTCCTTCCTTCCTTCCTTCCTTCCTTCCTTCCTTTCTTTCTCTCTCTCTCTTTCTTTCTTTCTTTCATCTCTCTCTCTCTGTCTCTCCCTCCCTCCTTCCTTCCTTCCTTCCTTCTGTCTGTCTGTCTTTCTTCAGATGCTCCTCAGCTTATGATAGGGTTATGTCCCAATAAACTAATCATAAGTTGAAAATGCATTTAATATGCCTAACCTATCAAATGTCATAGCTTAGCCTAGCCTACCTCGAATGTGTTCAGAGCACTTACATTAGCTTGCAGTTGGGGAAAATCACCTAATGTAAATCATGTAATAAAGTAAATTACATAAATATTTCATGTAATTTATTGAATACTGTACTGAAAGTGAAAAAAGTATCCAAAATATGGTTTCTACCAAATGTGTTTACTTTTGCAGCATCACAAAGTTGAAAAATCCTAAGTTGAACCATCCTAAGTCAGAGACCATTTGTAGCCTAGGTGACAATGAAATAGGCTTGAGTGGAAGCACTGACAGTGAGAATAAGACAGCCATTTCAGAGTTGAACACAATAAGATTTGGCAACAATGGGCTTTAGGGTAAGAGAGGGAGTAAAGCTGGTAATGAGGTTGTAGTTTACAGGATTGATGTCCTTAACCAACAAGGATCTCAGGAAAGAGAATCGAAGTGCAAGGGTGTGCTTATGTTTCAGATTTTTCATTTAATAATAATAATTAGATTTCTATAGTGCTTTCAAAGGCAGAAAGGCAGTATGATTGGAGGCAGCTTATGGCAGTGATCAAGAGTAGGAACTCCGGTGCTAGACTGTCTGGGTTGGAATCAGGCTTTGCTGCTTATTAGCTGTGTGACCTGGGAAAAATGACCTAAGTTGGCTGTGCCTCAGTTTTCTTATCTGTGAAATGGGAATTTTAACATCGTTTCCCTCACAGGATCATTGTGAAGATTAGATTAGTTATTATTTGTAAAGTGTTATTATTTATAAAGTATTATAAGCCATTCTGACATATAGTAAGCACTGTATGTGTTTGCTGAATCAATATAAATAAACTTATTTTCCCATATTACTGAATCCTCACCAGCAAATCTGTGAGGAAGGTACTATTATTATTATTGCTAATTGGGACTCAGGTGTTACATGGTTTGCCCAAAACCATATAACTATCGGTAAAAATGCTCATTCTGTTCCACCTACCAGACTATCCCCGGGCTCGCTACATGGGGATACCTAATAGGCCATAGTAATGGGCTAGTGTCTCAGCATAGGCATACTTTGGGAGTATTGTGGGTTCAGTTTCAGACCACTGCAATAAAGTGAATATTGCAATAGGGCAAGCCATGCAAACATTTTGGTTTCCCAATGTATGTAAGTTACATTTCTAGTATACTGTAGTTGATTAAGTGTGCAAATAGCATTATATCTAAAAAAAGTACATACCTTAATTTAAAAATACTGGTTGTTAAAAAATGCTAATGATCACTGAGCCTGCAGCAAGTTGTAATTTTTTTGCTGGTGGAGAGTCTTGCCTTGACATTGATGGCTGCTGAATGATCAGGATGGTGGTTTCTGAATGTTGGGGTGGTTGTGACAATTGCATGAAATAAGACAACAATGAAATTTGCTACATCAATCGACTCTTCCTTTCATGAAATATTTTTATGTAACATGCAGTGCTGTTTGATAGCATTTTATTCACAGAACTTTTCAAAATTGCTGTCAGTCCTCTCAAACCCAGTTGCTGCTTTTTATCAACTAAGTTAATGTAATATTCTAAATCCTTAGTTGTTACTTCCACAATGTTCACAGCATCTTCACCAGGAGTAGATTCCATCTCAGGAAACCACTTTCTTGGCTTATGTGTAAGAAGCAGCTCCTCAAATCTTCAAATTTTATCATGGGATTGCAGAAATTCAATCACATCTTCAGGCTCCACTTCTAATTCTAGTTCTCTTGCTATTTCCACCACATCTGCAGTGACTTCCTCCCCTAAAATCTTGAACCACTCAAAGCCATCCATGAGAAGTGGAATCACTTCTTCCAAACTTCTGTTAATATTGGCATTTTGGCCTCCTCCCATGAGTCATGAATGTTTTTAATGGCATCTAGAATGGTGAATTCTTTCCAGAAGGCTTTCAACTGACATTGCTCATATCCATTAGAGGAATCACTGTTTATGGCAGCTACAGCCTTACAAAAATATATTTCTTAAATAATAAGCCTTGAAAGTCAAAATTACTCCTTGATCTATGAACTGCAGAATGAATATTTTGTTAAAGGCATGAAAACAATGTTAATCTCCTCGTAGTTCTTCATCAGATCTCTTGAGTGACTAGGTGCATTGTCAATGAGCAGTAATATTTTGAAAGGAATCTTTTTTTTTTGGAGCAGTAGATCTCAACAGAAGGCTTAAAAAATTCGGTAAACCATAATTAAACAGATGTGCTGTCATCTAGTCCTTGTGGCTCTATTTATGGAGCACAGGCAGAGTTGATATAGCGTAATTCTTAAGGGCTTAAGGATTTTTGGAATTGTAAATGAGAATTGGCTTCAATTTAAAGCTACCACCTGTATTGGTCCTTAACAAGAGAGTTAGCCTGTCTTTTGAGGCTTTGAAACTAGGAATTGACTTCTCTTTAGCAATGCAAGTCCTAGGTGGCATCTTCCAATATAAGACTGTTTTGTCTAGATTGAAGATCTGTTGTTTAGTGTAGCTACCTTCATTGAAAATCTGTTGTTCAGTGTAGCTACCTTCATTTGTTATCTTAGCTATATTATCCAGTTCACCTGCTGCAACTTCTTCCTCAGCATTTGCTGCTTCACCTTGTACTTTTCTGTTATGGAAACAGTTTATTTTATTAAACTTCATGAATCAATCTCTGTTAGCTTCAAACTTTTCTTCTACATCTTCCTTACCTCTCTCAGCCCTTGTAGAATTGAAGAGTTAGGGCCTTGCTCTGGATTAAGCTGTGGTTTAAGGAAATGTTGTCACTGGTTTGATCTTCTATTCAGACCGCCCAAACTTTCCCTATATGAGCAATAAGGCTGTTTTGCTTTCTTATCATTCATGTATTCACTGGAGTAGCACTTTTAATTTCTTTCAGAACTTTTCTCTTACATTCACACCTTGGCTAACTTGCACAGGAGCTTTTGGCTGTTCTTGGCTTTTAACCTGCCCTCCTCACTAAGCTTATTCATTCCGAGCTTTTGATTTAAAGTGAGATATGTAACTGTTTATTTCACTTCAACACTTCAAGGAAATTGTAGGGTTATTAATTGGCCTAACTTTTAATATTGTTGTGTCTCAGGGAGAAGGAGACCTGAGGAGAGGAGAGATTTCTGGGAAAAGCCAGTCAGTGAAGCAGTTAGAGAATACACATTATTCATTGATTAAGTTCGCCGTCCTATATGGGCATGGTTTGTGGCATACCAAAACAATTACAACAGTAGCATCTGAGATCACTGATCACATATCACCCTAACAAATATAATAACAATGAAAAATTTTAAATATTATAAGAATTACCAAAATGTGACAGAGACATGAAATGAGCACACATTGTTGGAAAAATGGTGCTGATAGACTTGCTCAACCAGGGTTGCCACAAACCTGTGATGTGTAACAAAACACAGTATCCGCAAAGTGCAATAAAGCAAAGTGCAATAAAACAGATAAGGGCTGGAGGCTCTGGAGTTGAAAGCCCTCTACATGGAGATGATCATTGAAGACATGTGATGTATGCAGTCACTAAGAGAGAAGCTGTAGAAGAAAAAGCTGAGTGTTGGAGAATGTTGCCTATGGGGTATGAAGATGAAGGGGAGCTGGTGACTGAGACTGGGTAGGAGCAGTCAGAGAGGTAGGAGACAGAACAGGAGGGGGTGGAGTGAAGGAAAGGAAGAAAAGTAAGGGCTTAAGAAGGACTTGGCCATTCTTTACACAAACAAGGCAGACAAATTCAGAGCAGAGACCTGGGATAGTGATGAGTGGGTTTCTTAGTGACCATAGTGAGAATGGTTCATTGGCTTGGTGAGGACAGATGCTTATTTATGGGGCTCAGGAAGAATGGGAAGAAAGACGTGGATTTTATAAATGTGTGCTATTCCCTTAAGCAGATTGGCAATAAAAGGAAGGAAAACTTTGAAAGAAACAGGGTAAAGAAATGATCTGTCTCCAAAAGAGGCAATTGTCTTGGTCATCCAGGAGGTAAAGGCAAAGGCTTGAAGATGCAGGAAATGGTGGGGACGATGGAGAGAGCTGGCAGGGATAGAATCAGGAGCATGGCTGGAGGGATTGGTCTCAGGAAGAAATAGAGACACTGCTTCAAGATTGGAGGGAAGGCTGGGCACAGTGGGTGGCTCATGCCTGTAGTCCCAGCAATTTTGGAGGCTGAAGTAGGAGGATTGCTTGAGTCCAGGAGTTCAAGATCAGCCTGGGCAACATAGTAAGATCCCCATCTTTGCAAAAAGGAAAAAAAAGTTAGCCAGACATGGTGGCACATGTTTATACTTCCAGCTACTTAAAAAGTAACCCTGACTCTTAAAAAAAAAAACTGAAGGCAAGAAAGAGACTGTGTGTGATGACCTATGACATTTCATATGAAGGAAGGAAAAATTGAGATAATTCACCTAGAATTGCCTCAATTTTTGTTGAGTGGGCAATGAAGCTGTTTGTTGAGAAAGTTAGAAGTATATTTGAGAATCTGAAAGGGCTTGAAAAGTTAGGATGTAGACTGGGCATGGTGGCTCATGCCTGTAATCCCTGCATTTTGGGATGCTGAGGCAGGTGGGTTGTTTGAACTCAGGAGTTCAAGACCATCCTGGGCAACATGGTAAAATCCCATCTTTATTAAAAATATAGAAATTAGCCAGGTGTGGTGGCACTCACCTGTGGTTCCAGGTACTCAGGAGGCTGAGGTGGGAGAATTTCTTGAGCCCAGGAGGCAGAGGCTGCAGTAAGCAGAAATCATACCATTGCACTCCAGCCTGGATGACAGAGCAGGACCTTGTCTCAAAAAAAACAAAAAAAAAAGAAAAAAGAAAGAAAGTTAGGATGTGTATTAGAGATGAAAAAGGGGACTGTCCAGTGAGGGAGGACCAGCATTTGGACTGGTTGAGTGGCTTGGTTCTACAAGGTATTATCATAGGACTTTCCTTAGTGACTGATATGGTTTGGCTCTGGGTTCCCACCCAAATCTCACATCAAATTGTAATCCCTATGTGTCAGAGGAGGAGCCTGGTGGGAGGTGATTGGATCTTGGGGGTGGATTTCCCCCTTGTTGTTCTTGTGATAATGAGTGAGTTCTCACGAGATCTGAGTATTTAAAAATGTGTAGCACATCCCCTTTCTCTCTCTCCTGCTCTGCCATGCCAAGACGTGCTTGCTTCCCCTTCACCTTCCATCACAATCATAAGTTTCCTGAGACCCCCAAGTCATGCTTCCTGTTAAGCCTGGGGAGCTGGGAGTTAATCGGACCTCTTTTCTTCATAAATTACCCAGTCTCAGGTAGTTCTTTATAGCAGTGTGAAAACGGACTAATAGAGAAAATGTGACACCCCAGAATTAAGGCAGAAGAAATGGATTGGGCCAGTGTAAGCATGGCTTTTAGTGAAAGGTTAAGAATACTAGGAAATCTCAGAGTTCAGAGAGAATTCAGTTGGAGATGGTTGACCATAGGCTGTGAAGGCAAGAGGAGGCTGAACAAGGTTCCTGTGAAATATCCATAATGACAGAGAAGAAGGAAAGCACATTTCTGGGGCTCCAAGTAGCCTCTTAGAAGTTGGAAAATTCTCAAGTCTTAAGTTTTAACTTTAAAATATTTAAAATTCCAGGGCTGGGCCTGGTGGCTCATGCCTGTAATCCCAGCACTTTGGGAGGCTAAGGCAGGCAGATCACAAGGTAAAGAGTTCAAGACCAGCCTGGCGAACATGGTGAAACCCCGTCTCTACTAAGAATACAAAAATTAGCTGGGTGTGGTGGTGTGTGCCTGTAATCACAACTACTCGGGAGGCTGAGGCAGGAGAATAGCTTGAACCCAGGAGGTGGAGGTTGCAGTGAGCAGAGATCACGCCACTGCACTCCAGCCTGGGCAACAAAGCAAAAATCCATCTCAAAAATAAATAAAATAAAATAAAATAAAATAAAAAAATATTTAAAATTCCAGTGCAGATCTGTTAAAATAAAGTAGTAGATGCTAGTAGGTGATTGATTTCTCAGTAAATAGACACCTAAAATATATATGCCATATTTTTCCATGACAAGGGCCTATACTGGGTGGGGGTGGGCTGGGAATTTGTATCCCAGTTTAAGAAGACTGGAAGAACAAAGAAAAGTAAGGGCAAAATCAACTACTGAGAACAACGAAGGGGCAGGATAAATTCAACAGGAGGGAAAGAGTAGGAAATGTTGAAAAATTTGAGACTGGCAGATCTTGAAAATGAGACAATCCTAGTTGATAATGAGCTCCAAAGTGTAATCAAGAAATCTTCCAAGTGATGGAGATAAAGAGATGGAGGCTGTCTTGGGTGATTTCAATCTCATTGAATTGCTCCTGACTTAGATTCAATACAAAATTTCTCTCTTGTGGTGCACAGAAAAAATATTAATGTTTAAAAAGATGCATTTGTAAAATGTTAAGCCAGACATTTATTTTTAAACATTGTCTTGAAGTCAGAGAGAGATTAATAGAGCCATTCTAAATTTTCTTAGGGAACATATTTGGTATCTGCCTCCTGTTGTACAATCTCTAAGAAAAGTGAGAGCAAGAAGAACTATAAAATTGAAATGCCAATTGTGATATCAAGTAATTTTTAAATGAATGCATCTTTCAATTCATTGATAGGATAAATCCTTATTTACTTTATCCGTGAGGGTCTCTGTCTTGAACAACAAGCAGCCAATTTGTGGAATTAGTGGCTGTTTCAGGAGGGTAAGTAACCTCTCATTTATGACCATCTCGTTCCTATGTTTTAAAATAAGATTGTGGACAAATACTTCCATTCAACCTAGTAGATGCATTTTGGCAATGGCAGATCACCCAAACAATGGATAACAATAGCAAAAGAAATGATATAGTCAGAAGTCTAATGTTAGCCATTTGTTCCTAGAGTTTCGAAATACAGTCAGTTCCCAACTCATGATGGTTCGACTTAGAATTTTTCAACTATTTTTATGATGGTGTGAAATTACATGCATTCAGTAGAAACTGTTCCCTTCCTGTTGAATTACTCTGTCCCTTCATTGTTCGGTGCAGTTGATTTTGCTCTTCCTTTTCTTTTTTTTTTTTTCACTTTCACTGCAGCATTTAAAATTACAAGAGATATTCAGTACTTTATTATAAAGTAGGTTTTGTGTTAGATGATTTTGCCCAACTGTAGGCTAATGTGAGTTTGGAGCATGTTTAGGTAGGCTAGGCTAAGCTATGATTCTTGGTAGGATAGGTATATTAAATGCATTTTTGAATTAATGATATTTCAACTTACAATGGGTTTATTAGGACATAATCCCACTGTAAGTTGAGGAGCTTCTGTAATTATAATATCAGATATTGATAGCTTCCATTGGTAAGTAACTTCAATATTTCCCACTCTTTTTTTAAAAGCTTGACGAGCATACAAATAATAAATAATTAATGTTTCTAGTAGAAAAGAGGTAAGTAACAGGAACAGAAATCTTGGACCATCTTAAATGAACCAATGGGAATGTCACCATGCACATCCTTCCAAACTTTGTTTCAAGCTATTTCATGTCAAATTTATGCTTATACAAGTGGAATAATATGTATGTTATGTCTTATGTTTTAAGGAAGTCTTGACTTATGGAGGGTGAGCATTTAGTCTCACTTTTAAACTAACTTAGGAAAATGATCTAAAGCATAGTGAAAAGAACAATAGAGCAAGAGGAATGAGGTGTTAGTTTAATGAAATAGTTTAGTGAAATAATGCCAAGGACTAATATATTGAAGAGATATTTCTTTAGCTTGGCATATTTCAGGAAGCAAGCGGGTGCATTTAATAAATTAAATTTTTATTTAATTATTTATTTTTATTTATTTATTTTTTTAAAGATGAAGTTGTGCTGTCACTTAGGCTGGAGTGCAGTGGTGCGATTATAACTCACTGCAACCTTGAACTCCTGAGTTCAAACAATCCTCCCGCCTCAGCCTCCCAAATAGCTGGGACTACAGGCATGTGCCACCATGCCTAGCTAATGAAAAAACAAAAAAAAGTTTATAGAGATGGGATCTCACTTTATTGTCTAGGCTGGTATTGAAATCCTGGCTTCCCACCATCCTCCCACCTTGACCTCCGAAAGTACTGGGATTACAGGTGTGAGCTGCCATGCCTGGCCTGGCCTTGCTTTTTTATTTTTTAGCTTTTATAGCTCCATATCCTCTAATGCCACCACAGTATGATGAGTGGAAATTTGGGTACCATGTTTAGCACTGATTTTCTCTCTTGGCGAGGAGGCACCACTATCACGCTATGTTGAGTTTTTGGCAGCCAAGATCAGAGGGACTGTCTTGTAATGGCCCCATCCCTGAGATCTGTGGGAATAACACAGGAGACAGGCACTGACTGCTTCCAGGGGAAGCAACAATCAGTGCACTGAATGCCTTACCAAGCTGAGTATCGCTGAACTTCAAAACAGTGCCAGAGGAGTAGAGTTTTTTTAACTTCCTCTGCTCTGTCAACAGCTGACTTAGCTGATTTTTGCCTGTGATGATAATATCCAGAGTGATGACTGGATTCTCATAATCTGCTTCTCTACTGTTAAGGAGGGATTTTTACCTGATAGCATTTCTCTAATTTTACTTATTTTATTAATTCTTCTATGCCAATTACTTATAAATTTTGGCTTATTTCTGATCACACTATACCATTTGTAAAACATGAAATTCAAGTTGATTGATTGCTATAATTTTCTCCCATCCATATTCTGGATGAATCAAAGATGAGGCTGGCAGTGTTTCTTTCCCTTTGAAAACACTTGGTTCATTTTCACAAACAGAAAAATTACATGGCTTCCTGGAGACATTGATTTGTTCTTCTGGAAGGGTTGGACCTCCATTGAGAATCACTAATTTAACAAAAAGCCCACAGATCATTGTATGAGTGTGTGTGGGATGGGGAGGGGGAGAGAGAGAAAGAAGGAAAGAAATGGGTTAAAATTTCATTTTAAGGAATCATTTTATTGTTGGATTAGAAACTAAAGACTGTCCATAAAAAAGAGGAACCATTCTAAAATTTTCATAACTTGCTGTATGTGTGTATTTTATTTCTTAATAAAGCTCAAGTAGTTTCTCATGAAAGTCAATGGATAGAGAGCCATTTCAGGACGTGTTTGAATTGGCAGTTGGTTGGAGTTTGGCCATGGCAGGAAAGGACAGCTGTTTGTTGTGGGGCCTTGTCTCCATGGTGTTGGGCAGCACATCTTCAGCTCTTTCTGGGAAGACCTCAAAGTAGGAATAGACCAAGAAAAACAGCAAGAGGGCATGACTGCATGCTGGTCAGATGGAATTCAGCCTGTACTGCTCTAGCAGAGCTTCTCCAGGGGTTAGAATGTTTTGCTTTTATAGTCATCTGGATTGTTTGTTTACTAAGGGTAGAAAGGTCCCAGCCTCACCCAAGACCTCCCGATTCAGTCTCTGTGGGGAGCTGCTTGGGAATCTGTATGTTAGAGAAGCTCCCAGGATAATTGTGATGTGTGGTCATGTTTAAGAGCTGCTAGTGTAAATAATGGTGAACAGTAGCACTGGCTGGAAGCACTGTAGAAATTGTGTGTGTGTGTGTGTCTGTGTGTGTCTGTGTGTATTGTGCAAGAGCTATGAGATAAGATCAGGCTACTGGAATTTGCCAAGAAGCAGCACGGGAGACACATTAACTAGACGCCAAGGATGTGGCCATAGACTTTCCTAGAAACTCCCTCATCTAGGGTGTGCACGTCTGGATTGCACTGACTAGTCCTGATTAAATCCTGTATGCATAGGCTCAGTGCAGGCTGGGCTCCAGAAAAGGCCATCCACAATGTTTTCTTTTAAAATTCCATATACTATTTATCTTTGATTTTCTACCTCCTGCAGGAATCCCTAGATCCAACTTTCTTTGGTGAGTTTGCAGGGGTTTCTGATGGTTCTCTTGTTTCACGGGTTTCCTTCTTATTTTCTACTCCTTTTATTTGGAATGTCAACCTACAAACTTAAAAGATTGAGCAAACTTTGTAGGAAAACTACAGAAGTTGGAACCACATATGATGCTTTCTATTATATGCCCAAAGTCTGTTGTATATGATGAAAATGAGGTTTTATTTACTTCTTGGTACACCAAACACAAACACTCTCTAATGAGGAAAAGAACCCAATGAGGGGGAAAATGCTGGATGCCAATGGATGGCAATGATTTATGGAACTCTGGGCTCAGTGGTAGTGAATGATCATCTTAAGGGAAGACACTATTCTACAGTTCGGTGTAGCTGGGATGACTTTATATCCTAGTTTGCAAGACAGTCCTGGCCTCACCTGTTGAGCTGGTGTCCCATCTAGTTAAGATACCTTTCATGCTCCCCAGTGTCCTGGTTGAGATACTCCGTTTATGTGGTCACCGTGAGGATAGGAAACAGAGAGAGGAGATTTTTCTTTGGATCACTGAATAGTACTCATTTCATTATATGATTTATCCCATTCCAGGCTCACCCCTAACATTTGAGGGCCCAGGACAAGACCCCCCTATTCCACAACCTATTCCTTCTCTTCTTGCCCTGGCTCCACTGTGCAACTGGAGGATCCTTGTAAGAATGTGTGTGGGTGAGCCAGCCTGCTCATTCAACTTTATTCACACCCACATCCACTAGCTGCCCATGAACACCCCTCAGGCCTAGGGGTGCGCACACCTGTGAGTTGATCTGCTTCGGGAGGGTGAAGACACACCCAGGCCCTGGAAGCTGGTTTCGGACCACTTGGGGCAGGAAATTCAAGGGTCATGAGTACTTGGGGAAGAGTCTAGAAGGGAAGTTGTCCCTGCAGGTGGGTATGTATCACAGCCCTGCAGACTGCTGGTTCCATGGAGAGGCATGGCTGGAGAAGGGCAGGAGAGGGCATTCTGAAGCATCAGCCCCCTGATTAGGGATACCTGGCCCTAGAGTGGTCCTGGCCTTTTCACTCCTGCTTTTCAGAGATCCTGCTTCTAACACATCCTTGAGCATCTCAGTAAAGCAAGCTTCCTATGCCATTCTGAAGTGTTTGGGTTAAGAACGTTTCTCATGTGAATAATGCTTGGTCACCAGACTGAGGTCCAGCGTATTCTTCATCTGGTCTGATAGAAATCCCTTGTCTTTAAATGTCATATATTTAAGGTAACAACTCTATTTTGTAGGTTGAAACAAAAACTTAAACTGTATCAGTTAATGTTTTTAAAGTCAACCAAAGGGAAGGCACCTCTTCCCAGTGTGTTTCATCAATTGAAATCTGGTGAATGTTTTTTTGTTTGCTGGTATGTTCCACCATGTGTGTGAGCATGAAGGTAGGAAAACTGTTTGCTCAGCCATTCCCTCTGTGGTTTGGTTTGTTGGAGAATCAGTCAAATGGAAAGGCTTTCCTCTGATGTGATTACAGAATCAAATATTTTATAATTCCCAGATACTTCTGAATCTTGAATAATTATTAAAGTCAGTGAACACTTTCTCTTTCTTTTCCTTGACTCCCTTTGGATTGAACTAGCCCGCAGGGCAACACAATATTATTTCCCTGGGCTAGGTGCACTTTCCTCTTCGTGGACTATTGGGTGCCTGTAGATAGAGTCCCTGTGCACAGCAGGCAGATTGTGCACCGCATAGTCCTGGAGGTAAATTTCACCAAGAGTATAAGTGGGATTGTGCAAAATGGTAGCCCTGCCTATGCATGTTTGGGGCAGGGATTCCCCCCAACTGTGTATTTCCTGGGAGGCCTGATTTTCCTCCTCTTTCTGTCACCCATCATAAGCATATGGAGAAGATGGATGTTTGAAGGGAAAATAATGTTATTTTCTGCATTTTCTCCCATTTTTTGAGAGCACTCATTCTCCTTCTAATATTAATTTAGATCAGGGAAAATAAAAGCCATTTGTTAAAGAACTAACTATTATATAATAAATTATCAAACAATTACGCCAAAGGTATGTTTACAAACTCCTGTTCTATCTTGGTGGGTTGATTAGCTTCCTTGGGGGGTCCAAACAGCTATGGCTTTTCCATTTTTATAAATGGTTCTGCATTTATAAAATTAAGAATGGACATTTATGCTATTAATTAAGAATGGAATTAATAGTGTAAAGGGATCCTTCAAATACCCATGTGTTATTGCTCAATTTTAACCAATAAATCTTATACCAGAGTGTTCTGCCTGCTTCCGGATGAGCAAGGAGACTTGTGGTCTGGTTCTTGGACTTCCCTAGCAGCATGGCCCCCAAATGCCAGTCTCCACTCCTGCCTCAAAAGAAGAAACCAAGAATGCCTCCTGCTCTGGGACCGGAGGAGACATTGGCCTCTGCAGGCTTGCTGAGGAAGGGAGAAAAAGAACAGCAAGAAGCAATTGAATGCATTGATGAAGTACAAAATGAAATAGACAGACTTAATGAAGAAGCCAGTGAGGAGATTTTGAAAGTAGAACAGAAATATGACAAACTCTGCCAACCATTTTTTCAGAAGATGTCAGAATTGATCGCCAAAATCCCAAATTTTGGGGTAACAACATTTGTCAAGCATCCACAAGTGTCTGCCCTGCTGGAGGAGGATGAAGAGGCACTGCATTATTTGAGCAGAGTTGAAATGACAGAATTTGAAGATATTAAATCAGGTTACAGAATAGATTTTTATTTTGATGAAAATCTTTACTTTGAAAATAAACTTCTATCCAAAGAATTTCATCTGAATGAGAGTGGTGATCCATCTTCAAAGTCCACTGAAATGAAATGGAAATCTGGAAAGGATTTGATGAAATGTTCATCTGGAAAGGATTTGATGAAATGTTCAAGTCAAATGCAGAATAAAGCCAGCAGGAAGAGGCAGCATGAGGAACCAGAGAGCTTCTTTACCTGGTTTACTGACCATTCTGATGCAGGTGCTGATGAGTTATGAGAGGTCACCAAAGATGATATTTGGTCAAACTCATTACAGTACTACTTGGTTCCCGATATGGATGATGAAGAAGCAGAATGAGAAGAAGATGATGATGATGATGAAGAGGAGGAAGGATAAAAAGATACTAATGAAGAAGACAATGAAGATGAAGGTGAAGATGAAGATGATGATGAAGGGGAGGAAGGAGAGAAGGATGAAGGAAAAGATTACTAGAACACTGATAGGTTCCAACTTTCCTGTTTAAAAATTTTTCTCCAGTCCCTGGGAGCAAGTTCCAGTCTTTTCTTTTTCCTCTTGTGCTCTGTTGCCCTGTTGTTGAGGTCTCTTTGCTCTACACCATGGTTCTCAACTTATTGCAGAATACAATGGGAAAAGTGTCTCTACGCCTTTCTGTTTGAAATTCATTTTTATCCCTTTCTGTCTGAACAAAAACTGTATGGAATCAACACCACCGAGCTCTGTGGGAAAAAAGAAAAACCTGCTCCTTTCATTCTGCTGGAAGCTGGAGGGTGCTAGGCCCCTGTGTAGTAGTGCATAGAATTCTAGCTTTTTCCCTCCTTTCTCTGTATCTTGGGCTTAGAGAGTACACGGTGTCTCTATGTGAATATGGACAGTTAGCATTTACCAACATGTATCTGTCTATTTTCTCTTGTTTAAAAAAAGAAAAAAACTAAAAAACAAAATGGGATTATAGAAGGTCAGCAAAGGGTGGATCTGAGATGTTTGGGTAGGTTAAGTGGGCATTTTGACAACATGGCTTCTCCTTTGGCATGTTTATTGTGATATTTAACAGGCATCTTTGTAGTTTAAGATGACACTTTTAAAATAAATTATCTCCTAATGATGACTTGAGCCCTGCCACTCAAAGGGAGAATCAGAAGAACCTGTAGGATCTTATTTGGAATTGACTTTCTCTATTGTAATTTTGTTCCTGCTTATTTTTAAGTTTTCTTTTTGTTTCACTGTAAAGGAAAGATGATGCTCAGTTTTAAACGTGAAAAGTACAAGTTGCTTTGTTACAATAAAACTAAATGTATACACATACACACACACACAACACACACACACACACACACACAAACTTATACCAAAATCACACCACTTTAGTTAGTTGTCCACTGGAAAGGTGCTCTTTGTTTTCGAGCTTCAAAGAAGCTCGTCTTCTTTTATTTGACTGTCGCTAGGGACTCCACTGAGCAGGAATGACTATTCTGATATTTGCTTGTTACATTTTTGGTTTTCAGAGGTGGCATATTGAGGAGGTGCACTTATGGATTGCAGCATAAGTATCCATGAGTCCGGGTGTGGTGCGTGTGCTCACTCATTATCTTGATGTGCTGCTCACTACCACGTCTCTCCTTTACACTATTGGAAACTTTCATTCTTAATAATTTAATTTATCCCTAGTGACTCCAGCCTCCCATGACAGACTAAAAAACCAGACTTGATGAAGTCCAGATATATTTTAATTCTCTTCTATCAAGCCCAAGGGAGAATTTCTTAGCGACTATGCTGACTTATGTCTTGAAAAAACTTTAACTTTGGGAATTTTGATGTATAATGAAGCCAGGAGAGGGAGACGTGTCATTCCAAAATGCTGCGAATAGAATTTAAGCAAGCAACATGACACACATTCTTTGTTTCTTTTGCTTTTTTTTTTTTTTTTTTTTTTGCAATGAAGTCTCACCCTGTTGCCCAAGCTGGAGTGCAGTGGTGTCATCTCGGCTCACTGCCATCTCTGCCTCCTGGGTTCAAGTGATTCTCCTGCCTCAGCCTCCTGAGTAGCTGGGACTACAAGCATGTGACACCATGCCCAGCTAATTTTTTTGTACTTTTAGTAGAGATGGGGTTTCACTGTGTTGGCCAGGCTGGTCTCAAAATCCTGGCCTCAAGTGATCCACCCGCCTTGGCCTCCCAAAGTGCTGGGATTACAGGTGTAAGCCACTGCACCTGGCCATGACACATATTCTTAGCTATTCTCCAAAAGGGAGAACACTAGAAAAGTGGTAATTTGAAAATAGAAACTGTCCAGTAGCAACTGGATGGCTCATAGCTCCAGTGGTTCTAATAAGCGCTCAGTGGAGAGTCTGATACATATTAGGTGCTCAAGAAAATATTTGTTAACTGAATAAACAAATCAATCGGATCTTGTTCAGAGAAATTCCAAAGCAGAGAATATCTGCCACAAGTGCTCACATCAACCATGCCTATTAAGCAGCACCATGTTGTTTGCTCTCGCAGAAAGGGATTTGATTTGGCATTTGCTGAAACAGGCCCCCATCTTACAGACGGCATTGAGACTCGGAAGAGTTAAATAATTTCCTCACAGCTACTAAGCACTAGAACTAGAATAAGAATGTGTGCTTTCTGACTCTGAGTCTAGGATTCTAGGACTTCAAGGGTTTCCTATCTTTTTGAAGTCATGGGGCAGAACAATATAAAGGAACAGCTGGAAAAACTGAAATGAAATTACTATTCACTCTTACATAGGAAGAATAAAGATAACTCTTGAGGGCCCTGATATATTATAGTAATAAAAACAAGACTGAGGTAGCAGAAGCACATGGACATGCAGGGAACACTTCCAAACATCCTTCAAAAGGCCTAACTTCTAAGGACAGGAAACATGAGGAAGCAGAGAAGGAAGGAAATGTGTCTAAATTCTTCCAAGCTGTTTCTTTTACTATTCAGGCCAAGCCTTCTATCTCTTAAATCAAAATTTCAGGGAAAGCTTATGGCAGATGAGACTTTTGGGAGTACATTAGAAAACAGGAGGGAAAAAGGCCTTATTACTCACTGATTTGTATCCTTGTGTTATTTTATAATATTATTAAAGCTCTTTCCATGTTATATAGATTCTGTCTCTCAGCTGTACTGCAAATCTATTAGGACAAGTCTCGTCTCTTTTATGTATTCCTTCTACTGTGTCTATATGTGGTGGTCTCTCAGTCGAGCAGGCTGTACAGTTTATTCGAAGTGTTCCAAGGAGCTTGTGTGCCTCCACTGCTCTGACCTCATTTTTGCAATGTTAATTAAGTTGGGTAGATGACCTATTCGACTGATAACACTCACTAGCTCACTAGTATATGGTAAGTAGTTTATTCTCTTAGTTAGTTGACCGTGACCAGATTAAAGCCCAAAAAGACAAGAAAAAAAATCAGGTGGTAGAGAGTGGGGAACAGAGGTATAGGACACTGTTTTGGGAAAGTGGATCTTCTTGTGTTCCTACAGAGGATAACTCGGGCGTGTCAGGATGAGGTATTACAAGAAGAGAGAACAAGAGGGGAGGCTCACCATTAAATTTGGCTTCTGGCCTTGGGTCAGCCTTGCATGATGTTTTGTAGACTGAGAGTAAGGAAGGAGAAGTTGAGACAAAAACTTTACTCTCTGTTTGGTCACTGAGAGTAAAGGTTCTCTTTGTGCTAGCTTATTCTTAAGCAGTATGCATGAGGCATTTAGGGGTTTATTGCTGAAGAAAATTCATCCTCTTGTGCTAATTGGGCAGGGATTCCAAGGGATTAAAACCAAAATCATTTGACCACCTGAGTTACAGTAATTTTAGAGCTTAGGTTGTTTATTTTCACTGTATAGCACAACCAAATACTATTCAGTCTGGCTGCATGGAATGAGATATGGCTAATTAGATTTCCTGGCTAACCCAGGTTAAGGCAGAAATGCCATGTTAACAGTAGCACCCTTAAACCTGGGGAAAGAGGCTCTTGCCTCGTGTCACTTGCTTTAGAGGGCCCTACTGGTCTTCCTCCACTGTGCCATGCCTTATGGGGAGACGATTCTGCAGAGCCATGTGGATATTGTCAATCCAAAGCACCCCATTCCCTCTTCTAAACCACTTGGTACCCCACAATTCCTACCTAAGTGATCCCAAGATGACTTCCAGGGCCTACGTGGGTCTCTCTTGAGTTCTCATCTCCCGAAGGTGAACTGTACCACTTGTGTTGAGCACTCCTAGGACCAAAGAGTGTGGGGCTGTGCATGAATCTTAGATGTTTGGGCTGAGATGTCCTTGGGGGTGTGTGCAAGGCCCCTCACTGCAGAAAAGAACTGAAGGTGGGGAAGAGAAGAGAAGGGAGTGGGCTACTGGCTGGAGAACCCTGGCTCCAAAAATTTTAGGCATGGGCTGACATTTCTAACTCTCCAGTGGGAAACCATTTAAAGCAGTCAACACATTGACTACGAAGTGCAGGCACTACTTTGAGTAACTAGACTTGATCGCAGAGGTCCTTGAATGGCCTCCTGGTCTGCATGTGTAACAACAGTGGTTATTGTTCTCTGGACTCTAATGCTGTAGGTACTAGATGTGACTGTTCTCCAGAGACATTCCTAGGGAGTTGCTAATGGTGGTGGTGGTAATTGCTATTATTATTTCATGAACATTGAAATCTTTTATTTTTTTGTAAAGTTGTCTCCTTGAATACTGGACTGTAAAGGTGTGTGGATGTGTTCTAGCAAATTGAGAATTGTAGTTAATTGAGTTCTGGTTATTTAACTTTTTACTGTAGTTTGTACTTGTTGCTTGTTCAGAGTCTAGGCAATTTTACATGGGCTTATTTTATCCTTTCTCCCTATCTCCATTAGTCTTCAAGATCAGGAAAATGATTTATGTCATTTTAAAATAGAGCCTTCCTCTGTCTCTCATTTTCCTTCTTCTCTCTCTCTAAGGTATATTATTGCCTACTATATCCTGTGCCCTGTGCTGGAATTTCTCTTGTGCTAATTTTTATTGATAACATATGATGGCTTAAAATGTCATCTAGTGTTTAGTAAATTCATAATAGAAAATAACTTTGTTCCCTCACAAATTTTTACAGACATTTAAAATTAGCACTTCAATATCCAAGTATTTTGCTTTTTCTTTTCTGGAGAGAAACTAACACCTGTAGGTATTTGTTGACATGCAAAAAATGCATGCAAGAATTTTAAAATTTTATACCCTATAATTGGTTGTATACTATTAATTAGACCTCTTCTTTAGCTCTCTTACTGTATACACTCTTCTGTTTTCCCAAATTCTCTCCTCTTTCTCTAAATTCCTCACCCTGTTCCCCACCCTTTCCCTGCCTTGTCTCTGGGTTTTTGTCTCTCTTGCCTCATTTTTCCTTCTTTCTCTCTCACTTTCTTCCCCCACCCCTTCTCTCTTGTTTACACTCCCCGCTCATGTATGTGCCGCTTCGTCTTTGTGTTTATATCTACCAGGGGAAAGACCAACCATCTTTATTTTTAAATTTTATTTTACTTTAAGTTCTGGGATACATGTGCAGAATGTGCAGGTTTGTTACATAGGTAAATGTGTGCCATGGTGGTTTGGTGCACCTATCAGCCCATTACCTAGGTATTAAGCCCCGCATGCGTTAGCTATTTATCCTGATGCTCTCCTTCCCCTCACTGCCTCCCAACATGCCCTGGTGTGTATTGTTCCCTTCCCTGTGTCATGTGTTCTCATTGTTTAGCTCCCACTTACGAGTGAAAACATGTGGTGTTTGGTTATCTGTTCCTGTGTTAGTTTGCTGAGGATGATGGCTTCTGGCTTCATCCATGTCCCTGCAAAGGACATTATCTCATTCCTTTTTATGGCTGCATAGTATTCCATGGTATATATGTACCACATTTTCTTTATTCAGTCTATCATTGATCGGCATTTGGGTTGATTCCATGTCTTTGCTATTGTGAATAGTGCTGCAATAAACATACGCATGCGTGTATCTTTATAATAGAATGATTTATAATCCTTTGGGTATATACCCAGTAATGGGATTGCTGGGTCAAATGGTATTTCAGGTTCTAGATCCTTGAGGAATCACCACACTGTCTTCCACAATGGAACCAACCATCTTTTAAAGTAACAAATGACATCTAAGTGTGAAGTCCGAAGTCAAAGAGCTAGAGAGTCATACAGTTTCAGAGTTGTCGCAGTTTTGATGATTGATTCTCTGGCAGGGTCGTCCTCATTTTGTACCTGAAAATATAGTTCTAGTGAATTATATCACTTGTCCAAGCCCACACAATGACCAGGCTTCCTAGCCCTGATTTATCAGTCCAGTCCTTTTCTTAAAAATAGTTTCTGAATATATGCAGGTAAAAATAATAAATAAGCCATCATAAGTTACAGACATGTATGTCTGCTTCTATGGTGCCAAGGAAAGAAAACAAGGGGAAGGCATGAACATAAAATAACACAGGTGCACTTATACATTGTTTCTTCAAAAGATCATGAAAGGATAGCTTAGAAATTGCCAGTAAGAACTATGACAAACAAGCTCAGACAAGTTACTGCAGAGAGGAGTGTACTTAAAGTTAGAAAGCGGGAGAAGTACACTTGTCAACAGGCAGAAAAGGAGGAGCTATGGACCTTACAATTGGAAAATGTGATTAAAAAAAAAATAACGAAGCTGATCCTTCTTGATTTTTCTTGTTTTGAAATTTATGGCAACCAGTACAACAAACCTATTTGAATGTATAAATTAAAATTAGTATACTGTGATTTACTTGGGCTAATATAAATGTAAAACCCTTTAAGCTAGACCAGCTGTAATTATATTCCCAAAGATTTGATTTTTATCATTATTTACAGCTAATAAGACATTTATGATCTCTTTTTGGTTGTCTCTGTTGAAGCATTGTTGGCAATGCTTTCCTGACTTGAAGTTCTCATGTGTGTTGAAATCGAATTAGGAAAATGAGTAAGTAAATAACTTATCCTAAGAGTATAATCTCTCCTTTGTGACATAAATTAGAAATCCATTCACATCTGTGGAATAATTCCCAGGTTTGCGACTACACAATCTGATATGCACAAGCAAACATGCCAATCTTTTCTCAGTCTAGGAGAATTTGGTCACTTTCTACTTGAACAAAACAAGCTATATGTGCTTTTAAATAGATGTATCATTTTCTCAAAATTGGATTATAAAGAGCTGATCTGAGCTGCAATCAGATGGATAATTAAACAGCAAAGGTAAGAGGCTTCTGACTGCCCATGTTTACAGTGTTAATTGAAAAAATAAAAATATGATTTTTAATCCTAAAGGTAATTTGACCAATGCACATGTACAATGATGTAAGGTTCTCTCACTTTCCATTTTAATCTCAGGATTGTGGAGGCATTTGAACCTAGCTTTCTCACAGAGAATGGAAGAAGTTTGACTGGAGAAATCTGGCCACATTTTACGTTTTTCTGGGGTGTGTATAGTTGAATGAAAACATGAAGATGCTACTTTTAAACAATTTTTTAATTTTGTTTTTTCTTCCTTCAGCTATGATGCTTTATTGTCTCAGATCTGTTTAATCACCTGGAATACTTTTTCGAGTGATTTTTAAAATGGCAAGAAATGTTCCCTTTTCCATAATGTAGCTGTTGCCTCTGAAATGCCATAGGTGTTTGCATTTTTTAAATCCTCATTTGTGGCAGTTATTACGTTTTGCTTCATGTTATGGTAATTTGGCATGCAAACATATCTTTTGTACCAAATTTTAAACTCTTTGAGGACAGGGTTCATATCATTGTCTTCTTTACCCTGGGCTTTTCACTGGGTTGGTGAAATGTTTGTGGAATCGGTGAATGAAGATAAGACATACATTGTCTTCTGAGAGTGGGCAGACATGTGGCGGGCTATTGCTGGATAATGTGCTCATAATATCCTGCAGATTAATTTGGTTCTTTGATGGAAAATGAAGTGAAAACATGCATCTGCAGTCCAACCTTTTCCCAATGTTATTCAAAATGTAATTCAATGTGATCAATTACATTGAAAATAATTGAGAAATGAGATGACACTTAAATTAGTTGAAGACAATTGTGGATTTTGCCCTTGGTTCTTTGGATAAGTAAACTTTTAGTGTTTTCTCAGAGATTTACAAAATTCCAGGGGCTGTGTATTCTTGCCTATAGGACATCCAAATCCTGAGGCTTTTCTTCTTATCATTTCTCATTTAACTGCTTATTAATTCTTTCCAAGAGAAGGAATAAGAAACATGAATTTTTGCTGTTAATTGAACCATCCCTTAAAACTGTTTGGACTGTCTTTTGGGCTATTGAGAAAAACTATTTGGTCACTTTTCCTGTTTTTTTGAGAGTCCAGGTAGAAGAGGTCTTTATTATTGTCATTACATAGTTCATAATAATATTTCTGTTTCACTTTTACGTAGCATAACTTTTCAACAAACCTGGCAAAACATCATCCAGGCATTCTGGTCAGTAAAGATCCTGTATCAGTTGTGCTGTAAGACATTATTGAGCCGATAATGTAACTGGTCCAGTTTCCCCCTTTTGTCTCTGTAGAGAGTTCGGCAGCATAGCAGAGGGTCCCATGGAAGTAGGGATAAAAGGGAATTCTTCTTTGGCTTTTAAAAATCTCTCAACTCCATTCAAACTTCTGCAAGTTTTCCTCCTTGGGAGATATGGAGTGGTTCCAACATCCTTAATATCAGTTGCCTTTTGGTCAAATTCCACCTTTAATCCCTTCTAAGAATGGGAAAATAAAGACATCTATTATGACGTCCTAAAGGCCTGTAGTTATTGAGAGAGCGGCCAAGACTAGAATTATAACTTGGGCCTCTGCTATTATGAATATATTGCTTGCTGTGAACTCACTTGGAGTAAACTTGTGTTATTATAGAAGTAGCAAAGAGGCCAAAAAAGAGACAGGGGCAAAAAGACATGATCATCACAAAGAAAAGATAAATGTTTGAGCTGATGGATATCCCAATTTTCCTGACTTGATCATTATACATTGTGTACAGGTATTAAAATATCACATGTACCTCCCAAATATGTACAACTATTACATGTCAATAAAAACAGTTTAAAAAGTGATCAAAAACAGTAGCAGAAATATATTCCTTATGTAATTTTCATCGCATTTGAGCATCTAGGATTTTTGACAAGACACTGGGCTTCCGTCTACCATAGGGTGCTTAGGAGGCCTAGTGATCTCCAGAACTGTGGGGTGTCAGTTCAAGAGTCTGCTCCAAGAATACATTAAGTGCTTACTTAATGCAGAGCACTATCTTTAATGCTTTGAAGATTATAAGTTCTATTTTTGACCCATCTTCTATGTTGGGCCATTTATTTTTATGATTTTTGCTTCTGCTTTGTCATTTATATGTAGGCGACAGTAATAGTAATGGCCTGGTAACCTTACAGGGAACTGCAGGTTGATGGTGGGGAAGCATCTTATTCTAATATACCCATATAAAGACATAAAGATAGCATTTATATATTTGTAGTCAAATCATTGGTTCATCCTATTTTCTGCAGTTGAAGATAGATATCACCATGTATATGGCCAATTATCTTTATCCAGTTCAATTTGGCCAGGTCAATGAAACTTGTATTTATGTCATACTCTTGTGTCATGGGAGATAGAAGAAGTATAATAGTGGCCCTAATTTACTTTTGGTAAAATTGAGGTTAAGTGATTTTCCCAAATTTATTTTGATATAAAGTAAATTGCAGATACAAGTTTTTTGGTCTCTAACCTTGTGTTATTTAATTGTTCCACAAAGAAATGCTGCATATTAAAATTATGGTTTTAAATGGCTCACTCAGCCCTTTTGTCCCTCCCTTCTCCAAGTAAAACAACTAACCCCTATTTTTCAGTTTGTTGTGAATTCAGTTTGTCCAAACTAGGCTGGGGATAGGTTAATTAAATAATTATATAGTGATTAACATGGGGTTAGAATTTATGTCAGATTGGGGCAAAACCACCTTTTGAATACCTAGAAGATAGTGAAATGTACTTAATACTAACATTGTCATGAATATCAATCACAGGTTTAGAAGTCTTTTGATATATATGAGCTAAATATGGGGTTGAATCCCCACCAATCATATCTTAACAGATTTTTTTAAAAAGGTAAGTATCTGAATCAGCTGCTTTATTTTATTTGTCTCTTTCTCATAAAAATGACAATAAAATTATGGTATGTGAACTTCTGATTATTTAGATTCCAGTTAAACAGGATTTTACTTTAGTTTCTTTTTTTTTTTTTACTGAAAAAAAATTTTATTGACTTGTTTTTTGGTGTATATAGTTCTATATATTTTAACAC
Source organism: Homo sapiens (assembly GCF_000001405.40). Lineage (NCBI taxonomy): Eukaryota > Metazoa > Chordata > Mammalia > Primates > Hominidae > Homo > Homo sapiens. The sequence continues at coordinate 60,449,990 of NC_000005.10, read as the reverse complement.
ATGTATACATTCATATAACCATCACCACAATCATATGAAAACTCTTTTATAAACCCTCAAACTCCCACATATGACTTCTTTTTTTTTCTTTTTATTTATTTATTATTATCATACTTTAAGTTTTAGGGTACATGTGCACAATGTGCAGGTTAGTTACATATGTATACATACCATTTGACGCAGCCATCCCGTCACTGGGTATATACCCAAAGGACTACAAATCATACTGCCATAAAGCCAGGAGAATTTCTTGAGCCCAGGAGTTTAAGACCAAGCTTGGCAATATAGCAAGAGCTTATCCCTAATTTTATTTTTTATTTTATTTATTTTTTATTTTATTTATTATTATTATACTTTAAGTTTTAGGGTACATGTGCACAATGTGCAGGTTAGTTACATATGTATACATGTGCCATGCTGGTGCGCTGCACCCACTAACTCGTCATCTAGCATTAGGTATATCTCCCAGTGCTATCCCTCCCCCCTCCCCCCACCCCACAACAGTCCCCAGAGTGTGATGTTCCCCTTCCTGTGTCCATGTGTTCTCATTGTTCAATTCCCACCTATGAGTGAGAATATGCGGTGTTTGGTTTTTTGTTCTTGCGATAGTTTACTGAGAATGATGATTTCCAATTATTATGAAGAGAGAGAATAATGGTTTCTCACTTTTCAATTCCATTTAGAAGGAGGTTGTTTCTTTCAGAACACCAAATGAAGCTTTCTCAGTGGCCATCCTATAGGACCTTTGCACTTGAATCTCTGGTTTCTGAATTTGGGACATTTTAAAATCCTAAGATTTTTCCAGGTGATCTTTAAAAATGGGATCTAGGGAGATTTTAGCAAATTAATGGTTTCTGTGTTTAACTCTTTTAAAACATATTTTCATGATCGTGTGTGTGTGTGTGTGTGTGTGTGTGTGCGCGGGCAGTTGGGGGGGTGGGTGAAGGGGGATATGGGGAGAACAAACAATAACCAAAGAAACAATAGTGGAACTTAAAAATATTTTCTACTAACTTATTTGCTAATAATTATTCAGGCAGCTTTATGAAAGCTCTTTGGAAATTCTAGAAGTGTTTCCATTTCAGGCTTAATATATTTGGATCATAAATAAATATCAGATACCTTTTGGAGGCATTAGAAACTAAACATTATGCAAAGGCTACCCTCTGTTGCGTCAGGAGCTTGAATTGTTTTCATTAAAATATCTGCTATGAAAGCACTGAGATTAGATGGGATGCTATCAAATGTCAGAGATTTGTATTCTTGGTAGAAACTGAGATTTCATTTTCCTTCATCCCATTCTGATGCTGGCTTCCCTGAAGCAACACTCCTGTTCCAGATTTGTATGCTTGAGGTAAGTCAGAAAAGGAATTTCGGTGAGGCATGAGTTTGTTGATGAAACGTGGGGGAAAACCAAATGGACATCTTCAGAATGAAAGTGTACGTCTTTGTCTGTCTGAATGTGTGAGAAAGAAGAACACTGAACACAGTCTAAACCTCCTGCTGGTGTGATTATTGAGTAGTGTTGATGGCCAAAATATGAATGAAGGTTTTTCTGTTGCAAAATGCTTTATGTTATGTGCAGGGCAGACATCTGTGTGCCTGCCTTAAATTTATGAACTAATAACATTCTGTTCCAAGAAATCCTGTCAGGTCTTTAACGGTACCATTTTGTTCTGAGTTATTCTGGTAAATGAATGATTTTGCTTTTAAGTAATTATTTTTTGAATTTTTAAATATAAAGTCACATATGGTTTAATGTATGGAGAGGATGCCTTTATCATCAATGAAAACTTTAAGAATTGACTGATTGCATTTTATTTTAACAAAATATCATTCATTATTTTCTTCTATTTGGAACAGATGTAAATGTTCCAATCTATTTTGGATTCAAATGAATTTTGAATCAAATAGATTTAAAATGAATCTATTTTGAATCAACAAAATAGATTCAAGCAAGTTTTATGAGTGAGATTACAGATGAATGATAATAAGCAAAATCATGAGAAAACCCAACCCAAATAATTGAGTTAGACTATACTATAAACAAAGTAAATTTAAAAACATATATCCTCAAAGAACTGTGGCCAGTAAGATAGATACTCTCTGAGGCTACCCTCCTAGTATAGTAACGGTAATTCTGCTGAAACCAATTAGGCACTGTTGAAAGCAACTTCTCGCTGCCGATGAAGGGACTGGATCCTGTAGCTTGGTGTCCTTGTCAAGTCCTCAGTGTGTACTCAGCTTGCCCCTGCTAATACACACTGGTCTTAAATAAAACAGAGTGGCAAATATTTAGAGTGAGTTTTATGTGTCTTTGGGATTTTTCCTTCCCCGCCATTGGTAAATAGCACGTTTCCTCTGCAGATCTGTGACCTTTGAGATAACTTCCCTTGTTAAACACACACTGATTTGTGTGGGTATTTGTTTTCTTTCTTTTTTTTTTCAAAAGCTATTCCTTCTTTTCTACTTTATATTCAGTTGCTTTCAACACAGAGTAAAGTCTTCTGATGAATCTCTTGTCTGTAGTTTTGAAAGGAGGGGAGAAGCAAAGGAATTAGCAATCACAAAGATAAACCTGCAAAGGCAAACTAAGTAGAAACATGTTTTTCCGTTGCAAATTATGCTTAACTACTATAGGCTGTAATCCCTATGCTGACATATCTCAGAATAAAATGTAAGTTGCTTGAGATGCTATTCTGAAGCATGTGATATGGTTTTATTGATTGATAAATTTATCCATATGATGATAGTTGTAGATTTTCAGAGGCCCCATATGGACCATTTGAAATGAAAATGTTATATTGGCAATGGATGAGAACATGCCACTTGCCCTGCTCCATACAAACTTTGATTCCTAGCAATCAGCACATGTTAGAGAGCTGGAGGCCACGGTATGGTGTGCAAGTGCTCCTGTGCTGAAGTGACACCAGAACAATCACCACATTGCCATCAGGCCGTCCATCTGAGGTAGGGTTTTCCTTCTTGTTTCAATCTTTATCATTCCTGGAGAATTTGCCAAGGCCCCCAGGGCAGTGCTGAGGCCTCCAGCGCCCCCCACAAATCTCTTTTTCTGTCCCTTCAACATTTTCAGGTCTAACTACCTGTAGTTTTCCTCTCTAATTTCTGGGCCAAAGCTTGGCAGGGGGCAGGCGCAGAATTAGGTTGAAGAGGCCAGTATGAGCAGGCATACCAAGGTCCATTGTGCTATACCAGAGGTGTTACATTAGACTAATGAAGGGATTATAGAAACTTAGCTCTCCATCTGAATTCTCTTATTAACACATCACTGTGAATCAGCCTGCTGCTTTCGGTGTTGTGTATTTTTTCCCTTTGTTACTTCTGTTACTGCTAACGATATTGGTATCATTTGTTGTATCAATGCAACTGACTTGTACTTCAAATTAATATCTCAACCAACCTAGAATTTCTTGTCTAGCTATGGTAGGTAGTATGGGGTGGTAGTGGTGTTGTCTCAGGCTAGTATATGATAATATGATTTTGAAGTCTGTTTTCCCCCCCATTTAACGAACTAGTGTGAACATCTATCCATGCCTTTTAAACACTTTTCTCCAAGATAATTTTTTATAGTTTTTTAATGGTTAAATAACATTAACTTAGCCAATGAAATTTAAAATATTTTGCTACTGTAAAAATTATTGTGTATCTCCTGGTAGTTAAATCAGGATTATTTCCTTAGGATGCAGAGCTTGTATGTTAAGGAGTATAGTTATTCATAAAGGTTTGATTTTTTTGGCCAAATTGCTCTCCAGAAAGTTTTTTTCCCCTTCAGTTTATTCTCCTACCAGCAGTGCATGAGAGGGCACATTTTCCCGTATCTTAAGTAGTGTTGTTTTCTAAAAATGTTGCCAATCTGATATGGGGAAAATGGCATTTCACTGTGGTTTTTCTGTGTTTGTTAAGTCACTAGTGAGGTTGGGTAGTTTTATCCTTTGCAAATTGCCTATCAATGTTCCTTACTTATTTTTCTTTTGAGATGCTTATTTTCCAATTAATTTTACTGACAATTTTTATATAGTACAGATAGTAATCCATGTGTCTATAGGTTGTTTATAATGTAAATATTTTTTTCCAAGTTTCTTAGTCACTTTTTGACTTTTTCCCTTGGGTATATTTTTACATGAGAAGTTTTTGTGCATGTGATTGAGTCTTTTTTAATTGTGGTAAGAACATTTAACATGAGACTTGCCCTTTAAAATGTGTTTATGTCTATAATACAGTATTATTAACTATGGGCATAATGTTGCCCAGCAAATCTCTAGGACTTAATCATTTTACATAACTGGAACTTTATACCCTCTGAATAGCAAATCCCCATTTCCCCCTTCCCCAGCCCCTGGGCAGTGGTTGAGTCTTTGATGTTTTCCTTTTAAAGTTTCTGCCTTTGGAGTTAGTTTAGAAATGACTTCATCATCCCAAGATCACACACACTTTTCCTACATTTTCTTCCAGTTTCTTTATTTTACATGCAAATCTTAATCCATCTGGAATTTATTTTGTTGTATAGGAGTGCAAGAATTTAACTTTATATTTTTCTCAGATAGTTTTCCACTTGCCAGTGGAATAATGATTTGTTGAATAATCTATCCTTTGCTTTTTAAGTTTTACCTTGAAAAAACATAATATAAAATTTTGGATCTAGTTTTTTAATATAATTCATTGATTTCTCTTTTTGTTGGACAGCATAACATTGTTTTAATTACTGTAATGCAGTTAAACATCTGATAGCTTGAATCATTCTTATCTTTTTCAAACATTTCTTGGCAGTTTCTTTCATCATCTCCTGACCAGATGGTCGTCATAATGTCTTAATTGCTCATTCTACCATTGGTCTCACTTGCTTCTAATCCATTCACAACAAAGTTGGCTGAATTGTTGTTCTAAAACACAAATTGGATCACGTTACGCCCTGCTTGTTGTGTATACATACTTCCAGCTATTTTTATCAACTAAAAATGAGCCCTTTGCCTATAACAAGATTTTAACCTGAAGTCCAAGCAATTTCTGAACTTCAGAGTGTTTGTAGACACCATTTCGGTGATTTTTTTTTTTTTTTTCTGAGTAGAGGATTGATAGCATCATAGATTTTGAAAGAGCCATGACTCCAAAGCATTAATAACCTCTGTGCCACAGGAAGAAAGTCAGACCCCCCAGAACGGCTTGTCAGTAGCAGGTCCTCCCCTGGTTGACATTTCTTTCTTACCTGCCTGCCCTCTCCCTGACCACTCTTCCACATCCCCACCCTTCCCCTCCTGGACTGCTTGCAATTGTCTATCCAGTCTGCTGTTTCACACCCCAGTGCCTTTTTACATGTTATTCCTTCTGCCAAAGTGTTCTCCCACACATACCTCGCCCATCTGGAAAATGGTTCCTTGTCCTTCAAACAACAATCAAAGAGCCTCCTCCTCTATGAAACTTTGTCTGATCCCCTTAAGCAATGCTGATCTCTCTCCTTTATTTTTAACCACTGTACTTAATCTGTATTTTACCGTGACTCTTCTACTCTTCCTCCTCTACTGGTACTATAATATCTTTGGGAATAAGGACTGTGTTTTTGTAACCACAGAGCCCACTGCCTGGCATAGCATAGGCACTCAGTGAATGCTTGATGAACAGAAGAATGGATGCAAACAATGAATGTATGGCAGGACATAGCCCTGGTGAAATCACTGGCAGGGGCTTGTGTGAAGTAACTGCATAAGAAAAAAACAGCATGCTGTTAGAGGTGAAGGGACCAGCTTTGAGTTTAACAGAAGTAAGGACAGAATGGGTGAAGCCATAATGTCAACTTTGAAATATCACCATTTATTAAGAAACCACATTTGAAGTTCTAGGATCCTTAAATGAAGGCGCTTTTCACCAAATACTTTTCTAAATTTCCTGGGGTGTTTATAACATGGAGGACCTATTTCCTGAGCTACCAGAGTCCTAACACATACCTAATTATGAGTTGGTCACCAAGAGTTATCAGTAATCACAAGTAATGAAAGCATGGCTTTGGGTGAGTGGGTGGGTAGGGTGGGTGAGGTGGGATATGCCATGTTTTGGACCAAAGCTGTCCACATTGATGTGTAGCCATTGTTTTCATGATTCTAGCACCCAGTGGATGTTGAGTAAATATTTTGTGAGTAATTGAATGCTGAGTGTGTAGCTGGGGGTATGACAGCCAGCTAACTGTCATGTCTACTTTCTCAGCTCTCTGAGATGGCAATGCTAATTTTGCTGGAGAAAGTAGCATCACTGTTTTACTTGGTTCCCTCTGTTCATACTGCCTAATTTTAGCTAGTTCTTATTATTACTTGCTTTGTTTACTTCTTGGATTCTTTATCGCATTACCTGTGGTGTCACCCACTGTCTTACTCTGGGCAAATGAACCTTGTTTTTTTGAGAATGTTAAGTTCATCTGACATAAGCCGCTCAATTTCACTCCTCAAATTCTTCTACATCAGCATTCTTTTCTCTACCCTGGGGAAAAAGAACCTCCTCATTTAAGTGTGCTTTCTCTTCTTCTTAAATATTGCCTAAGCAACTTTTTAACTTTTAATCTCTCATTGTCCATTTACCTCTTTCTTTGTTTGCAGACATCATTAGAATCTCCATCCTTGAAACAGCTCAATAAACAAAAATTTTGCTTGACTTTACTAGTTGAATACCTTAACGTTCACTTTTCTTTTTACCTCCAAACTTCTTGAATGACCTATGACCACTATCTACACCTTTTCTTCATACACTGAGGTCTGGAAATCTTTATTACCTGGTTTCTTCTCTCAGTCTCCAAATTATTAAAAAGTCAATTTCTCAGTTTTCATTTTTCTTCACCTCTTGATAACACTTGAAACCATTAAAATTCCCCTTTATTTTGAATGGGCTCTTTCTTAATGTCTATCACACTCAACTGTCTATTTGCTCGTATCTTTCTGTTTTATTTTCTGTTTCTTCCGTGGTCCTCTTTCTGATGTCCTGAGAGTGGATATTAAGTTGCACCATGTCTGCAGGGATGACACCCCAACCCTAACCTTCAAGTCAGGCCTCTTTCCTATGTTCAGATCTACTGTTTCTGGAAAGCTCTACCATCTGCCCCACAAAAGCTTCAACATTAATAGAAATTCCGTATAATTTAAAACAAAATTCCACCTATATTTTCTTTCAAATAAATGTTTAATTTGAAATATTTACATTAATGATGCAACCATTTTTCTATCCACCCAAACTTGAGACCTAAGAATGAGTTGTTTGCTGATTCTTCTCTCATAGCCAACCATTTCAATGTTCTCTGATTTCTACTGTTACCCAGGCTTTGCTTTACATTCCCACTTTTATAGTGCTTATCTAAACCCTTACTTTTGGCCTTTAATATTGTATTGGCTATTTATTTATTATTTTATTATTATACTTTAATTTCTGGGATACATGTGCAGAACGTGCAGGTTTGTTACATAGGTATACACGTGTTGTGGTGGTTTGCTGCACCTATCAACCGTCATCTACATTAGGTATTTCCTCTATCCCTCCCCTAGTCCCCCCACCCCCTGACAGGCCCTGGTGTGTGATGGTCCCCTCCCTGTGTCCATGTGTTCTCATCGTTCAACTCCCACTTATGAGTGAAAACACGTGGTGTTTGGTTTTCTGTTCTTATGTTAGTTTGTTGAGAATGATGGTGTCCAGCTTCATCCGTGTCCCTGAAAAGGACATGAACTCATCCTTTTTTATGACCGCATAGTATTCCATGGTATATATGTGCCACATTTTCTTTATCCAGTCTATCATTGATGGGCATTTGGGTTGGTTCCAAGTCTTTGCTATTGTGAACAGTGCCACAATAAACATACGCGTGCATGTGTCTTTATAGCAGCATGATTTATAGTCCTTTGGGTATATACCCAGTAATAGGAATGCTGGGTCAAATGGTGTATCTGGTTCTAGATCCTTGAGGGATCACCACACTGTCTTCCACAATGATTGAACTAATTTACACTCCCACCAACAGTGTAAAAGCATTCCTATTTCTCCACATCCTCTCCAGCATCTGCTGTTTCCTGACTTTTTAATGATTGCTATTCTAATTGGCATGAGATGGTATCTCATTGTGGTTTTGATTTGCGTTTCTCTAATGACCAGTGATGATGAGCTTTTTTTTCATACGTTTGCAGGGGGCATAAATGTCTTCTTTTGAGAAGTGTCTGTTCATATTCTTCACCCTCTTTTTGATGGGGTTGTTTGGTTTCTTTCTTGTAAATTTGTTTAAGTTCCTTGTAGATTCTGAATATTAGTCCTTTGTCAGATGGATAGATTGCAAAAATTTTCTCCCACTCTGTAGGGTGCCTGTTCACTCTGATGATAGTTTCTTTTGCTGTGCAGAAGCTCTTTAGTTTAATTAGATCCCATTTGTCTATTTTGGCTTTTGTTGCCATTGCTTTTGGTGTTTTAGTCATGAAATCTTTGCCCATGCCTATATCCTCAATGGTATTGCCTAGGTTTTCTTCTAGGCTTTTTATGGTTTTAGGTCTTACGTGTAGGTCTTCAATCCATTTTGAATTAATTTTTGATAAGGGGTAAGGAAGGGGTCCAGTTTCAGTTTTCTGCTTATGGCTAGCCAGTTTTCCCAACACCATTTATTAAATAGGGAATCCTTTCCCCATTGCTTGTTTTTGTCAGGTTTGTCAAAGATCAGATGGTTGTAGATGTGTGGTGTTATTTCTGAGCCTCTGTTCTGTTCCATTGGTCTATATATCTGTTTTGGTGCCAGTACCGTGCTATTTTGGTTACTGTAGCCTTGTAGTATAGTTTGAAGTCAGGTAGCGTGATGCCTCCAGTTTGTTCTTTTTGCTTAGGATTGTCTTGGCTATACAGGCTCTTTTTTGGTTCCATAAAGATGCTTTTCCTGGCTTTAGTTGTTTCTTCTCTAGGATATTCTTTACATCGCAACCAGAATAAGTCATCAAAGGTCCAATTATGCCACATTCTTGCTCAAAGATCTTCAATGAATCTTGATTTCTATGTGATAATGGTTAATTTCCTACATGTTTAACATGTACTCTGAAGCTAGACTGCCAGGATTTTGATCCTGGTCCCACTACTTCCTAGTTTTGTAACCTTGGAAAAATTATTCAACTCCTTTGTGCTTTAGTTGCCTCGGTGAAAAATGGGGATAATCATAGTGCTGCCTTATAGGGTTGTTGTAATAATTAAATGATTATCCTGCACATAGTAAACAGTCAATGAATTTATGCTATTATTATTAGTCTGCTATTTGTGGGCTTTCATATTTTGTCTCAAATCCAACCTTCTCTTTACTCACTATTTCTAAACACATTGTGCATTTTTCAATATATATGCATTTCAATATCTATCTTTTGCTTCCTCTGCCTGTAATACCCTTTTCTACGCCCTATCTCTCCTGTGTCTTTAGAAATTCTATCAGTTCTTCAAATGAACCTCAAATAGACTTCCTCCACGATCCTTCACCTATCATACCAGGATTGTTTATGTTTCTGAAATTTCACAGCCTATCTTATACTTTTCCTGTTTACTTGATTCATGTTGGCTTAGTTTAATTACACACGAAGAAATCTTGTGTTGCCTGATGGACTGTAAACTCCTTGAAAACAGGGTTTGTGTTTATTTTTTTTGTATTCTAAAGTAACAAGGAAAGTTCTCCAAACATAAATGTAATAGGTATTTGTTGAATGAATATAGAAGGAAGGGTGTAGGTTTTGGATAAGAAATCATCATTATCAAACTAGTCAAAAATGACAAGAGTATTGTTTTGGATGCATAAGTATAGAATTAGTACCTCTCACTCATCCCCCACTAAGACGTTTTTGTCGTTAGCTTGCTGCTAACTGGGCTCTGGCTGTTACCTCGCAAAGACTCTGAAGTAGGAAAGAGCTTGGCACATTTAGAAACTCACAGATCATCAATGCTGTAGTGAAGTGAAGGAGGGAGAAAGTACCATGGGTTGAAGTTAGAGAGTTGGAGAGAGATAGGATAGGTCACTGGAACTTTCAGGCCAAGTTATGCAGTTTAGGGTTTTTTTTTTTTGTTTTTTTTTTTAAACAATGGAAAGCCTTTGAAGGGTTTTAAGCTGGGGAATAAAAAGATAATACTTTACTTTTAAAATTGCACCCAGGATGGATGGAAGACAGAGAGTGGGAAGATGAGTGAAAGCAGAGAAAACAGTTGGGCACTCTTGTAGGTGAGAGACTGCATGGCCGGGGCTCAACTGGCAACAGTGGAGATGGAGAGAGGTGGGTGGAATTGAGATTTATTTTGAAAGTAGAATGGACAGGATTTGCTGAAGAAATGTTAGGGAAAAGAAAGAAAGCAATTTGATATGATGTCTCAGTTTCTCACTCAAACATCTACATGGATGTTGTGGCCATATTTCTTATTTAACTTATGGATGAAAGAAGGTTTCATATAGCAGATAATTTCCAACAATTCTTAGGCATCAATTTACCTGACAATACAAAACTCTGATGCCATTTGGGATAGAATGAATTGTTCCTATATGACTTCCAGAGACTGAGTCATTGTGGGTGCTTGTCATGCAGTACTCACTGAGGTGTAGGAGGATAGCTTCATGGAGAAGATATATCTTGAGGTGGATCTAGAATGAATATCAAGCTAAATTTAAAATTATTAAGGATGGAATGAAGTTTATATTCATTATCCACAGTCCATTTGTATCAATTTTCTGGGATGTCTATTATCCTGTAAAAAACATGTATTTCCGCAGTTATAAGAGCTTTGATATTGGTGTGAAAACAATGGTCCCTAATTAAGCCATAAGGTATTTTGGGAATTTAAACAAATGTTTGGTGGTTATCAACTGGGAACTTCTGGAGAGGTGAAATATTGTATCGGGGACGCATTGTTCTTTTTAAAGGCCACACGGTGTTCTACTTATATGTCATATCATGTACATAGCCAGTTCCTTCCTGGTGGACATTTAGGTTGTCTCAACCTTTTCCTATCTCCAACAGTGCATGCTTGTGCAAGTATATCCGTAGGACAAAATCTTAAGGGTAGAATTATTAGATAAAAGCAGTTACCAAATTTACCAATCTTCCTTTCCAGAAGATTGTCTGGGAATGACTGCTTTTCTTACCACCCTACCAACACAGGTGCTAATCTCATAGGAAAAAAAATGCTACTTTGTTTTAATTTTAATTCATGTTTCTTTTGTCAGGAGTACAATCAAGCACCTTCCTCCTATTAATATGTTTATTTCCTCTTCTCACTTTTAACCATTCTTCAACCTCTACAATTATGAGAAAGTAATGACTGTCAAAAAAAAAATTGCTCATTTTTTCTGACATCTTTCAAGGCCCTGAATAGACGTCCTAATTTCCAGGTCTGTGTAGACTGACTTGGGTTACTCAGGTAATGGCCTCTCTTCTGTTGATGAACACACGTATTGAAGCATGTATATGCCAGGCTCAGTACTAGACACAAGGGGTACAGTCAATGAACAAAATACACACAATATTCTACCCTCATAGAGCTTACATTTTAAAGGGGGAAGCATACAAAAAATAAATTAGCTAAAAATATAAATATCAAGTGGTAATAGTACCACACAGAAGAATAAAGCAGAGTAAGGGTTTAGATGGTGAAGATAGGAGAGCTGCTCTTTTACATGAGGTTAACAGGAAAGGCATTTCCAAGTACTTCTCCCTGCTTCTTTCTCATCTGTGTGCTCTAGTTTTACTCTCCCTCCCTTGTTTGATCCCTATTATTACTTGCAAGTGTAAATTCCCTAATGCAGAACATGGTTAGCATTTGGTTAATGGCTTTCCCGTAATAATTGCATTAAAATGATTTCTCTCCACTATGAATTATCTGACATGTCAGAACAGACGAATGCTATCTAAAGGCTTTTTAAAATCTGTTAAATTTATAGGGCATATTCCAGCCCTCACCAAGGGTCACTTCACTCCATTCTCAGATAGTGCCCACTGTCCTGCATTTGCCTGCTGTCAATCACAAAAGAGATGGCTTCTTAATGAGGCTGGTTTATGACTTTTTTCCTTAAGACAAAGTCAGTCTTCTTTTGCAAAAGTTGTTCTAATGAAGGAAAGTAGAAATAAAAATTCATCATAGCTTCTATGGCCAGACATAAAATGTCTACAGCAGGATTGATATGGAAACATAAGCTTTTATTAATTTGTTTATCTGGATGCTTCTGAAGCTAGAAAGAAAGACTTTCACCATGGAAGCACTGGCAACTGAATTTCCATAATGGATTCAAAGATCTAAAGAATATCCTCAATTTACATATTCTTTCTGAATTTATGTTCAAAGAAAGGGTATTAATATAAACATAAAGTAAAATAAGACAAAGCCCAAGTGTATTAAGACTATTCAAGGCCTGCCATGCAAATTGCAGTGGAAAAGTCTACCAGTAGGTTATTGGGAAACAGAGAGAACCTTGGAGTCCAAAGATAGGAGAGGATACCCACCACTAACTTTCAATGAAACCACAAGCTGGCCACTTAGCTTTTCTTGTGCTGTAGAGTCAAATGTGAAACAATAGGCTTTATTTATTTAATACTTTGTATAAGGCACTTTGCTCAGTACATTATATATTGTCTCATCCTCATAGTGAGCCTGAAGGGTAGTAATTTCATTGTACCTTACAGATGAATAAACTTAGACTTAGAGACCGGTCAAATAGCCTGCCCAAAACAACCAGTTAATAAATGGAATTGGGATTTAAACTTAGATTTGTCTGATTCCAAAGCTTGTGCCCAACCAGTGTTTATTGAGTACCTTCCAAAGAGCCAAGCAACAGTTTGAAATAGGTTCACATATGTTCAACTATCACAACAACCAGATAGAGTAGATATTCTGTTGAAGATGAGGAAATGATGTGGGGGAGAAAAAGTGATTGTGTGGGGGAGAAAAAGTGATTGTGTTGAGGTCACACATCTAGAGTGGTCGAGTCAGAATATGTGTGAACTCAAGACCTCTAGCTCCAAACCTATGAATTTTGTTTTTAAAACATGACTATAGTCTATTCTCTGTACAATGTTCATAATATTTTTTCTGCCAGTTGCCTGCTCCCTTTAGGTAAAGGGATAATTAGCAGAGATTCCTTGCAGAAAAGTGTCAAATATCAGCACTTAAAAACAGTGCTGAATTTTCCCGTTATTTAGCCCATTACTTCATTGAGCCTAATTTCATGCTTCTAAAAACAGCATAAGTTCTGTGGGTAGTGTTCAGTATGCTTCAGTGAACCGAATGCATCCTAGTGGCCTGAGAAGACTCCTACTGCTTCTAAACATGTATGAATAATGGTTGCCACCTGCAAGTAGCTTAGGCAGTGGGCAATCATACTTCAATTCTAAAGGGTGTGGAAGGGATGAGTATTTTCTGTTTGAAGCTCAAGCTAGATTAAATGAATTCTTGATCTTAATCTACTTTGAACTCTACTTGGAACACATCATGAGTTGTTTTGGCTTACTATTAATTTTTAAATACAAATACAGTGCTCTTGTATTGAAAGCATAGGATTTTGTGTAGGAGAAAATTTGAATGTCTTGAAAACATTCAAAGGAGAGCTCAGGGAAATAAATGAAAGCTGGTGGATTTCTAAAAATCTTTATTGAGGATTAATATTAGAAACTTGCTGTACAGTCTAACTGATTTTTGACTTTGTTTCTGGGCTATTGGTTTCATATAAGACACTATTAGTAATTTCAGAACAAATAATATGGCCACATTTCTTGTTCCTAATAAATTGGTACTACTTGGGATCAATGGATGATTGTTGTCATTCCCCAAAAGATTTTTTAACAGCAGAACCAGAAAACTAATTCACAAATTATCAATATTCAGCACTTTGATAAATTCAGATGAATTTGCCTACCTAAAGAAATGCTACCTGAAAAGCTTCTCTGGCAGGCTTCTCCAGAGTTTCATTATCTACTCTGAACTTTTGTTTACATAGCAATCATTTCTGCTGTGTTCCTTTTCCCTACTAGCCTTGGTAGGCTTCTTAGCTGAATTGTCCTGAAACCTATAAACCAGCCCTGGAGGCTCTGAAAAATTAAAGATCTGTCTTTTTTGTTCTGTTTAATAAATGTTAGCTTAAGAAAGTCTGCAATGGAAGAACACTCAACTTGTCCTAAATGATTCTCTCATTTATTCAGGTTGCAAATAGAAAGAGGTATTTCCCAATTTGCAATAAAATATTGGACTTTAATTTCTAAAAAAAAATCTTGAAAGCTACATACTCCATAGACTTCTAAGCAAAGAGAGTCAAGAGACATTCATCTTCTTGAATCTTCATTAATCTTCACGTCCTAAATAATTCTCTCATTTATTCAAGTTGCAAATAGAAAGAGGTATTCCCCAATTAGAAATAAAATATTGGGCTTCAGTTTCAAAAAAAAATCTTGAAAGCTACATGCTCCATAGACTTCTAAGCAAAGAGAGTCAAGAGACAATCATCTTCATAACTAACACCAATTGTCATAAAGCTTCCAAATGTAAACCTAAACTTTTTGTTAGGAGTAAAAATAAAAAAGCCAAACAAATGAAAAGCTGTGAACTTTCTAAAACATCTTAAAGATTCTCTGGAAATTTAAACATTTAAGTTATATGTTAAGTTGTGTCTATCAAGCAGGTACTTTAGAAAAAGGGAAGATTTAAACAATTTAAATATATGCTCTAGTTGTTTGATTTAAAATGCTTTTTGTGCCAAAGAAATTCAGGATAGAGATTTAGTAATCAGAGTTGAAAAATGCATAACACATTGTTCTAGTAATTCCCATCATTCAAAAGGAACCATCTGTACTGAATATTCTTAGATAGTTTTTCAAGTTCGGTTTTACATTGCAGACATAAAGGAACTACTTTTGTATCTCTTAGACAACAATTCTGTTATAGAAGTTTACAGGCTAATGGCAAACACATCTCATAATTGTCCTTCCAGTTTCTTGACCCATGTTTACTTCCCTTTAATTTCATGCCATAAGTCAGTGCTCTTGACAAAGTATACTCTGAACATATTTATAAATCATTATTTTTTCCAAGCAGTTAATCTCTAACTCCCTTTTTCATTTCTGTATCTCCATCAGCATTTTCTTTGCAGGGTTCAATACTCTTAATTTGACATACAGACCCATCCCTGAGAGCAAGGGAGAGAGAGGAAAGCCCTGGCCTTTCTTTTTGTACCTTGATTTTTTCCATTCAAACTCATCATTGTTGGTGCATTGAAATCTGGAGGTTTGAGTGAGAGATGGAATCAGAGAGATTTAGGAATGGATTCAGATTCTACAACTAAAAACCATTAGGATGCCTATGAGCTTTGTTTTCTGCATAATATCTGAATTACAAATTGTATTTAACAAGTAAAACTAAGTTGTGTCCGACTAATTGAAAACCACTTTGGTTAATGTTACCTCTTTTTGTGTCCATTTAAATCCATTAAATCTTTCTTACTTTTGCCTTTAAAATTAGAGTAATCTATACAATTCATGCTACTGACTCTGCCTTTTAAAACACACAAATATTAAAAAAAAAAGAGACATGTTCTGGTGTCTTCCCCTCAGCCCAGTGAGATGTGTTACACAGTAGTCTTTGTTATCAGCCTTTGGTTTCTGATAATTTAGAAAGCTTTCAATCCCCATCACTTATGAAAGTCTGTGAACAATAATTTTTATTTAAAGATTTCTTACAGTGCCGAATCTTACAACCATTTATAAATTCATGTCATGTTTTCTTAAAGTTACAGAACTCTTTTCAATTTTTAAGCCTTAACCTCTTGTCTGCATAGCAAATCCTATTTATTTTTTAAAAAGCTGAATTCAAGTGTCATCTCTTAAATGAAGATTCCTGATCATGTCAATCAAAGAGAGCTTTCTCCTCTGAAATCTTTTTTTTTTAAATATTAGTTTCAGGGGCACATGTTTAAGTTTGCTCTAATAGATAAATGGTGTGTTTTGGGGGTTTGGTGTACATATTATTTCGTCACCCAGGTAATGAGCATAGTACCCAATATGTAGTCTTCTGATCATCACCTTCCTCCTACCCTCCACCCTCAAATAGGCCCCGCTGTCTGTCCTTCTCTTCGTTGTGTCCATGTAACTCAATGTTTAGCTCCCAATTATAAATGAGAACATGCAGTATTTGGTTTTCTGTTCCTGTGTTAGTTCTCTTAGGATAATGGCCTCCAGCCGCATACATGTTGCTGCAAAGGACATGATCTCATTCTTTTTTATGGTTGCATAGTATTCCATAATGTATATGTACCACATTTTCTTTATTCAGTCTAATGTTGTTGACCATTTTGGTTGATACCTTGTCTTTGTTATTGTGAATAGAGCTGCAATGAACATATGCATGTGTGTATCATTATGGTAGAATGATTTATATTCCTTTGGGTACATACCCAATAATAGGACTGCTGGGTCAAATGGTGGTTCTGTTTTAAGTTCTTCGAGAAATTGCCAAACTGCTTTCCACAGTGGCTGGACTAATTTACATTCCCACTAGCAGTGTATAAATATTCCCTTTTCTTTGCAGTATCACCAACAACTGTTACTTTTTGACTTCTTAATAATAGCCATTCTGACTGGTGTGAGATGATATCTCATTGTGGTTTTGATTTGCATTTCCCTAATGATTAGTGATGATGAGTATTTTTTCATATGCTTGTTGGCCGTGTAAATGTCTTATTTTGAAAAGTGTCTTTGCCCACTTTTTAATGGGCTTGTTTGTTTTTTTGCTTGTCAATTTGTCTAAGTTCCTTATAGATTCTGGATATTAAACCTTTGCCAGATGCACAATTTGTAAATATTTTCTCCCATCCTGTAGGTTGTCTATTTACTTTGTTGATAGTTTCCTTTGCTGTGCAGAAGCTCTTTAGTTTAATTAGGTCCCACTTGTCAATTTTTGTTTTTGTTGCAATTGCTTTTGGCATATTCATCATAAAATCTTTGCCAGGGCCTATGTTTAGAATGGTATTTCCTAGGTTTTCTTCAATGGTTTTTATAATTTTACATTTTACATTTAAGTGTCTAATCCATCTTGAGTTGATTTTTGTATATGATCTAAGGAAGCTGTCCAGTTTCAGTCTTTGGCATATGATTAGCCAGTTGTCCCAGAACCATTTATCGAATAGGGAGTCCTTTCCCCATTGCTTGTTTTTGTCAACTTTGTTGAAGATCAGATGGTTGTAAGTGTGTGGGTTTATATCTGGGCTCCCTATTCTGTTCCAGTGGTCTATGTATCTATTTTTGTACCTATACCATGCTGTCTTGGTTACTGTAGCATTGAAGTATAGTTTGAAGTTAAGTGATGTGATTCCTCCAGCTTTATTCTTTTTTGCTTAGAATTGCTTTGGCCATTTGGGCTCTTTTTGGGTTGCATATGAATTTTAGAATAGTTTTTTCTAGTTCTGTAAAGAATATCATTGTTCATTTGACAGGAATAGCATTGCATATGTAAATTGATAAATTCCTGAAAACATTCAACCTCTCGAGACTGAACCAGGAAGAAATTTAAACCCTGATCAGACCAATAGCAAGTTCCAAAATTGAATCAGTAATAAAAAGGCTACCAGCCAGAAAAAGCCTTGGACCACACAGATTCACAGCAAAATTCTACCAGACATATAAAGTAGAGCTGGTACCATTCCTACTGAAACTATTCCAAAAAATTGAGGAGGAGGAACTCTTCCCTAACTCATTCTATGAGGCCAGCATCATCCTGGCAAAGACAAAGCAAAGACATAACAACAACGTAAAAACTTCAGACCAATATCCTTGATGAACATAGATGCAAAAATCCTTAACAAAATACTAGCAAACTGAATCCAGCAGCACATAAAAAAAACTAATCCCCTCTCCCTCTCCCTCTCCCTCTCCTTCTCCCCACGGTCTCCGTCTCCCTCTCTTTCCACGGTCTCCCTCTGATGCCGAGCTGAAGCTGGACTGTACTGCTGCCACCTCGGCTCACTGCAACCTCCCTGCCTGATTCTCCTGCCTCAGCCTGCGAGTGCCTGCGATTGCAGGCCTGCGCCGCCACACCTGACAGGTTTTCGTATTTTTTTGGTGGAGACGGGGTTTCGCTGTGTTGGCCGGGCTGGTCTCCAGCTCCTAACCGCGAGTGATCTGCCAGCCTCGGCCTCCCGAGGTGCTGGGATTGCAGATGGAGTCTGGTTCACTCAGTGCTCAGTGGTGCCCAGGCTGGAGTGCAGCGGTGTGATCTCGGCTCGCTACAACCTCCACCTCCCAGCCGCCTGCCTTGGCCTCCCAAAGTGTCGAGATTGCAGCCTCTGCCCGGCTGCCACCCCGTCTGGGAAGTGAGGAGCGTCTCTGCCTGGCCGCCCATCGTCTGGGACGTGAGGAGCCCCTCTGCCTGGCTGCCCACTCTGGAAAGTGAGGAGCGTCTCTGCCCGGCCGCCATCCCATCTAGGAAGTGAGGAGCGCCTCTTCCCGACCTCCATCCCATCTAGGAAGTGAGGAGCGTCTCTGCCCGGCCGCCCATCGTCTGAGATGTGGGGAGAGCCTCTGCCCCGCCGCCCCGTCTGGGATGTGAGGAGCGCCTCTACCCGGCCGCGAACCCGTCTGGGAGGTGAGGAGCGTCTCTGCCCGGCCGCCCCATCTGAGAAGTGAGGAGACCCTCTGCCTGGCAACCGCCCCGTCTGAGAAGTGAGGAGCCCCTCCGCCCGGCAGCTGCCCCGTCTGAGAAGTGAGGAGCCCCTCCGCCTGGCAGCCACCCCGTCTGGGAAGTGAGGAGCGTCTCCGCCCAGCAGCCACCCTGTCTGGGAGGGAGGTGGGGGGGTCAGCCCCCCGCCCGGCCAGCCACCCCATCCGGGAGGGAGGGGTGCCTCTGCCCGGCCGCCCCTACTGGGAAGTGAGGAGCCCCTCTGCCCGGCCACCACCCCATCTGGGAGGTGTACCCAACAGCTCATTGAGAACGGGCCATGATGACAATGGCGGTTTTGTGGAATAGAAAGGGGGGAAAGGTGGGGAAAAGATTGAGAAATCGGATGGTTGCTGTGTCTGTGTAGAAAGAGGTAGACATGGGAGACTTTTCATTTTGTTCTGTACTAAGAAAAATTCTTCTGCCTTGGGATCCTGTTGATCTGTGACCTTACCCCCAACCCTGTGCTCTCTGAAACATGTGCTGTGTCCACTCAGGGTTAAATGGATTAAGGGCGGTGCAAGATGTGCTTTGTTAAACAGATGCTTGAAGGCGGCATGCTCGTTAAGAGTCATCACCACTCCCTAATCTCAAGTACCCAGGGACGCAAACACTGCGGAAGGCCGCAGGGACCTCTGCCTAGGAAAACCAGAGACCTTTGTTCACTTGTTTATCTGCTGACCTTCCCTCCACTATTGTCCTATGACCCTGCCAAATCCCCCTCTGCGAGAAACACCCAAGAATGATCAATAAAAAAAAAAAACAAACAAAAAAAAACAAAACACAAACAAAAAAGAAAGGTTTGAGCTAAGAACTTGCAGGAGACAAGGAAATTAGTCAAGCAGAAGGATATCTGGGGGAATGGCATGCGAGGCAGAAGGGAAAGCTAGGGTCGAGGCCCTCAGGGAAAGAAGCAAGGCCAAGGGGCTGGAGTAGAGGGAGGAAGAGGGGAAGTAGTGGAAGATGAGACTAGCTTTACTACTGATTATGATGTAAGAATAGTGGCCAGTTTCCTTTCCAACTTGGGCCCGGCAGAATGGCTCCTGCAAAGAAGGGTGATGAGAAGAAGAAGGGTCATTCGCCATCAACGAGATGGTGACCCGAGAATATCCCATCAACATTCATAAGTGCATTCATGGAGTGGGCTTCAAGAAGCGTGCCCCTCAGGCACTCAAAGAGCTCCGGAAACTTGCCCTGAAGGAGATGGGAACTCCAGATGCACACTTTGATACCAGGCTCAACAAAGCTGTCTGGGCCAAAGGAATAAGCAACGTCTCATACTGTATCCATGTTCGGTTGTCCAGAAAATGTAATGAAGATAAAGATTTACCAAACAAGCTCTATACTTTGGTTGCCTACGTACCTGTTACCACTTTAAAAAAATCTACAGTCGGTGTGAATGTGAACTAACTGCTAATCATCAAATATACCAAATAAAGTTATAAAATTGTTTAAAAAAAAAAACAAAAAAAAAAAAACTAATCCACCACCATTGAGCAGGCTTTATCCCTAGGATGCAAGACTGATTTCAACATATGCAAATCAATAAATGTGATTCACCACATGAACGGAATAAAAACAAAAAACACATGATCATCTCAATAGATGCAGAAAAGGCTTTTGATAAAATTCAGCAACCTTCATGTTAAAAACCTTCAAAAAACTAGGCATTGAAGGACATACCTCAAAATAGTAAGCCATCCACAACAAAACCCACAGCCAACATCACACTGAATGGGCAAAAGCTGGGAGTATTCCTCTTGAGAACTGGAACAAGACAAGGATGCCCACTCTCACTGCTCCTATTTAACATAGTATTGGAAGTCCTAGCCAGAGCAATAAGGGAAGAGAAAGAAATAAGAGGCATCCAAATAGGAAGAGAGAAAATCAAACTACCTCTGTCAAACTACCTAGAAAACCCCATAGTTTTGCCCAAAAGCTCCTAGATAACTTCAGCAAAGTTTCTGGATACAAAAATCAGTAGCATTTCTCTACACCGATAATGTCCAAGCTGAGTGCCAAATCAAGAGCATAATCCTATTCACAATAGCCACAAAAAATAACATATCTAGAAATATAGCTAACCAGTGAAGTGAAAGAGCTCTCCAATGAGAATTACAAAACACTGCTGAAAGAAATCAGAGATGACATAAACAAATGGAAAAACATTCCATGCTCATGGATAGGAAGAATCTCCTCTGAAATCTTATAGCTAGAGAAACCATAACATTTATCATACAAATTTGGCATTTTTTGAGGGTGAATGAATGGGAGAACTATTAGTAGTCACATTGGGACAATAATCATAAACTGGAACTATCCTGTGTAAACTGGATGTATTGTCACCCAAGTTATTGCCTTTTGGGATCCTAACTGTTAGTATCAAGGACTTTGGACCGAAGTCTGTCTGGTTCCAAATTCTGGTTCTCAGCATGACTTTGAGTAGATTATTATATCCTTTGCCATTCACTTATTCTTTTTATAGCTTCTTACTAAGCTTGTATTAGATGTGTGCAAATTGTAAGGCATTGGTAACACAATGGTAAATAATATTTATGGTTTGTGCTGTCATGAAGCTTACATCCAACTTTATCTACAAAGTGGGGCCAAGGATACCTACATTATGAAAATTCTTTATATCATCGTGAGAAGTAAATACTATTTGTGAAGCATTTAGTAGGATTTTCAGTATATAGGAAGTCCTCAGTGATAACTATAATTTTATTTGTATTTTTCATATGCCATTTTGTTGCATAGTCGCATGTATAATTGTAAGGTTTTTGAGAGTAGGAGGCAAGGCTTATGAACATTTACATACCTTCAGGCATCAGTATAGTAGCCTCTCATTGCATGAATGAATTTATTGAGTGAATTCCACTAAACACCAGGTATCAAACTTTTTTTTTTTCTCATTATCTCTTCTGTTTTTTGTTCCTCTGTTGTTTCTTTCCTGCTCTTTTCAGAGCATTTGAATATTTTTTAGTGTGCCATTTTATTTTTTCTATTGGCTTTTAGTTATACCCCCTTATCTCTCTGTTTATCATTTATCTTCCTTTTTAATTTAATTTTCTTGATTGCTCAAGGGCTAAAAATATGCAGCCCCTATGCATTAGAATCTATTCATACTCAGTATTGTACCTCTCCACATTTCACACTTAACATTTGACAAATGTAGTAAACTTACAACATTTTATTTCAATTTAGTCATCCTCTTTCTTTTATTTTCTTTTTATTTTTTTGAGACAGGGTCTTGCTCTCACCCAGGCTGGAGTGCAATGGCACAATCATGGCTTACTGTAGCCTCAAACTCTGGGGCTCAAGCAGTCCTCCTGCCTCGGCCTCCTGAGTAGCTGGGACTCAGTCATGTGCCACCACACCTAGTTAATTTTTTATTTTTATTTTTAGTAGACATGAAGTCTCACTATATTGCCCAGGCTGGTCTCAAACTCCTGGGCTCAAATGATCCTCCCTGCTCTGCCTCCCAAAGTGCTGGGATCACAGGCATGAGCCACAACACCTGGCCTCATCTCCCTTTCTTTGTATGGTTATTGTCATATTCATTATTTTAACATGTCATAACCCCAACCTTAGAGTGTTTTCACTTTTGCCTTAAATAGTAGTCTTTAAGGAAATTCTAAGAAAGAAAACATACTACTTTATATTTAGTAATTTACTTAACATTTCCAGTGCTCTTTTTCTTTCTTACTGTAGATCTGAATTTCCATCTGGTATCAGTTATCTTCAACTTTTTGTATTTCTTATAGTGTAGGTCTGCTGGTGATTAATTTTCTCAGCTTTTATTTATCTGAAAGTGCCTTTATTTTCTTCCCATTTTTGAAGAATATTTTTGTTGGTTGTAGAGTTCTGAGTTAACAGCTTTGTTTTCGTTTTTCCTTTCAGCGATTTAAAAATTCCATGCCATTGGGGTTTTCAGTCCCCACTGTTTCTCATAAGCCCATGATCATTCTTATCCTTGTTCAACTGTACGTAATGTGTGTCTTTCCTCTGGATGCCCTTAATATTTCCTCTTTATCTTGGATGTGCTGCAGTTTTACTACAATGTGCCTGGGTGTGGTTTTCTTTATATTTATTCTTCTTGGGGTTTGCTAAACTTCTTGGATCTGTTTGATCGTTTTGAAAAGTTTTCAGCTGTTATTCCTTCAAATATTTTTTTCTGGCCCATTCTCACTCGCTTTTCTTTCTAGGATTCCAATTACATTTACGTTAAGACTATTTGGTATTGTCCTACCTATTCCTAAATCTTAGTTCATCTTCCTGATTATTTTCCCCACTCTTCCTTTCTAAGATTAAATAATTTCTACTGATCTGTTTTAGGTTCTCTTTTCTTCTGCCATCTCTAATCAGCTATTCAGACCTGTCCACTAAATTGTTCATTTTTATTTTTTTTTAGTTCTAGAATTTTCATTTGGTTATTTTCTCTGCCTAGACTCCTCTATTCACTCCTTGAGATCATATTTCCTGTCATTCTTTGGACATATATATTTAAAATTCTTTAACATATTTACAAAAGCTGCTTTAGATTCTTTGTTTGGACATATCTGGGTAATTTTGAGATTTGTTTGTATTTACTGCTTTTTTGCTTGCCTATGTATCATATTTTCATTTTTTTAAATTATGCTTTAAGTTCTAGGGTACATGCGCACAGCGTGCAGGTTTGTTACATATGTATACATGTGCCATGTTGGTTTGCTTCACCCATCAACTCATCATTTACATTAGGTATCTCTCCTAATGCTATCCATCCCCCACCCCCCACACCCCCCAACAGGCCCTGGTGTGTGATGTTCGCCACCCTGTGTCCAAGTGTTCTCATTGTTCAATTCCCACCTATGAGTGAGAACATGTGGTATTTGGTTTTCTGTCATTGTGATAGTTTGCTGAGAATGATGGTTTCCAGCTTCATCCATGTCCCTGAAAAGGACATGAACTCATCCTTTTTCATGGCTACATAGTATTCCATGGTATATATGTGCCACATTTTCTTAATCCAGCCTATCAATGATGGACATTTGGGTTGGTTCCAAGTCTTTGCTATTGTGAATAGTGCCGCAATAGACATACGTGTGCATGTCTTTATAGTAGAATGATTTATAATCCTTTGGGTATATACCCAGTAATGGGATGGCTGGGTCAAATGGTATTTCTAGTTCCAGATCCTTGAGGAAACGCCACACTGTCTTCCACAATGGTTGAACTAATTTACACTCCCACCAAGTGTAAAGGCATTCCTATTTCTCCACATCCTCTCCAGCATCTGTTGTTTCCTGACTTTTTAATAATTGCCATTCTAACTGGTGTGAGATGATATCTCACTGTGGTTTTGATTTGCATTTCTCTGATGACCAGTGATGATGAGCATTTTTTCATGTGTCTGTTGGCTGCATAAATGTCTTCTTTTGAGAAGTGTCTGTTCATATCCTTCGCCCACTTTTTGATGGGGTTGTTTGTTTTTTTCTTGTAAACTTGTTTAAGTTCTTTGTAGATTCTGGATACTAGCACTTTATCAGATGGGTAGATTGCAAAAATTTTCTCCCATTCTGTAGGTTGCCTGTTCACTCTGATGGTAGTTTCTTTTGCCATGCCGAAGCTCTTTAGTTTGATTAGATACTATTTGTCTATGTTGGCTTTTGTTGCCATTGCTTTTTGGTGTTTTAGTCATGAAGTCCTTGCCCATGCCTGTGTCCTGAATGGTATTGCCTAGGTTTCTTCTAGGGTTTTTATGGTTTTATGTCTAACATTTAAGTCTTTAATCCATCTTGAATTAATTTTTGTATAAGGTGTAAGGAAGGGATCCAGTTTCAGCTTTCTACATATGGCTAGCCAGTTTTCCCAGCACCATTTATTAAATAGGGAATCCTTTCCCCATTTCTTGTTTTTGTCAGGTTTGTCAAAGACCAGATGGTTGTAGATGTGTGGTGTTATTTCTGAGGCCTCTGTTCTATTTCTTGGTCTATATCTCTGTTTTGGTACCAGTACCATGCTGTTTTGGTTACTGTAGCCTTGTAGTATAGTTTGAAGTCAGGTAGCGTGATGCTTCCAGCTTTCTTCTGTTGGCTTAGGATTGTCTTGGCAACGTGGGCTCTTTTTTGGTTCCATATGAACTTTAAAGTAGTTTTTTCCATTTCTGTGAAGAAAGTCATTGGTGGCTTGATGGGGATGGCATTGAATCTATAAATTACCTTGGGCAGTGTGGCCGTTTTCACAATATTGATTCTTCCCATCCATAAGCATGGAACGTTCTTCCATTTGTTTGTGTCCTCTTTTATTTCGTTGAGCAATGGTTTGTAGTTCTTCTTGAAGAGGTCCTTCACATCCCTTGTAAGTTGGATTCCTAGGTATTTTATTCTCTTTGTAGCAATTGTGAATGAGAGTTCACTCATGATTTGGCTCTCTATTTGTCTGTTATTTGTATATCAGAATGCTTGTGATTTTTGCACATTGATTTTGTATCCTGAGACTTCGCTGAAGTTGCTTATCAGCTTAAGGAGATTTTGGGCTGAGATGATGGGGTTTTCTAAATATACAATCATGTCATCTGCAAACAGGGACAGTTTGACTTCCTCTTTTGCTAATTGAATTCCCTTTATTTCTTTCTCTTGCCTGATTGCCCCAGCCAGAACTTCCAACACTAAGTTGCATAGGGGTGGTGAGAGAGGGCATCCTTGTCTTGTGCTGGTTTTCAAAGGGAATGCTTCTAGTTTTTGCCCATTCAGTATGATATTGGCTGTGGGTTTGTCAAAAATTGCTCTTACTATTTGGAGATACATTCCATCATTATGTAGTTTATTGAGAGTTTTTAGCATGAAGGGCTATCGAATTTTGTTGAAGGCCTTTTCTGCATCTATTGAGATAATCATGTGGTTTTTGTCATTGGTTCTGTTGACGTGATGGATTAGGTTTATTGATTTGAGCATGTTGAACCAGCCTTGCATCCCTGGGATGAAGCTGACTTGATTGTGGCAGATAAACTTTTTGATGTGCTGCTGGTTTCAGTTTGCCAGTATTTTATTGAGGATTTTCTCATCGATGTTCATCAGGGATAATGGTCTAAAATTCTCTTTTTTTGTTGTGTCTCTGCCAGGCTTTGGTATCAGAATGATGCTCATAAAATGAGTTAGGGAGGATTCCCTCTTTTTCTTTTGATTGGATTAGTTTCAGAAGGAATGTTACCAGCTCCTCTTTGTACCTCTGGTAGAATTCAGCTGTGAATCCATCGGGTCCTGGACTTTTTTTGGTTGGTAGGCTATTAATTATTGCCTTAATTTCAGAGCCTGTTATTGATCTATTCAGGAATTCAACTTCTTCCTGGTTTATTCTTGGGAGGGTGTATGTGTCCAGGAATTTATCCATTTCTTCTAGATTTTCTAGTTTATTTGTGTAGAGGTGTTTATAGTATTCTCTGATGGTAGTTTGTATTTCTGTGGATCAGTGGTGATATCACCTTTATCATTTTTTATTGCATCTATTTGATTCTTCTCTCTTTTTTATTAGTCTTGCTAGCAGTCTATTTTTTTGATCTTTTCAAAAAACCAACTTCTGGATTCATTGATTTTTTGAAGGGTTTTTTGTGTGTCTCTATCTCCTTCAGTTCTCCTCTGATCTTAGTTATTTCTTGTCTTCTGCTAGCTTTTGAATTTGTTTGCTCTTGCTTCTCTAGTTCTTTTAATTGTGATGTTAAGGTGTCGATTTTAGATCTTTCCTGCTTTCTCTTGTGTGCATTTAGTGCTATAAATTTCCCTCTACACAGTGCTTTAAATGTGTCCCAGAGATTCTGGTATGTTGTGTCTTTGTTCTCGTTGGTTTCAAAGAACATCTTTATTTTTGCCTTCATTTCATTATGTACCCAGTAGTCATTCAGGAGTAGGTTGTTCAGTTTCCATTTAGTTGAGCAGTTTTGAGTGAGTTTCTTAATCCTGAGTTCTAATTTGATTGCATTGTGGTCTGAGAGACAGTTTTTTGTAATTTCTGTTCTTTTACATTTGCTGAGTAGTGCTTTACTTCCAATTATGTGGTCAATTTTAGAATAAGTGTGATGTGGTCCTGAGAAGAATGTATATTCTGTAGATTTGGGGTGGAGAGTTCTGTAGATGTCTATTAGGCCCGCTTGTTGCGGAGCTGAGTTCAAGTCCTGGATTTCCTTGTTAACCTTCTCTCTGGTTGATCGGTCTAATATTGACAATGGGGTGTTAAAGTGTCCCATTATTATTATGTGGGAATCTAAGTCTCTTTTTAGGTCTCTAAGGACTTGCTTTATGAATCTGGATGCTCCTGTATTGGGTACATATATATTTAGGTTAGTTAGATCTTCTTGTTGAATTATCTCTTTACCATTATGTAATGCCTTTCTTTGTCTCTTCTGATCTTTGTTGGCTTAAAGTCTGTTTTGTCAGAGACCAGGATTGCAACCCCTGCTTCTTTTTGCTTTCCATTTGCTTGGTAGATCTTCTTACATCCCTTTATTTTGAACCTATATGTTTCTCTGCATGTGAGATGGGTCTCCTGAATACAGCACACTGATGAGTCTTGACTCTTTATCCAATTTGCCAGTCTGTGTCTTTTAATTGGAGCATTTAGCCCATTTACATTTAAGGTTAATATTGTTATGTGTGAATTTGATCCTGTCATTATGATGTTAGCTGGTTATTTTGCCCATTAGTTGATGCAGTTTCTTCATGGTGTCGATGGTCTTTACAATTTGGCATGTTTTTGCAGTGGCTGGTACCAGTTGTTCCTTTCCATGTTTAGTGCTTCCCTCAGGAGCTCTTTTAGGGCAGGCCTTGTGGTGACAAAATCTCTCAGCATTTGCTTGTCTGTAAAGGATTTTATTTCTCCTTCACTTACAAAGCTTAGTTTGGCTGGATATGAAATTCTGGGTTGAAAATTTTTTTCTTTAAGAATGTCGAATATTGGCCCCCACTCTTTTCTGTCTTATAAGGTTTCTGCTGAGAGAGCTGCTGTTTGTCTGATGGGCTTCCCTTTGTGGACAACCCGACCTTTCTCTCTGGCTGCCCTTAACATTTTTTCCTTCATTTCAACCTTGGTGAATCTGAAAATTATGTGTCTTGGGGTTGCTCTTCTTGAGGAGTATCTTTGTGATGTTCTCTGTATTTCCTGAATTTGAATGTTGGCCTGCCTTGCTAGTTTGGGGAAGTTCTTGTGGATAATATCCTCCAGAGTGTTTTCCAACTTGGTTCCATTCTCCCCGTCACTTTCAGGTACATCAATCAGACGTAGATTTGGTCTTTTCACATAGTCCCATATTTCTTGGAGGCTTTGTTTGTTTCTTTTTACTCTTTTTTCTCTAAACTTGTCTTCTTGCTTTATTTCATTCATTTGATCTTCAGTCAGTGATATCCTTTCTTCGACTTGATCTAACAGGCTATTGAAGCTTGTGCATGCATCACGAAGTTCTCGTGCCGTGGTTTTCAGCTCCATCAGGTCATTTAAAGTCTTCTCTACACTGTTTATTCTAATTTGCCATTCGTCCAACATTTTTTAAAGATTTTCAGCTTCCTTCAATGGGTTAGAACATGCCCCTTTAGCTTGGAGAAGTTTGTTATTACCATCCTTCTGAAGCCTACTTCTGTCAACTTGTCAAAGTCATTCTCCGTCCAGCTTTGTTCCATAGCTCGTGAGGAGCTGTGATCCTTTGGAAGAGAAGAGGCACTCTGGTTTTTAGAATTTTTAAATTTTCTGCACTGGTTTCTCTCCATCTTTTTGGTTTTATCAACCTTTGGTCTTTCATGTTGGTGACCTACAGATGGGGTTTTGGTGTGGATGTCCTTTTTGTTGATGTTGATGCTATTCCTTTCTGTTTGTTAGTTTTCCTCCTAACAGTCAGGTCCCTCAGCTGCAGGTCTGTTGGATTTTGCTGGAGGTCCACTCCAGATCCTATTTGCCTGGGTATCACCAGTGGAGGCTGCAGAACAGCAAATATTGCTGCCTGATCCTTCCTCCATAAGCTTCGTGCTAGAGGGGCACCTGCCTGTGTGAGATGTCTGTCAGCCCCTACTGGGAGGTGTCTCCCAGTTAAGCTATGTGGGGGTCAGGGACCCACTTGAGGAGGCAGTCTGTCCGTTCTCAAAGCTCAAACGCCATGCTGGGAGAACCACTGCTCTCTTCAGAGCTGTCAGACAGGGATGTTTAAGTCTGCAGAAGCTTCTGCTGCCTTTTGTTCAGCTATGCCCTGCCCACAGAGGTGGAGTCTATAGAGGCAGTAGGCTTTGCTGAGCTGTGGTGGGCTCTGCCCAGTTCCAGCTTCCTGGCCACTTTGTTTACCTACTTAAGCCTCAGCAATGGTGAACACCCCTCCCCCCACCAGGCTGCTGCCTCGCAGGTCAATCTCAGATTGCTCTGCTAGCAATGAGCAAGTCTCCATGGGTGTGGGACCTGCTAAGCCAGGCACAGGAGAGAATCTCCTGGTCTGCTGGTTGCTAAGACAGTGGGAAAAGCGCAGTATTTGGGCGGGAGTGTCCTGTTTGTCATGGCTTCCCTTTGCTAGAAAAGGGAAATCCCCCAACCCCTTGCACTTCCCAGGTGAGGCGATGCCCCACCCTGCGCTGGCTCCCGCTCCATGGGCTGCACCCACTGTCCAATCAGTCCCAATGAGATGAACCAAGTACCTCAGTTGGAAATGCAGAAATCACCCATCTTCTGCATCGATGACGCTGGGAGGTGCAGACTGGAGTTGTTCCTATTTGGCCATCTTGGAATGGAGATCTTATTTCTTTATCTGGTGATTTTTTATTGCATACTGGACATTTTGGACAATGTGTTATCATGCCTCTGGATTGTGTTATTTTCTTCTGAAGAATTTTGCTTGTTATCTTAGCATGCTGTTCAATTGGCTGATCACGTTGAACATGTTTAAGCATGGTTTTAGGCTTTGTTAGTCCAAATCTTTGAGAAATCCCAGGTGCTTTCCCAACCTATTCAACCTGGCAGTATTCAGTGTTGATAGAGGATGTTTTTCTTGATGATAGGCTTTGTTTTAGACTTTACTGGAGTCATAGGACTTACTTTAGGACATAGTCTTTACTTGTAGAGAGGTACCAACTTTCTGTTTCTCAGGTAGATCCCAGGGGTGTCAAAGTAGTATTTATTTATGAGCTCTCTCAAACCCATAGGACCTGAACTGCAATGATGTCTAGTACTATTCTTCTTCCAGCATTACTTGACCTCCACTATTTCTGTTCTCTCAACCTGATAACATTTTCTCTCTGTTAAGCCTCCAGTATTCTCACTCTGCAAATGTATGGTGGTGATCTCAGTCACAGATTTGTCCCATGTCTGGGACAAATCTCTGCAAAACTTCTGAGACTTCTCTGTGTTAAAGTCTTTACTCTCTAAGACTCTGCTTTATAGATGCCAGCCATGCCAGCTGCCTCAGACTCCAGCTCTTTTTGTCATGTTTAGGAAAATATCCTTATTCACAGAGGTGGACATTCGTGGGCAGAGGGATTTCAGTTCTGGATTGGCTTGTTAGCCACTGTTTGAAAACGGTTGCCTCATATATTTTACTTAGTTTTGTAAGTATTTTCTGTGAGACAGATAATCTGTTACTAGTTACTCTATCATAGCTGGAAGCAGAAATATATAGGTATCAATTTGATTTGCAATTGTTTCTAGTTTACAATGCATTCTGCCTATCTTAAAAAATTTGTAATTCTAATCATTTTATTTTTGATCAGGGAATGTATTTATTGATTCACATGAATAAAATTCAAAGGCTATAGAAGAATATGTAGCAAAAAATCTCTCTTCTAATCTAGTAGCCTAATTCTTCTCCTCAGAGGTGATAGATATTACCAGTTCTTTTTGTTCCCTTTCAGACATATTTTAGATATATATGAAATCCTCTCCCTCTTCTTATTTTCCTCACATAAATGATAGCATGATGTGCATACTTTATATTTTTTTGTGTTTTGTCTTTTTTCTACTTAATGACATATCTTGGAGGCTATACATATTAATATATAAAGAATTTCTACATTCTTTTTTGGGCTACATGATACTCAGTTTTATGAAATACCATGAATTATCTCACCAGATTCCTATTTTTACTCATACTTTTTGGTTATTATAAACAATGCTTCATGAACTACTTTGGGTAAACCATTTGGTATATGCCAGTATATCTGTAGGATACATTCATAAAAGTGCAATTGCTACCTGAAAATGTATGCACATTTGTTACTTAGTTAAATGTTGCCAAATTTCCCTCCAGCAGCTGTGTTAGTGGCTGTAGCCTCGTTAAAAATGTATGGGAGGAATGCTGACTTTTTTGTTTTACCTGCAGTATCCATTTTCTCCATGGTACATCTACAAAATTGGCTTCTATTTTTTATTCTTATGTTTATCTTAATCTTTTAATAATCTTTCCCTGATTAACTTACAAGTTTCTTGTTATAACAAATAAGGGGGCTAAGGGGGAGGGGGATGGTTAATGAGGAAAAAATAGAAAGAATGAATAAGACCTACTATTTGATAGCACAACAGGGTGACTAGAGTTAGTAACTTATTTCTACAATTAAAAATAACCGAGAGTGTAACTGGATTGTTTGTAACACAAGTGATAAATGCTTGAGGGAATGGATACTCCATTCTCTATGATGTGATTATTTCACATTGCATGTCTCTGTGTAAACATCTCATGTACCCCATAAATATATTATACCTACTATGTACCCAGAACAATTAAAAATAAAAAAATTTAAAGTACAAAAAAAGACAAAAAGAGTCACACAGAAAATAAAGGAAAATAGTCTATAGAAGGATAAAAAACAAAACAAAAAAACAAATAAGATAAGCAGCAGCGATTTATATAAATTAGAGTTATTATTATTACTGTGGTTGCTGTGGTTGATTTTCCTAATATTCCAGGGCACGAATCAGCTGATAATATCCATTTTAAAAGTGCAATTTTATTTCCATTTTAGTCAGTCTGATTTTCAAATTATTCTCCCCTTTTTGTGCTTTAAAAATAGGGATATAACATATGCTAGCCTGTTCCCAATTTGAACTCGTGTCTTTCAAATGCACAGTCTAACTTTATTAATTCTGTATGGAATCATGTCCTGTGAGCTTTCTAGCTTTTCTTTCTTTCTTGTTTTTTTTCCCTTTACCTCACTTGCTCTTCTGAATTTGAGGAGCTAAAGATATTTGTGACAAGACTTAGCTACTCAATGAACATTCCGAATCAATGTTTTCCTGTGGAAACAGTGACTCTGATGGAATCTTCTCCACTTCCTGGAACATTAAATTGTCACTAGGTAATTCAGGAGTCTCTTTTTCAGGTTCTTGTCTGCAGTATACTGAAAAGTGAATTGTGAACTCATTGTTATGAAATTTGGAAGTGTTTATCTTTAATGTTAGCTTAGAGTGTTTTTTTTTTCCCTCTCTCTTGCATTCCCTTTAAACCCTGACCATTTAAACATTATAGACAAGGACATTTCTCATGTGTTTGTCTTTCTCTAAATCTGTTAGTACTTTAAACTGTGTGGTCCCAACACGATGTTGTACTATACTTGTGGAATCAACACTCAAAAGAGCCCATTCAGAAGAGTTTTTTTTCTTCTTCTTGGTAACTGCTTTCTAAAAAAAATTCTTCTTTATATTCTAAAGCTCTAAGCCCCCAAGCCCCATCCTCCCATGTTGAGATTCCTGTTGCCACCTGCCTTTGACTCTTCTATGTCCTCCTGTCAAATACCCTTCCTGGCCTATTGTTCCAACTTATTATAAAACACTGTAACTGAATGGCTTGAAAAGATGTTGCGAATGTAGTTGATTTTTCCTCTGAGAAACAAGTGTGTTAGCTTCTTTGGAGAATGTATTAACTGGTACTACTGGCACTACTAAGCTCTAGGCTTAGAACTGTGTGAGGGAAACAAAAAACAGAACAAAGATATGCAGAAGTCTGGTTTTTGCCCTCCAGGAGTGCAATGGTTGTGAGTGTAGGATCTGAACTCAAGCAGACAGATGTAGGCTGGATGATCTTGGGTGAGGTACACTAAATCTCAGTTCTCTCATCCGTGATACAATTGTACTCATCTCACAGATTAAACAAGATAAATCTGTGGGGAGAATCCGCCCCAGAATTGAGAGAGGCTGTTCTCTGGGCACACTTGCTTTATGTGGTCTTTTCAATTGCTGTCAATCAGTTTTTAAAATCTGGTTGCCCAAACACCATTGTGGCTATTACCATGACTACTTCATGTTCTGGCTGTTCTGGCAGTACAAATGAGTCTGGACATCTACTTCAGGTAAATTGGATGTTTGATTAATTAATAACCATGTAGGCCATTTGTAGATGGAATCGCACAGTGTGATTAGTCATGGTAGCATGAAGACTTTAACAGGCCAATCCCTACATCTCAATGGCTTTATATATTACATATTTATTTCTTGTTCGTATCACATTACAATGTGGATTGGGGGTAAAGTGGGACACAGCATGTTCCACAAAGTTATTCAGATTCCCAAGCTGTTTTTACCTAGTTCATTATCCTCTAAAGCCCCAGAGTCTTGGATATTAATTTCTCTGAAGGAAGAGTGTATGATAGTGTGTCCAGAATTGGTGGGCTCTTGGTCTCACTGACTTCAAGAATGAAGCCGCGGACGCTCATGGTGAGTGTTACAGTTCTTAAAGGCAGTGTGTCCAGAGTTTGTTCCTTCTGATGTTCGGATGTGTTCGGAGTTTCCTCCTTCTGGTGGGTTCGTGGTCTTGCTGGCTCAGGAGTGAAGCTGCAGACCTTCGCGGTGAGTGTTACAGCTCTTAAGTCAGGGTGTCTGGAGTTGTTCGTTCCTCCCAGTGGGTTTGTGGTCTCGCTGGCTTCCGGAGTGAAGCTGCAGACCTTTGCAGTGAGTGTTACAGCTCATAAAGACAGTGTGGACCCAAAGAGTGAGCAGCAGCAAGATTTATTGCAAAGAGTGAAAAAACAAAGCTTCTACAGTGTGGAAGGGGACCCCAGCAGGTTGCCACTGGTGGCTCAGGCAGCCTGCTTTTATTCTCTTATCTGGCCCCACCCACATCCTGCTGATTGGTCCATTTTACAGAGAGCTGATTGGTCTGTTTTACAGAGAGCTGATTGGTCTGTTTTGACAGTGTGCTGATTGGTGCATTTACAATCCTTGAGCTAGACACAAAAGTTCTCCATGTCCACACTAGATTAGCTAGATACAGAGTGTCGATTGGTGTATTTACAAACCCTGAGCTAGACACAGAGTGCTGATTGGTGCATTTACAAACCTTGGGCTAGATACAGAGTGCTGATTGGTGCATTCACAAACCCTGAGATAGACACAGGGTGCTGATTGGTGTGTTTACAAACCTTGAGCTACATACAGAGTGCTGATTGGTGCATTTACAATCCCTTAGCTAGACATAAAGATTCTCCAAGTCCCCACCAGACTCAGGAGCCCAGATGGCTTCACCCAGTGGGTCCCGCACCGGGCGGCAGGTGGAGATTCCTGCCAGTCCCGCGCCCTACGCCTGCACTCCTCAGCCCTTTGGCAGTGGATGGGACTGGGCGCCCTGGAGCAGGGGGCAGCGCTTGTCAGGGAGGCTCGGGCTGCACAGGAGCCCATGGTGGGGGTGTGGGGAGACTCAGGCGTGGCCGCACTGCAGGTCCCGAGCCCTGCCCCGTGGGGAGGCAACTAAGGCCTGGTGAGAAATTGAGTGCAGCAGCTGCTGGCCCAGGTGCTAAGCCCCTCACTGCCCGGGGTGGCGGGGCCGGCCTGCCGCTCCCAGTGCGGGCCCACCAAGCCCACGCCCACCGGAACTCGCACTGGCCTTCAAGTGCCTGCCGCGCAGCCCCGGTTCCCGCCTGCACCTCTCCCTCCACACCTCCCCGCAAGCTGAGGGCGCCGGCTCCGGCCTTGGCCAGCCGAGAAAGGGGCTCCCACAGTGCAGGGGAGGGCTGAAGGGCTCCTCAAGCACGGCCAGAGTGGGCGCCAAGGCCAAGGAGGCGCTGAGAGCCAGCAAGGGCTGTGAGGGCTGTCAGCATGCTGTCACCTCTTAATAGGTGGTTTGGAGGTTTTAGGAACCAGGTCTGGATGGGGTACATATGACTTACATTCACATTCTATTGGCTAGAACTTGTCTCATAGCCTGATCAGATGCAGAGGGTCTAGGAAATAGGTGCTGAAAGAAGGGAACCCATGCACATTAATGAGTACCATTGATTGCTCCCTTTCAGTGGCACTTTAAAGGTTTGGACTTCCAGTTGTCTCACCCAGGTTGAGTGCAACCACTTAGGCATTCCTACCATGTGACAAGGTACTGGCATCTAGCTTGATGTGGGTCTGCCCAATGGCAAATGATTACCCTAAGACTCAAATTTCATTTCCCTTCTTCCTGTGTCTTAACCAAGGAGAGATTTTAAAACGTATACCAGAGACGAAGAGGCACTTTGAATTTGTCCGGGTAGGTGCTTCTTGGTTTGGGGATGTTATGACCTTAGATAGGTAAGTGAAGGCTGTCATGTGGAATGACTCCCAGATTTAATGTAATTCCATTACAAGTAGGTTTACATAAGAGGCACAACTTTGTTTCTTGGTTATTCCTTATTACCATATTTATAACACTTAAAAGAAAGAGTTCAGAAAATAGCTAGGATTGGTTTACTCCAGATACCTGGAGTGTTAACCAGCAAACTGCTTTGTAGCCTTGTGTGTACCAACAGAAGTAGGTTGCATATTCTGTCTTTTCTTTCTCCTTGAAAGCAATACTTTGCTGATCTTTAACTTATATATGTCCCTTGGAATGATGCCAGGGAGAATTTTTATAATAGGTCCAAATTATAGTTGCCTGTCTTTGTGTGTGTATGTATATTTAACTTTTTAATTTGATTTTATTTTTAAGTAGCTTTATCTCTGGATGGGCAATGCATATCTTAATAGTGTGATCAAAAACAGTTAAGATAAAAAATCTTAATAGAGTTTTATGACCCATAAAAATACTCAATAATATCAATTTTTGTTTTTATGACTATTATTTGCATTCTCTAGGGAGGCAGATTAACACATAAAAACTACCTAAAGAATATAAAAACAATGTATGGATAATATGGCAGAAATGGTATATAATTGGTATAAAGTACAAAACCAAGGACTGCTAGTGCACAGAAGCTTTGGTTTGTTTATTTGAGGAGATTCGTCTTAGCATCGGCCCTACTGTGTATGACAGACAAGGACTGTTATCACAGCATGTACTAAGGAATACATGACCCCTTCTGCTTACCTTCGAAAGGGGAGAAATTGTATCTGTCGAGAAACTTGGTGGAACAAACAGAAGTGCATGCAATTAATTGTAAGACATAGGGCATCGGTTCTGTTTTCTATTTTAGAACTGTAAAAAGTTTGACAAAGTGAACCTGAACTCTGATAAAGCAGCAAGAAAAATCTGGAAGTGTTCTTTGGGTTAGGAGATGCTTATAACTGGTTGGATGGAAATAGTAGTTACATTAAGATTATTTGTTACTTTGGGATCTGATGCAGGGCTGAAACAACCCAATGTAAGTCAATGATACTTTCACCAGATTGAAGTTTCTAAGCTGTTTTTCCAAAAAAAAAAAAAATAAACGAAAAAAGAAATTCAAAATTAAAACAAACCACTCCCAAATTCTCTTACATCCATGGCATTCTGAATTTATAAGGATAGGCTTTGGCCCTTTTAGAATCTGGTTTTATGAAGGTGGAAGGAATGACAAGGCTTAGTGCAAAATATTAAAAGTACCTTATGCCCTTTTACCAAGTGTGCACCACTGCGTTCCTGAGTCTGTGTAGTCTTCCCATCTATTTCTCCTTTCGTTTCTTCCTCCTTCTCCTTCCTCCTTCCTCCTCTCATCTTCAGAAAATGAAAGGCTCTGGAAGTCTATTGTGTGTGAGTACCTTTGGGACCAATGTAAAACATAGAGCAATATGCATGCAAGGGATGCTTCTCCTTCAGATTGGAAAAAAAGTGGATTTAAATGAAAACAGACCTGACAATATACCTTTTTCTGCCTATAGGTTTGATGAGGTAATGTTATAAAGTATATTGCTCTCTAAAAATCCTGAGGGTTTTTGAGTGAATGATGTAATGAAAGTAAGCTACAGTAGTCAGTAGGAATATAATCTAGGAAGTATGTCCTGGGATAAATAAAACTGTTGATAGCATGAACGTTATGTGCTTGTGAGCTCAGCTAGTGAGGGGATGAAGGAGCTTGCATTTATTAAATAGCTTAGTTAAATGAATTATACATATATTCCATGACTTCAACTATATAATGTTGTAGTTAAAGTCATCATTTTAGAATCAGACTGAAGTGGATCTAAATCCTGGTATTATGACTTAATATTCACCTAGTCATTAGCAAATGACTCCACCTCTAGCCTAGCCTTAGTTTCCTTATCTATAAAAAGTATTTGATTAAAACCTACCTTAAGGATTTGTTGTAAGGGTTATAGGAAATAATGCTATAGGCTTTGGCAAATAAAAAACAATCAGCTGGCTGTTATTACCTTACAGTGGTTACATATTTTTAAATAACCAAAATAATTGACATAAAATTAACAGAAAAACTTAACAAAATGATTTAGTAAATAACTTAAGATCTTGGAGTGCCTCATAGTCATCATTGGAAACATAAGGAGTATTGTACTTTTCTAGAACCAATAACATAATTCTGGGTGATGGAATCCTTTTGCTATAAGTATCTATGTGAATACACAAAACATGCAGGGTTTGAACTAAGCATCGAAGAACGAGGATGATTTGAGAAAAAGTTCTGTCTCCTTGGGAATAATACAAATCAGTGATCCAGACATGCAGAAAAAAGACAAAAACAAGGTGGAATGTGGTAGAATACTACACTAAATTATTTGAGACTGCCCAAATACCTCCAGATGGAGTAAGGCTCTCTAAAAAGATATTGACTGGTTTTTCTATCTCTTCTGGATTGCTCTTTCAAGTGAATGTGTAAATATGTCTATAAAAACGATGCAGTGTTGGGTAACGGCAACAAAATTATTGGTCTCAGTCTCCCTTGGCTGTTTTTTCCCCTAATTTCTTTGTGTTTTAGTTGATCTACTTGCAAGATGGAATAGTGGAGATAACATTTTCCTAGTGTTCTTTTGAAGACACGTATAATTGTAGTCCTATTGTCCTGAGACTGAATGTACAGATGAACCCAGCCATGAATGGAGAAAACCTCAAGAAAAGTGAAAGAAACAAAAACAAGCCAACAGCTCCTTCACTGGGATAAAAACCCTCAGCTAAAAAGAGATAGTTACTCTAAGAATTGTACTGTTTTATTAAGTTAGTGACTTAAAATATTAATCTTTTTGAATATAATTTGGCATGGGGAATCTTTGGGAAGATAAAGATTGTGGTCAATATAACACCTATCTAGCCACCTTTTTTGCGGGTGGTTGGGTCAGTAGCAGTGGAACAAACTAGTATGTAAATTGAGATTTCTAGGAAAGGTGGAAAATATCTGGGGAACACCATTGGATCATAGCTTAGTTATTGCAGCAATAAGAAAAATATATTTCTAACTTTAGGGTTAATTTCACTCACGTTTTCCTTCATTTAGATCTGGTTTTTAATCCCTGATTTAGAGCCGATCTTTTAAATTGTCATTTTACTTTTTTAGAGCTAAATGGTTTGAATTGGACTTAAATATTCGGAAATAATGTTAAAATGTGAAATTCGTTGCTTTTAGTATAAAATAAATGTATGCATTGAAAAATTCTTTTTACATGGTGATTACTTTCATATATTGTGATGCCTTGGTTTTATATAATAATTGCAATGATGATGATGATGATAATGAGATTAGCTAACACTTATGTGATACTTCCCTTTGTGACATGTCTGAATTTCTTCTGGTTATGTCATACAGTGGTGGTAATAATACACGTGAAAGGCCAGGATAGTTCTAGCCCTTACATAAGTTTGCTTTATACTTAAGCTAGTCTTTTAGTCCGTTTTTCCTTTAAACATCATAACCTATTTTGGTTATAGCTACCAGTTGTAACTATTTTCACATAGATTTTTACAGTTAATGGAAAATGAACCCTTCTGGAAGTTATCCTTTTTATCAGCAATGAAAATTATACCAGTGCATGCTTTATTACAACCTAGAATGAGTGTGACTTGAAAAAATTAGAACTTACCAAGTTGCTTGACTCCCTCTTTGTCCAGTGCAGCAGTTAATATCTCATCTCCCATTCTCTAGGGCCAGTCAGCCTATGTTCAAATGTCAGTTCTTCCATGTATTAGCTGCAAAACTGACCTGGGGAAAAGTATGCAGCTTTTTTAGTTCACTATTCTCATACGTAAAATGGGGTAATGGTACCTACTTCATATGATTATTGAGAAGTTTAAATGAATTCCTGTTAGAAGCAGTAAGAACAGTGTCTCTCCCATGGCAAGTGCCTTATGTTTTTAAAATAAATATAAATGTCTGAGGCTCATTGCCATCATATTATCACAGAGCCTGTATCAAGGACATGGAGGCAATACCTGCAGTGGCCAAGCATGAAAATCTTTGACAGTTCTGTTACTTGACAGCTGTAAGAGCTTTGGAAAGTTGCTTAACCTTAGACTAGCTCTCCTCATTGTAAAATGGAAGTCAGTCATAGTGTCTGCTTTGTGTGGTTGCTGAGGATTAAATGAGATGATATTTGTCAAGACTTGTGGTGAGTCACAAAGTTCACTGACATCTCATCCAGATGGGCGGAGAAGAGGTAGCTTCTTAGTTTTGATTTTAACTAATGTGATCTTCCTCCTGAGCAAACCACTGCTGATTAGAAGGAAAAATAAATTAAATGTCTAAGCTGTCTTAGTCTGATGTATTGATTTTAGATAATGCTCTGTCTCTAGGAAAAGGTGCTCAGACTTTCAGATCTCTGTGTTCCAGGATTTTCCAGGTTTCTCTCCAAGATGATGTCTGGTATGTAGGGGAGGGGAGGGGCTTAGGCAGCCTCTTGGTGGGAGAGAAAAGTCTGGACCCATAGGCATAGTCATGGTGTCCACTGATCGCACTTCAGGAACAGAGACCAATGCCTCTGGATGGACTCTCCACACCCAGCCTTTGCTAGGGTGCCATCACATTATTTGCCAGGCTTGTGTTCTAGCTCTCAGCTAGTCACTTTCTAATTTCCCCCTTAAACACCTGGACTCCCAGCCCTACCTCAAAGGTTGCCATAGGGAACAAAGAGCTGCTCAGAAAAGCTAAACATCGAGGCCTCCCTCTGCCTAACTCCCTCCAAATGTCCTTGGTATGGGGCAGCCTGAGAGGGCATATCTTTCTAGAGCCCTGAACAGGAATGGGGCAGAAATCCTTCATCCCTCGGGCTCTCCTCTATCCACACAAGAGTCTTTAAGGCACACACA
Source organism: Homo sapiens (assembly GCF_000001405.40). NCBI lineage: Eukaryota > Metazoa > Chordata > Mammalia > Primates > Hominidae > Homo > Homo sapiens. The sequence goes on along the minus strand of NC_000005.10, from coordinate 60,409,912 downwards.
TCTGACTGCTTTGTTCTTCCCTGCTTTTCCTTCTCACACTCCTGGGATGAGAAAGAGAGATGACAGTTTCCTCTACACTCTTCTAGGCCAAATCTTCATTTCACCATGGAAGAACTCTTTGAGCCAAATCATTTGGATATGTGAAAAGCAATACAGACATTTAAACATTCTTCCTCAAGACAATATGTCAGTAAGACTTGGCAAATGGCCTGTTTTGAATGCCAGATGCTGAATATTAACTCCTTCTTCCTTTATCTGTCTTAAGAATGTTTTATAAATTTGAAAAGCAAGGAAGAGCACAGTGATGTTTTCCAAAATATTAATCCAAAGTAAGCGCATAATCAATACAAGCTTTATAATGATGATGATGATGATGATGATAAAGTAACCATTAGCACAGGATAATTGCTATATAGATTGTTTTTACCCTTGGATAGCTTCTGGTTTTAGGGAAGAGACCATAACTTCAGAGCACTTGTGCACTTGGCATCATGACACGTAATTGCTCCGCCTCTCACAATTCTCACCCCCTCTGCCCCCTCCCCATCTCTCTGGCCACACAAGACTTTCTGCTCCTGGAACATGAAATGATTTTTCCTGCTTTGGGGTATGTAATAATTACTACTCTGTCACCTGAAGCCCTGTTTCCCATATCTTTTCTTAACTGACTTCTCATTTTCAGTCCCTGCCTTAAAAGCTGCCACCTCGATTTTCCTGGATCTTTTCTGGCCACCCTAACCGAAGTAGCCATCCCCACTTCCAGTTACTCTCCATACCACATCCTCCTTTTTCTTTTCTTTTCTGCATAAGTCACTATTTTATGTTTACACATTTTTTTGTCTTTCTACTCCACTAGAATGTAAGCCTCAAGAGGACAGGGGCTGTGTCCGCTTTATTCCCCACTGGGCTGGCAGAGGACCTGGCACAAAAAAGAGCTCAATACATAGTTATTGAATACATGATAAGTGACTGAATGCTATCTTATTTCAGATAAAAAGAATCATTATGATTATTAACATTGGTGACATGGATGTGCATGGAGCAAAAGTACCTTGCATAAGCACAGAAATAAGGATTTTCTATATTATATTTATTATGAACCATAGTAATGGCGAGAATATCTCTCTCCCTTTATTATTTTGTTCTATAGTGATGGTGGTGGTAGAGTGGGCTAGCACTGCCTCTTAAAAATGATAAGAAGTCCTTTGAAGGAAGACATCATGCTCGTATTTCTTTCACACTTTTTTTGATATTTAGCTGCTCAATACAAACATGTTGGTGATCATTGGTGGAGGGAGTGGGGAGTGGGTGAGGGAAAATTACAGGCCCTCCATTTGCATATGATTAAACTGGCAAGACTTTCCAGGCAAAGCAGTGCTTCAGAAATTATGTGATTGACAGAAGGAAGGTCACATATGTACTTTCTAGAAGAAGAGTAATTGTCAAGTTGTGTGCTGAGGAGCCTCAGAGCCTCAGTTGGCAATGGCTTATGTGGAAATTTTCATTTGAACAGAGAGTTTTAGGGCCACACCCAAGTGGAAACTACTTATTTCAGGATTGGAGCCTCCACAGAGAAAGATCAGAGGTGGGAATGAAACAAGAAATAGTTCCAGAGACTGCTGCTGTGTAACAAATTATCTTAGAACTTAGCAGCTGAGAACAACCATTTTTTTTATGCTCACGCAGGAAGCTACAGGTCAAGAAGTCAGTGAAGGCACAGCGGGAATAGGTTGTCTCTGCTCCAGCTGTGCAGACTTGAAGGGCAGGGGAGACCGGATGCCAGGATGGGGTCACATAAAGACACCTTCCCTCACATGTCTGGTGATCAGGATGGCTCCGTGTGGCTTAGTGTCCTTACAGCCTGGTGGTTGCATGTTGTCAGACACTGGGTGTGGAGCTCAGGACTCCAAGCATACGAGTTCCAGTAAAGAAGACGGAAGCTACACTGCTTTTCATGTCCAACCTTGGAAATCACACGGCCTCACTTCCACTGTCTTCTCTTGGTTGCAATAGTCACAAAACCCACCGAGTTCAAGGGAGATGACATAGACCGCCCTTCTAAATGGGAGGAGGGTCTAAGAATTTTGCAGCCATGTTTTAAACTAATATTAGGTTGGTGCAAAAGTAATTGCGGTTTTTGCCATTAAAAGTAATATAAGGGGCCAAGCGTGGTGGCTCACGCCTGTAATCTCAGCACTTTGGGAGGCTGAGGTGGATGGATCACCTGAGGTCAGGAGTTTATGACCAGCCTGGCCAATGTGGTGAAACCCCATCTCTACTAAAAATACAAAAATTAGCTGGGTGTGGTGCCGTGCGCCTGCAGTCCCAGCTACTCAGAGGCCGAGGCAGGAGAATCGCTTGAACCTGGGAGGCGAAGGTTGCAGTGAGCCGAGATCGTGCCACTGCACTCCAGCCTGGGTGACAGAGTGAGACTCCGTCTCAAAAAAAAAAAAAAAAAAAAAAAAAAAGGAAAAAGAAAAAATGTAATACAAATGTAAGGATGAAAGAAGCAAGCAGAGGGGAAGAGAGGGGTCTTGTATTCTGGAAAGGGAGATAGGCTTGTGACTGCGCGGATCCAGGTTACATTTACTGCACATGTGCCCTGCTTTTTTTGCAGCTAGAGTGTTTTGATGATCTTCTGAGAGAAACGTCTCCTTCCTCAGCTCCAGTGTGCTCGGGAGCTAAGAGCTGCAGAAAATCATTTGAAATCTTTGGTGGTCATAATAAAATAGGTAAAGGTACTCTCAGGTACTCAACGACCCTCTTGTCACCAAGCAGCTCCTCATCAGAACTTCTCCAAACATACACTCTCTCCTTTCCACCTCCAGCTCATCTTGCTTGGCCTCCGCTTTTTCCGTCACATCTCATCTCCTGGCCTTTTTCATTCCTCATCCCTACCTTATTTCCAATTTCAGTCACATTTCGGTGAACACACTGCTCTTGGTGCTTACAGCAAGGAAGGCTAGTTGTGTTGAATTTATAGTACTTTTTCAACCAGCCATTGGGAAGCACATGGAACTCCCCACACTCATTTTTACTGCCATTTTTTTTTCAACATAATTTACAAGAAATAGAAGGAATGTGTATTAGCTAATTGTGCCACGTGGTCCTATTTTCTCAGCAATACTTATTTTTATTAATGCAGCTGATAGAAAATGAGGCAAATTTTCATCAAAAAGCTTGCTAATGTAAAACTGAGAGTACCAGGCAGCCTGGAATAAAATAAAGAAACACAATTGTAATATTACTATTTTGGGAGTTTTACATTAAACTCCTACACAATAATCAAAGGTGGAAGTGTGATCATAAATTTTAGCTGGAATTTAGGAATGTGGCAGCAACTCTGGGGCACATTTACAGGAAAATCATAGACTCAAATGGAATTTGCTGAGGACTATATATCAATTTGCCATCAGAGTAGACAGTATTAGAAACCCTGGACTCTTCCCATTAATCATTGTAGATGTGGCATCTCAAACAGAAGAGAGTTATGGCGGTTATAAATCGTGCACTGAGAGTTGTTTTTTACTTTAGATAGAGAAAACAGTTGAAAGAGTTTGGGATAGCAGATGTATTGTCTCTGGTTCCTCCTTTTAGTTTTAAAAATTAATTGTGCATTTCAGAATCCTGTACTTTAAATATTTAGACATGGCAAGTTTTAAAAAGAAGATATGTAGGGCACATACTTCTCATCCACTGCTGACAGGCATCAGGAATGGGGTAAATTTGGATAGGAGATGCTTATCCATTCTATGTCACTGCAGATATGAAATTTTGTCTTATTGTTGTTTTGATTTAGCAGGAAATATCTTTATTATTTTTTTTCCAATGATGAGAATGGAAATGTTGTAATTAGTTAAGTCTGAAACTATGATTTAGGAAAGAAAAAAAAAAGTGCAAGATGATCTATTGCACAGAGAGCCACCCAGAGCCCATCTGTTGGATAGAATAAGGAACCCCTGTGGGTGTAATTGGGGCAGGAAGAAGGGGCAGGATATGGTGGAAAGTGCTTGGGTTTTGAAGCCCAACTTGTTTTTGAGTCCACGTTCTATGTTTTTCCTTTGTGTTCTTGAGCAAGATACTTAACTTCAATAATCTATGATCTATACATTGGGAATAATAATCACTATCTAGAAATGGTGTTTTAGAGATTAACATATTATAATAACCTTGGTAAAGTATCTGGCTTATACTCAGTAGAAGTATCTGCTTTATACCCAGCAAATATTCCTTTTCAAATAGATGTAGGCCACTATGTTATAATTAATAAGCAATACCATAAGCATTTGAATGTTTCTGCACAATGACCTATTTGCTGTCTTTTGTTAAATTTTCTTAGTTGGGGGAGTGAAACTCCTGACTAGCTTTGGGCTGGATATAGCATAGCGGTGCCCACCTATGTGGAATGGTTTGAAGAGTCCTCGACAGGGCCAGTGACCTCATTGTCCTTCATAGAGCCAAAAATTGCGCCAGTTACAGATTCAGTCCCCTGAGTTTTGAACAAACTTCCAAAATGCCAGATCTTCTATTATAATGCAAGTATTCTTGGTAGTTGAGAATGGAGGAGAGTTATGAGAGTGAGGTGAAATAGGTTAAGCTACAGGTTGCAAACTCATTCCTTGCTCCTCTTGGGAAAACTGGACAGTCAGATGACACATTATTGCCTGGCTGCAATTGGCTGCAAGGGGCAGCTGCCCAGTTTTGATGGGATGCCCACTCCTGATAGGATACTGATCCCTTTCACCTTACTCTTGGCATTCTTTAGACATTTTCACTGTTTTCCTGGCCCTTGCAACACCTGAAAACTTATTTGCCCACAGTTAATTAGAGAAGAGAACTGACAGATGTCAGCCAAATTTAGTTGAAAGCGGGTAGTCTGTATGTCAGAAGGCTCTATTGTTCTTTCATTATATGAGGTAGGGCAGGTGGCTGCATCTTTGAACTCTAGTTTCCTCCTCTGTGAGAAGATGGCTTAGAGGTTCCACAATCTCTCTACTTTTTCTCATTCTCTGGTTCCTGATGGTGATCTGGGTTCTACCTGAAGGGAGCCCAGGATTAGAGAAAGGAAGAATATTACAGGCAAACTGGTCTCTTTCCAACATGGCCCAATCCCTCTTGGCGGAATCTGCTTCAGGGAAGTTAAGCGTTTGTCTAGAAATTATGATGTCATGTTACGGAGCCCTTATTCCCTCCTCTATAAAACAACTTTCCTGTTGTCAATTCTTCTGTAACTATGTTATCTACTATGCTGACCACAGGGTACATGTGGCTTTCCACATTAATGAAAATAAAAGAAAATAAAATATCCTGTTCCTGGGCCACACAATCTCATTTCCAGGGCTCAATAGCCACATGTGGCTAGTAGCTACTTGGCAGAGGAGACACAGAAAGAACATTTTCATCATCACAGAAATTCTACTCTTGTAGAGAGTGCTGCTCTAGAAGCTTTAGGCCACTGAAGTTGTATTCAGCGACCTGACATCAGAGAGTTTTTGTAGTCACTTGAGCAGAGGTAATGCAATCCCTGGGGAAGACTTCCAGTTTCAATTACATTCAGGTTAACAAAGCCCATTGTTCCAACCAAAATAATAGTTGCTCAACATTCCATTCTGATGATTTTTTTTATCCAAGCAGTCAACATAGTTTCATTAAATACCACCCACTAATTGTGTACTAGTTAAATGAGGAATGAATGTGGCTCTGTCTCCAGATAAATGAATAGAGAGAGAGACAAAAAAAAAAAAAAAAAAAGAATTGGCTGACTCGGGGTGCTGGGTACACAAAATAACTTGGTTAGGCTGTAGGATCAGAAAATCTCTCTAGATCTTTTTTCTAGAACTTCCTTTTTCCTAGATCTTCCTTTCTGAGGAGAATCGCTCAGTTTTAACAAAGTGGCCAGTTTACACTAAAATGCTTGTCATTTATATAAAATATTGGCATTTGTTGCAATATTGCAAACCAAAGAGTCATTGAGTTCCAAACTAAACAAAAGTTTTATGAAACAGTTTGTCCTGTCCAACCTTAAAAAGAGAAGGCATTTACTATATGCCAAGCATTGTGCTGCCTGCTTCACGTGCATTTTCTAATGTGGGTTTCACAATACTTTCTTGACAAAGGTCAGCTGTGCACCTACCTGCTGGAGAGACAGCATCAGGAAGGAGGGAAAGCAGAGGTTGTGGAGTACAGCAGACTGGGCTTAAATTTCAGCTGTGTTACTTACTAAACTTCAAGACTTTGGGCATTTACTTAACTTCTATTAGCTCTAGTTTCCCTGTCTGTAAAATGGGGGACATGATACCTGCTTCATGTGATTGTTGTGATGATTAAGTCAGACAAGGCAAAGGAAGTGCTTGGTGCAAGACCTGGCACACAGAACATGAATACAGGGGAAGAGGTCATCTTTTCTGTCCCTACTGAATTGTACCTTGTATATATTGGACACTCAGCAAGTATTTGTTGAATAGATAGGTGGATGGAAGGGTGGAAGTCACATCTACAAAACATTCTTCATCTGCAGAACATTTCCTGAGAGTGTAGGTGGTTGCCTAAGTACAATGATTTGGGGAGGCCAAAAGTCTCTTATTCAACCTCAAACATCATCCCACTGGCTCTGGCTGCTATTTTGAAATTTAAGTATTCTTCATTCTATTCAGTTATATGTCCCTGTTAAAAGCAAATATTACTTTAGAGAAGGAACACACTAAGCTATTGTGTGCCATGGTTTTGGTCCACCTGCCGAGCCTCCTAAGACAGCACTGTGGAGTGGAAACACCTCTGATCTGGGAGCTGGATATTCTGGCCTCCAGACCTGGCTGTGCTAGCATCTGGCCTTTCCTGGGCCTTGACCTCAGATTTCCTATTAATTAAATGGAGGATTAGACTAGATCTTCTGTAAATGGTTTGGTTTCTGGTTTTATAAGTGGGTTACCAGGCAAGTGAGTTTTCATGTTGAGGCATGGGGCAATGCCTGGGTTGGATGGCTTTGGAAGGTGGCAATGTGGGGATTATAGCCCTGCAAGGACAGGGAGCTTCTGTCCAATGTGGTTACAGGGTGCCTGATAATAAGAGCATAAGGGACATACCATGAAGGAACAGGGGATCAACAATGACAGTTTTAGGACTGTTTCACAGCTTTGTTAGATACCAACCTGGTTTATAAACATCCCTTAGGAGTCTTCCTGGATATTAAGCATCAACATAAGATCACCTGGAATGAAGCCAGTTGACTGCTCCAAACGTGATCTTCAAAACTGGGTGCCCTTATGCAGCAAGGCTTGTGTGTATTGTGGAAAACTGCTCCAGGACATTCTGAAGCGTGACTGTCCACTCGGTGGTGCAACCACGGACTGCCAGAAGCTACTGGCCTGGAGCAACTGGCCTAGCCCATAGAAAGCAGGAATGAAGCAGCTCTTCGTGGCTGTAGGTGTCCCACGGAACAAGGGTAGAGCCAATTACTGAACACCTCCCACATGCCAGGCACCATAGTGGGCATTTCACACACATTGTCTCATGTAAACTCACAGCTGTTCCATGTAGTAGACATTACTGCCTTCACAACACAAATGGGGAACTGCAACTCAGAGAGGAAAGAAGTAGAGGTGAGATTTGAGAAGATTTTTGGATGCCAAAATTCGCATGTCTTCCCATGTATGTCGCACAACCTCCAGGATGTTCTGCAGATATCACTTGCTGTTATAGTTCAATGTTCTCTACCCATGGGCATTTAGGGTGGAATTATTGTTCTCACATTATTGCTATTTCAGGCATTGCTGGAACAAAGAAACAATCACCACCAGTGGCCCCATCTACTCTGAGAGAGAGCGTTTGAAGTCATCAGTCGTATTTTCCAGCTGTCAGGGTTCCAATTTAAGTTTTATGTTGGATCTTTTTCTCTTTACTCTTGGTTGATTGGAGTTATAATCTGTGTTTTCTTTCCCATTTTTGGGTATTCACATTTAGATTTTATTGAGATTCATTTCATAGTGCTTTAAAAGGTTAACAAGAAGCCTGAAACTCTCTGGGTTTCTTATTAAGATGCAGCAGGGAAGAAGACAGAGTGTTTCAGTTTATTGGGCTAGACATATCTGTTGATTGACGCAGATGCTGCAAACATGTTCTGGGAACCATTTCAATGTTCTGTAATAAGTAGCACATTAATCAGGACTGGGCAAACTGGAGGGGTCTCAGCAGGGTTGGAGTTTCCTGGGAAGTGCCTATTAAGATGAAGAATTAGCCAGTGCTCACGTTTAACACGTAGACTCCTGAGATGCGGCCTGGAGGGAGATGCCACAGAGTGCTGATCAACATTGGTGCGGATCACTGACGTGTGATCACTTTCACCTGTACATCATTATCAGTTCAAAGCCTCCCCCTGCCCCGTGGGCTTGCCGTGAGAGGGAGGCTCCATCCTCTTTTTTAACATAAGGGCAGGAGGGTGTGCACACTCCAGAGATGTGTGTCATTTACTCTTTGCAGCTTCAGCAATTGAGTAGACTGAAGAAAGATGTTCGTGAAAGGTGGACTTTTCTTTTTATCATCATTTGCCCTTTTTCTAGATTTTTCATTGTGAAGTGTGTTATATATTCAAGACTTTATATCATGTCATCAAAAGCCTAACCATAAAATAAGTCTTGAGTATGCCCACTGTACTGTATGGAGCATGAAGCCGGCTTTTTGTGCAGTCTCCTTGTTGGAACCACTCCTTGAAATTTGGGCTTATCATGTCCTGACTTTTCTGGACAGTTTTACCACATAAGATAGTTTGCTAAACATCTTCCCCGTATTTAAAATGTGGCTTTTGTGTAATAAAGCCCTGTGGACTCCATAGCAGTACCAAGTTTACAAAACTACCCCAGTACCACGGTTTTGTAAACAGTACCCCTGTTTGCAAAAACTGGCTCTGTTTTAAAATAGCTTAGATGGCCTTTATCCCAAGTGCTTGTGTTTTGATTATTCTCTGATGCAGAATTAAATGAAGAAATTTGTGCACGAAGCAAACTTCACCTCTGTATCCCCCAATACCACATGATCTCGGCTCACTGCAACCTGTGCCTCCCAGGTTCAAACAATTCTCCTGTCTCAGCCTCCCAAGTAGCTAGGATTACAGGTGCCTGCCACCACGCCCGGCTAATTTTTGTATTTTTGTTAGAGATGGAGTTTCACCATGTTGGTCAGCCTGGTCTTGAACTCCTGACCTCAAGTGATCCACCCAACTCGGCCTCCCAAAGTGCTAGGATAACAGGCGTGAGCCATCGCACCCAGCCCCTCAGTTTTAATTCTATAAATTAATGGATTTTATAGTAGGATGTTAGGACAAGAAATTTATATGTCATTACATATACTTGGGGATTGATAAGAATTTATATTTCTTTTTTTTTTTTTTTTTTTTTTTGAGATGGAGTCTTGCTCTGTTACCCAGGCTGGAGTGCAGTGGTGAGATCTTGGCTCACTGCAAGCTCTGCCTTCCGGGTTCACGCCATTCTCCTGCCTCAGCCTCCCGAGTAGCTGGGACTACAGGCGCCTGCCACCACGCCTGGCTAATTTTTTGTATTTTTAGTAGAGACAGGGTTTCACCATGTTAGCCAGGATGGTCTCGATCTCCTGACCTCATGATCCGTCCGCCTCAGCCTCCCAAAGTGCTGGGATTACAGGCGAGAATTTATATTTCAATATAGCAGAAAACTAATGAAAACTTTCGAACCCCAGTCCCATCCACTTCTGTTTTACCATTCCACATTCTTGTGTAGTGAGTATGGTTCTGAGGCAGTGGTCACTTTGTGATGCAGTCATGAAATAAATAGGAGAGAATCTGGCCATACTTGTGTTTTTCCAGATCCAAAGGTAGGATAAGCCTCAGATGCTGATGTGAATTTAGTGAGGGGTCCTGATATGGCCTGATGCCCTTGCTGTTACTCTGGTTGAGCACAAATGTGTCCTTTTATATCATATATCCACTTGAGATCTTCAAGGCAAGCAATTGAAACAGACTTTGGCTGGCTTAGGCATAAAAGTAACTTCTTGAGAGATACCAGGTTATCTGGTGGACTCACTGTAAAGTTGTAGGAACCAGACTTAGAATATGGGTGGGGAAAAAGGGAAGCCAGAGCCAAATTAAAAGTCACACCAGAGAGCCAGCTTGGGGAGCCATCACTGCTGCTCCTGCTGAACACTGGGCATGGGGCCGGCACGGCCACTGCTGGTGTTGGCCTTGGATACGGTTGCTTGGTGCTGCTGGACCTACTGGCCTGGCAACTGGCTGCTGCCACCACAGTTGCCAGGATGAAGTTTCTCTGTTCTCTGAGCCACTGGCCCCGGATTTGAAGCCCCAGGATGGATGTATATCATTGTCTATGACCATGATCTGTGCCATGACTGCCAGAGAGTCTGAAAAAGAAAGAATCTGGCTATCTTGACTGCTGTAATGGAAGGGGCTTTGTTTCCCACTAAGATTCACATGGCAGGAAATTCATCAAATATAGGAAGGGTTTCAGATACCAGAAGGCCACAGTCTGACAATACATAATCAACTCATTTTATCTAAAGGCATTCTTTTGAACCTTTAATTTTCCTTCTTGCTGACATCTTTATTCTTTTAAGCCCCTTATTAATAGTCTGTATTTCAAGTAGGAGAAGAAAATATAAAGAGATATCCTTCAGTTCCTTTTCTTTATAGCTTTCTTGAAGTTTCTATAAGCAATACTAAGAGGTAATATAGCCTCTGTCACACCCCCACCCCAAGAAATTGGATTGGAGAAGTGAACACACCTTCTGAGAGTGCAACTATAAAATAGGCCTAGAATGGATCAGATGAAAGGAAATAAAAAGCAATTATTTAAGTGGGGCTTAGATGTTGCTTAAACTTGGCTTTTCCTCCTCTATAAATAATCAAATTATAGATCTCCAGGGACCTAAAATGTTAATTTTGGGATGTATGCCTCATTGCAATTCAAAGATAGGTGGGTGCTTAACATGAGGAAGTAGAGTTTAGTGATTACAAACAGGGTGTTGGGGTTGGACAGACCTGGGTGCAAGTCCTTGTTCAGCTGTGTGACTTGGGGCACATTTCTTCACCCTCTGAGTCTGTTTCTCATTTGAAAAAGGGCAGTGGTAATCTTTATCTCACAGAGTTGGTATGGGAATTGAATAAATTCATATATGTAAATCCCATATTAAGTATTTAGTAAATAGCTATTCTCATTCTAATTCCTGTTATAGGAGAATAGAGGAGAAGTTGGTTCTCTTAAAGTAAAAATGGGTTGCTTTTGGAGGAAATGTCAAGCAGAGGTCAGTTGACAATGCAATGGGTGTTGTAGAGGAAGATCTAGCACTGGGGAGTAAGTGTGGTGGACTGAGGGATGTCCCAGGTTCCCTTCGATAGCTAACTCTATGGTACAGTAACTCTCTTGAGAACTCAGACAAGGATTAGTCCTCTCAGCTGGGCTACTCCTGATGTTGATGGTGAAACACCAGCCACTCAGGCAGTGTCCATCAATGTCAACCCTAATCTGGAAATGAACTGACCAGGCCAAGGTAGAAGCCTGTTGGTCTGTCCAACTAGTAACAGATCCGTAAAAGTGACAGCCACTTTTACCACCATCATTATAGCTCTGACCACTTTCCCTGACTTGATTTGGCCAATGTGTTGTGTGAGTGGTGGATGGAAGAAGCTAATACAGCTATGGCCTTCTTCAATAATGGTGAGGTACCACTATCATTTGCAAATCAGTTCAAAAATAGGAGGTCTTCCCAGCTGGGCACTAAGAGCTAATTCTCTTGGGCAATTTTTTTTATTGCATTCAACCATAGAAGATTAAAAAACAAAAAAGAATGGCATTTTCTCCTCCCAAAGCAAAACCTCTTGGATTCATGGTCTATCCTAATTATATCTTCTGGGGTAATCCTGAGAAATCTTGTCCATTCCAGTAGAGCCTGTGCTGTGAATAACTGTAAGAGTGCTCACCTAGTTTTGCTACAGTGCAAGAATTTCAAGGTCTAAACTCTATGAACAAATTGATTAGGGTAAGTTATTGCCTATAATGTGATTAAATTATACTATAAGGAATTATTTTATCTGATGGTTTTCCAACATGAGAGCTCAGGCAGAATAGCACAAAGGATGAGATTATAGATCTACTCATGATTTTCAAGTACATAATACACTGTTCTTAACTATAGTCAACACCTTGTGTAATAGATCCCTTGAACTTATTTCTCCTAGCTAACTGAAGTTTCCTATCCTTTGACCAATATCTCTCCCACTTACAACTCTCTGTCCCTAGCCCCCAGTAAACACCATTCTACTCTCTGCTTTTGTAGGTTTGACTTTTAAAATTTTCACATATGAGTGAAACCATGTGGTATAGTGTTTGTTTTTCTGTGCTTGGCTTATTTCACTTAATATGATGTCCTCCAGATTCAGTAATGTTGTTGCACATGACATGATTTCCTTCTTTTAAGGCTGAACAGGATTCCATTGTGTATATATACCATATTTTATTTACCATTCATCCATTGATGGAAACTTAGGTTGATTCCATATCTTGGCTATTGTGAATAATGCTGCAATGAACATGGGAGTGTAGCTATCTCTTCAAAATGATTTCATTTCCTTTAGAAATCTACCTAGTCATGGGATTCCTGGATCATATGGTAGTTCTATTTTTAATTTTTTGAGAAACCTCCATATTGCTTCCCATAATGGCTGCACTAATTTACATTCCCATGAACAGTGTGCAGATGTTCCCTTTTTTCCATATTCTTGCTAACACTTGCTAACTTTTGTCTTTTGATGATAGCTGTTTTAACAGATATGAGGTGATAGCTCATTGCAGTTTTAATTTGTAAGGGAAATGCACATTTAAAAATACTGTGAGTGCTAGTAGTAAATGTGGGATCCTAAAAATTTGCATTGGACCACGTGAAGAATTTCTTTTGTGAGGCCGGAAAATGGGCTAAGAGTCAGAATGACCTAGTGTTCGTCTTTGTTTCCATACAATTCCCAACCTACCTTGAGGTCCACGTCTGAATTTGGCTGTTGAAGGCTTTAATTTTCAAGGAAAGGAAAGGTCTGCCTGGGATAAGTCGGCCAGCAAGTCAGCAGAAGCAAGCCTAAGACTAAGGAAACACAGATCTACCTGTTGTCTAAGGCCAAGCTGGCATAGATACCTAACTCTGGGTCTTCTCTGTCTGGGGGCAAAATCTCCAGCCTTGAATAGGAGTCAGACCTGTTATGGTGGCTTTCACCTGAAGTCCCATCTACTCACGAGGCTGAGGCAGGCTCCCTTGAGGCAGGATCCCTTGAGCCCAGGAGTTTGAGGCTGCAGTGAACTATGATCACACTACTGCACTCTAGCCTCGACAACAGAGCAAGACCCTGTCTCTAAAAAGAGAAAAGAATAAAAAAAAGGAGTTAAAAGTTAATATAGAACCAGAGAGAGAGGGAACAGGTCTTCTCAGATGGGGTAATCCCTGGTTTGACTTTCCTTCTAGCCCCATGAGAAGAAGACCCGTAAGAAAATAAGGGAAGAAGCCAAAGAAATATGTGGCAGGGTCTTTCCCAGGTGGCAGCAGCCCAACCCAGTTCACCTTCCTGACTTCATAAAGGAAGACACAGGAGGCTTTTCTTATTTTTACTCCTCTCATTAGACTCCACCATCTGCAAAATGTTGTCTAATAATAAACTCTCAGGATCATCTATTTTAACATATCTGCTCCTTTGTGGGAAGAGTGAGTGTGAAAATTTGGGAACATGCGCAGTGGATAAAGCTGTTATTTTATGCAAAACAGAAAAGAGCAGTGCCCCCTTTGGGTGGATGTAGCCCTGTACCAGTGCACACAGCTTGGTATTCTCAAAGAAGCCCACAAAACAACCAAGGAGGCTGTTCCAGCTGGGCACTAGTAGCTGATTCTCTTGGTAACCGTGGGCTGGGTTTTAGCTATCACATGCCTGCTTGAGCGGAGTACCTTTGTGTGGTAAACAACCTGGACCACTCTACATGGTCCCCTGGTGGTGGTAATGGGCAGGCTTAAGCGGTGTGATATTGGTTAGGGGGCTCAAACAACTCATGGAATGGGCACCTAAGCAAGGTAGAGAGATGCAGAGCGGGGAGGGAGGAGTTCTGAAGGGGAGTTTGGCTTGTTTGCTTTTTTTTTTTTTCTTCTATCTTGGCACCCTTTATTAACAGAACACAGTGTAGATTATGCATTGTATTTTGAAAAAGAAAGAGAAATAAAAGGCGTAATCTTTGCTTTTGAGATGTTTTCAGTCTAACTCAGCAATTCCTTTCCCTCATCCTTTCTGCCTCACTACTTATTACATTTACTTCTAGTTCTTCCTCTTTAAATTGAAAAAGCAGAGGCAAAACCAGACACTGTGATAATGGAATTTTATGTTGTGGTCTTTGATTACACTTCCCTTCCAAAGCTTCAATATTTCACATTGTTAATAATAATGTTCTTTGTAGGAAAAAATCCTTAATTTGAAAATGTTGCAGATGGCCTTTTATCAGGAGCTATGGACTGTCAAAATAAATAGATATAATTATGAACCATTGTTGTTGAATGGGCCATCTTAAATAATAGCAGTCAAGTTTCCAGAAATTAAAAAAAAAACCTTACATTTTAAAAAGACCTCAGAATAATTAGTGGTCTCTGGTTGATTGGTTTTCAACAAGTTATTCAGCAGATGGAGGCTGTCAGATTTCTGCTGGTACGATTATTTTTGTAACTCAGTGGTGGAGGGGGGTGGTTTATGCAACTCAGCATCACCTCTTTGTTGAATTGGATTTGGTTTAAGAGAATCCCACCGCACCTGTACATTAAGATGGAGCATGAGGAAGGTCTTGGGACCGAGCCATTTGAAGAAAATCTAGGCTCGGGTGGGTCACTTTAGGAGTATTAGTATAGCCTTAGACATTAGCTCTTGGAACTACCCTGAAGGCGAAAATGTGAGACAGCTAATATTTCTCTGCAAGAATTCCTTGGGTTGCTGAGTTTTGGTTCTTGCCATCAAGAAAATGTTTGTACCGGAGCAAGATGTGGAAAACCCCAGATGAGAGGATATTAATGTAGATTCATGAGCTCTGCCAAAGTAATGTCATTACTGCTGCTCCATCCCTGAAGAAAGATCTTAAACATATGTAAATAGACAAGACAAGTTATAAATTGTAATTTAGTATCTGGTAACTGAAAGTCTTTACTTCATTTGTACTGAGTGATTACCTGAATTTACTAAGGAAAATTTTGGAGGTCACAGATTTGAGTTGAAGTCAATAAAATAGGATAAAAGTCTAGATGATGAAACTTAGCTTTTGTTGATTAGAGTTCTGTTTAGCTCTTAAAACTGCAGTAAATAAAATGTTATATTAGTGGAAAATACAAATGGATTCAGAAAATATAGACAAATCGATAGGCAATTGAAATGTATACATTTTATTTTCAACATATCAAACCTCGAGTTCAAAGTTCTTCATAAAAACACAATTCCTAAATTAACTTTACAATAACTGTGAGCATTCTTATCCCCATTTCAGTGCTACAAACCCAAGTTATGGGGAGAAAACTTTAAAAGGAGGCAAGAGCTGCCACTATAATTTAAAATATATTGTTCTCCACTCTTTTTACATATTCTTGAAAGCAGTTCATTAACGGTGACCTTGTGTAGGAAAAATTAGCATTTGTGCCAAAAAATTCTTTGTATGTGTTAGTTTGTGTGCATATTTTGGAGTCTTCATGTTAAAAGTATAGGACAGACCTACTTGACAAAGGTGAATTTTGTCGAAATTTTGGGGAGAATATAGATTTGAATTCATGTAAATAAGATTGAATAAAAATCCAGATGACTGAAACATATTTCATCTTTTGCTAATTAGAGCTTTATTGAGCACTTAAGCTGCAAAAAATAAGAGGTTATATTAGTAGAAAATACACATGGATTTAGAAAATTTAGGTAAATCTGTAGATAATTGGAATATAACTCAGGAAAACATTCAATGAAACCTCTTTTTCAACACATAGATTAGTACCCTAAGAGAGTTAAATTAGTGTTTTACTGTGAAACTATTTTCTTCCACACCAGAATCTATTGTATGTTGGCAAAGAAAAATGGACTAGCCATTCATTATCACCAAGAGTTTATTACTTACTCTGGCCACCTCAGTGTTCAGTGGGTACCTAAAGTGAAAAGAGTTTTAAGTGCTACCTTTGCAGTATTAAGTTTGAGTGAATCCAGGGATATTTGCTGTGAGTGTGGCAAAATGATTATTGTGGAATTGGTTGTTGAATTTGAATTTTTTGTTGCTGGCAAAATTCACATTGCCAAGTCCTCCTTTTAAATTGAAGAGTATTTTAAGTGAAATGCAATACAAACATATCTTATTCCTTGAACTTCTTGATTAAATTGGTAGTGTTTTTTATTTGTAGTAGGCTACTTATAGAGTTCTTTTTCATAAAACTTGAAGGTTCTTCTTCATAAATCTTGCAGCTTCAAGGGGAAAAAAAGGAAAAAAGAAACTTATTTCCTCTTAGACCCTTACTGTCACACCTCAAGTATTGGACACAATGTGCGATGCTTAAAGACTCTCTTGGCTTAGAAAAGCCTTTCTCCTCTCTTGGCAAATCAGGCAATGTGAAATCAGTAAGGGCCCAGTTCTCACTGTTTTCCTATGAAGTTGTTCCGATGTGTGACACATCCACCTTATGGAGGTTTAAGTTGGTTGTGTCTTGAGGCTCACAAAAGCAGGTTGTGGAATTGGTATAAGCATTTGATTTATTTGAACATATCTGGTGGTGTGTCATTGACTGACCCCTCTGTTATAAGCTTTCCTTCAAAAAAAGTCCATCAGAGACTTGAAGTTTCACAATCAAAGCTTTGTTTACTGGGCATATTTTTCAGCCTCAAGGAAATCTTCCCTGGCTCCCTGTAGAAGCAATAGTTACACCTTCCTTAGGGGAAGAACCCGTTTAAATGTGTTGCACATCTTCACCTCTTTTACTTGAATAAGAAGTTTACAATCTTCCCTGTGGTATCCTTCTTAGGGGAACTCTAGGAAGAAATGTTTGATCATGAGAGTGGTAACTGGAAGCATGAACTGGAGTACGGTGTTCCCCATTTAAAGAAATTTTGCTTAAATTTTTTTTTAAATGGCTTTCCAGAGGTCAGGCAAAGGCCAGTTTCCCCTTGATATTGGGAATTTCAGGGTGGGATTAACAAAAGGCTAGAAAATGAAGATGGAAAGGGATTTATAGCTACATAGCAGCAGCATGGACAATTTCCTAATGTGCATCTCTAATTAAATATTGGTGTATTAGCTTATTAATTACTTCAACAAATATTCATTGAGTATCTCTGCCAGGCAAGAATCTGGGCACCAGAGTTACAAAAGTGAATGAGGCACATTTTTCTTCCTGAGGGAGCCTAGAAGGAAATATACAATTAACTACAGTCATTGTTTCTCACACTACCAAATGAAAGAGGTGAGGCTTACCTGTTTCTCAATGTCGTTTTTCTGAGGACAAATAAATGAAGAAACTTCAACTAGAAAAAACAAAAATCATATTCACAGTTGGATTGTCTGTACAATATTGTCATCAGTAAATCATGTAATGGTATTATAGGACTTGGACTGAGTGTGACATTGCCAATTTCAGTTTGTAATTTGTTCAAACTTGCAAGTGATAATGTGGTACTTTATTTTGAGGAGCAAAACAATAAAAACCATCAGTACAAACTCAGGGTATCTTTGGTCCTAGAGATCTCTATTCACAATGATTCCTTACACTGTGTGAAGTATGAAAGTTCTATAAAAAGATTTCTCCACAATTCATTTTATAATAGTCCTGTCAGTAGGTTTTATTAACTCTACTTTTCTGTTGAAAATATGGAGTCTCAGTAATTGTGATTGAGTTAGTCATCCCAGGTTATAAAACCAACAGTTTCAGAAGGGTCTTGAATGAAATATCTTCTGCCTTTCAATCCAGGGAAGTTTGTACTATACCTCAACAAGGACTAAAGGTAAGGGCTAAACATGGAACATCACAGCTATCAAATTGATGAGAGAGGCCTTATCACTTCTTAGGTTGCTCAAGAGGATGATGTGAGCAGAATAATGGCCCCCAAAGAGGTTTATGTTCTCATCTCTGGAATCTTTGAATACGTTATAGGACAAAGGAGAGTTAAGATTGTGGATGGAATTAAGATTACTAATCAGATGATCTTATAATAGGGAGATTATCCTGGATTATCCTGGTGGGCCCAATTCAATATTTTAAAAGGTAGGCAGGAAAAGAGAGGGAATTGTGACTAAGGAAACTAAGGGGCAGTAGTCAGAGGGATATAACATTGCGTTCTTTAAAAATGGAAAAAAGGGCCACAAGCCACAGAATGTGGATGATCTCTAGAGCTGGAAAAGGCGAGGAAAGAGAATTTCCCCTAGAGCATCCAGAAAGAAACTCAGCCCTATGAACCTCTTGGTTTTAGCCCACTGAGACTCATAGGACTTCTGTCCTATGGAACTGTGGCATGATAAACTTTTGTTGTTTTATGCCACTAATGGTAATTTGTTAAAGTAGCAGTAGGAAACTAATCTGCGGGGTGGCTGTTAGAGCCTGATTTATAGCTATCTACCTTCAGAGCAGACAGTGTGACTGGGAGCCCCCTGTGATCACCATGTGGGGATG
Organism: Homo sapiens; assembly: GCF_000001405.40. Taxonomy (NCBI): domain Eukaryota; kingdom Metazoa; phylum Chordata; class Mammalia; order Primates; family Hominidae; genus Homo; species Homo sapiens. The sequence continues at coordinate 60,391,237 of NC_000005.10, read as the reverse complement.
TTATAGGTTAGATCAATCATTTATTCAATTATTTATTAATAAACATTTATTGCACATCTACTTGGTACAAGTCACTGTTCTAGGCCAAACAGTAAACAAGACATAAAAAATCTTGCCTTCATGAAGCTATCATTGTAGAAGGGGAAAGATAATAAATAAGTAAAATGCATCATATATTAGATAGCGATAAGTGATGAGGAAACTGTGAGGAGGTAACAGTGATAGGAAGCAGTGTGTGTGTGTGAATATGCATGTGTATATGTGTGCATGTTTATATTAGGTTTGTAAATTTTAGATGGGGCTTCTAGGGCAGGTTCACTGAGAAGGTGATATGTAAATAAAGACCCGAGGACTTCTTTTAGGAAGGAAGAAACAGCCAGTGACTTTCTATCCCAAGCAAAGGAAATGCAAAGGCTCTGAGGGCAGAGGGTTCCTGGCACGGGAGGGATGGGAGATGGTGAATAGGTGAGAATGTAGGTAAAACTTCCAAGGTGCCAGGTTGATTTTTTTAATAGTAGCTTATATTCCCCCTCAGGCCAAGCCTTGGAGATTTTCTCCTCAGCTGGTGGTTCTTGTTTTTTTTTTTTTTTTAAATTATCATTTCTACTGCAGAGAAAAAGCAGACCATTTCCAAAGGGCAGCCTAAGGGAGCTGGAGGCAGAGAGTATCAGAGAGTGTTTCAGTGCTGATAACCAATTTTATGGATCAGTCATTTTAATTAATAAGGAGAATGGGGGAAAGTGATGCAAACAATGTAAGTCCTGGTTGGCATTTCCTTGAATGTTGAATACCTCTTACTTTTCAAAGGGTAAGGAATTTGGTTAGTGACTGGAAACAGGCAGAATTGGGGTTGCGCTAAACTCAACCAGAGGTCACAGAGTACTGTTGGCAAAGGTTGGCCTCTTTTTCTTGCTGCACGTGGCTCGTATTTAATATACTACTGCAGAATAACTTTGATCTCTCTGCCTTTAGACAGAAGTCACCACCACTATCCCCCTAAAGCTATTGGCTAGCATTTCTTTAAACAAGCAGGCTGCACAGAGCTCCTCATGTGACTCCAGCAGGGGAGGAAGGGAGGAAGTTGCATGGGTTGGACACCCAGAGCTAAGAAGTAGAGAGATGTAGGTAGAAGGGCCAGCCAATTGGCAGCAGTAGGCTGCAACAGCCACACACTTGCCCCGGGAAGTGGGAAATAGGAGGGATGCTAGAGCTTGGTTTCTAACATGGCAAAGATCTATGAGAGCGAGAGAGAATAGTAATGGAGTAAACCAAAGGAAGAAATAAGATGCCTCCAGAGGGATATGGCAGCTTTAAAACATGGCCTCAAAATCCTTTGACACTCCTTCCATCAAGAAATGGGGTCTATGTCTCTTCCCCTTGTATCCTCTTGTGACTGCTTGACCAATGGGATGGGGTAGAGGTGTCAGTTTCTGGTGCAGACCTTCAGAAATGGGTCGCTTCTACTTTGTGTATCCTGAGAGGCTTGCTCCCAGAACCCAGCCAACATGTTGTGAAGAAGCCCATAGAAAGGCCCGTATGGAGAGGAAACTGCAGTCAGCCATGTGTGAGAGTCATCTTTGAAGCAGATCCTTCAGCCTGTCAAGCAATTCCAGCCGACATTACATGGCACAGAGATGAGCTGTGCCTTCTGAGCCTTCCCCAAATTGTAGATTTGTGAGAAAATGAAATCACTGTTGTTACTTTCAGCTACTAAGTTTTAAGGTAGCTTGTTATATGTGAACGATTGTAACAGGGTGCATTTTAGGTGACTAGGAAAGAGAAATACCAGGTTTCATGCAATATTGAGGTTGCTTTGTTATTCAAGTATATAAAATATAAATCATATGATTAAAATTTTTTAATCATTTAGAGTTTTTTTATTCTCTCCTTCGAAAAATGCACATATGCCAACCTTTTGAATACAGTTTCAAGAGTCTGAATACCTTCTACATCCATCCATGGGCATAGACTCCAAGCTGAGAACCTCTGTGGTCAGAATTTCTTCTCACTACTGTGTTATAAAGTGCAATTTGGTGTAAGCTTAGGGAAGGAAGAGGGAGAAGACACTGGACTTTCTATTGTTAGACTTGTATTTTATTCCAATCCTTTCATAGATTTGCTCTTTGATTGGAGATAAAGTGTAAAACCTCTCTATATCATATTCTATATCTATATGATATTCTATATCATAATTTCTTGGATGGCAAAATGTGGATTAAAATTCTGTCCTTTCTTTCCTCAAAGGAATGTTGAAATTAAAAAAAAGAAAAAAGAAGTGAATATGCTTAGAAAAGCCATAACTTGCCCATAAGAGGTACACAATGAATATTTGTTGAATTTTTAGCTGTCGTTATTGATAATGGATTACTTAATTAGGTCGCTGTGGTGTTATGATATAGATACTTGTTTTCATCCATGGTTCCTGGCTTCTAGCTCCCATAATCCTTGTTATAATGTTGGGGCACTTTAGGCCTCAGGAAACGGAATCTTTCCCTCTAACCTTCTCCTGTCCTCCTTTCACTTGCCCAAGGCAGGACTCTAATCTGATTGTCGGTCAAAATACCCTCATTCCAGATCCTGTCCTATGCAGGCACATGGATGAAGCTGGAAGCCATCATCCTCAGCAAACTAACACAGAAACAGAAAACCAAGCACCGCATGTTCTCACTCACAAGTGGGAGTTGAACACTGAGAACACATGGACACAGAGAGGGGAACAATATACACCAGTGAGGGGAGGGAACTTAGAGGATGGGTCAATAGGTGCAGCAAACCACCATGGCACATGTATACCTGTGTAACAAACCTGCACGTTCTGCATATTTATCCCATTTTTTTTTTAGAAAAAATAAAGAAAAAACCCCAAAAAACCAAAATACCCTCATTCCAGAAAGAGTCCTGCTCTATACCTAAGAGGAATGAATGCTACACAGAGAGGCCAAGAAAAGTCTGAGTAGATAGGCATTGATGGGTTTAGATCATGCACTTTTTGTCCAATCACATTTCTACAGGGTTGTCAATCATGTTTATGTAATGAAGCCTCCATAACAACCCAAGAGGATTGGGTTTGGGGAGCTTCCAGATAGCTGAACACGTGAAGGTTCTTGGAGGGTGGTGCATCTACGGAGGACGCAGAAGCTCATGCATCTTCCCTCATACCTCACCCTACACATCTGTATCCTTTGTAATATACTTTATAATAAACTGGTAAGGGTAAAAGTGTTCCCCTGAGTTCTGTGAGCTGCTTCCAATTCCAGTTAATCAAACCCAAAGAAGGGGTCATGGAAACCCCAACTTGAAGTTGGTTGGTCAAAAGACACCAGACTTCTGACTGGTGTCTACAGGTGGAAGCATCTTTGGGACTGAGCCCTCAACCTATGGGATCTGATGCTATCTCCAGGTAGATAGTGGCAGAATTGAATTAGAGGACCCCCAGTTGGTGTCCACTGCTTGATGTGTGGGGGCAAAACTCCACACTTCGGGTAACAGAAGGCTTCTTCTGTGTTGATGACTGTTGTTGTGGTGGCGTGAGAGTAGAGGAAAAACACGGTTTGAGAGAGCTTTTCCTGACACAGAAGCCCAGACCTTTAAGGGCAAAGTTTTGTCCATAAAACAACCCTAGAACAAGGTCCCCAGGGAAAAAGCACCAAAGGGTATAGGAGTGGAAAGAGGGGGTCAGTACAGGCATCTCTGCCCCTGTCACCCATGTTACATTTTACCCTCTGTTATCCTTCATTTTATAGTCAGTGTAGGGGAACTAGGAGAAATGGTAACACGCAAAGATTGGTATCAGTTTACACCAAAACAGAACACACTGCTGGTGAGCACAGGGAGTTGGAAACAATATACACAAAAGTCTCACAAAATAGAAAAGAACATGGATACTGGCTCTAACATTGACGTCATTGGGATACAAAGTCTATTTACATTGTTTCTTATGAGGTCAGCAAAACATTTCAAATAGCAACTCCTTGGCTGCCTGCAGTGGGTCTGCAAATGTGAAATAAAACATGAACTGCAGACCTGACTTATGAGCAGGACGTTCCAAGTTTCCTTCTTTGCTTTTTCTGTAACAGATCACCTTGTCCTTGTTACTGCATTGGTAGATTTTTATCATCTCAGATGAAAGAATCCTAGTGTTGGCCAGGGCAAATCCAAAACACAGGTGATGAGAGGCAACACCCAATGTTAAAACCTGATCCACTGTGGTTATTTTTCTTTCCCATTGGGAAACTATAAGGATGCAAATGGGCAGGAGAGTAAAAGCAGCAATCACGTCTGCATGGACTGAAGGCAATTTAGTTTCTATCAGACATGGTGACAGTGATCAATGCATCACAAAATCACAAACAACAGATGCCAAGCACAAACTGTGTCACAGATCCCAGATCAAAGATATCTACCATATGTTTAGCTTTCACATCAATGTACATCAAGTCAGTTTTGAACTAGAAGCCTTTAGATATACAGTTCATTACTTCTTTCTCCTTTTTCATCCTCTTTTGTCTCCAGGAAGTTCCCAGAATCCGAATTTAATCATTATTCAGGTTTGGGTATATTTGCATATAAATGCATTGCTTGTGATGGATCCAGTGAAAGTTCATGCGCAGGGCTGCCCCTGCCCAATGCTGCACTGGCTTTCTGCCCATCAGTGCTGGAGCTGGCAGAACCCCCCTGCAGAGGAACGGAAGCAAGTGACCTAGAGGGGCCTGCAAAGAGTCTTAGGAGGGCAATTACAACACGTGTTTCTTCCTTTTAGGAGTATCTAATTGGGTTCAATGTGAAGGCAGCTCACTGTCAGGCACATAGAAGAGACTCTGAGTTAGAGAGGTTGAAATGTGGTCACAAAATATCCATGAATGTATTAAATCCATAAGGATTTATTAGGGGCTCTTAAGCATTTGATTCCCTTTAAGGAAATCACTGCTAATAAAGAGGCACACAGCTTGAGAAGCTGAAGCAGAGTGAAAAAAATTGATTTATAGCTCATAGGTAGAGAAAGCAAAATTCCTAATTAGTCATTTTTTTTTAAAGCACGTACTAAAGGGAAAATTACTATATATTTTTTTCCAAAGTTTCCTTGGTCTGGCTGTTGTTTGCCATTTTAATTACAGATTTATTATTTATTTTGTATAATATATAACTCAGGAATTATTATTATTTAATTTTTCCTCTTTTTTTTGCATTGGGCTTGGTGCTGGGGAAACAGAGACAAATTATGCAGAGTCCTTTCTTGTTGGGAATTCACACTCTGGCAGCCTGGTGTAGCCATGTGCACAAACAACTACTGTGCAATTTGATGAGAGAGACAGAAGGCAGGGCAGTGGCACAGGTGGAAGTGCCCAGCTAGGGTACAAGGAATTGAGGGAAGGCTCTTGAGAGAGAAAGAGATCTGAGAGCTGTATCTTCCTAAAAAGTTGGTGTATTCCAGGTAGATGAAAATAGGATTGGGAGACAGAGGTGGACATTCTGAGAAGGGGGAGTAGTAAGTACAAAACAGAGGTGGCAATAGCATTATGGACTTGGGGACCGTTAGTAGGTTGATAGGATTATAGCACATAAATATTAGACCAGAAAGACTGAGAAATGATGCTGGAGAAGAAAGTAGGACACAGGTCATGGAATGACTTGCAGGCTGCACCAGAGGCACTTGGATTTTATGAGAGCCTTGGAAGGTTTCTGTGGCAAGTGTTGCCAGTGCCCCTCTCATATTCCCTTGGCAGTCACTGTTACTGTACAAGACAACAGCTACAAGTCTCAGAGACTACAAGTTTGCAAGACTGTAATGAGGCAGGCCCAAAGCACCAGAAGTTAACATCCTTGAGAGCATCGCTCAGACAATGATGCATGAATAGCTCAGATTCTTCACCCCTGGTGAGGATGAGTCTGCAGCAGGTTTTGTATAATATCTTGGAGGTTCCCGGTGACATTGAGTCTCACCTGATCACAGCAGTTGTCTGGTCATTTACACACCAGTATTGTTCCTTCCCATACTTGCCATTCTTCCATACCCTCCTACATTTTGCTTCCTGGAATCCCTTCTCGAAAAACTACTCATGCTTAAATTCTTAGCTCAGGCTCTACTTCTGGTGGAATCCAATCTGGGACAGGTTTTTGGCTTGTGGAGGAACAGTGGCAATGAAGGCGGAGTCTGGATGATTTTCATGAGAATGCAAGAGAGAGTGGAAGACTCTGGTTCAATTTAGAAAGCACAGTTCGTTGCAATTATGGCCAAGCTGTATGTATTCTGGGAGACAGGGAAGGACTTTTCGATGATTCAAGGTTTAGGTTTGTTGACTGGTGGGATCCATTAAGCAAAATAAGGAATACAAGAAGAGGAATAGGATTTTTGGTGAAATGTGTGGGATTTGGATTTGATTATGCTGAATTTGAGGTATTTCCATGGACAGTGTAGGCATTGGGGAAGAGGACTAGTTGCGACACCCCAGTTTGGAAGCTGAGCATCAGCCCCTGAGTAGTAGTAGAAGAAGTGGGTGTGGCTGTGGTCACTCAAGCTGAGTGTGGGGATGGGGAGTAGGAAGAACCCAACAGAAACAAACTTCTGGGAGTACCAACCTTTAACAATCAAATAGATGAGGAGGAACTTGCTACAGTGAAGGAGTGATCTGTAGCACCAGGCAAGGGCCAGGGGAGTGATGTCGTAGAAGCCAAGAAAGGAAATCATGTCAGGAGGAGAGAGGAAGCAAACAGAGTCAAAGACTGCAGAGAGGCTTGGCAAGGTCAGACTTCAGGCTCCCATTGGATTTGGAAGTTGAGTGGTCATTGTTTATTTAAGAAGTTCATACTAATTTGGATCAATTAGAAAAGTAGTAGAGATTACCTCCACTTAAGACATTTAGTTTTATTACTTGAAAACTAGGCTAACCAATAATTGCCTAGGACAGGGATTGCTTTAATGAATAGGTAAGAATAATTTCTAATTATAGGGTGGCATGATTTGCGTTACCATACTGAAAAATGCTGCCCCTCTATTTGTATGATTTGTATGAAGTTCAGTACTTGGAAAGCTTCAAGTTTGTTCACCTAATTAGGTAAGGGTTTTTCTTTTAAGCTAGTTGCTGTTTTTTAGTTTCAAGTTGGTCCCTATTTCTGTTTGAATTATCACAGGTTTCAATTTTATGTTGCCAAAAGATAAGATTTAATACCATAGCTGATGCCCCTTTGAATTTTGAATAACAATTCTATTTTCTTTATACTATTTAGTTATTTGTGGTTAAGAATCTGGTCTGTAGAGTTAGACTGCTTAGCTATTACAGTAGCTTCAACACTTACTCTTTAAGATCCCTGGGTAGGTACTGTGCTTCTCTGTGCCTTGATTTCCTCATCTGTAAAATGGAGAGAATACAACTTTTTTTCAGAAGTTAATTCTTAGTACCAAATGAGCTAATTCATATAATGTATTTAAAGGCATTTTAAATGGCACAGAGTAAATGATCAGCACATTTTAGCGTTAGAAATATTTGTTAGTATTTTTTCTATTTATAATTTGTTACTATTACTAAAAACTGGGAGGCAGAATAGTATAAAGTGATAATGATTGAACTATAAAACAGATTAGGGTTCTGCTCTCAAATTTTCCGCCAACTCTCTGAACTGGGACAAGTCCATTCACCTCTCTGAGTTCACATTCTTCACCTATAAAAGAGGGAGGTTAGAATAGAACATCTTTCAAGCCAGCCTTAGTTTTAATATTCTGGGAAGCACACCTTTTGCTTGGAAGTAGCTGATTTACACAGTAGTCTTAGCTGTAGTGTGTTTTCCCCTAAGGGAAAGATAAATGGGCTAAAAGGAGAAATGGAAGGCATTTCCATTAGGCAATTGCTTTCTGGAAAGTACAACTAATGTTTTGGTTGGTTTATTTTCATAGAATTCATTTCTTGGGCTAAAACATAAATCAGTTACTATATTCAGAGGGCTTATCATTTCTTTTTTGAGTATACTTATGGTTGGAAAAATTCCAAGTGTTTTTCATTTTTTTGCCCTGTTTTTTCATACCTTTTACAGAAAAATAATTGTTTTTAGTGCATTCATTTCATTTGCTAATGTTATAATCTGTACAAAACAGCCCACCTAATTATTCTTTTAGATGTTAAACATGACACATGTAAATAAAATGATAATTATAGAATGTGGTGTTTTCTTGTATCTTACATTTTTTAGATCTGAAAATTGGTCCCTGTTCTTATTCTGCATGTACTCCAGTGAAACTTTCCCTTGATGAGTTATTTTTCATGCGCACACATGGGGGAGCTTTTGAGACACTAGTTTGAATGTTACACTTTGAAGACTTTCTCAACAACTTGACCCTAAGATGATGGACTGGAACTCTTCATTGAAGGAAGTGTAGCAGGGTGCAACTGGCTGTAGAACTGACTTCCCTAGCGCTCACTGTCTCATATGCAGCCCTAGAACCAATTCATAAATCTCTTTGAAAGATAGCCATAAACATGTATTCTCTCACACAAAAGAGTAGGGCTAAGAAAATGAAAACGAAAAGTGAAGGCAGATCCAGTATTTTCTAAAACTTCAGTAAGAAGTACCTGAGGTCATAAACTTGGGGGGCTGCCTCTTCCGGTGAAATGGGGGAAGTCAGCCAGAAACTCTGATTTTGACAGCAACATTATTTAAAGGAGTTTCTGAAATGATCAAACATGTTCTTCCATAGAAGAATAAAAGTCTAAAAGCACATGAGAATATTTTTAAAAAATCACCTCTGGAGGAAGCAGAAACAAAAGTGAGTGGCTTGAGTTGAGTCCGATGCTCTTGGTGTCTAGCTCTGTTTGCCATTTAAAGAAAATGCAGAAAAATAGAAATGTGTTAAGTGAAATGAAACCCCATAGGACCTTGACTGACTTTATTGTTATCTTTCTTTTGACCCTAATTTTTGGGGTAGCTAAAACCGCAAATAAACATATAGAAATAGACCTGGTGTTAGCCACATAGATACATGAAGTAGCATCAGGAATGACTGGGGCTTTTCTCTGCCCCAGTTTATTTGGAAATAACTCCAAACTATTTCATATATAAATATATATATATTTCAATGCTTATCATAATTACATCTGAATATTTTGCTCATAAGACAAACTTCTAAATGCCCTTAAAATGAGGCTTCAATGAGGAAATAAATACAGCTGATTTTAAAATGTTATTTAGTATCAAGAAAAAACTCTTTAGCAAATATTTCCTGTGAAAAGTATACAGTATAACTAGCTTAATATATAAAATTAAACAGAATCTTTCATGATGAATTGAAAATAGGTAAAATTTGTTTTCCTTCTCATTGTTTTTTCATATGTAGACAGCCAAGTTTCATCCTTCACAGTTTGTGTTCAACTCCTTGCTGTTTTTTTCTCTAATCTTTTCCTCAGTGCCTTATTCATTCTCATGGTTTTAACCATTAACTATATTCCCATTCTGGGCTTTCATCACAGATTCCAGTTGTACATTTTCTATTGCCCATTGGATGTTCCTACCTGGATATGGAAGTCAAATTGAATGTCAGCTACCAAATTTACCTTCCATCCTCCACTTGCTTCCTCGGCTTCTTTCTTTACCCACCCTCCCAGCTCACCAGTTCCTTCTGACTTTCCCGTATCTGTTCACTAAACTACCATTTTCTGAATCACCTGGCCTTGGAAATTTGGTGTCATCTTTGACATTAACCTGTCTCATGTACACTACTGTATCAGGGGTTCCCAAGGCCACCCTCAGACTTGCTAAAAGGATGCATGGGACTCAGAAAAGTTGTTATAGTCACAATTATGTTTTACTTAGTGAAAGAATACAGACTAAAATCTGAAAAGCAAAAGATATGTGGGGAAAAGTCCAGGAGAAATTAGGTGCAAGCTTCTAAAAGTTTTTTTCCAGTAGAATTGCACAGATGCACTTAATTCTGCAAGCAATACCGTGTGACATATGCAAAGTGTTGTCAACCAGGGAAACACTTGAGCTTTGATGTTTTTAATGGAGGCCAGCCACATAGTCATGCAGCACCTGTATGACTTACCTCAGCTACTCAGACTTCAGCTCCTCAGAGAAGGAACAGGCAGCCATCATGCATCACATTGTTAGCATAAACTATCTGATCAAACTGGTACCACATGCTCCAAGGCCTGAGGCATACAACACTCTTACCAGGCAGAATATACCTGTGGCTCAAGGCTTACTCTCAGGAGCTGGCCTAAGTTCAGTCTTGAAGAGAGGTTTTTCTTGGGCATGTGCAGGGCTTGAGCCACCTAGATTTGCTGAGTTAATCTTACTACACATGCACGAAAAATCACCAAGCTTTGTTGGTTACTGGGAAAATTCAGAGCACATACTGTGGTGTTAGATATGTGTTTGAGTTCTGCCTTTGAGACGATTAAATGAGATGTGATTAACATACTGCTGGACACATAAATACTAAGTGATGTCGATTTCTCGTTGTTGTGATTTTTATTATCTCTGCCCTTTTCTATCCAATATCACTTCTTATGTTTAGCCTAAGACCTTATTGTGTTCACCTTCAAGGTGCACTAGCTTCCCATATCAGTGAACTTAGGATGTTACGCTGCGCTAACAAACAATCTCCAAATTGGTATCACTTGCTAAAACAAGAGAGTTATTTCTTGATGCTGCCGTTTGTCTATTATGAGTTGACTGCAGCTCTGCTCCAAAGTATAATCATTCTGGGACCCCGACTGAAGGAACAGCCCTGATCGGGACATTGGGGCAAAAAGAAAAGAGCGTATTATAGAACCATAAAATGGCTCTTAAAATTTTGCTTGAAAGTGGTGCATATACTATGTATTCCCATTTTATTGTCTAAAGTAAGTGACACATCCCAGCCTGAGGTTATTGGATTAGGGATGTATACTATTCCCTTGGAATGTTTGAGCAGTAATATAATCTATCAACTTCCTAGCTAGCCTCTGTGTTAAATGATCATTAGAGTATCTAAAGAGGCTGGAAGCAGAGAGGCCAGCTAGGATACACTAATCTATCCTGCTGACCATCACTAAGTTCACATCCTCAAAGTTCAGTGTTGACAAACCATTTCTGTTCTCTATAACTGCCGTATCATGGTCTTCTCTTGATTAGTCACGTAAGCTCATTTTTAAGCTCAATCACCCATGACTTTCCTATACGCAAGTGAAACCATAAAATTAACCAGCATCGGGCACATTTTATCTTAGCACCTTTTATACCTTTGCTCATACTTTCACTGAGATTGAGGGCTCTTTTTTGAAGATAGTTACCATTTCATTCACCTTTGAATTCTCCAGAGCCCAGGTACCTTACCTGTGGTCATGGCTGAAACATGTAATCAATTAATGTAAGAAGAAGTATTGTCCCAGTGTTTCAAAGAAATCCAGGTGCTATTCAATGACAGTGAGACGTCAGGCCAAGGGGGTGAAGGGAGGCTGAAACCCAGTCCATGCTTTGCTCACAAGCCAAGTCCTGAGATGGGATGAGGAGAAAGAGGTGTCTTTTTCTAATCTCATTAAAGCACTGAGTAGTGTGGTGGGGGCTTTTCTTCTGGGGTTTTGTTTACTAAAAGACTTCCTACAAAGAACCTGTAGGCCCCACAAAGATCATATGCATGGACATTATTGTAGGGCAGCAGGAGAAAAATGCTATTTTGGTTCTGCTTTCTAGAAATTTTCAAGTGCTGGGCTACCAAGTCAACTAGCTCCTCTGCATCCTTTAGATGTCTGTGGCTGAGGACAGCTTCATGAGATTGGGTCCTCAGAGCTGCTTTGCACTTCCCAAGAATAGACCTGTGGACCATGTCCTTTTTGTCCACCCAAGTTTTATTTATTTTTGGGACAGCACCTCTTTTACCAGAGAAAGTAACTCTTGCGGCTAAAAATATACCGGAAATAAGAATGAAGAAAAGTAACTGGATCAGCTATACTTGGTAAAAATACCTAAAGCTCTGTTTCATGAAAGTGTTTCTAAAAATAAAAACTAGTCCCTGGCAATGCAGCAAATAGCCAAAACGACTTCTTTGGTTGATTGGTTTTAATGTTTTTTTTTTTTTCTTTTCCTGGTTACAGTTTTAAAAACTGCTCCACAAGAAATTTCTTCCAAATTCAGTGCCAATAGGGAGCATTGCCTATTAGCAGGCACACAATAGTTAAGAGCAGAAAGGCATGCAATAGGGCTTTGATTGTCCAAGGCAGGGTAACCATGTATGTAGGACCTTTATTGCTGCCTGGGAGGTGCTTCAGTGTGGGGAGTAAATGCTCAGTCAAATTTGGCATAACAGCTTTAAAGCAAGTGGAACCACTGTGCATGTTGTCAGCAACATACTGCTTTCTTTCTTTCTTTCTTTCTCTCTCTCTCTCTCTTTCTTTCTTTCTTTTTCTTTTTAGTTTTTGAGTCGGAGTGTCGCTCTGTCGCCCAGGCTGGAGTGCAGTGGTGCTCTCTAGGCTCACTGCAATCTCTGCCTTCCGGGTTCAAGTGATTCTCCTGCCTCAGCCTCCTGAGTAGCTGGGATTACAGATGGGCACCACCATGCCCTGGCTAATTTTTGTATTTTTAGTAGAGATGGGGTTTCACCATGTTGGTCAGGCTGGTCTTGAACTCCTGACATCGTGATCCACCCACCTTGGCCTCCCAAAGTGCTGGGATTACAGGTATGAGCCACCATGCCTGGCCCTTTTTTTTCTTTTAAAAGTATTTTACTTATGTTTCTATTTTGTGTCAAGGGGGCTGGTTCCTAGATTACTGAGGGAATAAGCCAAACAGAGCAAAATTTGTGTCACTCATATTAAGGTATTAATTTCAGCACTAATGAGATGTTGAAAAACATGGCAAAGGTGATTAGAGGATATTGAACGAAGGTAAATTAAGTAGGTAAACTTGGATCCTTATGTTCGGAATCCTGGTATTAGGAGTAGAGTATGGAGCTAATTGCACTGTGGTTGGAAAGGGTTTTAAATTATAGAGAAGATGAAGTTTGATCAACCCAACATGTGTCCCCTTTACTAGTGGGAAGACACAAGGGCATTCATGTCACCATGAAATATTCTTATTAATTTATTGAAATACCAGTGTATTTGTGGCATTTTGGGATTACTATCATTACCATAACAGAACTGTTCTTGCTTCATATTTATGCGCTCCAAGATTGCTCTAAAATTCCTTCATATCCAACTGGGCAATTATGATTCACCCATTGGACAAAACAATATAGTTCTATTCTAGCACTCAAAGGATGTAGTCATCACTTCCAAGAGTGAGCAGACTTTCTGGAGCCAGGTCAGAAAGAGACATTAATGTTGTCTTCATTTAAATACTATGTGTAGAAAAGACCTATGTATTTCCCATTGAGAAGATGGATCATCTTTTTCAGGAATTGTTTTTCATCTGTAGTCTCATCAGATCCTGTTAATATATTTTACTTTGCCTTTGCTTTTTTTTCCATTTGAATATATCTTTTTCTCCTTTCAGCATGATGAAACGTCATTTAATTATAAATTTTTGTCTTCAAGACCTCCCTTTAAGCCTTTAACGGGGAGTAATATAATGACTACTGGTAGGTACAGTCAGTCAGTCAGTTACCTCTGGGATCATTCTTTGCAGTTCTTGGCTCTTGGTTTCTGTAGGAGTTGGCAGGTAGATGCCAAATTTTCTGTCTGAGTGGTCACTCATGAGATCTTTGACTAAACTCATGGATTGTTTCTTATCGAGGCCTGAGTTGGCCCTGTTGTCTGTTTTGGCTAATAAACAATATTTGGTCAGAATTTGAAGCTGATAGCTTTCTCTCAATGTTCTAAATAGATTCTATTCCTTTAAAGTGGTTAAAGTAGAACAATCCTTCAATCCCTTGATCTGATTTATGGCAGTAGTAATAAAGAGGATTGTTACCCCAAATGGGCCAGTTGTTTATGCTTGTTTATTCATTTATTCTGGAATGTTTGAGTGTCCACGATATGCTGACTCTGTGCTAGATACTGGGGGTTCAGTAGTGAGGTCCAAGTCAGATATAGTCTTTGTCCTCATAGTGTGTAAAATAGTGAAATCTAATGGGGAATACAGAAATAGGCAGTGACAATAAACTGTATTGTGAGGAATGCTATAGGCGAGAAGCACAGTGAGCTCACAGGAGGCACATGGACAATATTTGGTTGCCTGTGTTTACCAGGAAGTGTGCTAAAAGCTGAGTTTACAGTTAACTAACAAAATAGACACTGTCCTTGCCATCGTGAAACTTACTATTGGTGAAAGTCAGTGTTGACTGAATAATTACATACATGCATACGTACGATGTTGCTATAAAGGAAAACACAAGTTGTGATGAAAGGCTCTATCAAGGGTTCCAATTTAGACTGAGTGTTGAAGGACCATGGATCAGAGGTTGAGACATTTAGGCTGAGACTTATCATTTGGAGATAGTCAACAAAGAGGCGGAAGAGAAAGTTTCCAGGTGGAAAGAACATCACTTGCTAAGGCCTGGGACAAGTGGGAATGGGAGAATGTATTGAGCAGAATGTTTGCTATGGTTATGTCATTGTGTGCAGTGAGGGGTAGAGGCAGAGGGAAGGACCAGAGATGCCGATGAAGAGTGACCAGGATCACATCACCAGAGCCTATTCAACCACAGGCAAGTGTCTTGACTTTACCTGGAGGGGAATGGAAGAGCTACTGAGTGTTTTAAACATGAAGGACATATGAGCAGATTGATATCTTTGGAAATTCGCTGTGGCTTCTGTAGTAGATTGAAGTGTGGGATGCGTTAGGAGGCCTGGAGACTAGGGAGTAGGAGGCTGTTACAGGAACCCCGGCTAAACAGTTCACTATAGAGTAATGCTGGGAGTGTGAGCTCTGGGGCCACAATGTTTGGGCTTAGTCTTACCTGTGTCACTCAATAGCTGGGAAGCTCTGAGCCATTACTTTTCTTCTCTGGCCTTTGTTTTTTGCTTCTGTTAAATAAGGATGATGATAACAATGATGCTTATCTCATAGGGTTGCTGTGGGTTTATCACCATTTAGTGCTCAGAGCAGTTTGTGGCCCATTCTGGGACTCTGATATTCATAACTATAAGATAATAAATTTGTATTGCTTCAAGTTACTAAATTGGTGACAATTTGTTAAGCAGCAATAAGAAACTAATACAGGACTTTCTGACGAGGCCTGACAGTTGTAAGCTGTAAAAATCTGGGAATCAGGAGATATATATACGTATGTTTAGATGGAGTCTTGCTTTGTCACCAGGCTGGAGTGCAGTGGCGCGATCTCAGCTCACTGCAACCTCCGCCTCCCAGGTTCAAGTGATTCTCCTGCCTCAGCCTCCCAAGTAGCTGGGACTACAGGCGCGTACCACCACACCCAGCTAATTGTTGTATTTTTAGTAGAGATGAGGTTTCACCATGTTGGCCAGGATGGTCTCAATCTCTTGACCTCATGATCTGCCCACCTTAGCCTCCCAAAGTGCTGGGATTACAGGCATGAGCCACCATGCCCAGCTGGTAGTATATTATAAAAGAAATGATATTAGATACACTGTATTTTGTGTAGCCTGTGCCCTCCAAAAATGCTCATGGTTGAGGGGCCAGTACAGGTAGGAACTGGCTTTCACTGATAAGCCCTGTGCCTAGGGAAGAGACTCCTTTTGTAATTTATCCATGTAAAAGGGGCATCTTTTTCAAATTTACACATAGTCACTTTGGGTAGCTAATGGCAGCCCTGCCTGGCACAAATTAAGTACTCAATAAATGATATCTGTTACTAACTGTTGTATGTGAAAATTACTGAACCTTTCTATGCCCATTTTCTTATCTGTAAAATAATGATCCCTACATAATAAAATTGGTTATAAGAATTATATTAATATATGCAAAACACTTAAAATAGTGCCTGGTACAAATAAGGCATGCCAAAAAGACAAATAGGGGTAGGGAGCATTCATTCATTCAACAATGTTTGAGAGCCAGCTATGCAGAAGCACAGGGCTGTAGCTGGGGAGAAAGAGACAGATATGTCCCTGTCCTCATAGGGTAAACAAAAATTTACCCTGATAATGATTTAAAGCTGTGATGTGTTATAAAAATGAATTCTAGGAAATGTAGACAATGAGGAATATTTGAGAAAGTTTAGAAGTAGAAAGAACAAGACTCTGATTAAAGAAGCTGATTCCAGAAAGATTGGAAAGGTTTCAAGAAGGAGGGCAAGGTTGGCCATGTTGCCCACCTTCAGAGCTAGAACCAGATTACCTAGCTAACTTTGTCTATGACTTAAGAAATGAACTGGGATAGAAATTAAAACATGCAATAATATATTTAGCATTTATTTGTTGCACTGTAAAATTCCCTAAAGGTTATAAAGAAAAAAAATATACGTATACATATATATGTATATGTGCATATTTCACCGATTTTTAAGCATATTATATAACATGAAAGATTTCTTACTTAAAATTATGAAGTAGCAAATGAAGTCTGGATCCTAGCTCATTACAGATATTTCAGGATTGGATTTAATTTATCATCTTTTTTCCCTTTTGAACTGGGAACAATGCCCTGATGATCTATTTGGAGAAGAGATATGATAGTATCTTACGTGACCTGTGCTTGCTCTATTCTGTTTGCTGTTTCCTGTTTAATTCTGATGGTGTTGTGGATAAGTGAGATGACCTTCCCTGGAGCAATTTATGAAAGCACTGTTGAATAGAGAACAGAACATGGTGGAATATTCATGGGCGACTTCAGTAGTTCAGGATTACTCTCAGACCGAATTATTCTTCGGAGCTTTGCTGAGGGCTTAGAGTACCCTAGGCAATATAAACGTTTCTTTGATATGCTCCTCAGTATTTCTTCTTTTTAAAGAATCCCCAAGAGGATTTGCACCTGAAACTGTAGCTAGTGCCATTCTTTTTTGCTCTCCTTTTTCTCCTCCCTTCTTTCTAACAATTCAAAATGTTGATGGTGTTTTTTTGGGGGGAGAGAGATGGCAAAAAGTGTCCATTGGAATTTATAGGCATGTAGGAGAAAACTGCTTTCCCATACAACATTATGATGCCAACACTCAGTTGTCATTTTGGGGGATTGTTTTTGAACTGAAGGAAAATGTGTAGCAGCACTATTGGATAAATCAGCAATCCTGGCTCACCTGTATCTTTCAAGGAAAGGAAGGCTTGGTGACAGTGTTGAGGGCTGTGGTAGTCACAATAACAGCCACTCAAAAATGTCTCTGGAACCCATGAATATATTTTGACAAGGGGGGAATAAGTTCATCAATCAACTGAATATGAGATGGGGAGATTACCCTGGATTATCTGGGTGGGCCCAGTGTAATCACAAGGGTCCTCAAGATGGAAGAATGAGGCAATAGAGTAAGTGTCAGAGTGACGCAGCATGAGAAAGTCAAGCATCACCCAGTCATTGCTGGCTTTGAAGACAGAGGAAGGGGCCATGAGCCAAGGAATAAGGACGGCCCTTGGAAGCCAGAAAAAGCAGGAAAATAGATTCTCCTCTGGAGCCTCCCAGAAACTAATGCAGCCCTGTTGATTAGGCCAAAAAGATCCCTTCTTGGCCTCTGATATCCATAACTGTAAGATCATAAATTTCTATTCTTTTCTCACTAGGTTTTCCATTAGGTAGTTACAATAGCAACAGGAAACCAATATAGGAGCTTTCTGAAGAGCCTGACAGTTGTAAGCTGTAAGAATCTGGAGATCAGGTAGTCTATATTTGTAAAATAAGTGATATTAAACATTTTAGAAGTGGTTTGCAACTCTCAGGCAAGTCATCATTGAGTTCAATAAGACTCTAGAGAAAGAGGTAGCAACTAAACATAATAGAAAACCCATCAAGGTCTATACACGTAGAGTAAATGAAGGAGACTAGCCTGGTTGGAAGAGAATAGAGGGGCAGGGGAGTGTGGCTGACCAGAGAGTACATGGCCAGCTCCTCATGGTGATTGTTGCCGTGAGGAAATGTGACCACTTTTGCTAGATCTAGTTTTTTCAAAAGATGCCCGCATTTTGAAATGTAATGTAAATTATCCTAATATTTAACTCTAGACAATTTAAGTAAAAACCAACAACCAACCAAATGAACCTCAACACAGGACGGGTATGGCCCGTGGGCCACCAGTCTGAGACAGCTAATCTAGAATTGCAGTCAGCCGGAGTGACTTGTATTTTCACGGTTCTGAGTGTAACACCCACAGTTCCACTTTAGAGTTGAAGAAACTGACGTAGGGGAGTTAATAATTGAGCTAGTCAATGGTAAACATAAGGTTTCAAATTGCGGTGTGTCTGATTGTGAACGCCAAGTTTTTTTCCATCTCACTGCCTCTAAGGCAAAGGAGGAGATTAATAATGGAGAGATAAAAGGAGAAATGGAAGGAAAGAGTTTAATATTTACTAAGCACAAAATATCTACCAGGCATTGAACCAGGGATTTTAAGCACATTATCCTTTAAGTCTCACAACAATTTTAAGAGGTAAGAAATATTCTAATTTTCCAGGGAAGAAACCTGAGTCCGGGAGAGGTCAAGTAACTTGTACTTGGTCACACAGAGAGTACGTGTCAAAGGAAACTCAAAAGAACACATTTTCTCAGTGATTACAGGTTTTAGAGAAGAGGAACAATGCTTCCTCTGAGCCTGAAGAAAAGAATGAAATAAGGGCTGCAAGGGAACATGCAGGTTTCACACTACAGGAGCTTGTCTGTCTTGGTGCAAGTGGGAGGTAAGGCTATCTGGTAAGCTTAAGAATAGTTTATAAGGGGGAAGCAGGTGTCAGACTGGATATTGCAGGAGAAAAGAGGCTGCCACCAGGGTGACCTGTACAGGAGATGGAGACATGATTTGGAATCAATTGGTGGACCATTGAGAAAGGCCAACAGACAGGAAGGCTTTGAGTGGAAAGAATGTACAGACCCTTGCTTCTTTCCTCAGCATTCCTTGCAGGTGGTAACCAGAGAGGAGCTGAGTGCCAGGACTGGCCATTGGCTTGGTAAAAGTTGAAACCTTAAGAAAGCAGGGTGGCTCAACTTCATTAGCCAGCAGGAAATGCAAATGAAATCTACAGTACCACATCAATACCATCTGACATCCATCAGGATGGCTAAAATAAAAAAGACTGACAATGCTGTGTGTTGTGAGACGGTGGGGCAGCTGGTATGCTCCTAGACTGCTGGTGAGAGTGTAAATGGGTAGATTCAGTATCTATGAAAACCATTTTCAGTATCTACGAAGGCTGAACCTATGTAATATCCTATAGCCTAGCAATTCCGTTTTTATAGTCCAGTGGAAATGTGTACATTTCTGTACTGAAAGACATATGCATATAGTAGCATTATTTATAATGGTGAAAAATGCAAACAACTCACTAATGTTTGGTGTACTGACAAAATGAAACACGCAGTAGCAATAAAGAAGAATGAGCTTCAATACATACAATATGGATGAATCTAAAAAATAAAATGTTGATCAAAGCATCCAGATACAAAAGAGTGCATGCCATGATTTCATTTACATAAAGCTTAGAATCAGAGCTCTGGTGTTAGAAGTCAGAATGGTGGTTATATTTCAGGGGAGAAGGTGCCTGAGATAGAACATAAGTGGGCTTCTAGGGTCCTGCAATGTTCTAATTTTTTAAATTTTATTACCTGACTGTGTTCACTTTGTGAAAATCCACTGCCTTTATGATTTGTGTACTTTCTGTGCATATATTATATTTCAATAGAGAATTAAGATAAAAAAATATAAGGCCCAGGTTGGAGTCTAGGATTGTGACAGGGCAGTGTTGAAATTGTTGACAAGTGCAGCTAGGAAAAAAAGGCTGAGTTGTTTAATGCATCTCCGATTATATTGGGTAAAGGGAGCTGGGGGAAATTAGGGACACAACGATGGTGACAGGAGAAAGAGAATCACCACATGGCGGACTGAACGGGGAGCAGCATCTTGCTGTGACAAAGTCCACCATGTACCTGTCATGGGAATGATGATACAATATTACATCAGCTGCATGGCTATATCTAATCCTGTTTCAGAAGACGTCAGCAAAGGCCATTCGCGTAGTGCAACCTGGGAAGGAGTTGGTTGTTTAAGGTGGATACAGAGTAGATCCTGATAGCTCACTTCTTGACCTTGTTTAATTTTTGCCTGTTAGTTCAGCACTAGAACTCTGTACAAAAAAATTTAAGGCTGCAATATCATTTTAATCAAATCATATGCAATGAAAACAAAGCTTTTGCTAGAGTTGTGAGCTCACATATGGTTTCTCCTGGTTTGTGGTCTCCTAGGGAGAGAAATGCAGCAGGTTGATGATAATGTGAACAGCTAAGTTCCCTGGGTGGCTTTAAAGGGAAAGGGACAATTCACTCATTTTGTGTATTTACTAAAATCGCCTTCTCTCTCTCAGTTTCTCTCTCCTTCCCTCTCTCTCTCTCATTTTCTCTCTCCCTCCCTCTCTCTTACACACAAGTGGGCATGCACGCACGCACACACACACACACACATATACACAAAACTAGATTTGGGATCCTTGTTTTAGTAATGACTAATCACTATCTGGGTATCTTGGTTAAAATAGAAAGGCCATTTGTCTCATGAATCAAAGGTTAAAAAATGTTCTTAAAGGATTAATTTCCAAAATTGCTTTCAAATAGCGTGGCTGACCAGCTTTTAGCAGTCATCGTTAATGAGAATGATGGAAAATTAAGGTCAGGTTTGCATTTTCTTTCTTCTTATTACTTCCTTCTCTTCTAGGTTGATTTGTATTCTTGCCTTTCCTTATATATTGCTTATCTTCCCACAAATTTCATGAAGATAATTTTTAAGTAAGTTTCATTTCTAATTTTTCCTTAGTTCCAGAGATTCTGTTGAATGTAGTCGATGATATGTTGTTACAACACCTCTAATGAATTATAAATAGTCCATTATATAGCGCATACCAAAGAGACCTTCTGATTGAACATGCAAGTTGGGGCCTTTTAAGAACGAAAGGGGGTGCTATGAACACCAGGGCAATGGCTGTGAACCAGCACTACTTGGGCAAACTGGGATGTATGGGTACTCTACCCAGAGGCCTCTGGGGCAGGAGCTGGCCTTGTGAAGGCTCTGTCCTGTTAGGGGAGCTGCTTTCTGGCCTAGCCACTCTGGACTGAGTAAATTCACAGGTGTTCACTCAGCTAGGTTTTCTCTCTGTGATAAATCCTGCAGGGGTTCTCTAATTTAGGACTTTACAGAGGCACTAATTGAAAAAAAATGAAACTAATGCTAGGAATGCTCATGATAAGGCCTAATTACAAATGACATCTGTGGATACTACATGAAAGGTTTTGGATATGATTTACCAGTTCTTTCTTACTAAGAGTCTGGTTAAAAACTCATGAATGAATATCACTCACAGAATGACCTCGATTCACGTCTGGTCTGATTTTTTTTTGTGTGTGCATGTTGACTTCTCATGTGAGCTTTGTTCCTGCAGACCCCACACTTAGTCTTATATGGTCTTCGTCCTACTCTGCCTTGTTCTGGGGTGTGGCTTTCATATGTTGGGGTCTTATGAATAGAAGCAGACAAGCCTCAATCTCATTAAACACAAGGTTTTTGTTGGTTTTTCTAAAGGCAAGGTAAGGAAGTCCCTATGACATGGACCATGGTGCGCATGCTCCTCGTGGCTTGTCCCTGGGCCTGGCTCATGAGGTTTCACTCCCACTCAACCCCTGTCTGCATCCCGCCTCTCTCTGCCTTGGTGCTCTGGTCAGTTGACTCACTGTTCTGTCCTGTGCACTCTGTTCCTAGCTGTGGGAGTTATTGGGTATTGAAGAGGCTTAATGCCTGCCTCATCTTTCTGTGGGTTCTGAACCCATGGGGAAATAAAGACGTGGAAGTCAGAAGAGGATCAAAATGTCCTCTCTGCTAATGGTACCCCTTGTTCTGGTGGCGGTTTCCCTGGGCTGCCCACCATTCCCCTCTGTGCTGAACTCACCTCTTCAGTCACAAACAAAGCAGCAGCACCTGCCCTGGTGGCTTCAAACAAGGAGGACAGAAAAACATCTGTGCTGTCAGGCTGGTGGCCAGAGTGGAGGGAGAGTGGAAAAGGGGAGGAAGACAGGTAAGAAGAGAAAAAAAAAGGCATAGAAAGCAGGAGAGGAGAGAGGAAGACAGACAGGGTGAGGGAGAGTGGGGTTCAAACAAGCAGAACACAGAGGAGAGAAGGAGTGGGACAGCAAGAAACTGAGAGAGGCTGCCAGCACCATGGCTGGGTTATGGGTGTGTAATGAAATATTTGAAATATTAGTCCATTCTCACACTGCTATAAAGACATACCTGAGACAGGGTATTTTATTAAGAAAAGAGGTTTAATTGGCTCATGGTTCTGCGGGCTGTCCAGGCTTCTGCTTCTGGGGAGGCCTCAGGAAACTTACAATCATAGTGGAAGGCAAGGGGAAGCAGGCACATCTTCACTTGGATGGAGCAGGAAGAAGAGAGAGAGAAGGGGGAGCTGGTACACACTTTCAACAACCAAGTCTTCTGAGAAGTCTATCACGAGAACTGCAAGGGGGACATCCCGCCCCCATGATGCAATCACATTCCACCAGGCCCCTCCTCTAACACTGGGGATTACAATTCAACATGAGATTTGGGTGGGGACATAGAGCCAAACCGTATCAGAATTTTCTCAAGGATCAAATAATTCCCTCTTCTGGCCCTCACGGAAAATGAATGAATGCTAGAGCAAAGGAAAGCACTGCTTTCTCAATACCAACAGGTGTTGATGGTAATTCCTGTTTCATGCATTAAAGCAAAATGTGGCCAGAGGGAGAAAAGGGTCCCCCTAACCCCCACATCCTGCCAACCTCCCTGCCCCAGAACACAGGTCACGATATTCCCAGTGAAACTTAATATCGTGACTGCCAGAATGTTACTATTCAGCCATTTCATGCACAGTGCCCTAGGGGTTGCAATGGCATTCCTAGACAACTGCAATGCCTTTCTAACATTGTTGCTGAGGAATGTGAAGCCACATCGTTGTTACCTGTAAACTGCAGAACACAAGCCTTCTGTCTGCAGGAGGAGGGTACGACTTTTCCTATTTTAAATAAAGAAAACTTATCGTTGTTATTTTATAAAATGGGTAAGTTTATGAGCATAATGGAGATCTGTTCTTTGAAATATTTGCAGCTTGGACAAAACCAGGGAATTGTAGAGCATCAAAAACATTTCAATGAATCACAATAAATCTCCTTCTCCATAATGCTTCTTTCATATTCACTGTCTATAAGATCTGAAAAAGAACGCTCAGTAATGACGTACAGAATGTGCTTTCTCTGGAGAGGGCAGGGCAGAACAGGACAGGTCAGGGCTGGACAGGACAGGCAGCTATTTCAGTCCAAGGGGAAGCAGGGGATCATGTTAGAGTCTGGGGACTTAGCCCTGGTGATTCCTCCAAAAGAGTCATAGGAGCACTTGAGCTGTGTCCTTCTGATGGGCTCAGAAAAAATTAATTTAGTATTCAGTGCTTATTCTTCAGATTCAAATAGTACAGAAGACTATAATGACAAGCATACTGAGCCAGGGCATCAGGACTCCCACTGGAAGGCCCAGAGTAGCCAGGTCCCAGCAGGAGGGAGAAACATGAAATTGAACTGTGAGATAGGACAGGAGAAATTTCAGATTAGTATGACTGGGCAGCTTGTGGAAACTCATATTCTATTAAGGAGTAGGAAAGATGACCTAGTTTGGGCTATTAGGATGAAAAAAAAGAAAAGAAAATGTTTTTTCAAAGTTTCCATTTGGTGTATAATTTTTTTTTTTTTTTGATATGGAGTTTCGCTCTTGTTGTCCACGCTGGAGTGCAATGGCGTGATCTCAGCTCACTGCAACCTCCACCTCCTCCTGGGTTCAAGTGATTCTCCTGCCTCAGTCTCCTGAGTAGCTGGGATTACAGGCATGCACCACCATGCCTGGCTAATTTTGTATTTTTAGTAGAGATGGGGTTTCTACATGTTGGTCAGGCTGGTCTCGAACTCCTGACTCCAGGTGATCTGCCCACCTCGCCCTCCCAAAGTGCTGAGATTACAGGCATGAGCCACCATGCCTGGCCGTTGTAGAAATTTTATTGACAAAAAATTCTTCTTGTAAATTGCTTTTTATCTCCCAACAACAACAAAAAAAAATTGGTTCTCCAAAGAGACTGTGTATCCACCCACCCGGAAGGCATGTTCACCAGGACAGAGTGATCTCAAAGATTAGGATGAGTGGTTGGAGCTTGGATTTAATTTTCTCCTCTCTTGGTCTGGTGTGACACTCACTTATTTCCCTTTTTCAAAAGTTCTAGAATCTGTTTCATTTAAGAGATTAAAAAACAAGTAACTGATAAAAAAATTCAGATATTCATGCCCTTTTAATCTCTTGACTTGCCAGGTAAATCTCCTGGTTGAATTTCATGTGCATGTTTATTTCATTTGCATGAAGTTTAAATTCTCCCAGGGCTGTACGGCTGCAACTATTTTTGCAGATTCTTCACTGCACAAGTTGGCTGGGCTGCAGGGGGTGAGTAAGTGCAGAACGGCAGCCACACTTGGCTTGGCCAAGCCATGCAGTGTGATGTGAGTCTGTGCCAGCCCAGAGGGAGGGATATCTTTTTCTCTTTCACACAAAGGGCTAGTAAGTGGCCTTGATTGCCACTAAGGTTCATTGACATCATGGCTACCCTGAGATGTGCCTGGTACAGTGCTTCATGCACATTGTTATCTGGTAAATGCTTTTGATGATGGTCCTACATATATTTCAATTCAGTGGGAACATTATATGTGTTTTACTTAGGGAGAACTTCACCCCAAGTGCCTTATGCTTGAAACAATAGTGGTGTTTTAGCCTTTGAAGACACTTGGTGTATGATCTGACTTTCTTCTTCTCTTGATCTTTGGGGCAGTTATACTTGAGGGTAAATAGGCCTCAAATTGCTTGGTGTCCTACAAATAAACATAAAGAGCTTAGCTTAGATATAAAAACCCTGAGAAATGGGGAAAAAAAGCATGCTATCTGCACAAACAAGGGGAAAGGCAGTAGGCAGGAACAGGATGGAAGTCCATGGAAGATGCTGTGATTCCTTTCCTGCTCAGCTCCTCAAGTCCTGGTTCTTGTTTTGTTGAAGAACAAGCAGAAATAGTGGGATTTGGGATTTAGAGTTCTGGAAATGGCCAGATTTTTTTTTTTTTTTTTTTGAGACAGAGTCTTACTCTGTCACCCAGGCTGGAGCATAGGGGCATGATCTTGGCTCACTGCAACCTCTGCCTCCTGGGTTAAAGCAATTCTCCTGCCTCAGCCTCCCGAGTAGCTGGGATTATAGGCATGTGCCATCATGCACGAATAATTTTTGTATTTTTAGTAGAGATGGGGTTTCACCATGTTGGCCAGGCTGGTCTCTAACTCCTGAACTCAGGTAACCCACCCGCCTCAGCCTCCCAAAATGCTGAGATTACGGGGGTGAGCCACCACGCCTGGCCGAAATGGCCAGATTCTTAGATGGCCTGAACTATGTAAGTCTGTTGTTTGATTTGGTTAATCTGAGGAATACAAAGTTCAAGAAATGTTGTAATCTCAGCGCCCTTGGTACAAGAGTGCCTGCTCTAAGCCTTTGCTGTTCAGGGAAACTTGATAATTTAGGTGTGATATATTTATCTATCTATTGATTCATCCATCCATCTATTTATCTGTGCTATTTCTTTAGTACCAAAAAAGGCTTGCTTGCACAGGTTGGGCAGGTGTTGTAAATGAATGATGCAGAGAGAGATTTAAAAAACCGTAAGGAGTGGTAGGGACTTGACAAATAGAGTATTTCCCTATTTATAGGGAGTGGCCACTGTCAATCTTGGGATTCTTGTCTTGCAGAAAGGCAAACATGCAGCTTTAGGGGGGTCCATATCTTCTGACATTTCAAAAGGAGCTGGAAATCAAGATGTGAAATCAGATTATTTAATATTGACAATTAATTCAAATGTTTGTGCTAACATTGCAAGACTTCTCCTCATGTTGTTGCATGCCAAGATGGAGAAAATATGTTGGGCACGTTAGGTATTTATGTGTCAGTTTGTGACCTCTGCTCTGGTATATAAGTTTGCCCTTAGAAATATGTTCCTGTATTATTTTAAAGTTGAGTGGGAAGCTTCTCTACTTTTAATGAGTTTTAAAGGAGAGATGTCATCTACTTATCCCTCTATCATTTGGAGGATAGGCTAGTTATGTCACTTGGATTATACAAATAAACATTGTTGTGGGTTATTTAAAAAAAATTTATTTTCTGAAGCGAGTCTATCAAGGTTTTTAAAATGTGGTTCTTCATGGACTTCCAAGGAGGTTTAGGATTGGCAGTGAAAAGAAAGAGAAGAATGGGAAGGACACTTACATTTCTGCTTCTTGGGATAGAGGTAATCTGTATATTTTGGTTTTAAAAACAGATATTTAATCTTTTAGGCACATTAATCTACATTTCTAAGAAGAAATAGGAAACTTCTTGATAGAAATGCCACCTGTTTTAACGACTAAGCACCAATGGCACTCTGCCAAGTTGAAAACAAATCTAGGTAAATTTAAATTGGGCTGGCATTTCACAGAACTGGTGCAAGCATGGTTCATAAAGTTTATTTTTTTGCTTGAGAAAAAAATGACATTTTACTGATTCTGTGTAAGAAAACCTTTAAGTTTTTATCAAAGACTATTAAGATCAGAATTCAATATTTTATGATAGTATTTAATATTTTACAATGTATTAATTTACAATTAAATAAGTTATTTAATACAAATAACTTAATATTTTACAATAGAGTTGATTATTTTTCTAATGCTTTCCTAAAGAAATTCTGTAAAGATCCACATAATTGCTAGACCAGTGATAAAGCATGTAATTTCCCCTATCTTCAATTTTTCCTTACTGTCTACCCTCTAAAGTAGTTGACAATGATCTTCTGATAGATCCTGGCTTGGGTAATACATTACACTGGCAGAGTAAGAATTCAGAAAATAGCTCAACAGGATCCCTCAGTTTGGCTGGTCTTTCTGAAAAGACAAGTGTGAGCAGCCTGAGGAGAACCTGGAACTCAGGTATTCTCTGTTTCAAACTCAGGAAGGCCTGGGTGAATTCCTGGTAGAGCTGGTAGAACTAGCTTTCTATTATGAATATTGAGAAGTTTGACCAATTTTATCAGGCTTCTGGAGTGATATTTGCATAGTTACAACTTAATATCACTTTTCTACTTAACACTCACCAGTAACTTCCACCTACTTGGGCCAGCCCATGTAGTTCAAGGTAAAGATCTTGGATTTTATTCCACATAAGGTAAAGATCTTGAGCTACAAGATCTTGAACTACTGAAGCTCTTGAATTACACGGGCTGGCCTCTGCCTTTCTCTCCAACATCATCTCCAGTGACACTGGCCTTCTTTCTCTTCTTCAAATAGACTAAGCTCTTTCTCACTTCAAGCTCTTTGTTGAACCTGCTAGTCCCTGTTTCTATATGGCTCTTTCTCCAGATCATTGGCTTCTTTTCATTTGGGTCTCAAGTCAAATATGACCTTCTTAGAGAGGTCTCCTCTGGTGATGCCACTTCTCCTATCACAGTATCCCATCACTCTGTTTTATTTTCTTCATAGCCCTTATTTGAACTTATCTTACTTATTATTTGCCTCTCATTAAAATGTAAGCCTTGTGAAAGCAGTACCTTCTCTGTTGTACTTTATTGCTATATTTTCAGAATCAAGGACAGTATCTGGCATGAAGTGAGTGCTCAAAAGTATTTGTTAGATGGACGAATTACAATTTGCCCACATTCAGTGGCTTTACTTGTAATCTGTTTGACTCTTGATTGGTATGTAATTTTATTATATGGAAGGGATGGAAAGAATAGGGTTCGAGGGTAGTGAGGAAATAGTAAAAGATGGTACTGTTGGAATTAGCTACATGATTTGAGCAGCAAATTCCAAGTACGGCCTTAAAACAGAAAAAGAAGCAAATATATACTACTTGAAAGTCAGACTGTATGATAATCTAATGGTAGATATAGTTATATAAATCATACACACTCAAAGCTTTACCTCTATAATTCTGATAAGAATGGGAAGGCTGATGACATTTTTGCAGACCATTAAATAAATGTAGTGAACTTCTAGTTTGCTTTGAGCCTATCTGCATGGCTGATAAATGCTTTTCCAATAGAAAGAAGGGAAAACATGCATTCAAGGTGATAAGCAACCGGTGATAAGCACAGCTAGAGACAGTTTTTAAACCCTGAAACTCTGTGGTTACTCATATAATTGTTTATAAGTGGCTCATTGGGAACCAAGGTAAACAGAATTAATCTTTTAAACATCAAACAGAAATAAAATAATATTTCTTTTTTTTTTTTTTTCTTGAGATGGAGTCTTGTTCTTCACCCAGG
Organism: Homo sapiens; assembly: GCF_000001405.40. Classification (NCBI taxonomy): domain Eukaryota; kingdom Metazoa; phylum Chordata; class Mammalia; order Primates; family Hominidae; genus Homo; species Homo sapiens. Next base: position 60,362,833 of record NC_000005.10, on the reverse strand, counting down.
GGGCTGGAGTGCAGTGGCATGATCTCAGCTCACTGCAACTTTCACTTCCCAGGTTCAAGCGATTCTTCTGCCTCAGCCTCCTGAGTAGCTGGGACTACAAATGCCTGCCGCCATACCTGGCTAATTTTTGTATTTTTAGTAGAGATGGAGTTTTGCCATGTTGGCCCAGGCTGGTCTCAAACTCCTGACCTTAGGTGATCCACCCACCTCAGTCTCCCAAAGTGCTGGGATTACAGGCGTGAGCCACTGTGCCTAGCCAGAAATAAAATAATATTTCTTATCTGTACCCTAAGACATGTTGGACAGGAGATGTCCCATGAAGCTGATGAAATTTTAACTAATGCAGTAAATAATCCATTGAGATTTAATCCTCATCAATCATCATCCTTATTGTTACCATGTGGCAGAAAAATGTGAAATTCTGTTAAATGCTTCATCTTGATGGAAAAATATGAAATCCTTGTAAATAAAGCTTGAAATTCTCAGGTTCCCAAAAGATGACTCATCTGACCTTCTACTCATCTTTTTAAGACATGAAACAAAAGAAAGCAAATGGGTTTCTGTGGCCAAAAGAATTTCATCAACACCAGTCCATGGGAACAGATCAGACATAGGGAAGGTGGGTCTCATGACACTTTTTGGTTTATTTCACATCTCTTGAGCAGAGCTCTCAGTATAATCTCCTCAACAAGAATGTGTATTGCATTTCTGTAGGACATAAATTGCCTTCTCTCCTCACTATTCCCAGCACTGATTACAAGCTTCAGCAGAAAGCAGAGTTTTAAATTCTTGTGGAATTAATAAATAGATAAGAGTAAAGGTATTTAGGGGGAGACAAGGACATAGCCTGTAATTTAGGTGAGCAAAATCAGTAACTGTGAGTCTGGGCTGTGACATGGTCCTGGCTCACTATTATTTTTTTACAAGTTTTAGGATCTTGGCGTTTTATTTGCTTTATCAATTACTGTGGACTAAGATGTGCGACTGTGATGTGGATTAAACAACAACAATTTATTTCTTGCTCATGCTGTCTGTCCATTGTGGGTCAGCTGAGTGCTCTGTTCATTCTTGTCACTCAGGCATGGGTTGATGGAGCATCCACCATCTCAAACGTTGTTAATTACCATGCTTGGGAAGAAAGGAAACTCTAAAGGATGTTACCCCAGGTGGTTAAATAAGCTCATGTAGAAATGGAATGTGACACTTCAACTCAAAACTCATTGAACAGAACTCAGTGTGCCTGGCCCCACCAAAACCATCCACAAGGGAGGGCAGAAAGTCTAATTGTGAACAGAACTAATGATATTTACTTAGTATTTGTCTGCTTGATTTTTGGCACAGACTGATTTATTAGAGTGGAGAAGGTAAGCTGATTATCAAAGAATGTCTTATTTTCCTCATGTAGTTACCATTGATTTATTGAATCATGATTTCATTCTTTAATATATTTTGCATCAATGATTGATTAATTTTCACAGCTACATCAAGTAACTAATTATTGATTTACTAATCAATTATTAAATTCTACAAATTAAATAATATTACAAACTAAATTCAATCCTTGAATGTATCCAACATTTATTGGGAACCAGTCCATGGGAACAGATCAGACATAGGGAAGGTGGGTCTCATGTGCTTGATCATCTACTATGTGCTTGATCACTATGCTAGATACTACATTGTATGGCTTTGCTGAATTATTGTTAAGTCTTCACTCACTTAGCTGAGCTCAGAAATGAATACATCTCAATGCATGCAGAGAAGGTTCTTATTGAGGCTTACTCACTTTGTAGGGTGTTGGTGGCGTTTGAGATTGTGTTTTCAAAGTGCTTAGCACTGGCGATAGTGATGTTCATAATGATGTTGCAAGTTGACTAGGATTTGATAGTTCATTTCCTAAAATAATTTTTATTCAACTAATAATTCAAGTAAACACTGCTCACTTGATGATTAGTCGTGGAGTGAAGACTGCGTTGTGAAGCTCACCATTCATTCTCTAACAGTGGTCTCCTGAGTTGGGACACTTACATAGGATTTATTTCTGATGATAACAAGAGCACAGATGCCAACCATGCATGTGATAGTTTCTGGGAGAAGACTTGATGATTCAGCACTGTCCCTATAAAATGACAAAAGAAGACCCACATATAGCATTAGGTATGGATGAAGGTACTTAAATTTAAGCTTAATTAGGTGTAAATCCTTAACTCCTATATTCTACTCTCTGGTGCTTTGAAGTTGGCCTCTTCGGTCTCCAGCCACAGAAGGGATTTTCTTCGCTGACCACAGTTCCCCACGTTTTCCCTTCAGTAAATAGCAGATGTGTGTGGTGGTAAGCTGGTTTTCTGCCATTGCTGTGTGAAAAGGCAGATATTCTGAATGAGGATTGTAAGTTATTTTTGTGTTACACATTCTTCTTTAGCTTTTTTCAAAAGCAATTGCATTTTAGTTGAATGTGAAAATTTACTCTTGATGATTTTCTCAGATTAATGCTGTCATCATGTTAATGGGGTAATGCTTCCTTCTGCAAAGATCTTGGAATTTAGGGCTTCTGGTCAGTGTTTTACAGCTTTGTCTGAGAAAGAATGTAATATGAGTATGTTTTTGGTACATGACTTCAAAAAGCCAAGTCTGCTTTGCCTGATTTTTGTGTGAGCAATCCCACCTGTCTGATCTCACCCCTGCTCCCAGGTCACAGATAGAGGAGACCTTGTGCCCTAGCAACAAATCACATCCACTTTAGCTCTATGGGGACATTTCAACAACAAGGTTCTTGTTGGGGCTTACCCACTTTGTAGGGTATTGGCGGTGTTCGAGATTGTGTTTTCAAAGTGCTTAGCACTGGCACAGTGCTGCAACTTGCAGCATAATTATGAAATACCTTAACAAAAGGTATTTACAAAAGCATGAGAGGATGAATGTGAGGAAGGAGCATGTCATGTTGGGTAAGAAAATATGGCACTAGAAACATGGGAGAAGGCGTGTGTTTTGTGGGGGTAGATGGATAAGAAAGAGAACAGGTGGATCAGACACCAATTTACCAAATGATTCCATAATATTAGTGCACAGATAATGCACAGATAGTGTGCAACAACAGCTTTGGGAAAGGCAAACTGACTGTCTATAAAGGTCAGAAGACATTTTATAAGATGTGTTTTACTGAAAGTGTTGTCCTTGTGAAGAGGTTTTGAGCAAATATTTTAAGAAGTCTTTAGGGAACAAGCAATTTTCCTTTTTGTTGCCCTTTCTAAGAATAAGACATAAATAGGAAGTTCCATCCTTTTATTTGTTCTATTCAAATATTTATAGGGGAAAATCGGCTACTACTTCTTTATAAGACCCACCTTTGAAACTCATTATTTTTCCAAGGTGCCTTGTTCTTATAACAATATTTTCTTCTATGTTTGTTTATTTATTTATTTTATTGAGATGGGGTCTCACTCTGACACCTAGGCTGGAGTGCAGTGGTGCGATCCCAGCTCACTGTAGCCTCTACCTCCGGGGCTCAAGTGATCCTCCCACCTCAGCTTCCTGAGTAGCTGGGATCACAGGCTTGTGCCACCATGCCCGGCCAATTTTTTGTGTTTTTGGTGGAGATGGGGTTTTGTCATGTTGCCCAGGCTGGTCTCGAACTCCTGAACTCTAGCAATCAGCCCTCCTTGGCCTCTCAAAGTGCTGGGACTACAGGCGTGAGCCACAGTGCCCTGCCTATAACAATATAACAATATTCTGTTTAGGCTATGGAAGACCACATATATTCTTACTTAAGCACTTAGAATGGAAGCCACCTGAAGACAGAGGTTATATCTTCACCCTTGTCACCCACACATAATAAGTGCCCAATTGATGTCTTTTGATTAATTAAATGAATTAATTAGTGAATGAAGACAGACCTAGGACTCCTGATAGAAAAAGAATAAAAACTTGCTTCTGTTTGTCCTTCTACAGTGAAAAGATTTCCTAAATATCACATATAATACCAGCACACATATCTTGTTTGCTAGTGATTTGATTTCATTTATGTCTGTTATTTAAATTCAGGGAAAAACATAGGTAGTTTTTTCTTGTAATATCTCAACACTGAACTTGAATGAAACCTTATTAAATAATGCGCAAAATTAACTATTATATTTTGCTGCTAAGGGGCTTTGGCATTTTGCTTTGGTAAATTATGTCGCTGGTCTGGAAGACTCAGGCCCTGGGATGACAGGCCTATGTCACAATGGGTGACATGGGTTGGGAAAGATGGCTGGCTGTCCTGTAAAGTGCCTTATGAGTGTGAAGCCAAAGGCAGTGCTTGGTACCACCCAGGGAATATCTATCAGAATGAGATATTTTATTGGCTTCACATACCATACCATAACATGTCTGATACAGTCAGCCAAAACAAGATTATTTATCAATGCCTCTGCCAGCTACCCAAGATGGTTAAGAGAACCAAAAGCCAAATGCAGTGATCAAAAAGACTGCTGAAGAAGTAAAAGGCAAAAGGATGAAGAAAAACCAGCCAGGAACCCATGTTTTGCTTCTATCTCATTCCCTGGGAATCAGCAGTGTATGAGCATCTATCTCTATATAATCCGTCTTCTCTGCAGGCAGAAGGGCTACTCCCTTACTGCACCTGAGTCCTCACATTCTCAACCACATCAGTCACTAGGAAGCGGTCAAGGGAACACCACAGTATAGCAGAGTGGTCAAATCTGCAGGCTCTGTTGCCAGACTGCCTGGGTTCCCCTTCCTTTTCTATCACTTATTACCTTGATAGTTACTAAACCCTCAGTGCCACAGGGTTTTGATCTATAAAATAGAGAAAGTAATAAAAATGTTATCTCATAGGGTTGTAGTGAAGATTAAATGAGATACTGTGTACTTACTATGTATTGTATGGCTTTTGTTAATAAAGGCAGGGTCAGGACAACTGCATATATGTGGTAAGTGGAGATGTGAAATATGTATAACTGGCCACCTAAGTTCAGTATTTGAGGATGTATGAGAAACGCTAGTTGAATAAAAACATATTATTATTACTTGTGTTGTTACCATTACTACTGATGTTATTACCAAGCAGATGTTAAAAATATTTCTATATGCACTATGGATCCTACTTCACTTATGAGGAGAATAATATAACCCAAAGCTTTTAATTCTCATTGCTTCAGTCTTTCAAATGTTTTTGTTCTCAACTTTACTGAGAGGTAGCAGAAGCCAAAAGATAGAAATCTAGTAAAAATTCCAAGTAGAAAGACATAAAAGTTTAGTCTTTGAAATGCAGTTGGTCTGGCATAAAAAATAAAAATCAGGCTCTAGTCCCAGGATAAGATAATTTTTTAATGAGTTGAAATTGTAGCTAATAGAAAGTTGAATATACAGATAAATGAATTGAAAGAAGGCATGGCATGGTTTATTCATAACAGATGTTAAAAGAGTAAGAGTGATTTTTTTTTTACAAAGACAACTCAGAAAATAAGCCAGAGAGTTTAAAAGTGAATTCACTGCACAGCTTGGTTCTGCATTCATAAATACAATGAAGCTCAAAAAATTATTTAGTAGCAGAGGCTTATGAGAAGAGCTTGGTTCTGTGGAGCAGCAACATGATAAAGTTAGATTTTTGGGGCCTCACCTAACCTGTGGGACAGCTCTCGGGCCTCTGATTTCAATTATTCCCTGCTTTTTTTTTTTTGGTATTGCTGCAACACATCTGTCTCCTGGTACCCTCTCCTTGCCCTTTCTGTCTGCTTTCCACTGGGATTGAAATGCTTTTCTTTCCTCCACCTCTGTTTCTAGTTGCAGTATTTTTCTTTATCAAGCTCATTTTTTCCCTAACCTGTAAAAACATCACCAGTGAATTTATGACATTGGAGCTAGTAGCTGTGTTGATGGACGTGAGTGTCCAGTTCCATAGCTGCATGCCAGATGAATAGCAGTAATAGAGCTACAGAGGCCCTGCCAGCACAGCCAGACATGATGCACTAACATGCCAGTTTCCTTGCTTCTGGTGCTTCCAAGCCATGGGGCCCCTGGTGATATATACCGTTAATCAAACAAGTGTGATGAAAGCTAAATGAAGCAAATTTAGTGTGTGGCATCAATATCAACATCATTTATTTACTCACTCATTTTGGTTCACTTGAATATTCAGTACTATTTTTCCAATAGTAAATGATGAGAAAATAACTTTTTAAAGTGGGGGGAAAAGAAGGAAAACTAGTAAATTTCTCAAAAGAAATAAATTAGAAGAAGGTTGAAGCCATGTCAAATGGCTTCAATTCAGACATTTTTAATCATAGGTAGATATTGGTGTAGCCAGAGAAAAACACAGTATTCATAAAAATTATCATTCAGATGTGAATATGCTGATAGTAATATTACTATCTGGATTTCTCCAGATTCATAAATTATATAAAAATAACAACTGCAGCCCAAGGCAGTCTATTTAAATGCGTGAGGAGTAAGGCAAATGGTATTCGGAGAAAAGCATTGACAACTTGGTTAGGTAAAATGCTACATTTTCATCTTGATAATAAAATGTTCAAGGTAATTATTGGGGCTGTTCAATAAGCAGAGCCAGTGAGAACATAATAATCACTCTGTTTTGTCAGTGAGAACACTGTTAATATTAATGGGAATGTAATGCTGAAGTTCCTGGGGATTGATAAAAGGGCAGCTCTAGATCTGTGAGACTGACACGCGGCTCTGGGGGTTCCTGACCAGTTAATTATGGACCCCCTGCAGTTTTTTTCACTCTCTTGGGAGCATTCCCAGGACCCCTCCTGAGGCATTTCTTACTAAATGTGAGAGAGAACTTATTTTCAAATTCCTCTGAATTGAGAACCAGACTAGATGTAGGGATAAAGTGAAGTACAGTTGATCTTTGAACAGCACAAGTCTGGAATGTGTGGGTCTGCTTATACTTGGATTTTCTTCTGGCTCTGCTACCCCTGAGACAGTAAGACCAACCCCTTCTCTTCTTCTTCCTCCTGAGCCTACTCAATGCAAAGATGATGAGGATGAAGACCTTTTGAATGATATGGTTCCACTTAATATATAGTAAATATATTTTCTTTTCCTTATGATTTTCTTAATAACATTTTCTTTCCTCTAGCTTACTTTATTGTAAGAATACAGTATATAATATATATATAATATACAAAATACGTGTTAATTGGCTGTTTATAGTATTGCTCAACAGTAGCCTATTAGTAGTTAAGTTTTTTGGGAGTCAAAAGTTATACTCAAATTTTTGACTACACGTGGGTTAATGCCCCCAACCCCCACCTTGTTCAAGGGTCAGCTGTAGTAGATTAAAAGGTTTTTCATGTCTGGAAAGATTCTCTATTCCTGGACTGGTTCAAGGAACTTAGAGGTCAATCTGAATTCCAAGGAGTGAAGGTACTAATGGTTTGATATCCAGGTGTACATGGCCCTCTGCCAGGAGACTGTAGGGAAAGTAGATTATCATCATCCAACTTGTCCAGTTGTGCAGCCAGATATTCTTGCTGACAATGTGAATATTTACCTATGAATACTAGAGTACTAGTCTAATGTGCAACAAGATACATTTGCAAAGTGCAGGGAAAGTATAATAGTCAGGTGACCAAAGGTCACAGTGACCTTCCTTAGGTTTGGTCTCCTGACTATTACACCTTGACTTGTTTTTACTTTTTACAGGATTTTTACAGTGCAGTAGTGGCACATAATTTCTTGATCTTGTGTGTTTCTGTTACGGTAAAAATAAAAACAAATATAAACAGTAACAAAGAAACAGCTTCCAGGAAACTTATTAGTTATTCCTCCTATGTTACATGGCATTTCCATAATTCTCATCTGTATTAAGTTTGCTGTGGGAATGGCAATCATAGTATATAGCCCTTACCACCAGCACTGCCTTCTCACATGATTTATTGCAAATTGGTTATATTGGAGAGTGGATTCTGCCAAATGGGTAGCCTAATTAGTAGTCAAATTGTTGTTTTCTCTAGTGATTTATTATCAAGCGTATTAATTTCAGTGTCCAACAGAATGAAATAAATGTCTTGGACTATTTTTTCAATGACATTAAAAAATGAAAACTAACCCAGAGACCAATTACATTGAAAAAAATTTATTTGAGCCAGAAAAACGTCCTAGTACTGGGCAACATCCCAGACTAAAAATGGTTCAGAATGCCCCAACCTCCAATTGTGGTGACTTAGATTTATAACCAGAAAACAGGAAATAACATATAGAGATTACCTTGTTGGTGCAATTCAATGTTTGCCTTATGTGGGCATAATTTGGCAGCTTTCAGCCTGGGAATTGACTGAGGATTTGGCTGCTATGATTGGCGGAGAAACAGTTGCTTGGTAACAAGGGTATACTCCTAGATTACAGCTTGCTATGTATGGAGACTGCTTTGAGCCAAACTTTACTACCAAGTAAAGAATCTGCTGTGTGCCAAACTTAACTTTAACACATCTCAGCATTGGTCTGAAAATCAGTTCACAGTATTTGATAGTGTGCCTTGCCATTTTCTGTTACACACTTTGTTCCCTGTATGAACTTCTGTTTACTTTGCACTATTTCTGTATCTGCTACTTTGGAATAAAAGTAGTCAGTATAACTTAAATAATGTTTCTTAAATAGTCAAATGAGAGTGATGATTCAAATATACCTCCTTTCCCCCATTTTCTTTCTAAATTATTCACCTCTAAGGTAATTATAACTAAGTTTCAAGGTTTGATTTGGAACATTTTTCATATTTCTGTCACTTAGTTCATAGATGTTCATATTTCTACTGTATTATCTTATCAGTTATTAAGATTCTTGGGAGAGTATATATCTTTTTATAAAGCTTTCCAGAATAGTTACCATGATGTTCATTCTTATAAGTAAGCATTCATGCAGTAGCTGCTTAAATATGATCCCGTGAATGGTGGTATAAAAAACATAGTGGATTAGACACTATGTGCTCTAGGAGATGGAAATTGAAGACCCTGGCCCAGTGAATTTCTCAGCAAATGTTATTGGCCGCCTGGTCAATATATAGTGTTGTATGCATATAAAGTATTTGGCACATACTTATTAATATATTAATATGACACATTAAAAGTAAACTATTCTGTGATATATGTTATGGATTATCTCTCAACATCCATTCCAATTTCTTACTAGTGTACCCCTGGCCCTGTGAAAGCTGGAACCATCTCTTAGTCTTCCCTGGAGATAAGGTACTGAATCCATGAAAGTGCTAGTCTGTTGGGGGAATTCTGCTCACCAGAACCCTTGTGAAGCATCCTTTAGTTGACATGAGTTCAGAGGTACTGATTTATGAGATTTAGTAGGTGGAAGGAAAGCAGAGACTAACTTCTGCTATTTCATCTACCATGCAGAGGGTTATGGGGATATCTTGTTGCTTTGCTTTCAGCACTGGCACAAGTCCAGGGCCCATTTGCTAGCAGTGTGGGTGTTAAGAGGCAGGATGTAAGGTATCACCTGTGCTGGTGAGGAACACAGTGAGGAGTGTATGATTTGGGAGCTGAGAGCAGTAGCAGTGGGGTCAGCAGCTTCCTGATTGGGTGGTCCCAGGATCAAAGTGGTTAGTGATCCGCTGGCTTCCTTGCTGGTGTTTGCTTTCTAACTGTGGCAAAGCACTGTGGTTATGGAACTGGCAGTGACCCAAGGTGGCAGGTAGCTTCCTGATCCCAGAAGAGGCAGCAGTTCCTCCAGCAGCCCATTTCTGTGGTGTTGCTTGGGAACTATTTCTGAAGGCTCAACTTAGATGTATTCAGCCCTCCCCAGTGATTCTCTAAGCCATTTAATTATATGTCTTAAATGTTTTTCTTCTTAAAATAGCTACAGTAGATTCTGTTATCTTTAGTTGAGCCATAATCAATATCCCATTGGAACACATGCTTCCTACATATTGTTTCAATGTCAAGTCATTGAGCATTATGTTATTTCATGGACATTTGTGGGAGTACCACTAGAAATAATCACAAATATAATTATAATTGTGTCTTTTTCAAATCCATCACAGAATATTTACACGTACTCCATATTTTCCCTCTAATCAATGAGTTACACTGGTGATATCCCCAGGCCCATTAATTTTCCTTATAAAATATCCCTTGAACTGTACTTTGAAGCCCAACAAAATTGAGTTGTTTGAGCTATAAAAGCAAGAGCAGGCAGAAATGCAGAATCTCCACAGGAAATGTTTTGCCTTCAGGGTCCTGTCATTCAAACTAGAGATTGAAAATACCAATATTCTAGCTAATGTCTAAGGCTGCTTATTTCTATGGCTGAAGGCACAGGGCCAATTAGAGGCCAAAGCAGTGGGTCCTATCACCAGGTAAGCCATTTAGTTTTACTCTCTTTTGTGGCCTCAGCTTTCGCTCTTGGTCTTACCTCATCATACTACCTGCTTTTGAGCAGAGAGAAAGTGTAGAAAAGTGGCAGAAAATACTTTCTCAAAATTCTTTAGTAATGATGGGTCAGGAGCATCATCTTCTAGAAGGACTGTGCATCCTAGTCAGTCTCCAGAGAGAAGAGAGAAATGCAAACTGTCCAGTAACTGTGAGCCATGCTAAGCTGAATAGACAGGCAAAAAGGAGGCTCACTACTGTGCCTTGGGAGGAAATTTGTATTATCAGGGAGAATGGTATGTATTGGTTAAGGTGGAGGTGTGATAGAAACATTTTGAGTATATAGGAGAATTTAGTTCACAATAGGAGTTTAAAAAGATAAAAAAGGCCAAGTACTGTGGCTCATACCTGTAATCCCAGCACTTTGGAAGGCCAAAGCGGAGGGTTGACTTGAGGCCAGGAGTTTGAAACCAACCTGGACAACACAGAGAGACCACATGTCTACAGAAAAAAAAAAAAAAGCCGGGTGTGGTGGTGCACGCCTGTAGTCCTAGCTACTCAGGAGGCTGAGGTGGGAGGATCGCTTGACCCCAAGAGTTCAAGGCTGTAGTGAGCTGTGATCATGCCACTGCACTCTAGCCTGGGTGATGGAATGAGACCCTGTCTCTAAAAATAAATAAATAAATAAATAAATAAATAAATAAATAAAATAATTAGGTGGAAGAAAGATGACCCAGCAAAGTGAGAGACTATTCATTGCTTCATAATTATATTCAGCTATAATAATACTGATTCCTTTCCAAATAGTGAATTAAATACAGACATACGTGTTTATTATGTTAAAAGAAGTCTGAAAGTAGGCAGTTTGGGGCTGGCATGGCAATTCTGCAAGGTCATCATGGACCCAATTTCCTTCTTGTTCTGTTATCCATTTTCTAAGCACATGGCTCACATTCTCAAGATCAACTCATGATCCAAGATAGCTGCTAAAGAACTAGATATCATCTCTGATTTCCAGCCAGCAGAAAAGGGAGAAGTACTCTCCTTCCCCAGAGGCCCATGCAATATTTCCTCTTACATCTCTTTGGCCAGAATTTTGTCACATGGCCTCACTAAGCTGCAAGGGAGCCTGTAAATTTAGGCTATTTGGCCAAGCAGAAATATACCTAGCAAAAAAATGGGATTCTGTTATGAAAGGAGAAGAAGATGAGTGGATATTTAGTGGGCAACTCTAATCTCTGCCATAAAGTAGGTGATCTCTGTCATAAGACTGAGCTAGACGGGGATTATACTATGCTGTTGTTGACTGTGGCCTTTTGGCTCTGTGCTGAGGCTTTCTTTTCTAGGGCCACAAACGGAGTTTCTCACATTTACTTCTGGATGATCCAGGAAACTAAACTGGTTTTCAGAGAATACTGCCAAAAATGCCTGAGCACATGCTCAGCTCTGTGAGATCAGCAACGGCACCTGAGACCTTTTTATCTGCTTGTTGTAGTTTTTAATCCACTGAAACAATAGCAGGTGTAAGCTGGAATTCTTTGGCACACAGCCTCTGAACCTTGGCTCATGTTCTCAGATAAATGCCTATAGCAGCTGAAGCTCTTGAAAAAAATTTAAGAGGAGGAAACAGAGTAGGGATCTTTTTGGGGTCACAGTCTAGGTGTTTTTAGAGCCACTCAAACTCGAATCAAGACCCTTTGATTACCATAAAAAATCTAAAATAAGATGTTTTGTTTGGCCCAAACAGTTTTAGAAAAAAGTGAGCCAAATCTGAAAATTAGTTTATTTCATATATATTGAATAGTTAGGCCATTTGGCCACACCTGTCCTGCATCCTGCGTGTTGACAACATCCTGGGACTGAGCAATAGTTGTCATCCTTAGGTGGGGCCTGCATTTGCTGGCCCCCAACCATCGACGCATTTCTGATATCTTGTGTTTGGCCTACTTTTCACTCATTGAATGTAACCTGCTGAATACCTGTAAGCATCTAGGCTGTGACCCTTTCTGTGGATGGCTCAGGAGGTAACCAGTGCATGAGAAGTTTCTGGCCTACCTCAGTTGCTATCAGGGTGGGCAGAGTATGTGGAGAACTCCTAGCCTGGAGAGATGAGAAAGGATGTAGGTTAAAGTTGAGGTCCTAGAAGAAAAGATCTTGACAAGGAAAGCCTGAAGGCTTGTCCAGTATGAGGTTGCCAGGAGTCATCTGTGGGAAGACACGGAAGTGCACCTAGGAGCAGCTGGTGTCTCAAGACTGACTGATAGGCTCGAACCTGAGCCATGGTTTACAAAGCTGACACCAGGATGTAACTATGGGTTGTAGCCAAGTTGTTCCAACACAGGTGGAGTGAACTCCTGTGGTATTTTGAAGTGATAATTGGCTAGGGTAATATTTTCAGGGTGCTGGTTCTAACAGATGGTGCTATTTGAAATCCTTCCCTATAATCTCCATGAATGACTCTGTAACCTACTTAGGAGGCTTATTCAAGTGGTTCAAAACCTAGGCCTGTATTCCAACTGGTTGGCAATCTGTTCATTGATGTTGTTATCTGAATTCATGAAGTGGGCATTACATTGTTTTAAACAAGAAGTATACACAATTGCTTCCCAATCCACTCTCCTCTCAAAACATGTACTGATACATGCATGTATATTTTTGCCACCCTTAAAAATTCACTTTGTAATTACTTTAATGTTAATGTAGAAAAGAGACACGAAAACCTCAAAAAGATTTAGGATTTAGGATTTACTTACCTGCTATATAAAAAAAATCAGGGTCTATCAGCTCTGTTGGAAAGAATGGCTTGAGAAAACTCTGCTTTCATCATTTGAAACTTTTATTTTGGGATTGTGTTTATAAATTTCAGAAAGAGTCCTCTTACCTTCTTCCAGCCCAAGTAAGTGATTGGATTGACGTTTGTATTCATGGACTTTGGCTTGAAATGAAATCTTTTAATTCTGCCTTAGATAGTAAATGCCAACAGTTTAAAGTGGCATGATTCGATCTTTAAATTTGCCCTACTGATGAATGGTGCAAATAGGAAAAAGGAAAATAAAAAGTATTTGCTACCTTGAGAAATACACTCAGTCTCTATTTGATTTTCCTTAGATGTGGGGGTCTGTAATTGTAAGATCTGTTTTTATTCATCGTAACTAGGAAAGCCTCAACATTTTAATTAACAATAGTAATATAAATTACATTAGTTTTATTTCAGTTAGAATTTTTTTCTTTCATGTATTTAATACGAAAATATCCATGCAAGAGTTCCTTCAGCTTAAGTCAGATGTGTTCAGTGGCTGGGGCAGTGCATTAACTATAGTCTGCATGTGAGAAAAACAGCAATTGGCTTTTCACTAGTATTTGTCATTGCTCTATCCTAATGCATTCAACATTTTCCTATTGTGCTATGCTCCACTGTATATCACATTTTACCTATTTGATTCCAAATTTACTTTGTGGTATTAGGTTTTAATTTAGTAATTTACATACAGCTTGGAAAAGTGATTCCTTGAAGATATTGCTTTGTATCTACATGATAATTGACACTATTTGTATTAATATTAAAAGCATTAACCTCTTTTTCCTAGTGGTCCCCAATTTCATTCTTAGCAAAATAAAATTACAGATTCTGTTTTCAAAGAAAATTTGTATATGGGATTTCTTTCCATTCCTTATCTAATGTTAGGATACTGAAGTTAAAGTATGCATTTTCTGTTTTTATATATTTTGTCTTTAAAATATATGTTCAGTTATAAAAGTAATATCAATTCCTTAAATAATTTTTGTAATATACAGGCAAGCCGCAAAAAAAGAACAAATATTCTAGAGTTCCATGAAAGTCATCATATTAAAAATGAAATTTTAAGCAGTTGGACTTCACATTATTTCATAAGAATTTTCAACTCTAATGTATATATAATGATTCTACCAAGTGTGTCATAGTTCACTTAGCTGTTTCAAATATTTTTTTCTACTAAGACTAATTAATACTGTGTGGAATACTTTTATATATAGACCATTTCCATACTTGAGTTTTTTTTAAAATTTGAGTTCTCAGAGGTAGATTTACTGGTTCAAGAGACATTTTTTAAACTTAATATTAGTTTGCAGGGAGCAATCCATAAATCCATGTTTCCTAATACTCTGCCTGGATTTTTTTTTCTGTGTTTGGAGCATCAGATGAGAAGTTGTGAGGAGAAACAATGGAAAAAGAAGAAGGAATCATAGAATCATTGCTGAGTGTTGCTCCCCAGGTTCTTGTTTGCTAACTGAAAGGAATTTGCTGGCTGAAGGGAAGACATGTTGAACACTTTTATTCACCCTATATTCACCCTGAATTCTCTCCCCATGGCCAAGGGACAGTATCAAGACTTCTGTTGTTTCACTGAGACAAGTCAAATTAAGAAACACTTGAGTGTTTATTGTGTCCTTTGTAGGGCTTATGGGCATATACCTCAGCAAAGTAGGCGGGCAATAATTTAGGTCATGCCCATTTAATTTCAAAGGCCAGCTTTAATCTTTTGGGCTGATTGTGATTACTCCAAAAACGGCAGAAAACAACTGAGAAGGGAATACCAGGTCCAGGTTACAGTTCTATGGAGGTTTTGTGTAATCCTGAGTTTTCGCTTTGCAATTTGGCACCATGATAGCTTTTGTATTTTCTTTCCTCTGTTCTACTTTTTCCCATCATGGCAGGTGAACTTCTCAGTGTGCAAGGAATTATATGTAGCTGACTCTTCCAGGGTATGAGAGGTGGGCTGAAGCTATCGGGATAGCAGCTGGCTTCAGTAGTGCTTTTAGCTGTCTAGACTTGTGCTTTCTCATTGATTTTGGTGTCTGGGCATGTCCTTTACTTTCTAAATCATGTCTGCATTTAAATATTTTAGAATATTTTATCCAGCATTTTTTGTTGTTTTTCCCCAAAACTAGTATTTTCAATATTTCTGTGAGAGAACAGGGAGTCCTTTCTAGTATATTGCTGGAAATAAAATATGCAACCTATTCTCTACACAACAGTCAGGGTGATCTTTTAAAGTATACTTTAGATCATGTCAGTCCCCTACTTAAGACCTTCCACAGCTTTTCATTGCTCTTAGATTAAAAGCAAAACCCTTTATGTTTTCTACAAATGTCTGCATGATCTGGCTCCTAAGAATCTTCTTTCTTACCCACTCTTTCTCCTGCTCC
The DNA here is from genome assembly GCF_000001405.40 of Homo sapiens. Classification (NCBI taxonomy): domain Eukaryota; kingdom Metazoa; phylum Chordata; class Mammalia; order Primates; family Hominidae; genus Homo; species Homo sapiens. The sequence continues at coordinate 60,347,303 of NC_000005.10, read as the reverse complement.
TTAACTTCCAGCCACACTGGCCCTCTCTGTTTTTTGAACTAATGGAGCTCATTCCTGCTTGGGGCCTTTGCACTTGACATTCTTTCTGCCCATGTCCTGGACACACTGGCTCTTATGCATCATTCAGTTCACAGCTTAAGTGTCCTCCTCAGAAGGACCTACCCTGTCCACCCTACTGAAAATAGCAAATTTGCTATCACCCAATCATTCTAACCCATCACCCTGTTTAATTGTCTGCCTTAAATTGTTTTGTTTGTCTATTTGTTCACATGTTTACAATTCAGAATATAAGCTCTGTAGGAGCAGGAAACTCTTCTCTCTAGTTCATCACTTCAAGCCCATTACTAAGAACAATGCATTGTTTGTGGAATGAATTAATGATTTAAATAATTAGCCTATATAGTGTCATTTCCAAAGTTGGCAGAATATCATCATTGGAATTTTGTTCTTAAGGGGAACTGGGTTATAGAAATGTGGGAAGAATACTTAATTAGCATTGAAAAACAATGCTTTACTAAGGAATCAAAATCATGAAATGTAAGAGCAAATAGGAGTGTTTATCCCCTTTATTCCAGACTCTATTTTATAGATATAAAAACCGAGACTCTGGGTTGCTGTGAGTGGCTCAGACCCCACAATTAGTGGCAGAGCTGAGGCCAGGGGATGCACATTCTGATTCCTGCATCATGGCTGTTGCTTAATATCTCACCATGAGTCATGGCTACTGCCCAGTAGATTGGGCACAACCATGAATATTAGACTGGCAATTTGCTAGAGATTTTGCAAAACCATGGGAAATGGATTGAACAAATTTTCCTGTCATTTTTGTAAGAGGCAGTAAATAATGGTAATTTGAGTATTAGAGAACAGCATCTGAATACTTTTTCTAAAATTCTACAAGGTGAACATAGAAAATTGTAGCTTTCCTTTCTGCCTATTGCTTTCTGAATGTCAACAGATTGCTTTCTTCAGCTTATGTTAGAATGTCACCAGCAGGACCCACATCTGACATGCTCTGGACTGTCAGAGCCACTCAGCACTAGGAGAACTTTCCAGTTGAATTTCTCTTAAGAAGGTCAGTAGGAATAAGATAAACGAAAAACTTATTCATCATTACCATAATCCTTGTGAAAGTGGAAAAGTTCATCCTGGCAAATTCAAAATCGATTACAAACTCATGCATGTTGCATATGTATTTTTAAAGATTTTTACAAACCCAAATAAAATAAGTAGAAGAAAACAGTAGTGATAAATTTAAAGTTCTTAACTGAATGAGTAGCTTTGAATTTTACTCAACGGATATAAGCTTTGGTTTTTTTTATAAAAAAGAAAACAGGTTTGTTAAGAGACTATGAACATATTTTAGAAATGCTTCAGTGATTTTATCATTTAAATAGAAATTTGGATTATTCTGGAAAACAGTTTGATAATATGTTTCAGGCATTTGAACATATTTACTCTCCTGGCCCAGTAATTGCAGTTTTAGAAATTTATCCTATTTTAGGAATCTAGCCTAGAGAAAAATCTGAAATTCAGTCATCTTGGCATAAGGATGGTTGCAGAAATACTATTAATAATAAAAAGTTGAATAGTACCTAATATTCAAGTAGAGGTATAAATAATTTGTGGCAGGTTCATTTGCTATAGTTTTATGCAACTATTTAACAAATATAAGTAAGATTATTTAAATGATGAAGGAAAACTCTTTCAATATAATGTTAATTTTTTTTTTTTTTTGGAGAGGGAAGAGCTCTTTTATTTAGTAATTCCTGACACATTTTAGATGCTCATCAAATAGTTAATTTTCTTTTCATTGCTTCTTACTTTTCTCTCCCTTTATTTATTTATTTATTTATTATTATACTTTACGTTCTAGGGTACATGTGCACAACATGCAGGTTTGTTACATATGTATACATGTGCCATGTTGGTGTGCTGCACCCATTAACTCGTCATTTACATTAGGTATATCTCCTAATGTTTTCCCTCTCCCCCTTCCCCCACCCCACGACAGGCCCCAGTGTGTGATGTTCCCCTTCCTGTGTCCAAGTGTTCTCATTGTTCAATTCCCACCTATGAGTGAGAATATGTGGTGTTTGGTTTTTTGTTCTTGCGATAGTTTGCTGAGAATGATGGTTTCCAGCTTCATCCATGTCCCTAGAAAGGACATGAACTCACCCTTTTTTATAATATAATGTTAATTTTTTAGAGAGTAAGACCTAAAACTATATATACGTGTATGTAATACGTATATAGTATAATCTCAACTACATAAAAAAAGACAAAAAATTAAAAGATTGCAAAAAAAGTCAAAGTATTAATAAATATTATCTCTAGGATTTGAATAATTATTGCTATTTTCTCCTTTATACTCTTCGTATTTTCACTTTTTCCACAATATGTCTATTATTTTAATAATCAGAAAATCAATATAATTTATTTTAAATCTTGGCAGATGAACATAGTGAATGAACTATGTCAAAATGCGGTTGGAATTTTGTTGAACTTCTTTACAGAAGACTATATAGATGAGTGTTTTTCTAAAAAATCTTTGGATAGATAATAAGATCAATTAAAATTGAGTAAATTCATCTGTTTGCGTGTGTGTGTTTAAACTATTTATCTCTTGTGTGCTACTTAGCTCCTGTATTGCTTTCGTAATAAGACTGAGGTAGTTGGTGAAAATTTGAACAATTCTTGCATAAAGATTTTATTGCATAGGTTATAGGATAAAATGCAAGAGAAATGTTTTGTGGAAAGAGTACTTAGTAGAGAATCAGAAAGGCTTTATGGGTCCTTCATTTTGGTCACTGTTATACCTTTGTCTAATAGACCATTGATATAACTTTCTACTCTATAAGAGATTGATACCTAGTTAAGGAAGGTCATGATATATTCACTTTGTTACAGGAAATTTAAGGTGCCCAGAAAAAAAAAATCAAGAACCAAAACTAACGAATAGAGAGCTCTATTGTTATTGACTGAAGTATAAACTTAGATCCCTTAGCAAAGCGAAACTCACAGTCCATACAAAACCCCTTGCTATGTCCGTTGGAGAAGGATTGGCAGCAAGATAGCAAGTATGTGGAGGATCATTGTTCATGAAGCAGGGGTAGATAGGAGCCTTTTCATATACTTCTAACCTTTTTTATTGTCTAACCTATTGTTATGTTGTCTCATTAAGAAGAGGCAATATAATGTAGTGGCCAAGAGGTATGACTTAAGAATCACTGGACTCAAAATTTGCCAGTTTATAACTCTGTAATCCTGGACAAACTACTCCCAATTTTCTAATTTGGAAAATGTGGATGATAATGGTCCAAAAAAAAAAAAAAGATGAGTCATCTTAAGTATTTGAACCAGAGAGAATTTAATTGGCTATGCAGCTGAGGGAAGAGCTGAAAAGCCAAATGGGGTCATTAAACAACCCGAATATTAGCAATAGCAGGAAGCATCCACTAATTCTAATTTGAAGGGACAATATGTTGGAGACAGTGTTACTGGGTCCACAGACTGAGGTCACTGGAATTATGGTGTAACTGGAGGAGGCATGGGAGAAAGCTTTTTGATGGTAGAGATTCTGCTCAAGGCACCGAGAGAGGAGAGAAATATCTTGGTGTTCCCATCTTTCGACCCTCCAGTCTTGTAGCCAAACACAGCCAGAAGTCAACTGACAAGGGACTCTGCATTGCCTCTCTTTAATACAGAGCAGAGAAGGAGAAAGGTGAAGAATGGATGTGTGACAGGCAACAATTCCTACCTCAGAGGTATTATGCCTAAAGCATTTAGAACAGTGCCTGGAAGATATGTGCTTAATAGACACTACCATTATCATCGTCATCATCATCATCATTGTTATCATCATTGGTGCCATTTGCAGAGTAGCAACATCTCTTTGTGAATGTACTTTACAGGTTGGATGCTATGAGATTGTTTCTAATTACAGCCCTTTTCCGGGCCCTGCTGTGGTCAGGTTGCTAGTCATTTCAGCATTTTTAGTGTTTGGTGAGGCAGGGGTGTTCCACCTTCCATTCTCATCTACCCTGCGTTGATTACATTTAGAGTCAGCAGACCTAGTTCATTGATGACAAGAACTGAGCCACGCAATGTTCTAAAGAATCCAGGCAGTTTTAGGAGCATGATAAAAATTCACAACCCTGTGGGAAATGACCCTTGGAAGTTAACTTTAAAATTAATGATTTTAAAATTAGGATTTCCTTACATATCCTAGTCCCTTTAGAGTTGAGCTTAGCTTTGTCCTGCAAAACTGAAAGAATACATATTTAATTTTTTTGGTATTTTCTGTAGCATGGCATTAAAATTAATAAATTTAAAGGAATAGAAGCTTGACAAGATGCCTTAATAGGCCCACCAGGAATAATCACATAGTTGCCTATTTTGAAGCATAGACATAAAATTAAAAAATTCCATCCAGATAAGTCACGAGGCTTTGCCAAAGTGCCCTCTTAAATTGCTCCCCTTTTGAGAATGCACTATTTATTGTAGCATTTTGCTGAGCCCTTGGGAATTTCTCTTCTGAGAGACTTTTACCAGTATGAAAAATAGCAGCTTTTCTAAGTTTTGGAATATTGTCAGTCTTTTTTTTTTCATTGGTTTTCCGATTATCCTATTCTCAGAAATAACATTTATTGATCTCAAGGAGTTAAACATTGTCTTGTTTTCTCTGGTTCTGTATTCTTCACCTTTAAGACCAGATCCCAACTAAGTAATAATAAAAGATAATAATGGCTAAGAGTTTTTGAGCTTTCCTCCACGTCAGTTATTGTTCCCAGCACTTTGGTTTCATTCTCTCATTTGATGTGATATAGGAACTTGTAACAACCCTATGAGACAGGTGCTTCACTTTAAAGACTAAGATACTGACGCAGAGGTTATAAACCTCCCCCACGGTCACAAAATCATGCTGCTGGACTGAGCTCGCACCTTCCACTACTATTAATACATGGTAATGTTGACATCTTATTGTAAATGTTAAACAATAAAGCGTAAAGGGAAAGAAGTAAATGCAAAAAAATGGTCAAAGCAGGAGATGATTTTAAAGAGCATCTGGTTCAGTCTCCCCTTTTACAGCTGAGAAAACCAATCTCTAGAAAAAAGAAATGAGCCTTTTGATTATAAAGCAGACTGCCTAACAAGTATCAAGTCATCTCACTTATTCTTCTCTGTCTTCCATGATCACAGAGTTCTGACCATGTCCTGTGTCACTCTCAAGCAGAGATTGAAAATGACATTCGTCCTTTACTTGTTCCAAGGAAGCAAACATTTTATAGTTTGAAACTGTTTCTCTTGCATTTGCTTTGCAAGAGGTTTGCAGAAGTTAAGCCTCATGGAGTCTTCTCTCCTTAACTTAAGTGAGTGGATTGCTTATTGCTCTTCTTTGCCTGTAAATTCATGTTGATTAGACAGTGGTGGGGTGGAGGGCTGATGGGTCTGTGTTTGGTTGGCAAGCTAACTCCAGCATCCTATAATTACTACATTTTCAATCTGGTGCATAGTTCTGAGTTTTGTACATCCTTATGTGGCTCTACACTCTTTGAGGTTAATTTTGGCCTTGGATGGTGCCCTTTTAAAGGCAGGGTAATAGCAACACAGTGTTTTTGCTTGGGAAACGCTCTGTGTATGGGCTTCTTCTCTTGGTTTTAAGTATTAACAAGGTAGTAAGTATGAAAGGTGCTGTGTTTGGAGTCTTTAAATGGACTTGGCATTTGGCTTGTCTACAATCTTTCAGGAATTTTAATCCTGATATTCAGATTTGAGTCACACACCTGGGGAGTGGTGACCATAGCTCTTCCTTACCCCTCCAGCTCCACTTCTGGGTTAGCATGAACTGACCACTGTAACCTGCTCTCAGGCTCTACACAAAGGTGCTTCAGAATCTGCCTGTGGCCACTTCTGTGAAAGGGCATGGTCACAGTCACCGTGGCATGGATAGAAAACTGGAGAGCAGCAGGAGGAGCCCAGGGATAGAGAGAGGAGGCCTGGATGCCTGCCTGGGCTCTGTGCCATGCCTTGGGTAGGCCACTTGACTACTTTAAACCAAGTTGACTCTCCTGTAATGCAATAGGGGTTTAATGATCTCTGTGGCTCTAGAGTTTTGTAGTTTCTACTGTTCTTTGAAGCATGAACATTAATTCAACAGAAGAAAAAAAAACCAAACATTTTTCATTCAGAACAGTTTCAAGATATTGCTCTGACTCACTGGATGGCAAATCATAGTGAAAGGGAAGTCTGACTCGACTTCCATTTTGCATTACTTTTGGCCAGCATGGCTCTTTATGGTGTACTTGTTGTATAATAAAACAGCTCTCTAGAGAATACTCTTACATTTACTTACTGAGAGATAACAGAAGTTCCGAATAAAAACTCATAGAAATGGAAGACTGGGAAATTATTTTTTCTTTTTTCTATTACATACAGAGGAACAAAGGCTGATATTTGTGTTTATGCCCCTTTCTGAGGACAATGTCCTTGAAAATCCATATTATTATTATTTGTCTTTATATGTAATTGGATTGTTTAAACTCTTCTCTGAACTTTGTAGCTTTTTCATTATATCTCTTTTGCTGGAATATTAATAAAACTCCACTTAAATAGCCACTTTATTCTGTAAATTTTATTTAAGGCCTGAACTTGGCCGCAAATGAGAGTACTTGTGGTTTTTTTTTTTTTTTTTTTAAATGATGTGACTGCTTTGTGAAGGGACATAATGAGTCTGTGTTCTCTTCTATTCCTCTTCAACAACTTTGTCAGGAAAGAAGGCTATTATGATTTCTTGGAGATGTGGGAGGATTGTGGCATCACCATGTCCTAGTCATGGATGAAAGGAGAAACTATTATACCAGGGTAACATCTGAGGCCTGAGATAAAATTCCCATTACAATCTCTTTAAATATTTCTGTGTTTAAATGGGATGAGAAGACTATCCACTCCACAAATGTAATCCCTTTTCTTCCTCAGCCTAGTGAAACTTATTGTTTCTTTTCCCTAGATAAAAAAAAAAAAATAGGATGCTGTACAGGTTCTTTTGGCTTGTTAAAAGACAGATAATTCACAGATTTTGCTTTTCTGTAGCTTATGCAATGTCTGAAAAGGCGCTGTAAGCAGGGATTCCCTGAACATCGCGCCGTGGGCCCGGATCCCTGTTTTGCTTTCTTCAGAGAGCTCACTGGCAGCCTCCCTGATGCTTTGTGCCAGTTTTTAGGCGCTCCAAAGCCACATGCACATTGACATAATCTCCGGTGGTTTTGGCTGGTTTATAATCTGGCTTATTGAGGTTTGGTTCAAGGCAGAGGCCTTTAGGGCAGGGATCTTCTGTGAGCTGAAATAAAAGGGTCTGGTTTGGAGGAGATTTGACTCTGCCAAATAAAAGCGGCACATTTCCAACTGCACATGCTGAGTTGCCTCGGAACACATCCATGCAGAACACAGACATGCATTAGGCAGCTAGTTTGTGGAAGGCAGTGTGCTGAGCACAAGGGGGAATAGAAAGACACATGGCTGCCGTGAAATAACTGCTTCCAGAAAGCACATGTCGAGTTGGAAGGATGAGCCAGAAGACACACAGAGAATATTACTCAGCCTAAAATGTGACGTCCCGAAAGCGTGCTAGTATGAGACCCACAGAGTTGGAGAAGAGATTTTCTTTCCAGTGGGGAAAATCCAGGTTAGAAAGACCAGACAGGCCATATTACCGGAGGCACCCTTTATTTCAAGTTTGGCTTTTTGTGGTTTCGGTTACCTGCAGTCAACCGTGTCCGAAAATATTGAGTGGAACATTTAAGAGATACACAATTCGTAAGTTTTAATTTGCATTCTGTTCTGAGTAGTGTGATGAAATTTCATGCCATCCTGCCTGGGGTGTGTAGCATCCCTTTGTCCAGCATGTCCATGCTGTCCATGTGACTCGCCTGGAGGTCCCTTAGTAGCCGTCTCATTAGCAGATCCACCTTCGAGGTATGGAAGTGCTTGTGTTCAAGGAACTCTTAGTTTACTTAATAATGGCCCAAAGTGCAGGAGTGGGGATGCTGGCAATTTGAATATCCCTAAAGTGCTTCCTTTAAGCTAAAAGGTGAAAGTTTGAACCTAATAAGGAAAAAAACAAAAATTATATGCTGAGGTTGCCAAGGTTTATGCTAAAAATGAATCTTCTATCCATGAAGATGTGAAGAGGGAAAAAGAAATTCATGCCAGTTTTGCTGTTGCACCTTGATCTGCAAAGGTTATGGCCACAGTGTGCAATAAGTGCTTAGCTAAGATAAAAAAGGCATTGAATTTGTGGGCGGAAGACATAAACAGAAATGTGTTCTGATTGACCGCAATTAGGTTTGGTACTATCAGTGCAGTTTCAGGCCTACACTGGGGGTCCTGGAACATATGCCCTGCAGATAATGGGGGACTGTCGTATAGAGCCCCTGGATACTAATGGTGCTAGGGATTCAGGCCCCTCTCCTATTTTGGGAAGGGGCAACCTCAGCATATAATTTTTGTTCTTTCCTTATTAGGTTCAAACTTTCACCTTTTAGCTTAAAGGAAGCACTTTAGGGATATTCAAATTGCCAGCATCCCCACTCCTGCACTTTGGGCCATTATTAAGTAAACTAAGAGTTCCTTGAACACAAGCACTTCCATACCTCGAAGGTGGATCTGCCAAAGAGACGGCTACTAAGGGACCTCCGGGCGAGTCACATGGACATGTCGTGTGTATGGAACCTTGGAAAGAGGCTGTCCTTACCTCCCTGTGCATTCTGGCAGCCCCTGGCACTGCTCATAGATAGCCATGTGACTCAGGCTGGGACTCTGACTCTAGAGCGAATGGGTTAAAGGTCAAGAGGCTGTTAGAACTTATTGTTGGTGTCAGTGGTGGCGCCCATTGGCTTTCAGTGGCGGCGGCAGCAGCAGTGTCCTGGCTGTAATTCTTGCTACAGGATAGTGGTCGTGATTCTTGCTCCTTGGCATCTTGCGCGCCTGGGTTTTTGCTCATTTTCTGTCCTTAGTGATGAAGACTTCTACTGAGTCTGAACCTGCATGTCCTTCCAATGGAGTCTACTTTTTTCTCCTCCAGCTAGCCAAGGCCGGTTTCTGTTACGGCAAGCAAGAATTCCCACAGCACCTGAGTGTCAACGGCTTTCATCGTTTGTGCTGACCCACCTGTGCAGCTGATCGTCTGCCTTTTTTCTCCGGCTACTCACCTTCCTTTATCTACCTATATAACTCCCTGCTTTGAAGGCTGAACTCCAGCATTTTTAACTTTTCCTGAGTTATTGAAGAGACTTTACTGTTTACTATTCCTCTGTACAGTACAACATCTTATAATTGCCCATTATACAGATTTTTTTTACATTGTATGTCTTTTTTTTTATTATTATTTGTTTCTGTTTGCCTACTAGCCCATGAGGAATGTTTTTTGGTAGGAACTCTATTTTCATCTTTATAGTTCCAGATCCAGCTAAGATTACACTCTGGTTGCGTGACTGAACAAATCTGTTTGCAGGGAGAGATGTGGTGTTGGAATTGTGAACCTATGGAGAATGAAAAAAATAGAATAGCTGTTGTGAGGCATTTACTCTGGTGATACTAAGGGAGGAATAAAATGGTGTCTGAAATGTGTGAGGGCCGTCTGATACCGAGTAGTGTACATTTATTTTCCACTTAAAAAAGTCTGGTTTATTTAGGTATTATTTATTTACAGTAAAATCCATCCCTTTTATTGTAGAGTTCTATAAGTTTTGACAGATGCATATAGTCATGTGTATACCACCAGAATTAATGTATAGAACAGTTTGATCACCTCCCCTCAAAAGCTCTCCCTCCTTCTTATAGCCAGTGTCTCCCCACATCTTCAGCTCCTGGAAACAACTGATCTATGAATTGATATATGTGTGTGTGTGTGTGTGTATATATATATATATATATATATATATATATATATATAGTTTGTTTGTTTGTTTTTTGAGACAAAGTCTCTCTCTGTTGCCCAGGCTTGAGTGCAGCAGCACAATCTCAGCTTACTACAACCTCTACCCCCCGGGTTCAAGTGATTCTCCTGCCTCAGCCTCCCAAGTAGCTACGATTATAGGTGCCTGCCACCATGCCCAGCTAAATTTTTTTTTTTTTTTTTTGTATTTTCAGTAGAGACAGGGTTCACCATGTCGGCCAGGCTGGTCTCAAACTCCTGACCTCAGGTGATCCACCGGCCTTGGCATCCCAAAGTGCTGAGATTACAAGCATAAGCCACCACATCCAGCCTATCAATTTATATTTTAAGCAGTTATCATAGTTCTACAACTTTCCAGAATAATGTTTTATACACCAGGAAGATAAAATAATTGGATAGTGGATTTTTGTCTAGGAATAGAGTTGCTGAAATTAGGAAATTAAAATAACATGTATTTATACTAAAAATTATCCATTACTTATATAAAATTCAGTGTAATTGGGCATCCTGTATTTTATCTGGCAACCCAACCCAACCCCACTGGATGGGTATTGCCAGTGTGGGAACTGTTAGAATTGAGGGTAAGTGTGAAATTGGCAGACAGAGAAGGAAACTGCAAGAAGAGACCATGGATCCTATCAACAGAATCATTCAGCCATTCAGACACTTTGTGACAACCTAAAAAGAGAGGAGGGAGTGAGATTTTTGTATGAAGTAAGAATTCACTTGTTTGTACATGAACAGCATATGCTAGCCTGCTTTGAAGACTGAAGTTCTTGGCTTTCCAGTTTATAAACCAGTTCTATCTGGGCAGCTTGCAGCCAAATTGTGTTGTGGAGGAATGGGACTCAGGAAGCACGGGCACCCTGAAATAGGTGGATGTGGTCTGTGGAAAAGGTGGAAGCACACACTAGGGTTCTACCCTTAAGAAAATGAACCTTTGCTGAGTTATCAAAGTGAGTACTTGCTATTTCTCAGGATAGCCATGCCACAAACACATATTTACAGTAAAATTCAAGTTGGTAACAATTAAAATGACTGACCTCTAGTTTATCTATATATTATTGGAACAAAAGGGCTTACTGAGCAATGCCAAGGAAAGAAACTTCCAAGTGGGTTCTTCTTACTCTACATAAAAGAATAAACTATTTTAAAAGACTTTTGGCAAGTCCACTGTTTATACTACCATAAGTCTTACCTTTCTGTTTTAAAGCAAGCTTGGCAGGACAGTTACTTGGAAATAAGTTGTCAGTGTTTGGTCGGAGTGGTAGCAGTTGTGTCTGGAATTCTTCATTCTTTTCCTCGCTCTCCAATAACCTACCCTGTGAGGCTGTCTCCAACCCCAGAGCCCTGACCAAGTGACCATGCTGCTAAGCTGCTTGATAATAGTTTAATATCAGTAAAGGGACACAAGTTTAAAATTATTTGACATATTAGTGCTATCAGTTAATGACTTAAAAATAGCATCTTTGGTTTCTAGGTGTTGACAAAGATTCTCTAACTTACCAAACTTTAGCCATGCTCCTCTGAACCCCCTTCTTGACTAGGCCTTAACTTCCTATCACAACTACAGATTCTCAACACCAATGATTTCATCCACTCGTGCCCCACATTAAAAGACTTACACAAACACTAGAATAATTTCTAACAGCTCAAGGCCACATCCCTAGGACTACCCTACCCCACTTAGGATGCCTGCCTGAGGAAGCTCAAGGTTGCCAGGAGAGTTTACTATTTCTTCTAGCCAACACCCTGGAGCTAGGCCCAACCACCCTTTCTTAGAGCATTTACTAAAAAGGGCTTACAATTGTGAATCCTTGCCCTGTAACCTTTGATAAATATATGCACTTCCTACTGCTCAAGAGTGTCTTTCTCAAGGACCCAAGAGCCATTCTTCTAAAAAGTAACCATCAGGAGAGAGAGGGCCTCTGTCTTTTGGTATCTGGGCAGATAGAATCCTAACTCCCATAATTGTCTAATCAACTTTAATGTTGACCAACCCTTTGTAATTTTTCACTCTCTGACTTCACTGAGCCTGCTCTCACCCCTTCCCTTTTCTACTCTCTCATTCCTCTTCTGAAATACACAGTCTCCTCTGTGCAAATCAAGGTTGAGTTCAGTTCACACTGCACTCCCTTCCCTATTGCAATAGCGTATTAGTGGTTCAAATCTGTCCTCCCCACTTTAACTAGTGTCTGGCTTCCTTTATCTCTGACAGTGTGAAGAATTTGGAAATTGCAAGGAGCATGGGAAGGAGATGATTTGGGGTAGGCATCTTTTATTTTTTAAATCACATTGCATACAGGTGGCTGTCTCTTCTGCTCATACTCCTAGAACAGGCCTTTGGTGTATTTTGCTATATATAGGAGACTGGGACTAGAAGGTCACCCTGTTCAGCTGTTTTCAGACTATCATTAGGTTGTAAATGGAATCCATTAAAAAATTATATGGAATGCACAAAATAAAGCAGGTGAAGGCAAAATTACTCTTATGGAAACAGGGGTAGGAAATCTAGAATCGTATTTATTCCTTCTTTTCTCTTTATACTTATTTGGGGAGTCTTAGCCTCATTAAGAACAACTGGGAGGGTAAAACACAAGTTTACAAGAAAACTAGTTTCCTCCCTTTCAGAGTTCTTTCCATCCTGGCAGCTGAATGGACTCAGCAGCTCTCGGGGGCAGTGGCTTGAGTGTGCTGGGCTTGTGTCTCCTAAATAGGAAATACTACCCACAATGGGATAAAGGACCCACAGGGACTCTATAACTGGGGAATTAGAGGACACATCTTGTGTAATTCTGGCAGAAGGGCTAGGCATGAAGTCAGAGCAGGAGATGACTCAGAAATCCTGATGCTTAGAGACATTACCCTGTGGCTACTGGGATCACTGCGATGAACTTTGCCTGAGGTCTGTAATGTGATTTACAATAATTATTCTATTCCCTTACTCACTAGCTTGACAAGATGAACAAGTTAATGTTATTAGCTTCTCAAATTGGAAGATGATAATTATTAGGTGGGTCCATTGGGAGTCAGGCTGGGGTGAGTTGTTATCAAATCAGAAGGAGTTATCAGTAGGGCACTAGTAATCAATAATGATTGAATGTGGGCTACCAGAATTTGCCTTTTCATGATGTATACAGGACTTGTTTACATAACCAGGTCTTCAAGAAGATAAAATTAGGAAGACATCCAGATAACAGAAATGTGGAGAGACCTTGATATCATATTATGATTGAGAAAGAAAAAACACATAGACATTGACATTGGGAAGGAATGACTACATCCAGTTATGGCAGCAAAGCTGTGTGTTGATTGATATTGTGAGAATGAATCAGTGATTGGGCACTGTGGCTAGGACAGAAAGGGTGACCCTGAGAGCCACAGTGCTTTTGTGTGTGACAGCCATGAAGAAAGCTTATCTGGACTTGATATTGACCCGTTGTGTATTTCCGTATTTTTTCTCTCTTTTCTCTCCTTTTCCTCCACTCTTTCCCTCTTCTCTTTCAACCTCATGTTGAAAAAAAACCTGAAGTTTGCTTGTGGAAATGGGTGAGATTTGTGAGTTATGATGAATTGGAATTATTTGCAATCAAATGGAAAGTTGTAACAACAGGTGTGGATGGATGCAGCTCACACATAATGCATGTGGTGAATTGAGGAAGCTGGTAGAAGTTTGGGGCGTGATTGACAGGTTTAAATGTAGCAGAAATAGAGTAGTTGCTTTTGGCATTTTAGATTTTTAAATAATACTTTGTTCAGGCCACACATTAGTTAGTCAGACACAGAGTTGGAACCATATTTGGAACCTTCTGAGCCTCCACGTGGGCTTGTTCATCGTCCTTATGTTAGGGTGACAAGGTTCGGAGCTAAAACCAGAGAGAGAAAGCCACAGCAGAAGCCTCTTCCAGACCCACTGTGTCAGTTTTGAACTGAGGCATTTTCTGTCCACAGCCATATGCAGTGTGAACAGGCCACAGATGTACATCAAGTGAGTGGGTGAAATAACGTTTGGTGGGAAATGATGACAGTTTTATGGCATTAGTCCTTGAAGCCCCAGGTGCACTTATTCATCTTTAATATATTTTAAGCTGTTAGCCTTGGGGATATTTCAGCCTGTTTGCATCTGTATTTTAAAGATGAGCCCTGGAGTGAATCAGTGAGGGGAGCGAGTCATACCTGAACTAGGAGAAGAGATGAATGAATCTTTGTAGGAGAAGAGTTAAGTGGATCTAGTTATCCCTGAACAAGGAGAATATATCAGGGTAATGAAGAGACCTAGAGGAAGGTCATCGTTTCCTTTTAACCAGCCAGCTGGTTGACCTTCCTGCATCTGCCTTAGAGCCAGCCTTGGCCTGGGCAGCTTGCACCAAGCTTTGCATATGCCCCTTGGATGTCAGGATGCTATACCTGGATTATCCTGGCACAGAGCATGAATTATAATTCCTGATCTCAGCATATTCTACCCTTTGACTTCTCTGTTAGGGATTTTGACTCTTCTGCTTCTGACTTTTCGATGAATCATGTCTCCTTGACAGAGAGAAGGCTCTTTTTTTTAAAATGACTCATAGCCATATCTATATATAACCACTGAGTGATAAATAACTCATAGCCATAGCTACATATGGCCACTGAATTGAGTGATTAATAATTCTGTTGTTATAAATTTGAGTGAATATATTTTGGTCAATTATGTGGTTGTGGCTATAAAGATAGCTAATAATCTTTATTAGAATTTGGATACTGTTGATTTTTTTCTTGTAATTTTATAACTTCCATTTCCCTGTGGTACATATGCAGTGTGGAATACTATGCAGACATAAAAACAATAAAATCATGTCCTTTGTAGCAGCATGGATGCAGCTGGAACCCATTATCATAAATGAATTAATGTGAAAAACAGAAAACCAAATGTCCCATCTTTTCACTTATTAGTGGTAGCTGCTTATAAGTAACTGGACACACACAGACATAAAGATGGAAACAATAGATACTGGGGACTCCGAAAACAGAGAGGGAGGGGGGCAAGGGCTAAACAACTTCCTTTTGGATACTATGTTCACTATCTGGACAACAGGATCAATAGAAGCCCAAACCTTAGCATCATGCAGTGTATCCCTGTAACAAACCTGCATATGTACTCGCTGAATCTAAACTTTAAATTTAAATTTTAAAAAAAATTCAATGTTTGGACTTAGGCTTAAATTTCTAGAACTTTTTCCACCTCTAAGTTGTCATTATACAAAGTATGTTTAATAGTAGCTGGAAGAGTTATTTAAATCCACACACTAACAGCAACCACAGTGAATACGGTTTAGGTAATATTTTCTTTTATCCAACAGCTAGAGTGAGATGCACAGAACAATGAACAAGCACCTCAAGACCTTGGACTTGTTAGAGATTCAGAGTGAGTTTCAAAGCAAGAAAAGGCAGGAACATGAGTAGCATTCCTATAAAATAGCTACTGAAGCAGAGTAGCTAAGGAAAGATGATTGTTGTAGAAACACAATCAGTGAAATAGTCTGGTAGAAAGACTATTCCTTAAAATTCTTATACTCCCATAGAATTTACTTCTAAACCATACTGCCCTTAGACTTGAGCAACAATATTCCCTGCCCAGCCCTGCATTTCAGAGGATCCTAATTAAACCCTCCTCTTGCCTTCCCCTTCCCCACAGGGTGAGCATTCTGTAAGTCCAAGTAATCATATCCCCTAACCCTCCCATGTAAGCCATGGTCTGGGTATCTGGACTCTAGAATTTCCTGCCAGGGTAGTCCAAAACCAAGACACAGGTCTATCCTTCAGGGGGAAGTTTGCGTTCCACACAAAGGGAGGCCAAGGGGCAGGGAATGTGAATGAATGAGAAACCATGGCGTCCATACATAAGTTTGCAAATCTCAGTGAAAGAATAAGTTGGCATGAAGAGAAGGAGGGGTAGGAGAGAGCCTGGGGGCCAGCTTCTTCTGAATAAGTAAATTCTGGTGCAGGGCTTTTCTTAGGTGCGTTGCATATGTTACCTCATTTAATCCTGCAGAACACTTCAGGGTAGTGTTCTACTGTCACATTATGGGACAGGGAAATGAGGCTCAGGGGAGTTAAGTAACAGACCCAAGGCAACTGACTTGGTAAGAAGTTGAGCTGAGATTAAACCTTAGGTGATTGAGCTCTAAAGTGCATGTATTTTTCTACCTTGTTATGCTGCCTGTGATCAGTATCTTTGCTTTTATAATTTCCCAGTTCTTTCCAGAACCTAGCCTGGTCCTTGCACTTGGTGACATGCAATAAATATTTGCTGAGTAACTAACAAAACAGACCATTTATTCACCTTTACTAGTTATTTATTATTTATGTATTTATTCACCTTTACTATTAATGGTATATACAATACAACAGTGGTGTAGGTGAGGAATTTCATGTCAAATATACTGAAAGGGACAGTTCACTCCTGATCCATCTGTACTGGATGGATGTGTTGATCTCCCTGTGGCCATGTAGCTTTTGGGCTTATCTCTCCATTTGTCAGTTTAGTAAATTGCTGCAAATGTTCTGGCTAGCAAGGACTCAAATGTCCCAGAACAAACTTTTGCTCAAAGAAAATATTAATAAACACCATATATGCTTCTGTAGTCCAAAATGTTTTTCTTTTCTTACTTAAAAATGGCACAAACTCTGAGTATTAAGGTGATTCAAGAAGTTGTGAGAATGCCTGTTTCTCAGGAGTTGATTGGCAGGGTCCCTCTGTTGGTGCGGCCCTGCTTGTCTGGGCTGTAGTTCTTCCATGTGTGTGGGCCACCCATGCTGGCTCCTGGAATGGTCAGTGTGCTGTCCTGGGGCTTGGTCTTTCCCTCCGCTCACCCCCACTTATCATGGATGCCAAGACCATTCTCTGCTGTTGGCAGAAAGCCATGGAACATACTTCCCTAATTCCTGCTATAGGCTCATTTGGTATTTTCCCCATGTGCTCCCATTTGTACACTTAATTGTTTGGGCTTATTTGTCTGTCTTCCTTGCTAAACTGTAGGCTCATTTGCGCACAGGCTTTGTGTCTCTCTTGTTTACCATTATATCATCACATCTAACACAATGCCTGGTACATAGAATACTTAATGAATTTTTACAGAATGACAATGGACTGCCATCATAATTGAGTCATTAACTACTTTTTCAAAAAAGTTCTAGCATTAAGGTATCAGATCAAAGTTTCCTTTCACAAAAATCTTACATTTTCCTCTATACTGTAATTGTATCTACCTGCTTGGAGACTCACCAAGAGTGTAGTCACTGTGTACCCTCCCAGAGTGACTTTTTTTATCTCATTTAGAACTATTTGTTACTGTGATTCTCTTAAGCAAATGGTTTTGCCCACGCAGAGCTGTTTGCTCACTGACACAGGCTTAACTGGTTAAAGAACTCACAGGTTGTTTCTCACCATTAATGGCTATTATGTTATTTTACCATCAGTTATACCTCATTTCTGCTTCTATCTTTACAACTGCAGGCTTTGGTCATTTTTAAAGTCGTTCAAGTTTAGATTGCATTGACATTAAATCAAATCATAGAGGACAAACAACTATATATTTTCACCGAGAGTGGGCACAGTAAAGAGTTCCCAGGCTTTCTCTCCGACTTTTAGATAGGTCTTTTTCAGAAGCTTCCTATCTCCCTAAGAAGTCTGAGAGTTATTACAATTTCTTTACCCTTTGCTTACATATCCCATCACATAGAAAACCATTTAATAGAATCTATTGTAGCAGAGGCAGAACTTTACCTCTGCTCTCATAGAGTCCCAGGTAGAACTGATGGTGAAATTGACATAAGGTAGATTAATAGGTACATTAGTCCATTCTCATGCTGCTAATAAAGACATACCTGAGACTGGGTAATGTATAAAGGAAAGAGGTTTAATTGACTCACAGTTCTGAAGGTCTGAGGAGGACTCAGGAAACCTACAATCATGGTGGAAGGGGAAGCAAACATGTCCTTCTTTACATGGTGGCAGCAAGGAGAAGTGCTGAGCGAAGCAGGGGAAGTGCCCTTTGTAAAACCATCAGATCTCATGAGAACTCACTCACCATTATAAGAACTGCATGGAAGTAACCCCCCACCCATGATTCAATGACCTCCTACTGGGTCCCTCTCATGACACATGGGGATTATGGGAACTACAGTTTAAGATGAGATTTGGGTGGGGACACCACTAAACCACATTAATAGGATAAAAGCATGTAAGTTTTACATAACACAGGAGCCCTCATAAGGAAATGAAGACCCAAACAAGTGGCCAAACCTAAATGCTTTTATACTTGGTTGAACAAAGAGAGACGACTGTGAAAAAGTAACTAAATTATGTGGGAAGACTAAAGGAAGATCAATAAGAATTATTTTAACAAGGTCTGTGTGTACAGAATTCTCTTAGTTGTGACTCCCCATCAAAGAATGTTTCTTTTCTCCTGGCAGAAAGACAGCAACTTTCACATGTGAGATTTTATCTCCTGTTTTCAGGGAAAAAAGGGAAAAGATTAGGGTGCGCTTTTTGCATCTGCTGTTATTCAAGTGCCCTTAGTTCAAACTAATCCTTATACCAAAATGGCATATTCTGGGGTACATATTCTGCCATTCTTCACTACTAAATAACAGAACATATGCTTACCTATGTACTAGCTATTTCATTTCTGGTATGTGCCAAACAGAAACATATATGCATGAGCCCAAAAAAATCTACAAAATCTTTATACCAGCATTATTTGTAATAATCCAAATGGAAAACAGTCCAAGTTTCCATCAACAGAAGAATGCATACCTAAACTGCCATATAGCAAATATATAGTGAAATATTATACAGCAATGAAAATGAAACAGTAGTTTTACTGCTATAGGCAACAATATAGATGAATATAATAAACATAATGTTGACTAAATCAATTAAAAAAGAGTACATACTGAATGACTTGATTCCATTTGTATAAAGTTCAAAAATTGGTCAGATAATATTGCCATTTGGGAGATAATAACTGGGATCCTGTCTTTTTCCCTTGGAGAGCTAGAAGAATGGACTCTTCTCAGAAAGGTGACCAAAACTTCATAAAATCTCCTTTCCCCAGAACATTATTATTTACTTACCTAGGTGCTGCCAACCACACCCCATTGTGTCCCTTTAGTCATTGTATGGAAGGAGGTCAAATGCCTTAGTCTCCCAGTGACTAGAGCTAGATATCCAGCCATATGAACAGTTTGTTAAAACCAGGACTCTGAATTCTAATGCCCAATAAGGAGGGTTGTACTTTTGTGAAAATAGGCTGGTGACAATTATCTGAGGTCAGAGGAAAGATTCTGTCATCATCATTGTCATGATCATAATTCTTATTTTGGTTTCTTTACTCATGTTTTTAAAAATTATATTTGTAGAAGCTATTATGTTAGGTTTAATAGAAATGTAGAAAAAACATAAAAATCATTTGCTCAGTGTGATGAATTTTCATATACTGAATATATCCATGTAACTTCCACATAAATGTTTGCGATACTCATCTATATTGTTGCCTGTAACAGTAAAACTACTGTTTCATTTTCATTGCTGTATAATATTTCACTATATGTTTGCTATATGGCAGTTTAGGTATGCATTCTTCTGTTGATGGAAACTTGGACTGTTTTCCATTTGGACTATTACAAATAATGCTGGTAGAAACATTTTTGTAGATTTGTTTTGGCTCGCACATACACGTTTCTGTTTGGCATATACCAGAAATTAAATAGCTGGTACATAGGTAAGCATATGTTCTGTTATTTAATATTGAAGGATGGCAGAATATGCACCCCAGAATATGCCATTTTGGTATAAGGATTAGTTTGAACTAAGGGCACTTGAATAACAGCAGATGCAAAAAGGGCAGTCTAATCATTTTCTTTTTCTTCCCCCTGAAAACAGGAGATAAAAACTCACATGTGAAAGTTGCTCTCCTACTACCAAGAGAAAAGAAACATTCTTTGACAAGGAGTCATAGCCAGAAGAATCCTGTACACACAGACCTTGTTAAAATATTCTTATTGATCTTCCTTTAGTCTTCACACGTAATTTAGTTACTTTTCCACAATTGCCTCTCTTTGTTCAACCAAGTATAACAGCATTTAGGTTTGGCCACTTGTTTGGGTCTTCATTTCCTTATGAGGGCTCCTGTGTCATGTAAAAGTTATGTGCTTTTCTCCTATTAATCTATCTTATGTCAATTTCATTATCAGGTCTACCTGGGACTCTAAGAGAGCAGAGGTGAAATTTTGCCTCTGCTACAGTAGGTTCTATTAAACGGTTTTCTATGGCATGGGATATGTAAGCAGGGGATAAAGAAATTGTAATAACTCTCAGACTTCTTAGGGAGTTAGGAAGCTTCTGAAAAAGACCTATCTAAAAGTAGGAGAGAAAGCCTGGGAACTTTTTACTGTGTCTACCTCAGTGAAAATACATAGTTGTTTGTCCTCTATAATTTGATTTAATGTCAATGCAATCTAAACTTGAACGACTTTAAAAATGACCGAAGCCTGCAGTTCTAAAGATAGAAGCAGAAGTAAGGTATAACTGATGGTAAAACAATATAATATCTGTTAATAGTGAGAAACAATCTGTGAGTTCTTTAACCAGTTAAACCTGTGTCAGTGAGCGAATAGCTCTGTGTGGGCAAAACCATTTGCTTAAGAGAATCACAGTAACAAATAGTAGTTCTAAATGAGATAAAAAGTCATAAGAAACATTATGTACCTGATGGAATGTTTCAGGTGAAATTGGGTCACTCGACTGGTTGTTCATCCTTACTTAATTCTTAAAATTTTCTGATGGCCTAAGAGTGAAAGTTTCTGAATTTAGCTGATCATATTTTAGGAAAAACACAGGACAAAATTTAAGTTGCTGAATTAAAGTGTCTAGTGTTATCCCTGATTTTAGGCAAGTCCTTATACTTATCTTTTACCTTTAAAGGAGAGTCAGAGATACCTAGCAGAATGGTTAAATAAAAAGTAATGACAAGAGCAAATGCTTGCAAGGTTGTGGAGAAACTGGGCCACTCATACATGGATAATGGGAATGTAAAATAGTACAGGCACTCTGGAAAAGAGTTTGGCAGTTTCTTAAAAAACTAAACATGTAAGTACTACACTATCCAGTAAATGCACTCCTGGGCATTTATCCCAGAGAAATAAAGACTTCTGTGTTCACAGAAAAACCTGTATGTAAGTGTTTATAGCAGTCTTATTTATAATCGCCTAAAACTGGAAGCAACACAGATGTCCTTCAGTGGGTGAATGATTAAACAAACTGTGGTACATCTACACCACGGAATACTACTCAGCAATAAAAGAAACAAACTACTGATACATACAATGATCTAGATGAATCTTGAGAGAATTATGCTGAATGGAAAAAGCCAATCCCCAAGGGTTGCATACTATATGATTCAAATTATATAACATTGTTGAAATGACAAAATTATGAAATGGAAAACAGATTAGTGTAGATTAGTAGTTGCTAGGGATTAAGAAGGGAAGGAATAGGAGGAAACTGGGTGTGGCTATTAGAGGGGCAACATGGGAGATCCTGCTGATAATGGAACTGTTTTATATCTTGACCATATCAATGTCAATATATTGGTTGTGATATTATTACCATGGGGGAAAACTGGGTAAAAGATACACTGATTTTGTATTATTTTTTATAACTGCATGTGAATCTACAATTATCTCAAAATAAAAAAATAAAAAATAAAGTACAAGAGAGTCAGGGAAAGTTCTATGTAGTTTCTCTTAGATCAGTTTTTATTTTTTAAACAGTTACCCATCCGTTTCTTAAATCTTATGGATTGTTATTAAAGGAAGGCCACTGCCTCTGCTTTCCATTAAGGACAATATCAATCATCAAAGACATCTACAAAGTTTCTGAAATTCTTCATGCAGACTTTCAGGGGACCATTAGATCATATTATTTTACCTGTAGGGATATATACAATCAGGCACAAATCTTAGATCTTTAAGAAGCAGTATAGCTGAACTGCTGCTTAAATAAGTGGGAGGTTGGTTGAGGTTATTTTCCCCCTATAATTGCTTTTCTTCTGTCCCAGAAGAACCTGTCAGACCAGTCATTAAGCTATTGTTTAGTTCTCATTTGGCTTAGGTGGTTCAGGGATCAGCTTAGGGAATAATAGAGGCAATGTAATGAATCTTAGTGGGAATAAAGTGATTGAGAATTTTGGTTTGTTTTTAAGGCTTAGAATATAATATCCATTCTCTAGTTCCATGACTGCCCCAATGCAATTCTTTTTGAAATGCTGTAACTTATAGCCTGGGGAGCCTCACCATGTTCTTTTAGTTTTTTCCTCTTCTATGTCATTGTGCACAGGATCTTCCAGCTTTTGGGTTACCATGTCTTTGAGTTTTCTAGTCTGAATAAGATCTCTTTAGAAATCATATTTTTCTGAGAGCTATAGTTGACTATACTTTGTTTTCTGTTGTTTCATAGGATTATCTCACAAATCCTACGGTGAAACCATATGAGGTTCACAGTAACCATATGAGGCGTAGGTATTATCACCTCCATTTTATACAGACTTAAGGAAGCTAAGTAATTTGTCCCTGGTCATGTATGTGACAGAACCAGAATTTGAGTTCAGAAAGCTAACTTCACAGTCTACACAGTTAGCCTCTCTTTATTTTTGTTTTTGTCTTTGTTTTGAGACGGAGTCTCGCTCTGTCATCCATGCTGGAGTGCAGTGGCACCATCTTTGCTCACTGCAACCTCTGCTTCCTGGGTTCAAGTGATTCTCCCGCCTCAGCCTCCCTGATAGCTGGGACTACAGGTGCACAGTACCATGCCTGGAGTTAGCCTCTCTTTATACAATACAGCATCTTTGAGTTGGGATTGACAGTTCTGTTCTTTCAAGAGACACTTTTTGAGACCTGTCATCTTTTAGGCACTGTGCTGGGTCCTATGGATAAAAAACTACTGAACATGATTCCTGTAACAGAGATGCTCCTAGTTTATTATAAGGACAGATGTTAGGTGCAGTGTGAAAAATAAAATGTTAGACAAACAATCTCTTACAGTCTCGAAAATATTCAAATTCAGACTATTTTAGAGACAGCACATCCCTGAGAACAAAATAGTAAATAGTCAATTTATTCATTTGTTCATTCACCCAACAAAAATTCTTTTGAGTGTTTGCAATATGTTGGGTGCTAAGCTAAGTCTTGGAGATAGAGTGGTAAAGGAAACAGATGAGGTCCTGCCCTTATAGAGCTTATTTACCTTTTAGTGAGGCATTTACTTAATCAAACGTTCATAGAAATAAACAGAAAATTGGAGCTGACAAGCACCGTCAAAGACAGACACATGGTGCTACCAGAGGAAATTAATGAGAGAGTTAGTTCTTGTTGGGGCCATATTACCTCAGAGGGAATAGCTCAGAAGTAAATAGGCATTAACTAGGTAAAGAATGGGAGCAGGGGGCAGAGGAGACAAAACCCTGTAGCAGATCAGGGCACTGAAATTCCGAGAACTGAAAGAATGCCAGAGAGACCTCAGGAGAGAGAGGCTGCGGGTGGGGGGTGGAGGGTGGTAATCATGCTAATTGAAGCCCAAGAGACATCCAGAGGCCAGACAAAGCAAGGCTTTGGGGTGGTAGTAAGGATATTTAATCCCAAGAACAAAGGAAAGTCACTGAAAATAACTGAGTGACAAAGTCATATTTGTTATTTAGACAGCTCTTTTTAGCTTGGCACATAAGTATTGGTGAGAAGCCAAGGTATGCTGGGGAAAGACCAGCAGAGAATTGCTGAAGTTACAAGGCCAGATATGATAGAGCTTTGGCTAGAGCTGTGGTATAAGGATGGAGGGAAGTGGAGGGGTATCAGATGTAGTTGGGAGGTAAGGGAAGAAATCAGTGATAGATTAAACAAAAGCCAGGGGAACAAAAGAGTAAGGTTGATACTAAGTTTATCTGACAGTTGGTGGTACCATTTACTGGGATAGGGACATTGGAAGCAGATCAGATTTGGAAGGCAGATTTTGAATTCAATTTTGGATATGTTTGGTTTAGGGTGACTTTGAGAGGGAGAAAAGAAACATCAAGTAGACACTTAAGTCTGTGTCTGGAGCCTAGAGTGGAGGTCCACACTGGAGATACACCCGTGTGTATCATAAGTGTACAGGTGGTACATGACATCATGGCCATAGATGCCACTGCCTAGAGATACACAAAAGAGTGAGAAGAAAGGAGAGTCTGGAACCAAGCTTTAAGGAACTTAATCTCACATCTATGTGAACGAAGATCAACCTACAGAGGAGATGGAAGAATATCACAAAGATAGGTAGAGTTACAAAAATGAAAGGATGATATATTTTGATAAAGATCGGATGGTCAGCAATATAAAATGCTGCTCAAATAACAGGTTTAAACCAGTTCTTTGGAGTTATTGACATGGAAGTCATTGGCAACTTTAGCGAAAGCTATTTTATGAGGAAAAAGGTAGACTGGAGTGAAGAGTGAGTGAGGACTGGAAAATTGGATGCAATGAGAACAGAGAGACAAAACTTATAAGAAGAGAAGAACAGGACATGTAGGATTTGGGGAAGACTTTCTAGATAAGATGGAAGAGACTTGAGTATGCTTAAAAGCCATTGGTAAAGACTTAATTGACAGGGCTCTGACAGCTATTTCAGAGAGAAAATAGGTAACGGGTAGTGTTAGCTCATGAGAAGGGGAATAAGCAGAAAGGGATTTGCGGAAGTGCCCTTAATTGCATGGTTGGTATGAGAAAGATAAGAGAATTCACCTACTGGGAATTATATCTTCCTGTAAGGTTGGAGACAGTATTATTGGCTGAAGGTGAGGGGACAAGAAAGAGAGGTAAAGGTGTGAAAAGAGCTGAAAAAGTTTGAAATATGTTAGGGTTTTGTGTGTGTGTGTGTGTGTGTGTGTGTGTGTGTGTGTGTGTGTGTGTGTATGTGTGTCCATATATATTCAATGTTTAGCTCCCACTTGTGAGAACATGCAGCATTTGGTTTTCTGTTCCTACATTTGTTCACTTAGCATAATGGCCTCCAGCTTCAACCATGTTGCTGCAAAGGACATGATCTCATTTTTTATGGCTGCATAGTATTCCATGGTGTATATATAGCACATTTTCTTTATGCAGTCCACCACTGATGGACATTTAGGTTGAGTCCATGTCTTTGCTATTGTGAATAGTGCTGTGATGAACATATGCATACATGTGTCTTTATGGTAGAATTATTTATATTCCTTTGGGTATAAACCCAATAATGGGGTTGCTGGGTTAAATGGTAGTTCTGACTTAATTTCTCGGAGAAATTACCAAACTGCTTTCCACAATGGCTGAACTAAATTACATTCTCACAAGCAGTGTGTAAGCGTTCCCTTTTATCTGCAACCTTGCCAGCAAATTAAAAAAAAAAACAGTATTTTTTGACTTTTTAATCATAGCCATTCTGACTGGTGTGAGATAGTATCTTATTGTGGTTTTGATTTGCATTGGCCTAATGATTACTGATGTTGAACATTTTTACATATTTGTTGGTTGTGTGTATGTCTTCTTCTGAAAAATGTCTGTTCATGTCCTTTGCTCACTTTGTGATGGGGCTGTTTTTTGCTTGTTAATTTGTATAAGTTCCTTATAGATGCTGGATATTAGACCTTTGTCAGATGCATAGTTTGCAAATATTTTCTCCCATTCTGCAGGTTGTCTGTTTAGTATATTGATAGTTTCTTTTGCTGTGCAAAAGCTCATTAGTTTAATTAGATACCATTTGTCAATGTTTTATTTTTGTTGCAATTGCTTTTGGCATCTTTGTCATGAAATCTTTGCCAAGACCAAAGTCCAGAATGGTATTTTGTTGGTTATCTTCCAGCATTTGTATAGTTTTAGGTTTTACATTTAAGGCTTTAATTCATCTTGGGTTAATTGTTGTATATGATATAAAAAAGAGGTCCAGCATCAATCTGCATTTGGCTAGTTAGTTATCCTAGCACCATTTATTGAACAGGGAATCCTTTCCCCATTGCTTGTCTTTGTTGACTTTGTCAAAGATCAGATGATTTTACGTGGGTGGTATTATTTCTGGGCTCTCTAGTCTGTTCCATTGGTCTATATGTCTGTTTTTGTACCTGTATCATGCTGTTTTGGTTACTGTTGACTTGTATAGTTTGAAGTCAGATAATACGATGCCTCTAGCTTTATTCATTTGCTGAGGATTACCTTAGCTATTCAGGCTCTTTTTTGGTTCCATATGAATTTTAAAATGGGTTTTTCAAATTTTTTGGAAAATGTCATTGGTAGTTTGACAGGAATGGCATTGAATCCGTAAATTGCTTTGGGCAATATGACCGTTTTAACAACATTGATTCTTCCTACACATGATGGTTGAATTTTTTTTATTGGATTGTGTTATTTCCGATTTCTTTGAGCATTGTTTTGTAATTCTCATTGTAGAGATTTTTCACCTCCCTGGTTAGCTGTATTCCTAAGTATTTTATTTATTTTGTGGCTATTGTAGGATTGTGTTCTTGATTTGGTTCTCAGCTTGGATGTTATTGGTGCATAGAAATGCTACCGATTTTTGAATATTGATTTTGTATACTGAAACTTTGCTGAAGTTGTTTATCAGATCTAGGAGGTTTTGGGCAGAGACTATGGGGTTTTCTAGGTATAAAATCATACTGACTGGTGGAGCCAAGATGGCTGAATAGGAACAGCTCCAGTCTAAAGCTCCCAGCGTGAGCGATGCAGAAGATGGGTGATTTCTGCATTTCCAACAGAGGTACCAGGTTCATCTCACTGGGGAGTGTCGGAAAGTGGGTGCAGGACAGTGGGTGCAGTGCACCGAGTGTGAGCCAAAGCAGGGCGAGGCATCACCTCACCCAGGAAGCATAAGGGGTCAGGGAATTCCCTTTCCTAGTCAAAGAAAGGGGTGACAGACGGCATCCGGAAAATCAGGTCACTCCCACCGTAATACTGCACTTTTCCAACAGTCTTAGCAAATGGCACACCAGGAGATTATATCCCGTGCATGGCTCAGAGGGTCCTATGCCCACGGAGCCTTGCTCATTGCCAGCACAGCAGTCTGAGTTCAAACTGCAAGGCGGCAGCAAGGCTGGGGGAGGGGCTCCCGCCATTGCCCAGGCTTGAGTAGGTAAACAAAGCGGCTGGGAAGCTCGAACTGGGTGGAGCCCACTACAGCTCAAGGAGGCCTGCCTGCCTCTGTAGACTACACCTCTGGGGGCAGGGCATAGCCAAACAAAAGGCAGCAGAATCCTCTGCAGACTTAAATGTCCCTGTCTGACAGCTTTGAAGAGAGTAGTGGTTCTCCCAGCACGCAGCTGGAGATCTGAGAACGGACAGACTGCCTCCGCAACTGGGTCCCTGACCCCCAGTAGCCTAACTGGGAGGTACCCCCCAGTAGGGGCAGACTGACACCTCACACGGCTGGGTACTCCTCTTAGACAAAACTTCCAGAGGAACGATCAGGCAGCAACATTTGCTGCTCACCAATATCCACTGTTCTGCAGCCTCTGCTGCTGATACCCAGGGAAACAGGGTCTGGAGTGGACCTCCAGCAAACTCCAACAGACCTGAAGCTGAGGGTCCTAACTGTTAGAAGGAAAACTAACAAACAGAAAGGACATCCACACCAAAACCTCATGTGTACGTCACCATCATCAAAGACCAAAGGTAGATAAAACCACAAAGATAGGGAAAAAACAGAGCAGAAAAACTGGAAACTAAAAATCAGAGCACCTCTCCTTCTCCAAAGGAACGCAGCTCCTCATCAGCAACGGAACAAAGCTGGATGGAGAATGACTTTGACGAGTTGAGAGAAGAAGGCTTCAGACAATCAAACTACTCTGAGCTAAAGGAGGAAGTTCGAAGCCATGGCAAAGAAGTTAAAAACCTTGAAAAACGATAAGACGAATGGCTAACTAGAATAACCAATGCAGAGAAGTCCTTAAAGGACCTGATGGAGGTGAAAACCAAGGCATGAGAACTACGTGACCAATGCACAAGCCTCAGTAGCCGATTTGATCAACTGGAAGAAAGGGTATCAGTGATGGAAGATCAAATGAATGAAATGAAGTGAGAAGAGAAGTTTAGAGAAAAAAGAATAAACAGAAACAAACAAAGCCTCCAAGAAGTATGGGACTATGTGAAAAGACCAAATCTATGTCTGATTGGTGTACCTGAAAGTGATGGGGAGAATGGAATCAAGTTGGAAAACACTCTGCAGGGTATTATCCAGGAGAACTTCCCCAATTTAGCAAGGCAGGCCAACATTCAAATTCAGGAAATACAGAAAATGCTACAAAGATACTCCTCAAGAAGTGCAACTCCAAGACACATAATTGTCAGATTCACCAAAGTTGAAATGAAGGAAAAAATGTTAAGGGCAGCCAGAGAGGAAGGTCGGGTTACCCACAAAGGGAAGCCCATCAGACTAACAGCAGATCTCTTGGCAGAAACTCTACAAGCCAGAAGAGAGTGGGGGCCAATATTCAACATTCTTAAAGAAAAGAATTTTCAACCCAGAATTTCATATCCAGCCAAACTAAGCTTCATAAGTGAAGGAGAAATAAAATCCTTTACAGACAAGCAAATGCTGAGAGATTTTGTCACCACCAGGGCTGCCCTAAAAGAGCTCCTGAAGGAAGCACTAAACATGGAAAGGAAAAACCAGTACCAGCCACTGCAAAAACATGCCAAATTGTAAAGACCATCAAGGCTAGGAAGAAACTGCATCAACTAACAAGCAAAATCACCAGCTAACATCATAATGACAGGATCAAATTCACACATAACAATATTAACCTTAAATGTAAATGGGCTAACTGCTTCAATTAAAAGACACAGACTGGCAAACTGGATAAAGAGTCAAGACCCATCAGTGTGCTATATTCAGGAAACCCATCTCACGTGCAGAGACACACATAGGCTCAAAATAAAGGGATGGAGGAAGATCTACCAAGCAAATGGAAAGCAAAAAAAGGCAGGGGTTGCAATCCTAGTCTCTGATAAAACAGACTTTAAACCAACAAAGATCAAAAGAGACAAAGAAGCCCATTACATAATGGTAAAGGGATCAATTCAACAGGAAGAGCTAACTATCCTAAATATATATGCACCTAATACAGGAGTACCCAGATTCATAAAGCAAGTCCTTAGAGACCTAGAAAGAGACTTAGACGCCCATACAATAATGGGAGACTTTAACACCCCACTGTCAACATTAGACAGATCAACGAGACAGAAAGTTAACAAGGATGTCCAGGAATTGAACTCAGCTCTGCACCAAGCAGACCTAATAGACATCTACAGAACTCTCCACCCCAAATCTACAGAATATACATCTTCTCAGTACCACACCGCACTTATTCCAAAATTGACCACATATTTGGAAGTAAAGCTCTCCTTAGCAAATGTAAAAGAACAGAAATTATAACAAACTGTCTTTCAGACCACAGTGCAATCAAATCAGAACTCAGGATTAAGAAACTCACTCAAAACTGCACAACTACATGGAAACTGAGCAACCTGCTCCTGAATGACTAATGGGTACATAATGAAATGAAGGCAGAAATAAAGATGTTCTTTGAAACCAATGAGAACAAAGACACAACATACCAGAATCTCTGGGATACATTCAATGCAGTGTGTAGAGGGCAATTTATAGCACTAAATGCCCACAAGAGAAAGCAGGAAAGATCTAAAATGGACACCCTAACATCACAATTAAAAGAACTAGAGAAGCAAGAGCAAACACATTCAAAAGCTAGCAGAAGGCAAGAAATAACTAAGATCAGAACAGAACTGAAGGAAATAAAGACACAAAAAACCCTTCAAAAAATCAATGAATCCAAGAGCTGGTTTTTTGAAAAGATCAACAAAATTGATAGACCACTAGTAAGACTAATAAAGAAGAAAAGAGAGAAGAATCAAATAGATGCAATAAAAAATAATAAAAGGGATATCACCACTGATTCCACAGAAATACAAACTACCGTTAGAGAATACTATAAACACCTCTATGCAAATAAACTAGAAAATCTAGAAGAAATGGATCAAGTCCTGGACAAATACACCCTCCCAAGACTAAACCAGGAAGAAGTTGAATCTCTGAATAGACCAAAAACAGACTCTGAAATTGAGGCAATAATTAATAGCTTATCAACCAAAAAAAGTCCAGGACCAGATGGATTCACAGCTGAATTCTACCAGAGGTACAAGGAGGAGCTGGTACCATTCCTTCTGAAACTGTTCCAATCAATAGAAAAAGAGGGAATCCTTCCTAACTCATTTTCTGAGGCCAGCATCATTCTGATACCAAAGCCTGGCAGAGACACAACAAAAAAAGAGAATTTTAGACCAATATCCCTAATGAACATCAATGCAAAAATCCTCAATAAAATATTGGCAAACCGAATCCAGCAGCACATCAAAAGCTTATCCACCATGATCAAGTCTGCTTCATCCCTGGGATGCAAGGCTGGTTCAACAGACGCAAATCAGTAAACATAATCCAGCATATAAACAGAACCAATGACAAAAACCATATGATTATCTCAATAGATGCAGAAAAGGCCTTTGACAAAATTCAACAGCCCTTCATGCTAAAAACTCTCAATAAATTAGGTATTGATGGGACGTATCTCAAAATAATAAGAGCTATCTATGACAAACCCACAGCCAATATCATACTGAATGGGCAAAAACTGGAAGCATTCCCTTTGAAAACTGGCACAAGACAGAGGGATGCCCTCTCTCACCACTCCTACTCAACATAGTGTTAGAAGTTCTGGCCAGGACAATCAGGCAGGAGAAAGAAATAAAGGGTATTCAATTAGGAAAACAGGAAATCAAATTGTCTTTGTTTCCAGATGACATGATTGTATATCTAGAAAACCCCATCGTCTCAGCCCAAAATCTCCTTAAGCTGATAGGCAACTTCAGCAAAGTCTCAGGATACAAAATCAATGTGCAAAAATCACAAGCATTCTTATACACCAATAACAGACAAACAGAGAGCCAAATCATGAGTGAACTCCCATTCACAATTGCTTCAAAGAGAATAAAATCTAGGAATCCAACATACAAGGGACGTGAAGGACCTCTTCAAGGAGAACTACAAACCACTGCTTAATGAAATAAAAGAGGATACAAACAAATAGAAGAACATTCCATAATCATGGGTAGGAAGAATCAGTATCATGAAAATGGCCATACTGCCCAAGGTAATTTATCGATTCAATGCCATCCCCATCAAGCTACCAATGACTTTCTTCAAAGAATTGGAAAAAACTACTTTAAAGTTCATATGGAACCAAAAAAGAGCCCACATTGCCAAGTCAATCCTAAGCCAACAGAAGAAAGCTGGAAGCATCACGCTACCTGACTTCAAACTATACTACAAGGCTACAGTCACCAAAACAGCATGGTACTGGTACCAAAACAGAGATATAGACCAATGGAACAGAACAGAGACCTCAGAAATAATGCTGCATATCTACAACCATCTGATCTTTGACAAACCTGACAAAAACAAGGAATGGGGAAAGGATTCCCTATTTAATAAATGGCACTGGGAAAACTGGCTAGCCATATGTAGAAAGCTGAAACTGGATCCCTTCCTTGCACCTTATACTAAAATTAATTCAAGGTGGATTAAAGACTTAAATGTTAGACCTAAAACCATAAAAACCCCAGAAGAAAACCTAGGCAATACCATTCAGGACATAGGCATGGACAAGGACTTCATGTCTAAAACACCAAAAGCAATGGCAACAAAAGCCAAAATTGACAAATGGGATCTAGTTAAACTAAAGAGCTTCTGCACAGCAAAAGAAACTACCATCAGAGTCAACAGGCAACCTACAGAATGGGAGAAAATTTTTGCCATCTACTCATCTGACAAAGGGCTAATATCCAGAATCTACAATGAACTCAAACAAATTTACTAGAAAAAAACAAACAACCCCATCAACAAATAGGCGAAGGATATGAACAGACATTTCTCAAAAGAAGACATTTATGCAGCCAAAAGACACATGAAAAAATGCTCATCATCACTAGCCATCAGAGAAATGCAAATCAAAACCACAATGAGATACCATCTCACACCAGTTAGAATGGTGATCATGAAAAAGTCAGGAAACAACAGGTGCTGGAGAGGATGTGGAGAAATAGGACCACTTTTACACTGTTGTTGGGATTGTAAACTGGTTCAACCATTGTGGAAGACAGTGTGGTGATTCCTCAGGGATCTAGAACTAGAAATACCTTTTGACCCAGCCTTCCCTTACTGGGTATATACCCAAAGGATTATAAATCATGCTGCTATAAAGACACATGCACACGTATGTTTATTGAGGCACTATTCACAATAGCAAAGACTTGGAACCAAGCCAAATGTCCAACAATGATAGACTGGATTAAGAAAATGTGGCACATATACACCATGGAATTCTATGCAGCCATAAGAAATGATGAGTTCATGTCCTTTGTAGGGACATGGATGAAGCTGGAAACCATCATTCTCAGCAAACTATCACAAAGACAAAAACCCAAACACCGCATGTTGTCACTCATAGGTGGGAACTGAACAATGAGAACACATGGACACAGGAAGGGAAACATCACACACTGGGGCCTGTTGTGGGGTGGGGGTGTGGGGGAGGGATAGCATTAGGAGATATACCTAATGTTAAATGATGAGTTAATGGATGCAGCATACCAACATGGCACATGTATACACATGTAACCAACCTGCATGTTGTGCACATGTACCCTAAAACTTAAAGTATAATAATAATAAAAAATAAAATAAAATCATACTGTCCGCCGGGTGCAGTGGCTCACTCCTGTAATCCCAGCACTTTGGGAGGCTAAGGTGGGTGAATTGCCTGATCTCAGGAGTTCGAGACCAGCCTGGGCAACATGGTGAAACCCCGTCTCTACTAAAATACAAAAAATCAGTTGGGCATGGCAGCATGTTCCTGTAATCCCAGCTACTCGGGAGGCTGAGACAGGAGAATTACTTGAACTCAGGAGATGGAGGTTGCAGTGAGCTGAGATCGTGCAACTGCATTCCAGCCTGGGTGACAGAGCAAGACTCCATCTCAAAAAAAAAAAAAATCATACTGTCTGCATACAGATAGTTTGACTTCCTCTGTTCTTATTTGGATGCCTTTTATTTTTTTCTCTTGCCTGTTGTTCTGGCTAGGAGTTCGAGTATTGTGTTGAATAGAGTAGTAGTGATATTTGGCATCCTTGTCTTGTGCTGGCTCTCAAGGGGAATGCTTCTAGCTTTTACCTATTCAGTATGATGTTGGCTGTGGGTTTGTTATAGATGGTTGTTATTTTGAAGTTTGTTCCTTTAATGCCTAGTTTGCTGAAGGTTTTTAAAATGAAGTGATGCTTAATTTTATTGAAAGCTTTTTCCTCATCTATCAAGGTGATCATGTAGTTTCTGTTTTTAGTTCTGTTTATGTGATGAATCACATTTGTTGATTTGTGTATGTTGAACTAACTTTGTATCCCAGGGATAAAGTCTACTTAATCATGCTGAATTAGCTTTTTGATGTCCTGTTCGATCCAGGACATAGTTTGCTAGTATTTTGTTGAGGATTTTTCCACCTATGCTCATCAAGGATATTGGCCTGATGTTTTCTTTCCTTCTTCTGTTTCTTCCAGGTTTTGGTATCAGAATGATGCTGGCCTCATAAAATGAGTTAGGGAGGAGTCCCTCCTAGTCAGTTTTTTTGAATAGTTTCAGATAGAATTGTACCAGTCAGCTCTTTGTATGTCTGGTAGAATATGCCTGTGAATCTTTCTAGTCCTGGGCTTTTTCTGGTTGGTAGGTGTTTTATTACTGATTCAGCTTCAGAACTTGTCATTGGTCTGTTCAGGATTTGAATTTCTTCCTAGTTCAATCTTGGGAGGTT
Source organism: Homo sapiens (assembly GCF_000001405.40). Lineage (NCBI taxonomy): Eukaryota > Metazoa > Chordata > Mammalia > Primates > Hominidae > Homo > Homo sapiens. Next base: position 60,313,361 of record NC_000005.10, on the reverse strand, counting down.
GTATGTTTCCAGGAATTTACCCTGAAAAATTCTAGGTTTTCTAGTTTGTATGCATAAAGGTGTTCATTATAGTCTCTGAGGGTTTTTTGTATTTCTGTTGGGTCGATGGTAATATCCCCTTTACCATTTCTGATTTTGTTTATTTGGATCATCTCTCTTTTTTTTTCTTTGTTTGTCTAGCTAGTGGTGTATCAATTTTATTTATTCTTTCAAAAAACCAACTCCTGGATTCATTGATCTTTCAATTTTTTTTGTTTTGCATTTCAATTTCATTCAATTCTGTTCTGATTTTGGTTATTTCCTTTCCTCTGCTAGCTTTTGGGTTGGTTTGCTCTTTTTCTGTTTCCTCTAGGTGTGATGTTATGTTGTTAAATTAAAATCTTCCTAACTTTTTGATGTGAGCATTTAGCACTATAAACTTTCCTCTTAACACTGCTTTAATATTGATAAGATAGAGATTCTGGTATCTTGTATCTTTGTTCTCATTCATTTCAAATAATTTCTTGATTTCTGCCTTAATTTCAATGTTTACCCAAAAGTCATTCAGGAGCAGGTTGCTTATTTTTCATGTAATTGTATGGTTTTGGGTGATTTCCTTAGTACTGATGAAATGGTTTGGCTCTGTGTTCCCACCCAAATCTTGCCTTGAGTTGTAATTGTCATAATCCCCACGTCAAGGGTGGGACCAGGTGGAGGTTATTGGATCATGGAGGTGGTTTCCCCCATGTGGTTCTTGTGATAGTGAGTTCTCATGAGATCTGATGGTTTTATAAGCATCTGGCATTTCTCCTGCTTGCACTCACTCCATCCTGCCGCCTTGTGAAGAAGGTGCCTGCCTTTCCTTTGCTTTCTGCCATGATTGTAAGTTTCCTGAGGCCTCCTAGGAGTGCAGAACTGTGAGTCAATGAAACTTTCTTCCTTTATAAATTACCCAGTCTCAGATATTTCTTCATAGCTGTGTGAGAATAAACTAATACTACTGATTTCTATTTTCATTAAGCTGTGGTCTGAAAGTGTGGTTGGTATGATTTCCGTTTTTTTGAACTTGCTAAGAATTGTTTTATGACACATTGTGTGGTTGATTCTAGAGTATGTACCATGTGCAGATGAGAATAATGTATATTCTGTTATTTTTGGTTGGAGAGTTCTGTAGATGTCTGTTAGGCCAATTAGGTGAAGTGTTAAGTTCAGGTCTCGAATATATCTATGTTAGTTTTCTGCCTCAGTGATCCATCTGATACTGTGAATAGGGTGTTGAAGTCTCCCACTATTATTATGTGGTTATCTAAATCTCTTTGTAGGTCTCTAAGAACTTGTTTTATGAATCTGGGTGCTCCTGTGTTGGGTGCATATATATTTAGGATAGTTAGGTCTTCATGTTGAATTGAACCCTTTACCATTATGTAATGCCCTTGTCTTTTTGATCATTGTCAGTTTACAGTCAATTTTGTCTGAAATTATAATACAAACCCATGCCTTGCTTGGTATAATTTTCTTCATTCCTTTACTTTGAGCCTATGAGTGTCACTGCATGTGAGATGGGTCTCTTGAAGATAGCATACAGTTAGGTCTTGTTTCTTCATTCAACTTGCCACTCTGTGTCTTTTAATTGGGACATTTAGCCCATTTACACTCAAGGTTAACATTGACATGTGTGGAGTTGATTCTGTCATCATGTTGTTAGCTGGTTATTATGCAGACTTGATTGTGGAGTTGCTTTATAGTATCAGTGATCTATGTACTTAAGTGTGTTTTCATGGTGGTGGGTAATGTTCTTTTCTTTTCATATTTGGTACTTCCTTATGGACTTCTTGTAATGCAGGTCTGGTGGTAATGAATTCCCTTAGCATTTGCTTCCCTGAAAAGATTATACTTCTCCTTTGTTTATGAAACTTAATTTAGCCAGATATGAAATTCTTGGTTGGAATTTCTTTTCTTTAAGAATGTTGAATATAGGCCTCTGGCCTCGTCTGGCTTGTAGGGTTTCTGCTGAAAGGCCTGCTGTTAGCCTGATGGAATTTCCTTTGAAGGTGACTTGCCAGCCGGGCGCGGTGGCTCACGCCTGTAATCCCAGCACTTTGGGAGGCCAAGGCGGGCGGATCACCTGAGGTTGGGAGTTCGAGACCAGACTGACCAACATGGAGAAACCCCGTCTCTACGAAATACAAAAATACAAAATTAGCCAGGCGTGGTGGCACATGCCTGTAATCCCGGCCCTGGGGAGGCTGAGGCAGGAGAATTGCTTGAACCTGGGAGGTGAAGACTGTGGTGAGCTGAGATCGCTTCATTGCATGCCAGCCTGGGCAACAAGAGCAAAACTCCACCTCAAAAAAAAAAAAAAAAGACTTATTTTAATGAGTTGGACTCAGATTAGCTAATAAAAATTGCCTAAGTGTGAACCTTCATATTTCCTATGTATGGGGAATGTTACGAGGTATGCTGGTGGGAACACAGGAGAGCACATGGAATGATTATCCCCCACTTGCAGAATTTCTTGTTTGGCTAGAAAGGGAACATACTTGTACAAAAGGCATAAAAAGATGTTTAAAGAGGTGAGCAAAGGCTCAGAGAGTAAGAGAAAGTAGAGACTACAGAAATATTCCATAAAGGAAGATTCAGGAAGAAGTGTGTCAGAAGTAGAGCAAGAGCGAAGGTTGGATTTGCTGACTACTACTAATCCATTTCTCAGGAGCATGTGCAGATGCACATGGGAGGTTATAATGTCGGTATCTGTTAGAACCCTATTCTGTTGGCCAGAAGTCAATCACACAACCCCACTTTTCTGCTAGGGTGGCTGAAAAATACTTTACCTGTGTTCCTGGAAGGAAAGTGAGGCTTTTTTGAGCATTTAACCAGTCTCTGCTACACACCCACTGGAACTTTGCAGAATAAACTTCAGTTCCTCTCCTCCTCATTCATTTTTTAAACCTTCCCTTCTCCAAGTGAGACACTGTTAGTTCTATCAACTATTATTCATATATTTATTTTTGTTCCCAAACCCTCTACTATCCTGGCCATCATAAAGCAAACATTCTTGATTTTTATTGTTCTTCTCAAAATGAGATGCTCACTGTAGAACGTAATACTGTATATGTGATTTTTTAAAATGCTGGTAAAGTGGGATTATTGTTTTCATTGATTTCATAACTATCAGGTCAAAGAGAGGGCCAAGATTGGGGACTTTGCATTTTTAAAAAAAGAGAATTTGAAGAAGGAAAAGGGTCTCCAGGATGCCACTTCAGTATGGCAGCTGTGGGAAGCACTAGTGGTAAGGTGCTAGCTATTCTTTCCTACTTCTCCAAGAGGAAAAAGGGTACTCACACTCACAAATCAATTCATTTCCATCAAAACTCCAAAGTGAAGTCAAGGAGAATAAGTGCACTCAAATGATGTTACTTATATATTAGATTATGGATTTAAATAAAACACCAAGGATTTCTGTATTAAAATCTTTTTATTGTGATGTTAACTAGTCCACATGTCTTACATAGTATCTAGGTCTTATGCTTAATAATTTGGCCAGTAGTCCAAATTATTACATGATATATAAGCAAATTAGCATTGCTATAAGAAACTAAAATTTATCACCTGCTGCTAATATGGCATTGATGTTGTGCCATTTCAGCATATCCCTATGGCCCCATTCCTGATGTTTTCATCTGTAGATCCAGTGAGGAGAGAAAAAAATGAGTCGTTTTTTCCTGTTCTTTTCTTTCAACAGTTGTGCTTTCAGTGTTCTCTGTTAAGAAATATTATAACCCTGAGGGAGTGAATGTTCTTATCAGAGAAGAGAACTGGTTGAAAATGATTTAGTTTCTGAATTCCTAGAAGAAGGGAAAAAGCCTAAGTGTCCATCTCTCTATCTAGTCTACTAATAGGATTACCTATTTCAAATATATATAATTTTTCTAAATTGAGTTTTTAATGTCAAAGTTTCAGGATCCACTGGTTTCCATAGTTTTAGTTTGTCCAGTTGTTTATGGTTAGGCTCATTGTGAACAGTGACCATTATACTTCTCTTTTTCTATAAATGTGGCTGCTTTTGAGAATGGAAGTTGTAGGAAACAGAATTCATTGTAATCTGAATTTAAATTTAGCTTCCTGTTGCAGCTCCTCCCCTCCCCCTCCTCCCTCATGTTTCTCCCTGTCCCCAGACTGTCTTTCAGAGGCAGATGCTATGCACATAAATGACATTTATTGATTTGAGTATTAGAGACTTTTTCTTGACAGACTCACCCATCACAATATTTAAGTAATATTAACAGTTTCCCACCAAGAACTCAGAGTAAACTAAACAGTGAGTATCCAGGCAGAAAGCCATGTACTTTTAGAGCTCAATATGTTTATAATATATATGAAGGCAAACATAGAGGCAACATAAATACCTATTCTACTTGGTTGTAATCTGCCAATTTATATTTTTCGGAGAAGAGTTTATCACTAAATCACTGAGAGGCAGAGTAGGATATCTGGGGGAAATGGTGGTGGGCGGGGGGCAAGTTTGTTATCTGGAAAAAAGATTGGGAGCCAGGGAGGATTTTCAAATTCGAATCCCTCAGCTCAGTCTTGGGGCATTTGTTTTGCCATCTGAATTATCTTGGAACCCAGAGAAAAACTGGTTGTGAAAACTACAGATGCAATTTTCTTCTTTGGCTTTTCCCATAATACTGTAATTATAAACCATGCTGTGTTAGAGTGGAACATTCTTTGGAGAGCATCCTAAAGTGCACTTTGATCAAATTTTGCCTTATGTGGCAACATTTAGAAACACAAGCCTTCGTGGGGTTTCTGGCTCTACTTTTTACTGATGGGCTGATAATCTTATAGTAGCATTAGTTTTGCCACCAATTACCAAAGATTTGTTATTATTGGTTTTTAAAATTGGACAATCCTTAAATGTCTACAGCAACGTTAGAAACAGACCCACAAGTGGGTGGGTCAGACTAGTTTGGAAACCTCCAATCTTGGCTATTTGGTACCTCAGAATTCAACAAGGGATGTTGGAAAATTTTCAAAATAAAATTAATTTAAATTCAGTTTTGCAAAAGATTATACTATAGAACACATTGAAAAAGAGAAGGTTAGCTGGAAAGTCAAACATAATAGAATTTGAAAATTACTAGGCTTTAAGTTATGAAAATATTTCCCATATGTTGAGACAGAATTTGTATTCTCTTTTTTCTCAATGGCATTTTATGAGACTATATACTGCTGCTCTTCTGTATAAATAGAATAGAAACATCTCCATTTTTAAATTGTCATGGAAATAAGTAATGGCCTGTGAACAAAATGACTTCTTTTTGTTTTGTTTTGTTTTGTTTTGATGGAGTTTTGCTCTTGTTGCCCAGGCTGGAGAGCAATGGTGCTATCTCGGCTCACTGCAACCATAGCCTCCTGGATTCAAGTGATTCTCCTGCCTCAGCCTTCCGAGTAGCTTGGATTACAGGTGTCCACCACCATGCCCCACTAATTTTTGTATTTTTAGTAAAGACAGGGTTTCACCATGTTGGCCAGGCTGGTTGCAAACTATAGGCTGTCACTCTCTATGCTTTAATATTTTGGTTAATTTTAAGGGCATAATTTGTGGGGACATTGTTCTTATTTGCCATTACTTTTCATAGCAAAAACAGCAATTACTTTTGCACCAACCTAATATTTCCTTTGCTAATCTAGTGTGACTTCGGAACAGTGATAAATAAAGGTTGGGGAAGAAAGGGCTGACTAGTAAATGCAGACAGAGTTGAGGCAATTTCACAGTTCCATTGGCGTGTTCTATGGGCCATTTCACTTTCAGATGGTTTGTCTGGCTGAATTTAGAGGCTAACCTCTGGGGTTTTGCCTTTCTTCTTGTGACCTGAGAATTTGCTGGCATGTACAAGTCAATTTTCTTAATAGCCTTTCTTGATTAGTCTATAGCTTCTTCAGTGAGTTGATATGTCACATTTACTTATACTAAAATCTTACACTAGACATATTTTGGTGTCTTTGGCATCAAACCTCTTTTAGTCATTTGTCTTTCTTGTCTAGAGCTAGTGTCATAATATTTTCATTGTTACAGGTTTCTAATACACTTTAAGATCTAGAATGACATAACTCCCATTGTATCTTTCTCCTTTTATCTTTTAAGAAAAAGAATTACCATGGAAAATAATGCTTCTGTTTCTGTGTCGTTGTTTAAAGTATTTACAACTCTTGTTGTGAATTTTTTTCTTTTAATATATTCCTGAACTTTATTTATATATTTAATTAGTTATGTTTGCATTTTTAAAAAGTGAGATAGGTGTATCTTTTCAAAAATAATCATTGTCAGGTATGGTATTAGGTTTGTAATAGCTATTAGCTATTACATTACTTTTAATGGCAAAAACCACAAATAGTTTTGCAACAACGTAATATAATGAATACAATAGGCTTCCATTGTTTATCTATGTTGTGGAATATAGTGTAATTCTGAAATAACTTACTTCTTATACAATTTTTGTTTTGCTTTTTTGGTTTAGATCGACTTTTCTAAAAGTCTTTTTCTTTTGTTTCTGCTATATATTTGTTTTCCTATGTTCCGGTTTCGATTTCTTTCTGGATCAGTTTCATCACTTCATGTTTTCTTACATTATTGCCACTGCATTAGTCTGTCACGTTAATCAGAATAGGATTGTATATGGTATTCTTTTGTATATTTTTAATCTTGTTTCTATATTTGGTGAAATATACTTTGTAATTTTTAAGGAAATCTAAATTTTCTTGTCTTACTCTTGCAGAGTTCTACTTACTTAATTGCCGTTTTTCTGCTTTGATTTTTATTAACTCATTTTTCCAGCCTTCCTTGGGGTCCTGATCTTTTTCTAGGTCATTAAATGAATATGTCATTCTGTTTTGTTTTTTATTGATTCGTTCCTGTGACTTTTCTTCAGGTTATTTTGTTGACCTTTATTGAACTTCTCCAGTTTATTGAGTTGAATATTTTGTTATTTTATTTTATTCAATTTTTAAAATGATGAGAACCCTGAATGCCATGTGTTTTTTTCCTTTTGAGTCCATCCTTTACCACACATCATTAGATTTTATATAGATTTTTCAGTTGTTCTTAACTTTAAAATAGTTTGTAATTACAATTTGGATTTATTCTTTAGCCTATGCCATTTAGAAATGTTTTATGTTAAGGTTTACCTTTGCGTTTTTATTTTTAAAGGTTATCTTATGATATTAATTCCACTGGATTATGTGTACGTCTTTCACATACTTATGCATTCTTGTGGTTTATATAATTTCTATGTTTTATAGCTTTCATCTGCCTCTATCTAATATATGAACAATTTTTGATCAACTTTTTACAAAAGTATTTTCTTGATTTGAAGAATCCAAACTTTTAAATGTAACTGTTAGACCAACTTCATTAATTGAATTTACTCATATGCTTTATGGACCTTTTAATTTTCCAGCTACTTTTTCTCTTTAAGAGAGTTTTGTTAGACTTTAGTACTGTATTTCTGTTAGTTTCTTCTTACAGTTATAACTATGTGTGTGTGTGTATGTGTGTGTATACACACATGTATATATATTTATACACACACATTGTAATATGTAGTGTCTTATGGGCTACAACATTTTCTTAGAGTCTATATTTTATTTGAAGCTAGAGTTTTTTTTTTTTTTAAGTAAGAAGTTTTATTTCTTCCTGGAATCTTGCAGGATTTTTTTTTCTGTTTACTCAGTAGTTTAAAAAGTGCCAGATATGTTAAGGTTTAGGTCTTTTACTGATTTATTTTTTTCCTGGAGCCATGTCACCCATTTTCCTGAGATCAGGAAAGTTTTCTTGGGATGTGTATTTGGTTATTGTTTCTGTTTTATTTCTCTGGACTCTCCTCTAGGAATACTGATGAGCTATATGTTAGCTCCCTAGTCTCTGTTTTTCAATTCTTTCTTCTTCTCTATTGTACTTTTATTTTCCTTTCTCCCTGTGAAGGCTTATAGAACTGTTAAATAATGCTTAAGCCCACTGTCTTTCTTCAGTATCAATTAATTCTTCTACTTTGCTTTTAATTTCTATGTAATCTTCCTTTAAAAAAATTCTCTCTCCCTTTTCATTTTACCCACTGTCCATTGCCTTGTTTAACCTACCTGGAATCCTCTTCATTTCATCCTGTTTTCTTTTCATAAAGGCCAATTTATTGGTTCTTTATTAAGGACACCAAGTAGTCTTCTGAGTTTTTCTTTTGGATTCTGCAGTAAAAATTTTTCAGAGGTTTGTTCTGAATTTTTGGAGCACTATTCTCTTTCCCCTGTTGTGTGTTGTGTGTGTGTGTGTGTGTGTGTGTGTGTGTGTATAGCTCAAAACTAAAATAACTAGAGAATCAAATATATATATATATATTACTCAATTTTAAGTAAAGCCACAAAGATACCCAAGTTGAGTGGGTTTTTTTGGTCCAGCTCTTTTTCTATTACAATGGTGTTGAAAACTTAATATCCAGTTTACAGTTTAATGAATATTGTTGGGTTTAGTTGCCATTTCAATTACCATTTTCTGTTAATTTTTATTTAAAGTATCTCCTCTCAGTTGGCTTTTGATCATTCAGCTTCTGCAGCCTGATTCTTTGATACTATAAGAAGTTATACACGGTATCTGTAATTCTCAACCTATCAGGATTGCTCCTCTGTGCTCTGTTCACCTTTTCTCTCTCCATTTCTTTTTTTTTTTTTTTTTTTTTTTGAGACGGAGTCTCGCTCTGTCGCCCAGGCCGGACTGCGGACTGCAGTGGCGCAATCTCGGCTCACTGCAAGCTCCGCTTCCCGGGTTCACGCCATTCTCCTGCCTCAGCCTCCCGAGTAGCTGGGACTACAGGCGCCCGCCACCGCGCCCGGCTAATTTTTTGTATTTTTAGTAGAGACGGGGTTTCACCTTGTTAACCAGGATGGTCTCGATCTCCTGACCTCATGATCCACCCGCCTCGGCCTCCCAAAGTGCTGGGATTACAGGCGTGAGCCACCGCGCCCGGCCCTTCTCTCTCCATTTCATCAACCAAAGGCTCTACCTCTGCAGACTAAGCCTTTTGGAACATGTGGCTTTACGGGCCTCTCTCCCCTACTTTCTGCTCACTTTTTTTTTCTTAAATACGCTGGAATGGTGGGAGAAAGAGCATTTGCCTCCAAGTAAAATTCCCCAAACCAAGAACTCTGGGTCCCTTTTATCCAATAAAGAAAAGAAGGAGTGTTTGCTTTGGCAGAACATATACTAAACTTGGAACAACACAGAGAAGATTAGCATGACCCTCACACAAGGATTACATGCAAGTTCCTGAAGCGTTCCATATTTTCTTACGTAATAGTAAAGGGTTCGATTCAACAAGAAGAGATAACTATCCTAAATATATATGCACCCCAATACGGGAGCACTCAGATTCATAAAGCAAATTCTTAGAGACTTACAAAGAGACAGACTCCCACACAATAATAGTAGAAGATTTTAACACCTCACTGACAATATTAGACAGATCATTGAGACAGAAAATTAACAAAGATATTCAGAACCTGAACTCAGCTCTGGATCAAGCAGACCTGATACATATCTACAGTATTCTCCACTAAAAACAACAGAATATACGTTCTTTTCATTGCCATACAGCACTGACTCAAAATTAATCACATAACCGGAAGTAAAACACGCCTCGCAAATGCAAAACAACTGAAATCATAACAGTCTCTCAGATCACAGCACAATCAAATCAGAACTCAAGATTAAGAAATCCAGACATAGAGGCCGGGCGCGGTGGCTCACGCCTGTAATCCCAGCACTTTGGGAGGCCGAGACGGGCGGATCACGAGGTCAGGAGATCGAGACCATCCTGGCTAACACGGTGAAACCCCGTCTCTACTAAAAATACAAAAATTATCTGGGCGTGGTGGCGCGCGCCTGTAGTCCCAGCTACACGGGAGGCTGAGGCAGGAGAATGGCGTGAACCCGGGAGGCGGAGCTTGCAGTGAGCCGAGATCGCGCCACTGCACTCCAGCCTGGGCGACAGAGGGAAACTCCCGTCTCAAAAAAAAAAAAAAAAAAGAAATCCAGATATAACCACACAATTACATGGCAATTGAACAACCTGCTCCTGAATGACTCTTGGGTAAATAATGAAATTAAGGTAGAAATCAAGAAGTTCTTTGAAACTAATGAGAAAAAAGAGACATCATACCAGAATCTCTGGGCCGTAGCTAAAGCGGTGTTAAGAGGGAAATTTAGGCTGGGCACGGTGGCTCACGCCTGTAATCCCAGTACTTGGGGAGGCCTAGGTGAGCGGATCATTTGAGCTCAGGAGTTTGAGACCAGCCTGGCCAACATGGTTAAACCCTGTCTCTACTAAAAATACAAAAAGTAGCTGGGTGTGTGGCACGCACCTGTAGTCCCAGCTACTTGGGAGCCTGAGGCAGGACAATCTCTTGAACCTGAGAGGCGGAGGTTGGAGTGAGCGAGATTGTGCCACTGCACTCCAGCCTGGGTGACAGAGTGAGACCCTGTCTAAACAAAACAAAACAAAACAAAACAAAAAACCAAAATTTATAGCACTAAATTCCCACATCAAAAATCTGGAAAGATTTCAAATTAACAATCTAACATCACAACTAAAGGAACTAGAGAATCAAGAGCAAACAAAACCCTAAGCTAGCAGAAGACAAGAATAACCAAGATCAGTGTTGAATTGAAGGGGATAGAGACACAAAAAAATCCTTCAAAATATCAACAAATCCAGGAGCTGGTGTTTTGAAAATAATTAATAAAAGAGACTGCTAGCTAGACTAAAAAAGAATAAAAGAGAGAAGGATCAAATAAACACAATTAGAAATGATAAGGGGGATATCACCACTGACTCCACAGAAATTCAAATAACCATCAGAGAATACTTTAAACACCTCTATGTATATATATTGGAAAAACTAGAAAAAATGGGTAAATTCCTGGACACATACACCTTCCAAAGACTGAACCAGGAAGAAATTGAATCCCTGAACAGATCAATAACAAGGTCTGAAATTGAGACAGTAGTAAGTAACCTACTAACCAAAAAAAGCCCTGGACTAGATGGATTAACAGCTGAATTCTACCAGAGGTACAAAGAAGAGCTGGTACTATTTCTGCTGAAACTATTCCAAAAAAAAGGAGGGACTCCTCCCTAACTCATTCTATGAGGCCAGCATCATCCTGATACCAAAACCTGGCAGAGATATAACAAAAAAAGAAAACTTCAGGCCAATATCCTTGATGATCATTGATGCAAAAGTCCTCAATAAAATACTGACAAAACAAATCCAGCAGCACATCAAAAAGCTTATCCACCATGATCAAGTTGGCTTCATCTCTGGGATGCAAGGTTGTATCAACATATGCAAATCAATAAATATTATTCATCCTATAAAAAAAACTAAAGACAAAAACCACATCATTATCTCAATAGATGCAGAAAAGGCCTTTGATAAAGTTCAACATCCACTCATGTTAAAAACTCTCAATAAACTAGATATTGAATGAACATACCTCAAAATAATAAGAGCCATATATGACAAATCTACAGCCAATATCATACTGAATAGGCACAAAACAAGGATGCCCTCTCTCACCACTCCTATTCAACATAGTATTGGAAGTTCTGGCCAGGGCAATCAGGTGAGAGATAGAAATAAAGGGTATTCAAATAGGAAGAGAGGAAGTCCAGTTATCTTTGTTTGCAGATGATATGATCCTATATCTAGAAAACAGATAGTTTCAGCCCAAAAGCTTCTTAATCTGATAAGCAACTTCAGCAGTCAGGATACAAAATCAATTTGCAAAAGTTGCTGGTATTCCTGTACACCAACAGCAGGCAAGCAGAGAGCCAAATCATGAATGAACTCCCATTCACAATTACTACAGAAAGAATAAAATACCTAGGAATACAGCTAGCAAGGGAAGTGAAGGACCTCTTCAAGGAGAACTACAAACCAATGCTCAAAGAAATCAGACATAACACGAATGGAACAACATTTCATGCTCATGGATGGGAAGAATCAATATTGTGAAAATGGTCATGCTGCCTAAAGTAATTTATATATTCATGCTATTCCCATTAAATTACCATTGACATTCTTCACAGAATTAGAAGAAACTATTTTAAAATTCGTATGGAACCAAAAAAGAGCCCAAATTGCCAAGACAAGCCTAAGCAAAAAGAGTAAAGCTGGAGGCATCATGCTACCTGACTTCAAAATATACTACAAGGCTACAGTAGCCAAAACAGCATGGTATTGGTATAAGAACAGACACAGAAGGCTGGGCGCATTGGCTCACGCCTGTAACCCCAGCATTTTGGGAGGCCTAGGCAGGCAGATCATGAGGTCAGGAGTTTGAGACCACCCTGACCAACATGGAGAAACCCCATGTCTACTAAAAATACAAAAATTAGCCAGGTGTGGTGGCATGCACCTGTAATCCCAGGTACTCAGGAGGCTGAGCCAGAAGAATTGCTTGAACCTGGGAGGTGGAGGTTGCAGAGCTGAGATCGTGCCACTGCACTCCAGCCTGGGCAACAGAGTGAGACTCCATCTCAAAAAGAAAAAGAAAAAAAAAAAGAACAGATACATAGCCCAATGGAAGAGAATAGAGAACTCAGAAATAATACCACACACCTCCAACATCTGATCTTTGACAAATCTAACAGAAACAAGCAATGGGGAAAGCATTCCATACTTAATAAATGGTGGTGGGAGAACGGGCTAGCCATATGCAGAAAATTGAAATTCGGCCCCTTCCTTACACCATATACAAAAATTAACTCAAGATGAATTAAAAACTTAAATGTAAAACCCAAAACCATAAAAACCCTAGAAGAAAATCTAGGCATTACCATTCAGGACATAGGTACAGGCAAAGATTTCATGATGAAAATGCCAAAAGCAATTGCAACAAAAGCAGAAATTGACAAATGGGATCTAATTAAACTAAAGAGCCCCTGCACAGCAAAAAAAAACTATCATCAGAGTGAACAGACAGCTTACAGAATGGGAGAAAATTTTTGCAATCTGTCCATCTGACAAAAGTCTAGTATCCAGAGTCTACAAGGAACTTAAACACATTTACAAGAAATAAACCAATGGCCCAATTAAAAAGTGGGCAAATGACATGAACAGACACTTTGCAAAAGAAAACATTCATGCAGCCAACAAGCATCTGAAAAAAAGCTCAGCATCACGTCATTAGAGAAATGCAAATCAAAACCACAATGAGATACTATCTCACACCAGTCAGGACAGCTGTGATTAAGAATAAAAAAAACAACAGATACTGGTAAAGTTGTAGAGAAAAAGGAATGCTTTTACACTGTTGGTGGGAGTGTAAATTGGTTCAACTGTTTTGGGAGACAGTGTGGCGATTCCTCAAAGACCTTGAGGCAGAAATACCATTTGAGCCAGATCCCATTACTGGCTATATACCCAAAGGAATATAAATCATTCTATTATAAAGATACATACATGTGTATGTTCATCACAGCACTATTTACAAAAGCAAAGACATGGAATCAACTTAAATGCCCACCAATGATAGACTGGATAAAGAAAATATGGAACATATACACCATGGAATGCTATGCAGCCATAAAAAAGGATGAGTTCATGTCCTTTGCAGGGACATGGTTGGAGTTGGAAGCCACTGTCCTCAGCAAACTAATGCAGGAACGGAAAACCAAACACCACAGGTTCTTACTTATAAGTGGGAGCTGTATGATGAGAACACATGGGCACATGGGGGAACAACACACACTGGGGCCTGTGGGGGTGGGGTGGCTTGTGGAGAGGGAGAGTATCAGGAATAATAGGTAATGTATACTGGGCTTAATACCTAGGTGGTGGGATGATCTGTGCAGCAACCACCATGGCACATGTTTACCTGTGTAACAAACCTGCACATCCTGCACATGTACCCTTGAACTTAAAAGTTGAAGGAAAAAACAAAAGAAGGATATGTTCTTAGTTTTCTATACCTATGAGCCAGTCAATTGGAAGTGAAAGCTGGGTATGCCAAGGAATAACTAAATTCCCTTTACGGTTTCAAAGTTAGAACCTATTTTTCTCTTAAGATTATGGAATTGATTATCCATTACTTTTGGTTTTAAAGGCTGTCTTCAATGGTTTTAGTGACAAGTTGGTCACAGCAGCATTACATGATTTTAGCCAGAAGCTATTTTGAACCTAAAATTCCTATCAGAAGGTTGAAAAAAAACCTAATTTTACTTTTATTTAGAGCTTGTGTGCTAATTATTTGATTTTTAAATTTCCGACTCCACTTGGAATGAAGACACAATCCAGTAGTTAATATTAAAGTATGAACTTTCAATTGTTTCCTTTCTTCCTTTTTTTTGAGATAAGAATCCCTCAAAAGAATAAGTGAAACAGAGACTTCAAAGTTCCGTGGTGACTGTTGAAATATAACAGAATCGCACTGTGTTTGAATTTACTGTGATATATTTCTAATGTCTTATATTTGGTATGTTTCTCTTGTTGTTATTGCTGACACAAACCAAAGAACAAGAATTTCTTTTATGCCACTGATTTGCAAAGGTCGTATAGAAAATGAAGGGTCAGATAATGGATGTTAATCATCCTCATTGATGGATACATTGACAGGAAAACATAATTGAATTGCACATATTAGTGGAAGATAAAAAACCATTTCACAAATCGTTCTTAGTAGAGAAAAAAATGATAGGAGAGCTAAAATTGATGTGAAAAACACAGAAGGAAGTTAAGGGATTAGAGTGGGAGGGAAATTAGTGAATATCTATTTGTGTGCATGATTGCATTTTTGAAATAATTAGTTGCCTAATTTGTGTATCCAAATATAGTAATTGTTTTTCCATAGTCATGACTTAAATATTCTCTGTGTGTAATTTTCAGTTGCATACATTTTTTTGCAGAATCAAATTGCAGAGGAATACATTCATTTGAAATTTCTCTAGGGATGTGTTTATAACCCATTTTGGAAAGAGTAGAAAGATTTTTTTTCTCTTCCAAATGGCTATGAAGGTGGATAACTTCTCTGATCTTTTAGTAAACACTTTTATGTTAGTTGAATGGTATGCAGTTAGTCATAAACAGGAGAGATTGAGGAAAAATAACATGCTTAATGCAAATAAATTTTCTGTACCTGATAAGTTAATTGGAATTTTTTCCTGTAATCTTTTTTTTTTTTATTTTTCTGGTAGATGCTTGTTGATTTAAGGTAAGATAGAAAAGAATCATCAAACTATATGTAAACCACAGCCAAATGATGAATTCATAGTTTTTGCTCAAGTAGAGGGATTATCTGAAAGTACAAAAAGAATTTGATAATTGAGAAATACATTATTTTGAATGCACATTTGAAGTAGCTAAAAATTCTACGCCACAGCTGAATGCACTGGCAGTTTGTTAATCACATCCATAAACATGAGTCTTCTACAATTGGAGTGGGCCCCACACTTGGAACATCTTGAAGATGTTTCTTCTTTGGCTGTGCTAAATTAAGCATGCAAAGAAGTTATATTGTGTTAACATTTCCACAATGAAATCTTATTGGCACTTCCTGTATAAGTGGCTGGGAATAGAAATTCTCATTTATGAATCAAAACACTTTGCCTTTTTATTTGGAGGTCAACCTACTAACCTTTGGTTATAGGATAATACCAGCAATTTTATTATAAAGTGTATTTCAGTAATTGGAACTGTGTTTTGATTATACAATTGGATAGAATGTATAATAAAATGAAATGAAAGAAATTTCTCCCAGAAGATTGAGTTAAAAATGTTTTGGTGATGAAATTGAGATGATGTCCAGATTTATAGCATGTTTGGTAACCATAACATACTTCTCGATATATTGAATTCCATGTAAATGCTTATTTCTTCAAACCCTTTAAATTTCAGAGTATTTTCTCCCTTCTGTTATTAATCAGTTCTATTCATAGTGGATCTTAGAAAATTATCCAGTGATTAATATTTCTCCATATTTGTAGCTTTCATTACTTTATATTTCTGTTTTTGCCTAGGCTCCTTGTTACCAGCCTGTTCTAATGTCACAAAACTTGGCAAACCCTACCCAAGAAGGGTAAGGTTTAGTATCTATGAATTTTGAAAATACTTGATGAGAAAAGTTGCTTTTAAATTATTTTGAATCTTATTAATACCAAAAATATTTGAAAAAGAGAAGCAGGTACATTTTTCCAATATTCAAATTTCATTCAATGTATAAATACTCAAACCTTTTTTTATAAATTATACTTTAAGTTCTGGGATACATGGGCAGAACGTGCAGGCTTGTTACATAGGTATACATGTGCCATGGTGGTTTGCTGCACCCATCAACCCATCATCTACATTAGGTATTTCTCCTAATGCCATCCCTCCCCTTGCCCCCCACCTCCCGACAGGCCCTGGTGTGTGATGTTCCCCTCCCTGTGCCCATATGTTCTCACTGTTCAACTCCCACTTATGAGTGAGAACATGTGGTGTTTGGTTTTCTGTTCCTGTATTAGTTTGCTGAGAATGATGGTTTCCAGCTTCATCCATGTCCCTGCAAAGGACATGAACTCATTCTTTTTTATGGTGGCGTAGTATTCCATGGTATATGTGCCACATTTTCTTTATCCAGTCTAATATTGATGGGCATTTGGGTTGGTTCTAAATCTTTGCTGTTGTGAAAAGTGCTGCAATAAACATATACGTGCATGTGTCTTTTGCAATAGCATGAGGGAAGGAGATTGGAAAACATTGACTCATTGTACAATTTAAATACGCCAACTTTGTCAACTTTTATTACAACTGGAAAGCACTTATGGTACTTATTAGAAAGAAAGTGTGTGTGGATACGTATGTGTGTAAAAATATGGCTCTTCTTAA
Source organism: Homo sapiens (assembly GCF_000001405.40). Classification (NCBI taxonomy): domain Eukaryota; kingdom Metazoa; phylum Chordata; class Mammalia; order Primates; family Hominidae; genus Homo; species Homo sapiens. Next base: position 60,296,465 of record NC_000005.10, on the reverse strand, counting down.
AAGGAGGCTTACCCAGTCATTTTTTTTTGAATAATAGCTGCATTGGAGGTAAGAAGGTACCTCAAGACATTTTCTCTAATTGTGCAGGAAAAAACAAATAAAGGAGATGAAGACTAGGCTGCTGTCATTCTGTGCCATCTCTGACATCTATGGAAAGCCTAGAGGCCCAAGAATACTTCCTCCCCAGGGTGCTATTGCAGTATCTTCAGGGTCCTGAGTCTGAATGTTCCTATTTTATGTAAGCATTGTACCCAGAAGAATGGGTCAGAACCTCTCCTATGGTCTGAATGTTTGTGTCCCTCCAAAATTCATATGTTGAAGTCCTCACCTCCAAGGTGATTGTATTAGGAGTTGAGGCCTCTAGGGGGTGTTTAGGTGATCCTCATGAATAGGACTGGTGCTCTTATAAAAGAGGCCCTAGGGATCTCCGTTAACTCTTCCACCATGTGAGGACACCGTGAGAAGGTGCCATCTATGATGAAGCTGGCCCTTATTAGACATCAAATTCTCTGGTTCCTTGATCTTGGACTTCCCAGTCTACAGAATGTGAGAAATAAATTACTGTTGTTTATAAGCCATTGTGTTTGTGGCATTTTGTTTATGGCAGCCCAGGTGGACTAAGACAGCCTTTTAATAGGCAAGGGGATCTAAAGACATAGGTGAACCAAGCAAGTCAGTCTGCAGCTCAGAAAACTCAAGTCCCCATTCAGGCAGCTGCCTGATGATGTTAGCTGTAATCTCCTGTGTTTGTGCCTGACTTGCTGCCTCAGTTTAGCTCAGTGGTTCTCAACTGGGGGCAACTTTGACCATAGGGACATTAGGCAACGTCTGGAGACATTGTCACAGCTAGAGGAAGGGTGCTACTGCCATCTAGTTGGTAGAAGCCAGGGTTGCTGCTAAACATCCTGCAGTGCACGGGACAGCACCTCCTCCCATCCCAGCAAGGAGTCATCTGTAGGAATATTTGATAAAAGCCATCTACATAAAAGCCCAACAGCTCACATCATAATTAAAGATGAAAGACTGCTTTTCCCATAAGATTGGGAACAAGGTAGTAATGACTGTTCTCAAATCTCTATTCAACATTTTACTGAAGGTCTTAGCAACAGTGCAAGAAGAATAATTAAAACTCATACAATTTGCAAAGCAAGAAGTAAAGCAGCTTTTATTCACGTATGACATAAACAGATACTTAAATAACCATAAGGAATAGCTTCCATAAAGGGGACTTGAACCAATAAGTGAGTTTAGAAAGGTCTCAGTATCTCAGTCAATACAAATTTAATCATGTTTATAAATACAATGGACAATTAAAACTAAATATTTAAACATTTCATTTCTTATAATGCCAGAAAATAGAAAATACTTAGTAGCAAATTTAATGAAATATGTGCACAATTCTTATACTGAAAACTATAATTTACCAAGATAAATTTAAGAAGACTTCAATAAATGGAGAGATATACTTTGCTCATTGATCAGAAGACTCAATAACAATTTAGGATATTAATTTTTCCTGAATTAATCTATATATTCAAATTTATCTTAATCTTCATCACAATGGCTTTTATTTTATAGGAATTGACAAGCTTATTCTAAAATTTATATGGGAGAGTAAAGAAGGTAGAATAGTCAGAATAATCTTGAAAAACAACAGCAATTCTACCTGACTCTATAAAATATAGTTGTATTATAACTGTAAAAATACAGTTGTATTAAAGATTATGAGGTTTTGACATAAGGATAGACAAATAAATGAAGGAAATAAAAGAGTCCAGAAATAGACACACATTTATAAAGTAAATTGATTTTTTTCAAGACACCAAAGCAATTAAATAAAGGAATGGAGAGGCTTATTTATAAATGAAATTGGAATAAATTGATATCCATATGGGAAAAAAATAAATTTTCACTCCCTAAATTCACACCTCAGACAAAAATCAATTCAAGATGGATTGGAGACCTAAAAGCAAAGGTAAAACTCTGATACTTCAAGAACAGAACATGACAGGATTCAGAAAATTATAACCCTCAAAATTGGTAAATTAGACTGCTCATCAAAAGACATACGTAAATGAGTAAGAGAGCCACTAACAGGACAAAAATATTTGTAAAACATATCTGACAAAGGACTTTAATCAATATCACATAAAGCACATCTACATTAATAAGATAAAGACCAAAGAAAATAGCTCAATAAAAATGGGCAAAGCATTTCAAGGGACACTTTACAAAAGTAAATATACAAATGGCCAATGAACACAGTAAAGAGTGCTCCACATCTTTAGGCTTCAGCTAAATGCATTTACAACCACAAAGAAATACCACCACACATCCACTAGAAAGGACAAAATTAAAAAGGTTGAAAACACCAAATACTGGTGAGGAGTTAGAACCACTGAACTCTTACACTTGTTGATAGGAAAATTAAATGTTGTAACTACTTTGAAAAATGTTTTGCAGATAATAAAATGTTACTTTCACCTACCCTTTGACCTAGCAATTCCACTCCTATTGTTTACCCAGAAGCAAATTTTATGTTACACATAAAAAATTATATCATACATAAATACTTGTTAAAATATTCATAAACCCACATATTCATAAACCCACATATTAATCAAAAGAGAATCAATAAACAAATTTTGTCACAGTTATACAATGGAGTATTACTCCGCAACAAAAATGAATGAACTACTGATACCTGCAACAAAATGAGTGACTCTCACAGACAAAATGCTGAGTCAAGGAATCGAGACAAAAAGGAATACATGTGGTATGATTCCATTTCTAGGAAGTTCTAGAACAAAACTTAGGTTAGAAAAAGGGAAAAAGGTTAGCCTCTGAAAGGGAAGACTGACCAGAGAGATGAGAGAACTTTCTAGGGAGATGGAAATGTTCTGTATCATAAGGATGTGGGTTACATCTTTTTTTTGTTTGTTTGTTTGTTTTGAGACAGAGTCTCGCTCTGTTACCCAGGCTGGAGTGCAGTGGCGCCGTCTCTGCTCACTGCAACCTCCGCCTCTCAGGTTCAAGCGATTCTCCTGCCTCAGCCTCCCGAGTAGCTGGGACTATAGGCGTGTGCCACCATGCTAGGCGAATTTTTTGTATTTTTAGTAGAGATGGGGTTTCACCGTGTTAGCCAGGATGGTCTTGATCTCCTGACCTTGTGATCGCCTCCCAAAATGCTGGGATTACAGGCATGAGTGCCCGGCCGCGTTACATCTTTTTAAGTATTTTAAGTAAATTGGTAGTCAGTGTTCAGGAATCCTTCTAATGACTCTTCAACAGGGGTGGCTTATGAAATAGTTCATCAATTTTTTTTTCTGATAAGGGGAGGTTGAGGCAGGAGGATTGCTTGAACTTGGGGGGGCAGAGGTTTCAGTGAGCCGAGATCATAACACTTCACTCTAGCGTGGGTGAAAGAGTGAAACTGTCTCAAAAAAAAAAGGGGGGAATTTACACTCTTGAAAATAAATATTTCATAAGGAAACTTTAGAGTTCTCCAATATACATGATCAAACAAGGACCTGTTACCATTTTGGACCATGTCATAATAGAGAGGAGATAGTTCAAAATTAGTCATATGTTCCAACAACAACATGATTATGGAAACTAGTCTTAGAATTGAGAGTAATTGAAGTTTTTGTTTTTACTGGTATTAATAAATGGTATTACTCAATTCGTTGACAGTACCAGTCTCTGCAATATCTTTTGTTGGGGAAGGGGGAGAGGACCTGTTCGTCTAATTAGAAACACATCTACATTTTAAGAATAAAATATTTTACATATACTTTTTGTTATTAAATCTGCAAACTCTAGAATTGGAAGAAATAGCCTTCATAACTCTTCACTGCAAAAGTTATGAATGTTTGATAGAATTAATTAAAGCATTCAGTAGAATTAGACTTGTTTGGAAGGACTGTAGGATCTTTGGCAAGAAGTGTGTTTTATATTGTTTCAGATGTATACCATTTTCTCTTAAGGTTTACAAGTTAATCAATAAAGATTCTTGGCAGAGCTAAGTACAAAAGAACAATATGTATTTCGCATACCAAATGGATCTAAGTCTTAAGTGTTATTTGATGTCTCGAAATGTTTGGCTTTCAACTTTGTTTAAATGAATAGTGTGTATACAGTGAAGACAGGCTTTACTTAGCCATGCCTAGACCCTCTGTGGATTCTCTCATAATCCTCAGTTATTGTAAACCATACTTAGTGAGACCAAAAGGATATTTTGTTTTGGCTGCATGGTATTATTGGAAAACGGTAAAAATTTTATTCTTTAAATAATGTGTTTTTCTATTCAGAAAAATAATGTCTATAGAGATAGTTATTTCAAAATGTAGTTTTCAATATGCACTTGTGGGTATGAACATGAACAAACACATGCAGACACACAGAGTCTGACGTTATATCTAGAATGTTGAATCCTACTTTTCTACTTAACAGGAATGTTTCCCTATGTAACGAAAAAGTCTGTATAATGTGTCTCTATTATGTGTATTATATGAATTATATATCCTAATTTACTTAACCATTCTTTTATTGTATTGGTCATTTTCCCATATTGCATACAAATTATTAGGGAACATCTGTGTGCAAACATTTTTATTTACATTTTGGATTATTTACTTAGAATAGATTCCCGGAAGTGAAACTACCAGGTCAAAGGCTTTTCCCAATTTATTTTTCAAAAAGAAATTCCCACTGTATTCTATACAAGTATGCTTGTCTCACTGCCCAGTTGCTAGCCTTACATGGTTTTTTTTTTAATTTTGTTTTTTATAAATAGAATCTCATTGTTTTAGTTTGTATCTTTTGGATTACTAGTGAGTTTGAAATTTAAAAACCTGTCTTTTCAGGCCTTTGTCTTTTAGGGTTTTTAGGATTTTCTTAACGATTAGCATCATCTCTTCTCTAAAAACGTTATATTTGTTCGTTATATTGTAATAGGTTTTTTTTTGCTTTTAGCTATTAAGCTTTTAATTATATACTTGATTTTTAATTTAGAAAAGTAAAATTTTCTTCAATGGAGTTCTTTTTTAAATTGAATTCTTTGACATTTTTATTATTTTGTTCAAAGAACCCTATGGGCAAGTGGAATCTTACACTTTTATTACCTGGATAGCGGATAACATTCATAGTTTGATATTTAATCTGTAGCATATAGTTGACTTTTATTTTTGGAATATCCTTGCTTTAAAACTACAACTAAAGGAAGGCAGATGGTTAGCTTGTTTTCTCATTTCCTGAAAATGTCCAAGATTGGAACCAATATTATCAGTCTGTAATGGAGGTTGGCAATGTCAAGATGGTTTGTATCCATGTCAAGATGTTGAATCAGTGTCCAGGTCATTGCTCATTAAAGATGTTGCTCTTTGGATAAACAGGAAACCCAGAAAAAAGATTCTAACAATTTTTGATGCTACCTCACATTCCTTCGAGACAGTGCAGAACATTTCGTTCTTTAGAAAATATTCAGGTCTCTTTCTTTGTGTTACAGCACTTACTATTTGTCTATTTGTATTATTGGCTTGTGACCCTTTTTTGGGGGGTTACAAATACACTAGGGGAAAGAGTATTTTTAAAAATCATTATGCCTTTGCTTTATCTATGTCTGTATACTCTCCTATTTGTTATTATTATTTTTATTTTTGAGACAGGGTCTCACTCTGATTGCCTAGGCTGCAGTGCAGTGGTGCAATCACAGCTCACTGCAGCCTCCATTTCCCCAAGCTCAGGTGATTCTCCCACCTCAGCCTCCTGAGTAGCTGGGACCACAGGTGTGCGCCACCATGCACAGCTAACTTTTTGTATTTTTAGTGGAAATGGGATTTCACTATGTTGCCCAGGCTGGTCTCAAACTCCTAAGCTCAAGCAATCTGCCCACCTCGGCCTCCTAAAGTGCTTGGATTACAGGTGTGAGCCACCACTCCCTGCCTCCTATGTATTATTCTATATGTATTTTTTCATATTAATGTATAAGTTTTTTCAAGTATGGGTTATTCCATTTGAACAAACCATTAATTCTCTGCTCGTCTATAGTCATTTCTTATTAGATGTGTCAGTTCTTAATTTTATCACACATTAATTTCTTTTTTTGTTCCTTATACATTTTGTTTCCTTGAGATCTTCAGAATGTAAATCAATCTCCATTCTGTTATGATTTATAATCATTTACTTCTCAGATGATTCCTCCTTTAGTGCTTTGTGCCTTCTGTTATATTCTTATTACTTTTGATCTTTTATTGTTCTAATTTCACCTCTTCTCAACCCATCCCCACACTGGCAACTGTTATATGAATGGCTGGTCAGATGGAATCCACATATGTTCCGTATGCATGTATAGATTTTACTCAAGCCACTAGTGGAGACACTATTCCTACTTACACATATGAGTACCAACCTCTCTGTGATGCAGCAATCATATCTTGACATATCTAGAAAGTTTCATCCTCATCCATAAATTACTTCATCTTTCTCCAAATAACTCAGGGAATTTTACATTAACCTACCCAATTTAACAATTTAGGAAAAATCAATTCAGTGACATGAGGTAAAAGATGCGCTGTCAAAATTGCAGTGTCTCTAAGGTGATTCTTTTTGACCAGACTAGAAACACTAATCTGGCACTATTTTAGTTGGGGTTTCCTGGTACCTTTCCATGCCATAAAAATCTCTATAAAACAGAACAAATTGCACATTTAATTATAGTTTCAAAAATTTGCATTCTTGGATGAAACTTTTTCTCTTGTCCCACTCTTGCCATAATTGCTACATTGTCTACTGTTAATTTGCATTTTAACTGAGCTTTAAACATTTAACCAGAGGATGGTCCAATCGGAGATTCTATAACCATCTCAGTAATTGGTAGGCAAGTTATTTTTTATTGCTATTTCAGCAGTAGGGAAGTCTCCTCTACAGGGGTGGGGAAAGAGTTGATAACCTTCAAAACAGACTCTTTACTTTGGGGCTGTGATGAGAGAAACAGAACAGAAGTTAGGAATGGTGAAATTAGAAGAGACAGATGGTGAGAGATTATCATGATTTATAGGATCACCCAAATTGTCTAAAATTTACTCCAGAACTTTTTACCAGTTAGGGCAAAATGTCATGCTTATTTTGAGCTCCTATAGATACATTTAAATCAGACATACTGGACTTTGCATTCTGTTATTTTTTTGAGGGGGGTGATATTTAAGGAGTTCTAGAAACAGCCTACATTAGACTTAGTGTTTCCAGCAACTAACAAATTTAAATGTTATAAACATTTTTCTAACGCATTTTCCTTTAAACCACTCTGGGGAAAGACATGAATGTAAGATGACTGATTCTCAGATTATCTGCTTTTAGAACAACCTTCTTTTAGCTGCAAAAACGTAGTGACGGTGTTCTCAATGTGAGACGGGGAAGATTTTAGTGGGCACAGCAGCTGTTGACTCAAATATAGTTATACATGTTCCTTCTGTGTTTTCTTGTAGGTGAATCAGCAGTTTAGTTTATTATGAAAATTAGCAATCTATAAGATGATTCTGAAAAATGAATTCTCAGAAATTTAAGGTACACACATGGCATGATTTGGTGAATATGAAGTGCTGAAGTGAAATACTCATATCCCATTGTGATCATTGATGTTCTTGTTGCAATTATGGTCATCATGTCAAGAACAAAATCAATTTGATGCGATTGAAAATAACAAAAATGCTTTATGTCTTTTAGAGAAAATATAAATGATTCATTGTAAATGAGAAACCTCAAACTGAAAGCACATAAAATACCAGGTATGAGTGTTGCATTTTGAAGTCTCTGACTACATGAGAGTTGTCTGTGAAATAAAATATCCAGTTACACAAAATATTCTTTATAGTTAAAAAACTTTTTTTCATACATATCACTAGTTAACTATTTTTAGTCCCATCTTTCCTATGTGCCCAGCAGTGAGCTAAAAGCTGTGCATTTAATGCATTCTTCATTGTATTTTTGTTTTGTTTTATTTTGTTATTTGTAAAGATGGGAAAGACCAAATGAAAAGATGTCAAACTTTTCTGGGGGTGGAGAGGACATTTGCATTTTGAATTTAGAAACCTAAATTAGAGGTTTAGGAAGACTCATAAATATGTAGCAGAGGTTTGGTGGTCACAGCTAGAAGCTGACCACCACCATGGGGCAAATAATGATTTAACCTCCTCCTGTAAGTATTTGATGTAAGATCATCGGTATATTTCATCTGTGACATTATCCAAGAAGAAGATGAATCTGAGGGAAACAATGCTTGCAGATTTGAGGGGGAAAAATGCTTGGAGTAGTTAGTCTCGGGATAGCCCTAGGTGATGATAATCCTTGCACAAACACAGCACACTGTTAGAACAGACAAAAGTCTGCAGAGGTTAAGAAGACCCTTGTTACATTGGAATCTTTCAATCACTTCTAGAAATATGATTTAGTTAAATCAATATTTTATTTAGCTCTAGGTACAATATTGATGCTAAAGAAGTTCTTGTTGAACCAACAAATGGATGCTCCTTTAAAATGCTGGAGGCATCATAAATGGCATGTTAGCATCAGGTACCTCCCTCTTGGAGCTTACACATAAAAACAAATGTACACAAATAGCAATAATCAAATAAAATATTAGGGGATTGTGTCAAATGAGAGCTAGTGACAACTGTTGATTTAAAGATTCAGCCATTTCAAAGTTTTAGAAGTTTTAGGGATATAAACTAAAGAGTCCAGAGAAAGCAGGGAAAGTATAAACTATTTCTGCCAAGGATGGGGATTTTGAGGCAAGGTTGGATATTGCTATTAGGAAGAAGTGGCATTTGAGCTGGGTAGGATTTTTACATTCAGAAATGTGAATAGGCACGTGTAGAGAAAAGGAGGCAGAGGATTCTGGATTGAGGGAATTTATTAATTCTTCATTCTACATTTGCTGATTACTTCCTATATACAAGATACTAAACTAAGTGCAAGGCACACAGGGTAAATAAGAATTTTAGTTCTTGTCTTTGAAGAGCCTTCCCGCAGTAGAGGAAACACGTACTTACAAGAGGCAAGCAATGGTGCCCTAAGGCCTGAAGGGGGCGCCTCTCCTACACAGCAATACGAGGGTGGAGTTTATTTTCATGGCACCTCAACCCATCTGACAGCTAGGGGAGCTGCATTTTCCAACAGAAGGTGCATTTTGTATATTTGTAGGCTGTTTTATACACTGCTTTGTGCTGAAGTTATTCAGGCATTTCTCTTCCCTCTAGACCTTAAGTTCATGGAGGCCACAAGCTAGGTTTTACCATTTTTGTATCCGTCTGTGCTGTCTAGAGTAGTGCCTTGGACACACAGTAAGGATTAAAGACTTTCGGAATATAATTAAATTTTGCTTTTACTGGGAAATAAAATATATCTCATAGAAGGCATGGTTGTCCTATTCTTCATCTAGTCTTTCAAAGTCTTTACAGTGTGTTGTGTGGCAGAGGCCAACAGTAGTTAATACTGTGTTGAAGCCATACCTTTCATACTTGATGTTATTTTTGAACAATGAAAACTTTGCAGGAAGTTCTCATCCCTTTGTGGCTAAGATATTTTCCATTAAGGGGGAAACAAAAAGAGAAACATTAGCAAGCTACTCATTTATTTCTTTTAAAGTTACTTGTTAGAAAGTCACCTTTCACCCCAATTTCACATTGAATTTAAGTTCATTCCTACCTATCTGACAGTAAGTCAATATTCTGAGATTGTTTCGGAGGCTTCTTATTTTTCCTCAGCTGTAAACTGAATTACCTTTTAAACGATTTTCTAGCTAACAGTAAATGGTCCATAAAACATATGAATAAAAATGAAGGCAAACATTTCATGCTTAAATAGCTATAATGGTAGTCGGTGTAATGGGCTGGAGTTTCAAAAATAACCAGTGATGAATCTCTTAGCGGCCACATCATATTATCTGTGGTTTTTGCAGAAGTGTCATTTGCAGCTATTCTGACACACATCTTACTCTAGTTGGCAATTTATGATGTTTTATTCTATGTAAACAAATGTCTGTCTATCTTTAGAGTACAAATATCTACGGAGATCAAATGTAAGAAAAAAGTGGCCCTGACTTGGTTTCATTGTTGTCAAAAATGGTCTTTAAGAATGTTGTTTTTCTTTAGACAATATTACTTAAGTATCTACAATGGCTTGTTGTATTTCATGGGAATGGTATTACTTTACAGCTTCTGCCAGGGTATGTATCAATCTTCTCTCTCACTAAGGAAACAGACAAATTCTGCTATTTCTTAAACAGTTTTTTGTGGCACTTATAAGAATTATCATGTTTCCCGGGTTGTTGTGACAGACTGAGGATAGCTATGCCTGAATTCATGGTGACGGTAAAGAGAACGTGTAGTGTTAAACGGGCGTCCTGTTTGCCTGAAGTTGTCCAATCAAAATGTCTTCATTGATACCAGCTATTTTCTTAAAGCTCTGTATTTGCTCAGAGGCACTGAAATGTTCCTTTCCCCTTTCCTTGTGCACTCTGAAACATTTTAGAATGCTTTTCAAATCTTGAAATCTGGTGATTGCATTTGAAACAGTTTTATAAACATGCAAACCCACTCATGTGATCTGCTGGGTTTTCGTTGAAACTGCCACTCACATGCCAGGGTTTGTACAAATAGACCTGAAAGGAATTCTCAAGGTCATTTTATTGCAATCCATATTTGATGAATTTGGGAAGTTGTGGGCACCACGTCACTCTGTGAACTTGTAGCAGGGAGCTGAGGCTGGTAAGGTAGTATCTCTTTATTTTCACTTTAGTAGTGTTATATTCACACATAGCTTTTCTTCTTAGGGTAGAAGTCTTCCTCTGCTAACCTTTGATTTTTTTGAAATTTCATTTTTTTAATTCTTCAACTCCCAAACAGATTCGTTGTTTTTCTTCCCTGTAATTTTTTATTTATATCTGTGTGTTTTGATTAAGGTTACTTTCTAGTTGTAATGGGGAGCATTAGGCAGGTTTTTTTTTTGTTTGTTCTTTTCTAAATAATCAGGACTTTACACAAAGTTACAAGCTCAATAAGCAACAGCCGAATCCTTATTCTACATATTTTTCAGCAGAGTGCCTTATCAGACACTATGTCCTCTCTAAAGTCTGCACACCAATGTCTATGACATTCTAGACAGCTATTCTTTAGTACACCTTTGTACTTCAGGTCCCCTTTGTGGCGGTGCATGTTTGCCAGGAATCCAAAATCTGTTAATGACTGTTGTACTTGCTATTATATTATATCATATAATTATTATGTAGACTGATGTAACATATAAGTAAAGAGAAGTGTTTATGTGAAAACTAAATAGAATGCTAGTAAATTTGCTAAAAAAATTACTGTAGAATTAGATGTAGGTGAGCCAATCATAAAAGATTGGGAGGAAATGTGAATGATTCTTAGATTGCTTCTCAAGTGCCTTAACTTCTCAATTACAAAGAAACACTGTAAGCCATAGATGATGCATAATGGATGTTCTTGATGTAAGACATTGTAGAAATCTAACTAAGAGATTCAAACTCAAAGCAAAGGCCTTGGCTCTACATCAAAAGAGTAGCCAACTATGTGCATTTAAGTGTTGCCATTTATAAAGAATACTTGAGGTATTATTTCTGAAGATTCTTGACTTTAATATATTCATTTAACAAACTGGCCAACTACCTATCCTGAATATGTCATATGAGAGGGCTTCTAACATGAGAATAAATCACAAGCCTCTAGCTGTTCTCTATTTTAAAGTGGGGATGAAAGGTGAACAAAGTGTTACAGATTCTCACTATTTGAGTATCTAATAGTGATGGGGAGGCTGTCCTGTTGCCTTAGTTGTCCTGGAGAAATATCATCGGGGCCTCTTTTCTGTGATGCAGCTCATGGCAGAGTACACCACTGTCATCCTAAACTTTTAGCTAAAAGCAGATAACACACTTCTTTTTCATATAATGCATTTGTATCTGAATTAGGACTTTAGTGTTACGGTTAAGACCTACAGGCATTGATTACTTTGGGGTGAAGTCTGGTGACCAAAGACAGTGTTCCTAAAAAGTGCAACTTCCTGGGAGTTTCCACACCTAGCTAGGAGATTGTCTCAGGGACTTTTTACCCAGAAGATAACTCTATTATTGGTAGGCTTAATAATAGCAGAAATACAGGCTACCTTATTTTCATGATTATGCATTTTTAACATTAATTTTTAATTTCCTTGAGATCAGGTAATAGAAACATTAATAGCTCTCTATACTACCAGGCATAGTTACCTAAAACAAGGTGAGTGCTAAATAGGTGTAAAAATAATGATCAAGCTCCCAAAGTGTACTATTTAGTTATTTTGCATGACAATTTTAACAGAAATTTGTCTCCTATCACAAATTGCAGTTTTACCATATCAATTAGTTGGATCTTGTCTCATCTTTCCGTTCACTGTGCTACCTAGTGTGGATGATTCTGCGTATTTTAATGTTGAGATGTGACCACACTGTATTCATTCAGCTGGTTTCTCAGAACTCGCTGAATATGGGACAGTTTTTTTTTTTCCCAGTAGTGAGCTTGACTCTGTGCATAGGAAATACACGCAGTCCTCATGTGCCTTTCCCTTTTCTGCAGATGGTAGTTCATGAGCCTCCCTCAAATATAACAGCAGCTCATAGGTGAATTTATCAAAGAGTATGGCCACCTTGGGAGACCTGGCACATTTTACAGGCCCTGCTGTGATATAGAACAATCAACTCAATTTTTTTATGTGTTCTTTCCATTATTGTAACTCCCATGAGGTAAAGTGTTAAGCTACATTAAGCCTCATTAAGAGAAATTTGAGTTCATGATGCATATGTAACTTCGCAGTAATTGTAATTAGTACAATCTGCTTCTTGAATTTGCTAACATATTTGGGAAAAATGTTACCATTTTTTATTTCTTTTAAAACATTTAATGCCAAAAACTTTTCAGTAGAGCATTTAGTACCTCTCACAAAATTTCATAAGTGGCTTTGATTGTGTGCAGAATTACATCAAATGATTAGGAGCAGACAGTTCATGAAACTAAGAACATAATTTACAACATTTGTAACAAAAAAGTATACTTTGAGTCTCAAAGTATGAGTAAAACCTGAAATTGAATTTTTTGAAGTCAACTATCTCCTATATATTAACCAAAATTTATGAAAAAATATCTATGACAAAATAAGACAAAAGATGGGCAATACTTCTAATAGAAGAGGGAGATAATGCATTAGGAAGCACTCTCTGTGTAGATACTAATGAACCTGAGGGTATAAGATGGAGATAATATTAGAAAACATGGTAATATAGTACATACTGCTCATAATTATAGTCAGAAATTTTACCACCCCTCTCAGTAATTGGTAGAGTAAGTAGACAGAAAATCAGTAAAGATATAGAAACTTGAAAAAACAATCAAATAACTGCATCAACATTTTAGAACACTCCACCCAACAACAGCAGAATATACATTCTTTTCAAATGTGCATGAAATATTTACCAGTATAAAGTATATTTTAGACCATAAAATATATCTCAGTACATTTAAAAAGATTTCGGACTATGTTCTCAAACTACAGTGGAATTAAGTTATAAATCAGTAGCAGAAAGATGCCTGGGAAGTCCCCAGATATCTGGACACTAAATATCATGCTTCCAAATAACTCATATGTAGTGGATTGAACTGCAGCCTCCAAAAGCATATGCCTATGTCTTAACCCTTGGAACCTGTCAATATGAACTTAGTTGGGAAACTGATCTTTGAAGAAGTAATTAAGTTGAGGATCTCCAAATGGAATAATCCTGGATTATCCAGCTGGGCCCCAAACCCAACAAAACGTGTCTTTATAAAAGAAAGAAGACAAGAGGACATAGATACAGAGAACATAGTAATAACAAATTTTATTTGTTTCATTTGAAATCAACAAATTTTTAATGATGATGGACTCCATGTGGTTTCTAAGCTGGAGCTTCTCATTATTTCTATGAAAGCCACTTAGAGGAAAAAGAATGTTTTCACTGTCACTGAAACCTTGGGATCTTCATATTAGACCAAATTAAACAAGTTACCACAGGACTTCCAACCTACAATATGCTAATGCACTCTTCAATCTTCATTGATCAAATGTAGCATATTCCAGATTTTTTTTTACCGTATAATCCTTTTTTCCCTGAATAGTCTTGCCTGACAAATAGAGCTCATTTTGAGAAATATATATATATATATATATATATATATATGTTTATTTCTCTCTTGTTCTTTAAAGATTAATTTCTGTATCACATGAATTTCTGTATCACAGAATCCTTTTAGATTCTGTACACTAGGAATGATAATGACTTACTTGTTTTATATGTTGAGTAATGTTGTTTAAAACGATGTTATTTCTATTGAAATAGAGTATCTCTCATTTTTTTTTCCTTTTTTCCTGTTGGCCAGTCTGGAGTGCAGTGCTACAATCACAGCTCACTGTAGACTCAACCTCCCAGACTCAAGTGATCCTCCCACCTCAGCCTCCTGGGTAGCTGGGACTACAGGCATGCATCAACAGGACTGGCTAATTTTGTACGTTTTTGTAGAGACAGGGTTTTGCTCTTGCCCAGGCTGGTCTCAAATTCCTGTGCTCAAGCCATCTGCCTGCCTCAGGGAGGCAATCCCAAAGTGTTGGGATTACAGGATTGAGCCACCATGCTCGGCCCCTTCTTTTCTTATTCTTACTTTTTCTATTATTTTTCACTTCTTTTACTAAGTTTATTATTAACTAAGTAAGTTAATAATTAACATTTCTTTTGCTTAATTTTTAAAAAAAGGGTTGGTCATGTTAAAACTGTCCTGAATAAGATCTACTATCTATTGAAATAAATTCTTGTTCCTTTCATAAATTTATTATCATTTAGAATAATTCTTTGTAAAGATTTCATAGATTTCAGCCATCGTAGTTGGTATACTACAGAAATGACAGTGGGGAGAGACAGGAATAAAGTTAAAGTAGTGTGGATATAGAATCAGTACATTTAGTGACTTTTTAGGAATGGCAAATAAAGGATTATTGTAATTTCTGTTTTGGTTTCCTTGGAGGTTAATATTTCCTACTGAAATAGGGAAATCTGAAGGAAGAGCAAATTTCCACAGGAACGACAAGAAGTTTGATTTTGGATTTGTGTGGTTTTGAGGTACTTTCTTGTACGTTTGGAGAAAGTATCTAACAGGGAATTCTGCTACTGAAACAAAGTAGAGTGAGAGGGAGGGGTAGACTTAGCTCCCCTGACCTTGTATGTATGGAGAAAGTATCTAACAGCGAAGTCTGCTACTGAAACAAAGTAGAGAGAGAGGGAGGGGTAGACTTAGCTCCCCCTGACCTTGTATGTATCTCTTTTTCAATATTTATTTCTAAACTAGTTTGACAATGCTGCCTATGAACTTAAGCAGGTGCCTGAAATGATTGAAACGTCCTTGTCAGCAGGCAGTGTGTTTCACATGTTAAGTTCAGTAATGGTGAACTTAATGTCCTCTGCTATATTGACCTCCAAAGCCTTAGAGATTTGTGGCCTAAGAATTACACCAGATAGATTTTTATCTCAGCCCTTATTTTAGATAATAAACATATTTTTAATTAGTAAGTTAATAATTAACATTTATAGAGCCTTAATGTGAGCCTGGCCCTGCTATATATTATTTATGTTTACCAACTTGCTTAGCTCTCACAATGATGCTATTTACTGATGAAGAGTTAAGTAACTTCTCAAGGCCCATGATGCATCCTGTTTTCAGGCATCAGGTGCTGAGGGTTTGTTCCAGCAGCCTCTGACATCTGGTTATATGAACCTGAGGCCACGAAGTGTAGCTCTCCCTGCCTCAGATTATATCTATAACTTTGGCTTGTACTTGTTCCTGGTTTGTTTCTTACTCTCTTGTTTTATTTAAGCTACTGTTAGTGACTTAGTAATGTTTTCAGATAATTTCTATTCTGCAAAAGTTAAATTTAATTATATTCACTAATTATTCATCCTATTAAAGAATTGAGACTTCCAGGAAGATGGAGTATACATAGCTTTCCCTATTCCTCCTGCTAAATACAACTAAAAATCTTGGATATTTTATATATATGTGTGTATATATATTTATATATATATATGTATGTATATAGAGGAATACTCTGAAATATGGAGAGAAGGCAGAAGGCAGACTAGCTTGGGGCCTTGGGACCAAAAGAAAAACATATTAATTGCTGTGTCACATGAGTTTCAATCAATTTAGATTCCTTACTCTAGGAATGATAATGACTTACTTGTTGCATATGTTGAGTAATGTTGTTTAAAACGATGTTATTTATATAGAAATAGAGTATCTCTCCTTTTTTCTTTTCCTTTTTGAGACAGGGCCTTGTTCTGTTGCCCAGCCTGGAGTGCCCTGGGTTTTCTTTTTTTCTCATATATACCAGACTTGGAGCTTAAGAAATCAACAACATGGGCTGAGTGTGGTGGCTCACGCCTGTAATCCCAGCACTTTGGGAGGCCGAGGCGGGCGGATCATCAGGTCAGGAGTTCAAGAATAGCCTGGCCAATATAGTGAAACCCCATCTCTACTAAAAACACAAAAAATTAGCCAGGCATCGTGGCAGTGTCTGTAGTCCCAGCTACTCAGGAGGCTGAGGCAGAACCATGTGAACCCGGGAGGTCGAGGATGCAGTGAGCCCAGATCATGCCATTACACTCCAGCCCAGGGGATAGTGTGAGACTCTGTCTCAAGAAAAAAAAAAAAAAAGAAATCAACAACACAAAAATACCAATGCATTACATGGTAAGCAAAAACATTCTTAACAAAAGCATGCTTTCTATAATTAAAGGACCAGAGAGGGTCAACCTAACAAGACAAAACTTTTAGATAATAACCACCATATTCCAGGTAAATAACAGAAAAAGCATTGTGGACCCAGTCACATCTATACCTGCAAAAGCCATGTCGGGAGCTTAGGTTTTTACTTTTTTGAGATTCTGATGAAGTACCCCAATGTCCACACTGGGATAGTGTCAGAAAAGGCAAGGAGGGAACCAGGAGTTTTATCATCACTGAGCTCCATTTCTATTCTCAGTGTCAGTGGAGACCACATGGTAATTCTGGACTTCCAAAGCCATCTGGAAGTAATAGGGTGCTCTTTCTTCTCCTGACTGGGCTGGTGTCCGTGGAGGCCTAGACAATATTCAGGACCTTCACCACTGCCCTATGATAACAAGGCCACCCTCATTACAGTGTTCCAACTGGGAGTTGGAACTCCTAGAATTCTCACCTTCACCCAGCAGTAATAAGGAGCCTCTTCCTAAGATGCTGAATGGGGAATCTGGGCTTTGCATCCATGTGGAAATCATGAGGCAGTACCACCTGCCCCTTCACCTGCCAGAGAAGTGTCAGAGAAAGCCAATTAAAACAGAAGATTTAAATAAGAAATGGCATCTCTTAACATAATTTAAAAATGAACAGGTTTTAATAAATTATTCTTATACCAAGAACTAGATCTCAAAATGAAGGAAAATTGCAATTAATAGATACCAACACTGAGATGACAGAGGTGTTAGAGTTATTTGACAACAGTTTTAAAATAGTCATGATAAAAACGCTTCAATGAGCAAATCTGAACACCTTTAGAATGAATGAAAAAGTAGAGAACCTGAACAAGGAAAGAGAAGCCCTCAGCAAAGAAATAAAAGAGAAAAAGATGAGCCACGTGGAGTTTTAGAACTGAAAAATACAATAACTAAAAGAAAAAGCTTAGTGGATGGGCAGAATACAGGAGATAAAAAAATAATAAAATGGAAGACAGAAATTACCTAGCCTAAACAACAGAAAAAAAATAAATGGGAAAAACAAAACAAAACAAAACAAGAGCCTAATGGGCCCATGTAATTATAACAAAAGATCTAGCATTCATGTCATCAGAGTACAGAAAGAGACGAGAAAGAGGGATGGGATGAAAAACTACTTGAAGAAGTAATGGTCCCAAACTTCCCAAATTTGGTAAAACACATAAACCTGAGTGAACCATAAACAGGATAAACCCAAAGAAATTCATACCATTTCATAATTAAACTTTCAAAAATGAAAGACACAAAGAAAATCTTGAAAGCAGCCAGAGAAAAATTATTCCTTACTTATATAAGAAAATCAATGAAATGGCAGTAGATTTCTCATCAGAAACCATGGAGACCAGAAAGAAGTGACACACATTTTTTTTTATGTGCTGAAAGATAAGAATTGTGACCTATACTGAGTGAAAACACCCTCTTTAGGAATGAAGAGGAAATCAAGACATACTTAGATAAAAACAGATTATCACCAGGAGATCTGCTGTAAAAGAATGGCTAAAGGAAGTTAGCTAAGCAGAAAGGAAGTAACATAAAAAGGAACCTTGGAACATCAGGGAGGACAAAAGAACATGGTAAGCAAAAATATGTATAAATACCATAGACTTTCCTTCTCCTGAGTTTTCTAAATTATGTTTGATGGTTGACAAAAATTATAACATTTTCTGGTGTGGTTCTAAGTGTATGTAGAGAAAATATTTAAGGGAATTATAAGTGTGGAGGGTTAAAGGGACGTTCAAAGAGGTAAGGTTTCTATACTTCACTTTAAGTGATAAAATGACAAAACCAATAGACTTTGATACATTAAACAAATATGATGTAATACCTAGAGCAGCTACTAAAAAAGTTGTACAAACAAAAAGTAAAACAGTAGAGTTAAGCCCTAGCATACCAATTATTGCAGTAGCTGTAAATAGTCCAAATGCACCAATTAAAAAACAGATTGTTACCTTTTTTTGTGGTAAGAAGACATAAAATCTATTCTCTTAGCAAAATTTCAGTATATGATGTAATATTATGAACTCCAGCCCTCATGCTAGTACATTACATCTCTAGAATTCTTTATCCTATATAACTGCATTATGCTATGGTACACAGGATGGTTTCCTTGATTTCTTGTTTGGATAGATCATTATTGGTGTAAAGAAATGCAAATGCTGGTATGTTGGTTGTGTATTCTGCAGCCTTACTGAATTCATTTATTAATTCTAACAGATTTTTGTGGAATTTTGTATCATGTAATCTGCAACTAGGAATAATTTTACTTCTTCTTTTTTGATATGGATATATTTTTAAATCTGTTTCCTCTCTAGATGCTTTTGCTAGAACTTTCAGTATTATGTTGACTAGAAGTGGCGAGAGTGAGGATCCTTGTCTTGTACTGGCTTTTAGAGGAAAATCCGCTTTTCCCCATTGGATATGCTAATTTTCTTTTGTTTGACTGTAGTAATCATTTTATTATGTATATGTATATAAAATATTGTTTTATATACCTTAAATGTATACAATTAAAAAATAAAAATAAAGGCACATGATGTAAAGGAAAAAACAAACAGAAGAAACTTAAAGCAAAACAAAGCAAAAAACAAAGACTGGCATTATGGAATAAAAAATATGACCTAACTATATGCTGTCTAGAAGCAACTCACTTCAAATATAATGATATAGGCAAGTTCAAAATTAAAAAGATAAAAATGTATATCATATAAATATTAATCACAGAAAAGCAGAAATAGTTATACTATCTGATAAGGTAGACCTCAGAGCAAAAAAAAAATACTAGTGACAAAGAGGTACATTATAAAATGGTGTTAAAAGAAAAACTTTAGACAAATTAAATTTAACAAGTTTAATCAAGCTAAGAATGATTCGCAAATTAAACAACCCCCAGAACCAGAATAGATTCAGAGCAACTCTGGCACTGCTGTGTAGTCAGAGAGAATTTGTGGAAAGAAAAAAGAAAGTGATGTACAGAAAATAGAAATGGGATACTGAAACACCTGGATTGGTTACAGCTGGGTGTCTTATTTGAACAAGGTTTGAGTAGTTGGCTGTCTGTGAATGCTAAAGTATGGCTGCTGTGATTGGCTGAGACTCTGCTACTTACAAGAGTAGGTTGCTGTCTATTTACACACCCTGTTAGGTTACAGTTCACTATATACATATAAACCATCAGGCCTAACTTAAAATGTGTAAGGAGTCAGCTTTAGGCAAGTTTAATTAGGCATGGTAAAAGGGTCACTTCACCAAGAAAATTTAGCAATCTTAAATGCATATGCAGACAACAGAGCTGAAAATATCCAAGCAAAACCTGATGGAACTGAAAGGAGAAATAGACAAATCTTCAATTACAGTTAAGACTCCAGCCCTTCTTTCTCAACAATTGATAGAACAACTAGGCTATAAGTCATCCAGGATATAGAAAAACTCAGCACCATCAACCAACTGGATCTAATCAACACTTAGAGAACATTCCTTTCAATAACAGCAAAATACACATTTTCCCCAAGTGTCTATAGAATTTATAACAATACAGATGATTAGGCCATGTAAAGAACCTCAACCAATTTCAAAACAATTAAATCATACAGAGTGTTTGTTCTTTGACCACAGTGGAATCAAACCAGAAATCAATAAGAGAAAGATAATAGAAAAATCTGTAAACATTTAGAAACTAAACAACAACAGACTTCTAAAAATCCATGGATTAAAGAGAAACTCTCAAGGGAAATAAAAAAAAGTTAAGCTTAACAAAAGTACAAATGCACTATAAAATTTGTGGGACACAACTAAAGCCATGCCAAGAAAAAAATGTATAGTACCAAATACATACATTAAAAAAGAGAAAAAGACTCCATCAATAACCTAAACTTTTACCTCAAGAACCTAGAAAAAAGAAGGTAAAATTAAACCCAAAGCACACAGAAGAAAAGAATTGGTTTTGTAGGCTGACTGGGGAAAAATAATTTATACAACCTTGCTTCTGTTAAAAAAAAAAACATGAGTTCAAAAAACACATTGTGGCCTTCAAAATGCCAATACCCTATTAAATTACCAGAAATTAAAATTAATAAATTGATTGATGGTTACTGTAATGATTAAGATAATGGTTACTTGTGGTGACCTTTTTTCCAATCATAACCAAACATATCTCTGGAAATGAGTCACTAAGGATGATGCAGCATCTTTCTTTCTCTTTTGATTAATCAAAATTATATTAAATATATTTTATCTTATATTAAAGAACAGTTTAGTCATGAATTTAAGCTGGTGTTAGAGGATAGCTAAGTTGCTTCTCATAGTCATTTCCTTACTTATGTAATGAAGAGCAGAAAAATATTTTTACCAGTGGTTCTCAACCTTGGCTGGAAATCAGAATCACTTAGGGAGCTTAAAAATATACTGATGCCTGGGTCCCATCCAGCGAGATTCTGAATTGTTCTATGGCAGAAATTCTCAAAATACAGTATTAGCCTCTCAGCAGCAGCAGCAGCACTTGGAAACTTGTTAGAAATGCAAATTCACAAGCCCCATCCCTGATCTAGCAATCTCTGTTTTAACAACTCCTTCAAGTGATTCTGAGGCAGCAGGTCTCAAGCTTTAATGTGCATGCACATCTCCCAGGGAATCTTAGGAAAATACAGATTTTAATTTGTGGTCTGGATATTACACACTGTCACAGATGCTAATACTGCTGGTAGCAAAAATATAATTTGAATTACAAGGGTCCATAGGACATCTGGATATTTGCATTTTAAAAAATTTTCCAAGTGGGAATGCAGCCAAGGTGAAAACAACTGGTCTAGATAGCTTTATGGTACACTGCCAATAGCCCAAGCAATCTGAATGATCTCTGCTTGGTTTTCTGTACCTGAGGTTGTAGAGTCACTGAAGAGCACATACTTCTTGTTCTCTTTAAAGTGATAATCCGGCTGGACATGGTGGCTCATGCCTGTGATCCCAGCACTTTGGGAGGCTGAGGCGGGTGGATCACTTGAGGTCAGGAGTTCATGACCAGCCTGGCCAACATGGTGAAAACCTGTCTCTACTGAAAATACAAAAATTAGCTGGGCGTGGTGGCACATGCCGGTAATCTCAGCTACTTGGGAGGCTGAGGCAGGAGAATCGCTTGAACCCGGGAGGTGGAAATTGCAGTGAGTCGAGATTGCACCACTGCACTCTGCACTCCAGCCTGGGTAGCAGAGCAAGACTCCGTCTCAAAACAACAACAACAACAACAACAACAACAACGACAAGAACCAAACAAATAACAACAAAATAAAACCTAAAGTGATGATCACTGATTTTAAGTGGCTCCTTAGTTGCCTAAGAATCCCAGTTGTGATGGTTTTATCCCTTATTGTCTAGAACTAATGTTGAACACCCTGCTTTTTAACTTCATCTTGTTTTTCTCTACCCCCATCATCAATATTTGCCTGACTCACCATCTTTCAAGGTTTACCTCTTCATACTCAGCTAAAAATTAGCTGATGAGATGCACAAATAATTCCAGTGTATCAGGAGAGGATCAGCTTCCTCCCTTTTAAGGTAACATGGATCCTTTCACCATCTCCTGATGCCCTGAGACCAATGTCTTGAGAGCATCACATCTTGTTTCATGCATTCTGACTGGGCATGCTCATCTATTCCAGTGTTCCCAAGAAACACTCATGTATTGATCACTCCGTGGCCAGGCCAGATCTCTCTCTGGCTTGTCACTGAGTGGACATTTTTTTTTTGATTTCTCAAAGTCACCTCAAATTCAGTGTGCCCAGACTAGAACTCATCTTCCCTACCATGTCTGCGTCTCCTCCTGCATTCTCTGTTTCAGTGATAAGTAACTTGGGGGGCATTTTTGATTCTCCTTCCCTCTTTTCCACCCCAAATGGAACTTGTTGTTAGGATCTGTGGATTCTATCACTCTTGATTCCACCTACTTTTCACCATTTTGCCTCTACTTCTCTGGTGCAGGTCTTCACCATCTCTTGCTTAATTGCTGCTACAGTGTCCTAACTAATTTCCCTGCCTTTAGTCTGTCTGTCCATCTCTAATCCACTTTCCATATGGCAGTGAGAATGTTTATTCTTGCCACTTCTTAGATCTAAAACTCTTTAGTAGCTCTCCATTGCTCTCAGAATTGAGAGTCCTTATTATGACTTAAAAATTATTAATTATCTGGTGCTTGCTCACCTTCCAAGGATCTTCTTTTCACCTTGAACTGGATGCATTTTCCGTATGTACCATTTTCTCTGTAGGTTCTAAGCCTTTGAAGAGGTGATGCCTCTGCTTGGAGTGTCTTTCCATTCTCCCATTTGCCTAGTTCTTATTCTTTTTTTATTTGCTAAGACACTACCTCTGAATAGATGACTTCCTTGACCCTGCCTCTCTCAAGGGTGAGTTACATGCCCTCTTCTTATCCTTAGTGTTAAAATTACCACACTGACCTTCAGTTCCCTCTTTACTTGTTTATCTTCCTCAGTAGCTCCTTAAGAAGGGATTATCTTCTTCACTCTGCCCTTAGCATCAAGCCTGATGTCTCTATTATAGTCTGTGCTAAATAATTATTAATAAACAAAATACCCAGTTAGTGTAAGGAAAGGAACCTGCCATGGTAAATAAGTGTGAGAGAGGTTTTGAGGTAGTCGTATAACTGTTAGAAATACACAAATCACATTATAGATAGTGGCTTCTCTGTTTATCACAGTGCTCAGTTTCTTGTTCCAGGATATTTAGAAAAAGTATACCTAAAATAAGCGGAGAAGTCATTAGGTTGAATGACATATTCCCTTCTGCCGAGGTATTATAATATAATTTTTAAAGGGCCTCAGTTAACAATTAAATTCTTTATATCCTTGCAGCAGTTCTTTTTTTCTAGGTTTCATTTCCTTCCAGAACTAGATGAGGATTTTTGTCTAACTGATACAATTCCACGTTCTGAGTCCTTGCCTTCTCTCTCTTTCAGTTTCTGGGTTGTATGTGGTAGATTGCCCAGTCTATACCTAATCAGCACTAGGTTGGAGAAGAATAAACTGCCTTCATGTTGTGGAGCTGGCAGTCTTCTCTGTTGAGTGATAAACCAATGCCATTCTAAAAGATCTGCAGACCTGTGTGATCTCTTCTTCGAGGGAGCTGTAAGAACTAACTTTGATGGAAACACCAGTTTTAAAAGATTGCAGTTCATTTCCTACATGCATATTTGCCTAGGGAAATTTTGTAACATCAACTGAAGTTTACTAAATGAACAGCAAATGAATAAGTATACGGGTTGATGACAAACACTCCAGCCCAACATCTCTAGGGCCTTTGCCAATGTTTCACTAGAATTTTGGACCCTCAAGGTCATCTTAGTTTTACCATGTTCTCCTGATTTGTGTTGTATGGGGTCATCCTCTTTAGCAATCTGCAGAGCATAATTTTAATGCTGTCTCCCAGGTGGAGGGTTGATGATCCCTTTATAGACCACATTCTAGCACAAATTAATGTCACTGTTTCTTCTGTAGGAGGAGCCTGGCACACTGAATACCAGTGGAGTCTTGCTCTCTAGGCTTATCTTGGGAGCTAGTATGCTTATTCTTGTTTCTGTCCCTTTCCTTATGCACTGCCACAAAGGAATTGCTCTAGAATCCATTTCTTCTTCCTCATCTCCTCCGTTTCTTTGAATCTTATTTTGTAAAGTTCAAGCTTCATTTCCTGCAATTAGGGAATAGATCATGGTCTCTAGGTGCTTTGTCATTCTCAATACTGTGTGCCATTCTTTTGAATTACTTCATGTTCCTTTGGAGCAGAGGTTGTATCTTTTACTTTATATGGAAAAGTATGGCTTAGTGCAGCGTGTAACTCAGACTAAGGCAATTTAAATGCTGTATTTCATTTGAAATGACACATGGAGCTGTTTTTACCACATTTCTCACTGTCTTATCTGAAAACCAGATTAGCGCAGGGAAGTCTTGGAGCTATTAAAACCTTCTCCTCATATTTTCTCTGGCTTTCAGAATGACTATATAGGGCCTTTTCTTTGGTGGGGATTACACCTCACTGGCTCTCATGTAACCAGTCAATTTTCCTCTCACTTATTATGGGACTGTGAAAGAAAGAATTAGAAGGTGAAATTATAGGATTAATGTTAAAAGGAATTAGTTAGCTTCTTTGTTCCTTTAATTTCCAGTTACAAGAAAAGAATTAGATCAATTACATTTCTATGGGCTTGATCTCATGTAATAGTAGCTATTACCAACAAAAATATAACCAAATTGGACTTTTAAGAATGTTCACAGCAGCATTGTTTATAATGGCAAAACATTAGTATCAACACAGGTGTCCAACCACAGGAAAACAGTTAGATAAAATGTAATTAAATCCTTATGATAAAATGTGACCATTAAAGTTGCTGTTTTTGAAGAATTTTTAATGTGTGAAAATGTGAAAATGTGCTGATGGTATCATCAGCACCTAGTACCAGTGCCTGGCATGTGAAAACAGCTTCCAATAAATACATATGTAATAGCTTTATCATACCAGGAAAGGTGGCTATAGAAAATAATAGTAACCTCGTACTAAAATGAAGAGAACATCAACTTCCTCTCTGCTAGATGGCCACTATCTGCATCTTTTATTCTCTTGAGTATTCTGGAATCAGTAAAAATGGTGTTTTCAAAGAATCTTATCAGAAATTCAGCTACATCTTTGCTTGGCAATCTGAAGTTTTTGGAAAGAACGTATTTCAATAATAAAGAATGACATAGAAATTTTTACATGGTAAATATTTAAATAAAATATGACATTTTAAATTTAAGTCCAGGGTTACTGTTTCAGAGCTGAATTCAGACATCTGAATGATAAGCGGAGATTTCATTGAGAAAATCTCTACTTTATCATTCCTACTGGCTTTACTATGTCATGGAGAGCTCAAAATGTCATCACTGAATTAGTTTTCTAGCTGACTTCCTCCTGGTGGTGTTTTATATGTTAGTGACATTGATTTCTGGACTTTTCTTTTTCCCATAGGTCTTACCTCATTTATTTGAAATAGAATTGATTAAAATAACCTATAGAAATAAAAAGCAAAATAAAACAATAGAGATAAAGATGAAAAATGTGGTATAATTTTTAAAAATTACCATTCTAGGTATATAGTCATAATTATGAAATATTATTCTGGTCTGAATGATACAAACTGCTCAGCTTTTATGCTTTAGAAGATATCATTATTAATAACTAATTTATTAGATTTGAACATTCAAGAGCAAAGAGATGTTACACCAACGGGTTCCCTTGTCTCCTACTTTCTAGTTTATGTAACTGTAAATGAGTACCCTAGATTATCAGTTGCTTTTTGGGGATATGTTTTGTTATGATAAAAAGAAGCAGTTCGATCATGACATTTGCAGTTATCTTTCTTGCAGTGACCTTCTAGAAATGACTCTTCACCTTCCTATCTCTTTCCCTGTCTTGGTTCATGGTATACTCATTCTTTCAATTGTGAAAGTAGAAAGTCAGCTGACTCTTTGATTCTTCTGTCTCCCTCTGAACCACTGACTTATGGCAATTTCCCTTTAGCATGTGTTCCGTATCTGGACCTTCATGTTCAGTCTCACTGTCTCTCCCCTGGTTCAAGTTCTCAGATAAAAACCGTTTGCCTTTAGTCTTCCCAAGCCTTTAGTCTTCCCCATTTCAATTCATCTCCTGTACTATCATAAGATAAATATTGATTTTGCTCTTTTTGTTTCTGCTTCCAGCTTTATTAAGATGTAAATGACAAATAAATATTGTGTATACTGATGGTATAAACGTGATGTTGTAATACATGTATACATTGTGAAATGATTAAACCAAGCAAATCAATATATTCATCATCTTACATATGTATAACTTTTTTGTGGTAAGAACATTTGAGATCTACTCTTTTAGCAGTTTTTAAGTGTCCAATACATTTTATTAATTGCAGTCACCATGGTGTACAATAGATCCCTAGTTCTGGAGATTTTGCTATTTTCTTGCCCAAAAATTGTTAGTAGCTATTACCAACAAAAATATAACCAAATTGGTCTTTTAAGAATGTTCACAGCAGCATTGTTTATAATGGCAAAACATTAGTATCAACACAGGTGTCCAACCACAGGAAAACAGTTAGATAAAATGTAATTAAATCCCTATGATAAAATGTGACCATTAAAGTTGCTGTTTTTGAAGAATTTTTAATGTGTGAAAATGTGGAATGTAGCAGAGCCTAATACCATATAAATACAAAATACAAGAAACATTTATGTTGTTTTTTGTATTTTTTTGAGACAGAGTCTTGCTCTGTTGCCCAGGCTGGAGTGCAGTGGCACGATTTCGGCTCACTGCAACCTCTGCCTCCCGGGTTCAAGCGATTCTCCTACCTCGGCCTCCCGAGTAGCTGGGACTACAGGCATGTGCCACCACGCCCAGCTAATTTTTTAAAATATTTTTAGTAGAGATGGGTTTCACCATGTTGGCCAGGCTGGTCTTGAACTCCTGACTTCAGGTGATCCGCCCGCCTCGGCCTCCCAAAGTGCTGGAATTACAGGTGTGAGCCACCGCGCCCGGCCAAGAAATATTTATGTATATATGAATGTTAGCAGTGGTTATTTCTGAGTGGCTCAATAACAGCAGATTTTTCTTTTTGCCTACACTTTTCAATTTTTCTACAATAAATTGCATTGTTTTTATAATCAGAAAAACTTCCTCTAATGATTGGTATCTGTAAGAAAGCTTGTAAGTTATTTAGTTTAGTTGGTCTTAATATATTTTTGGATCATGGGCCTCTTTGAGGATCTGACAAATGACATGGAACTTCTCTCAGAAAAATGAACATCTGCCCATAGACACAAAATATGGCATAGAACTTCAGTAGGATTTTGGGCCTCAGATCAAAGAGCTTTTTGATAGTAAGCACAATGCTCTCATTTAAGAGATGATGGTGGACCCAGAGGATCTGCCTGCTCTCCCACAGGAGGCTGGGAGCAGAGGCAAAACTAATTCTTAGTACTTTAAGCTTTTGCCTTGAAACTAGGCTGTCCAGGAGACTTGAGATCACTTTGCAATGCCCTTCATTATGTGCTACTGAGGTACCTTCTGTAAGTTGCTAAGCCTGTGAGGTAGCCGTCCACACCCGAAGAGGGTCCTCCCTATGGTGGTTACTAATGTTATTCTTTGTAGTAGTGCCAAAGCTTTTCCTTTTGGTAAAGATAAGCTTTTATTGGAGAGACCTAGGGGAGTGGCTTCTAAGTCAGTGGTGGGTCCTAGAAGTAAGCAAATAAAATGTGCGCCTCCCATTACTGAATTTTGTATCTATTACTTTCTTAAACATTTCCTCTCAGATTTGATGATTTTGTTGTAAACAGGCATGATGAAGGCTTTTTTTCTTGAGAATGTTTGTTTTCTTCCATCATCTGGCAGTTTTCCTTATATGACCTTGACTATGGTGGTAACAGGAATGAGGCATCTGTCTGCTCTAGAATTTTTCATTGTGCTTGGTGCTGTAGCGGTTCTCTCTACCTGGTGCCTGCACAGCCTGCATGATTAGGGCTTGGAAAGGTCTCATTTCCTCTGGTTTTAAGTGATTTTGTTCTTTCATAGCCTTAAGTTAGCTAGTAAGTGAGGGAAAAGTACCACTACCAGCACCCCAGAGCCAGCCTTTGACTGGGAATGAACGTGGAAGAGTGCCCTTTCTTTGTCAGAAACTCCTACAGCGCCCTGATAAATCTTGCCACAGACAGCAGATTTTACAAATAAAGGAGAAGTGTTTTCTTTGGTGCAAAAAAGACAGCAAACACAGATCTGGAAACAGCTGTCTGATACTTTTTTTGCAAGTTGTTAAGCCCTCTACAGTCTAATCTCTGTGGAGAGCCCTGAATCAAAACAGAGGATTGAATCCCTGAATTGAGCAGAGGAATTGTGGAAAAGGTAAGGAAATGAACTTTTTTGATGCCTCCAAGTACCAGCACTGGCCAAGGTGCTTTCATAGATGTAATATTGAATCCTAGGAAAACCCTGTGAAGTAGGTGGTGGTGGTCTTATTTTTACAGGTGAGGAAACTGAAGCCCAAAGCGTATTTTGCTGAAGTATACAGTTAGAGACAAAACTGAGTATGTCTGCTTCCAGTCAAGCTCTTTCTCATCTATAACAAATAGGTTGTATGACAGCACATGGTTTTGAAGTGCTCTAATTATCTTTTATGTGTATGTGTTTCAAATATTTTTATTTATATACTATGATCTCATTAATAAAATTAGAAAATACAGAAAGATATAAACACACACACAACCCTCACATGAAACAGTTCTACTCCAACCACAGCCGCTTGTAGACCCTGATAGATAATAACTGGCCCTGATGAAGATTTCCTCTCCTCTCTCATCTCTTTGCTTATATGCTGTTGTATATTTTCCAATCCTTTCCTCCCAATCATATTTCTAATGTAAATGTAACGGAAACACACGGACAGTTTTACGTCCTTATTCTATATGTATTGGCGATAACTTTTTGCATAGCGCTTCATTCTGCACATAGTTTAGTGTTCCCCCACTGTCATCTTCATAAGATCTGCCTGATGAGAGGAAAAGCAGAAAGAGCACCATAGTCCCTGAACAATCTGGGCAGAAACACATGGGTTTGGGATAATACACGTGCACTTTTCTTCACTCCTCTACATCTGCTCAAGATGAAAATGGTTGGGACATTATCATTTTGTCCATAGCACAGGAGAACATAGTTAAGTCATTTGGTTGAGCCTGGAATGCAAGAGAAAATGTGTCTACTGACATTCTATTTCCACTTCACCGATAGCCCTGAGAAGACAGAAAGATGGGTATAACTTGGGTGTCTTCCTCCTGCTCTCTTAGAAATAAACTCTTGAAACTTATTGACTAGATTGTATATCCACCTAGAATTGGGCCAGAGTGAAGACTAATGCCTACAGTATGCACACCCATGTTTGGGTGCTGTCAGAGCTCAGGAAACAGAAGCCTGGAGATTGCCTAGTCTCCTGCCCTTTGCAGATTACCAGCAAGCATCCTCTCAGGCACAGACTGCCCAAGGGTGAAGCAGCAGCAGCCTGGAGAAGCTGCCAATGGTAATAGGATGCCAAGAAAGAAAAGTGAGCAAATTAGAAAGATGCCCACCAGCACTTATCTATTTGGAACCCAATCTTTTCTTTCTCTACAAAAATTTTAGATTGCCAGACTCTTGAACTTCAAGGTTTCCTTCTTTATAAAAATTATATTAAAAAAGTACTCTCATTCCACTATCTATGTCTCTCCAGAGCCTGCTTTCATGGGGCTTTCCAATATCCTGCTGTGGGGAAGCAAACTGTTTGCACTTCTTGCAAGAGATTTAACTTATTTAATCAGTTTCCCTCTCTCTCTTTCTCCCTTGCATTTACTGATGATAAGATTGTGTTCAGGGTAGAAATTTGGCTGCCTGTTTGAGTGACAACAGCGGACCCAGCCCTTGTAAATGTCTGCTCCTTCTTCCCGCTGCATCTAGTTTCCTGCCTTCTGCCAGGTCTCAGCAAGCCCTGTGAGGCAAAGCACCTTCTTCCTTCTACTGTGGACAGCTGCTTCTCCCAAGCTGTCTGCCATCTCAGGAGGGACCAACGCTCTTTGCAGTTCTGTAGCTTCTGTCCTGTTCTTGTGAACTTATGTTCACTAATGTAAATGGGGCTTTATGTCTTTATTGACTTTGTAGTGAATACAATTGTCAGAGAGGCTGCTTCAAAGAATCACCTTGCTCTCCTCTGCCCTGACTCGGGGCTCAGCTTGGCAGGAGGTGTGATGTCTCAGAGCAAGTACAGCATTTTTTGAAGGAGCAAGGTGTTAATGGCAGGTGACTCTGGCCCCTTTTATGTGCTTGAGCTGTTTTGCCAGGTACAGAGTGGGAGTGGAACAGAAAAAGGGTTTTTTCTAGTCTAGGGTCCCACCAGCTAAGGCCTCCTGATTGAGCCATCTGTAATCCCAGGGTGGACCTTGAGGCAGCCTATAAATCATTCTCTGCTCTGCCACTGTGTCAGGTTAAGGCTTGGAATTAAGGTTCCAAGAGAGGTAAAAGGTAAAACCAAGAGCTCATCAGACAGCCTGACCACAAATTTCCCTCTCCATTGTGCTCCTGTGGGTGAGGTCTCCTAGCCAAATGACTTTCCTTATCTTGAGGACCAGGCCCAGTATCTGCTTATCCCTGAGGAGTGGGTTTTGGTTCCCTCACAGCCTGTGGAATTATTCAAACAAGCCAGTCACATCCTCTTGTGGGGACCAGGGCTACCTTGCCCTTCTGTTACTTCAAAACCAGCCTCACATAGGCCCTGCCTGTTCACCTTTCCTGAGTGTGGCCCCTGTGTGGCCTGTGTGGGGTGCATTGTCCTCCCCTGGGCTGTGAGTAGATATGACTAGCGAACTGCTATTAATCTCCTCTGTTAAGGTTGAGTGTCATGTGGTTGGCCATCCCCATATTTCTAGGGTGGGAACTCCTCCCTCACCAATGGGGTAAAGAAGACACTGCATTCAGCTTTTCTAGCCTCCTAGCATGTATAACTATATTTCCACTTTTCAACCACTTGCCCTCTCTCGTGTAATACACTACAAAGAGAAGGAAACATGCCTGTAATTTTCATCATGATATCCTTGGTGTCCAGCACAGTGTTCCCTGGCACTTGATAAATATCTGTTGGATAAATGAATGAGTGAATTCCAAGGGTTCTTTCTGAGTAAAGATTCCACTAAATAGTTTCTCCTCTCACTTGCAAAATGTTGTCACTCCATAATCAGGGATGGAATGAGGGGTGTGAGCAGGGTGTGCACGTCACCTCTAACTTCTCCAGGTTCTTCCAACCTCAGAGGTGTCCCAAGCAAGCCAAAGAGAATAACAGATCCTTAGGATGTATCCCACACCCCCAGTTCAGTGCCATCTCAGTGTTAGATTGATGTACTTTTCTTGAGATAAACATTGACAGATGTCGCTGAATTTGGCAACCAACTGTACTTCACATCTTCTGAGACATTCTAGTCCACTTACCCAGTACATGTGAAAGGACTTTAGTGCCTCCCTCTTTTGTTCTCTGGGCTATCTTCTCCAATTCTGATTTGTTGATGTAGATGGCTGTTACCAGCAACAATGAGAGCGTGGGGCCTGGGGAGGCAGAGAGCTTTCATTCTAGTGTTTTTGTGATTGTTTTGGCTATAGCTAGGCCAAGGTACTGTCCTATTCTGTTTGTATTGCAGTCAAATTAATCAACAGGCATTTTTTTCTCAGCCATCTTCAAGTCGTGTCAGGAAAAATTTGGCCTACATGAGGTTTAGGAAACTATCTTTTATTTCCCTTTATTTTCATGAACATTTGAGCTTGAGGAGAATGTGAGCATTTTTCAGATCATTGGGTCTTATAGTTTCAGGCTTCATATTTTGTGCATTCCCACTTCTAAAGCTTTGTTTTCATATATTTGCCCATTCCTCCAATCTAAGTCTCACCATTTAAAAAGTTAAGTTCACATCTGGTTTCTGGGGAATTGTTGCCTCATTTATCTTTTTGTCTCCTTTTCAGAAATCCCTTTTAGTTTATTATTTATTTTATTATTTTTATTTTAGTTTATTATTTTTTCACATGTAGTGTCACTGGTATTTATTATTTTTAGTTTATTATTTTTTCACATGTAGTGATATTATTTTTATTTAGTTTATTATTTTTTCACATGTAGTGTCACTGGTATTAATTTTACTAATTTTTGCTTCTCAAAGCCAAGGACTTTGAGGAATTTTCTTTTCTTTCCAGGGTGCCTTATACAGTGCTCTGCTCATAATAGGTGTTTATTTTTCATAATAGGTTTTCATTGCTTGATTTTTTGATAGCAGGAACCAGGTAGGTATGCCTCTATAAGGGTGAATGTTGTTCATAGGAGACAAAATAACAAAACTGGTGTCAGTTTGTTTGAGCTTACATTAAACGGGTTCACAAGGCCTCCTGAGCTCTGTGTATTGAAGCAACAGAAACCATGAAGCATTTTATTGCAAGAGCAATCAGGCAACTTCCCAGATGTTGCTAAACTCTGCTTTAACTGTTGTGTAGAGCTAGTTTTAACTGCATCTCCCACTGCTACTGGAGACAATGATTCTAGAGATGTTACTAATTGTCACTTGTTCTTTGCCTAGATTTCTTCTCTGCTCCTTGTGGCGTCACCCAGCCGCTAGACGGGCAATGGATTAGAATTTACATGGAGGCTGTGGTCACGGTTGTCTCAGGTGTTAAGGAACAAAGAAAAAGAGGTGCAGAAAGAATAAATCAAATCATTATTTTAAAATGTCTTAGTTTCCAACCAGGCAATGGAATTTAAGGGAGATTCCCTGACGGTTACCCTAAGACATCTGCTTTGGAGCCCTTAGCAGAACTCTCTCTGTGGGATGATTGGTCCTAAGCCTCATTAACAGAGGCTTTGCGGCTCCATTGGAGGTTGGTGCAGCACAGGTGGGCGTTAGCACAGAGGTTTATAGGACCAAACCCACTTCAGCAACCAGCACTAATTGGCTCCCCAGGGAAGTCCCATGAGAAGCTGTCAATCGTGAAGACTGAGTTTTTGTTTATAATATGTAGTGATTTCTCCTTTGCTGCTCTTTTTCCTCCCCTATCCAAACTGCCTTTCCTTCTTGCACAAATAGGTGGTGGTTCCCAAAGTACAGATAATTAGAAAGTTGAGGCAAACCTTACTTTGATTCCAACTGCATTTTTCTCCACTCTCTATTCTCCCTAACCCTTCCCCTATCCCCACCCTTAGTGTGAAACAATACCCTGTCATATGGGAGGAACCCTCGCTGAGGTTGTGCTGACAAAGCTAGAAAGTAGTGTTGAAAAATAAATGTACATCATCAGTGCATTTTATGAAGTGATTTCTAGTTTCTGTAATGTGACTTCAATTATGCTGAAAATGGAGATCTTAGTCTCATCACGTACTTTTGTTAAATCATTGTATTTTAAGGTTAAGTCACAGGGCAGGAAACACCTTCTCTGCAGGATATTGGGTGTAAAATAAAGAGAGGCTTTCTGTGTCCTGGGAATGTTCTGCTAAGAAGACAGTGATGATAATAGTTACCACTGAATAAGTACTGACATGTGAGGAACTACCAGGATCCCTGCTTTACAGGAAGAAGCCGAGGCTCAGAAGTACACTTGTCTAAGGTCCCAGAACAAGTGTAAGTGTCAGGATTTGAACTTAAGTTTGCCTGATTCCAAAAGTTTCTGTTCTTAAAAGCTGTGTTTTGCTCATGTTTTGATTTATGTTTGCCCAAGGTCTTTTGGTCCAACTACAAAAATAATTTAAATTAGTTATCAGACCAAGCATTCTTTCCAGTGTTTGAGGGACGGGAGCAACTCAGGTGTAGTTGACTAACCATTCTACATTGGTGTTATTTCGTGGGGTCAATTTCAGGGCCGTAATTCAGTCATAGTTATTGCCAAATCCAGGTGATAGTAGGCTTTGTGGGTGGTGAGGGTAGATTAGAAGGACTTTAGCTTGCTTATAATCTCCCCTGTTCTTTCTTACGCTGAGGTAGAAGGTTGGTGAAGAGACTAGAAAGACTTGGGGGTAAGTTCTCAAGTATTACACAAACTGAAATTTGGTTCTGTCAACTGCCTAGTTATGGGACATGATTAGTGCCAACAGGTCACAGGGGGATTTCACTTCCTCTGGTCAATATGATGCAGGATACAGGGTTGGGGGATGTTCAAGGAAATAACAAACTGCAGAAACATCATTTTTATCTGTTTCATGCACACTTGTGGCCCAGGAGATTGGTAATTTCTTCTTTCTGATAATACTTAATTGAAGAGACTTTTATTTTTGACTAGTACTTACAGGAGGACTTAAGCCCGATCAATGCAAATTGATTTTTTTAAAAAATCATTAAAATTTAAACCTTGGGCATTATCTTTAGGTTGTAAGTGCTAAACTCAGCCCACCTCTTTCTTTCATTATGAGCAAAAGTAATCAAAGACCATCAGTGCTAATTAATTCAGATAAGCCAAAAACATACATATTCTTATTTTAAATGAAAGAAATGTTAGTGTTGTGATTGTTTTTATATTATTTTAATTAAAAGTTAAATGGAATAGAAAGGTACCAATTTAATTACATATTGAAATTCCTCTAAAGCCTTCTCAGAAGTACTTCCTTTTAGTTGCAGATTACAAAAAGAGATGTAGGGGGAAGATATAAGGGAGAAGGAGAATCAGTTCAAATTGTTTTCAGGTCTGATTTGGCGTAGGAAAATTGATTCTGAAAATCTAAGTTTGGAAAATTAACTAAAGCAACTCTTCTCAAACATAACCTGGTCAGTGATTACCATCCAAACATTCAAGGTTGTTTCTAATTTGATCAAGAAATGGTATGGAACAATGCACATGTAATCTAAACCATATTTTAGCTGTAATTTTTACCTTCTCCTATTGTATCCTATGTTCAATAAAATAAATATCTCTAGCAAAGAATTCAATATAATAATGTTTCCAGTCTTCCTTCATTTTTATGTCTTCCCATAGGGTAGACAAAATTCCAGTAAACAATAAAATGATCAAAATATGAGAAAAATAAGGAGAATGAGAGACAGTCTCTGGGTGGCATATAAACAGGATGGCCATCCTCTGACTCACAGGCTGTCTTGTAAGGTTGGCAATGACTTTGAAATTTTATCAAGTCTATCTCTTTTCCTTTTGGCAAGACTATTCTTATACCTTTCCCAGTAGATGTTAATCTATCCTGTTTTTAAATGAAACTTCTAGTACAGAAGACACATGGTCCCTTAGGAACTCATTGTGAAATTAGAGGGTTTTCAGAGAAGGACTCTGTTGTTTATTTTGATTGTTCATCTTCTCCATAGGGATGATCAACTTTATATAAACAGCGCTGCATCCATGTAAAGTCATTTTACATGGCACTTGAGCAGATTGACAGATATTTAGAGAACATGACCGCCTTAGGGAACAATTAGTTCAGTCCCTTAATTGTGACTGGTTGGTCTTCTCTCTTCCAGATTGAGATTATAAGTTTCTTTTATTATAAATTCATGTTGTGTTGTTGACTTATATTCACTTTAGACCTTCATATTTTTTGCCTACTCTTTGCATTGCTAGTATTCCCCTGCTCTGTGTTAAAATATGCTGGTTCTGTCAGTTAATATCCAAAATATGTGATTTTTTTAAAAAATAAAAAGTGTGACAGGGTCTATGATGTATAGGACATAGGATTAGCATGGATATGACTCAGTATCCTGGGCTCCAACCATGATTCTGTCACAGCTACTGGTATGACTTTGGGCGGGTAATTTACTGAGCTCAGAGGCCTCTGAGCCTCAGTTTATCACTATCAGATGTGTGGCCAGATTCAGAGCAGCTTTTTCCAATGGGTTTTCCATGGGATGTTAACAGATATAACATGAAAAATGGTCCCATTTAAAAATAGGTGGTGGTGGTTGGGAGGGGATGGGGAGGCAAAGATTAAATGAACCTAAATAGATTTCTTTGCTGAAGCATGTGAGTCTTTCACATATTTTGGCTTAAAAAAAAAAGAATTGTAAATCTTCAGATCTTTAAGAGGCGTTTCCTGAAAGTATACAACTATAGTTCCTTTTTTTTTCTCTTTTTAATGCTTTAGTGCCGCTAACCCTTGACCAGGCTCATCTGCAAAGCAGAAGTAGCCACTTTCCTTGGTGCCCATCCCAGAAATACAGTAAAACACCCAGGAGGTCACTCAGGGCTCTTGACTGTGGATGAGTTTATGCATTCCACGTGTACCTTTCTGCATCATGAACTCTTTGAGGGCAGGAGCCTTTCCTTATTTGCCTTGTGTAAAGAGGGTCTATTCCTGTGCTTATACCTGGAAGATGTGTAGAATGAGTCAAACTGTCCATAAGTGGAAGGCACTGCCTTGAAAGTTTTCAGCTTCCCTATCACAGAAAATGTTATTATAGAGTGAATTTTTGAAATGAGTGGAAACTGTAGTCAAGATGATATCTATGATCAGGAATCTGTGAGTTTCTAAGGTTATAAAGATAACATAAGAATAAAATTACTCATAGATAACCACAGGTAGGTTAAAAAAGGGCAGAGTACAGCTTTGCAGGTGGTTCTTACTGGCTTCTTTCTTTGGTCTCGATAAATTTGCCTATTACCTTGATTCTGTCTGATAATGTGAAATTATTAATTGGAGAAGTTTGTCCAGATTACCAATATATGAGGAATGGACAAAATGCCACGACATTTTCTTCATCGTTCACCTTGTACAATGCCACTGTGTACATACAAATTCAATTCATTAAATTTATGATGAGTTTGTTTTTCTACTTTGCTGTTCCATTACCTGTTGTATTTCTTATAAGCTTCTGGAAAGCATAAAATATGTCTTATATACATTTATTTCTCCATTGATACCTAGTGTTTTATAATTATAGGAAGAACTCAATAAATGTTGAAAAATAAAAAGATGACTATAGTGGCTCAGACATTTTTTCCAATTTAGCATCTGAAGATAGAGATAGTAAATATGATGAGCTTATATGTAGCAGAAATTAATGTTTTGAAAGTAGGGGAAAAAACCCTATCATTTCACTACCAAAGAATAGCCATTGTTAAGACTTCAGGTTATTTCTCTCTAGACATATTTCCTGCAAAGATAATTTTTATGTATAGTTGTAATCATATTGTATATATAATTTTGTGTCCTGATTTTTTTCATTTGAAACTATGTTATAGAAAGTGTTTATGATAGTTATATTTGCTCTTTTGTATATAGGAAATATTTTTACAATAAAATTTTTAAAATCATAGAAGTCTTAAGTAATATAGTTTTCACTAACAGAATTTTTAATTGTTTCTGCATGGTTTCCTTAAACATTTATTATTTTATTATTATGTTTCTTATGAGGTTTTGCCTTCATTATTTATTTATTTATATGCAAGAGCTGGAGTAGACATTTTTAAACAGGAATATTTTTATATTTTTCCTTTTGAATATTTTCAAAGCATCAAACACTTATTGGCAAACTGCTTTTCAAAAGTATGTGTCAATATTTGCTATATCAAACAATGTATGAACATTCCAAATTCATTGCAAGTTCACCAGCAAAGAACATTTTTTTTACTTTTTAAAATATTGACTGATTTTAATGGGAAAATGCTTTATTATTTTGTTTAATTTCTGAGGGTATTTTTTGGTCTTATTACTGAGGTCAAATCTTTTCTCATACTTGTCATTTTTGTTCTTTTGTGAATGGTCCATTTATGTCTTTCTATTTATTTTTCTTATTGAATTGTATGAATGCTTCATTCCATAAAACATGCTATTTCCTGCAGGGACTGTATATTCACACACCACTGCATTGCTGATGCCCAAGGATAGTGTATGAAACAGGGTAAAATCACCATCGGCAGGCAGCTGGAGTAGCTTGTTCTGTGGACTGTTTTGCAATGCAATAATGAGGAGGGAGCTGAGTTACTAAACAGTCCCCTCTTTCTGTTAGTTCATTATTGCAAAAGCAAGGCCTGGCGAGTGAGGTGTGTGTGGCAGGCTTCATTCTTCCCTTTGTCTCAACTATTATTAGATAGGTCCAGAAATTGCTGGTACGTTGGGGCTGTGGGCACATTTGGTTTATGTTGCTTTCCTAGATGTTAAGTGTCGCAACAGCTCGCTATGGTTTGCTCCTCACTTGAGCAAATTGATAACAGCTTGTCTGTGACTCCTTAAGAATAATGAGAATCAACCTCATTTTAGGAGAGGGGACAGATTGTGTCTGTACTTGGCATCCTTCTGCAGACATCCTTCTGCAGCTGGGATTGCTTGAGACACTTCACAGAGTTGAGGACTCATATTGACAGAGAAATGTCCATTTTGTCTGAGGAGCTGCTGAATCTGTCAGCATCTACTGGCAGAAGTGCTTTCTCTAGCATGACTTCACCTCTCAAATCCCTGGATGTAACAAAAGTCAATATAAGATCTCTGCAGTCTATTTCAGTCCTTTGTCATTTTATCAGATAACTAAATGCTAAATGCCTTCAGATACATCATAAGCTAAGGGCTCCTTTGAAAACAGGACAGACACTTTACAAACTACATCAAAGCATGCAGATAGTTTTATTTTTAATACTTTTTTTGTCTTGCATGAAATACTTGAAAATAGTTCAGATATCGCCGCTGCCACAAAAATTGTCCTATAGCAAAGAAAATAATAGCTCTTTTACCTTAATAGCGAAAGTTTTGTGTAGAAATGATTTGAGGATAGAAGAGGTTTTTCCAAATATGATTTTGTTGTGTTTTCTTTTTTCTCTTTCTCTCTTTCTTTTCTTTTCTTTCTTTCTTTCTTTCTTTCTTTCTTTCTCTTTCTTTCTTTCATTCATTCTTTCTTTCTTTCTTTTTCTTTCTTTGACTCTATAATAACTTCTTATTACATGCAGAAGTAAATCTTAATTCTTTTTGGCCATCTTTTCTGTGTGAATTTTATTTTATTTTAAAAATAGCTTTATTGAGATATCCTTGACATATACAAATTGTATATATTTAAAGTGTACAACTTGATGTTTTATTCTATGTATTTATTATGAAATGATTACATTCCAGCTAATTAACATATCTATCACTTCTACATAGTTACCATGTGGGTGCATGTGTGTATGTGTGTGTAGATATACGTATGTGAAATTCAACATGAATTTTGGATTCTATAATATTGTTAAACACTTTAGAAATAAACTTTCTTGTCTCTACCTCAGTATGTTTGCACATACATTCTTCCCAAGAAGCAAACCCATTCTTGTTTGTCAGTGGAGGCTTTACTTCTTTCGACATTTGCCTCCTCAATTTTCTTCTTCAGTTCTGTCTCCTCCACATGATGTCAGCTCACATATTCAAAATATGTTGCCTTACAAATCCTCTTGGGTATGTCTATGTATTATTTCCTTAAGGTAGGACTAATTTTACATTCTTTATGTTTTCCAGTGTGTTGACTAGAAATTTTTTTTATGCAATGTGTTTCTAATAAATGCAGTTGTTTGATTCTCTTTCGTTCTAAAACATTCATGAGATTCAAATTGTGATCATATTTCCAGGTAATTGAAGGACACATGAGTTTAGGGTTATTGATTTCATATTTTAAACAAAATCACAAATTAAGGATTTATAAAATAAAATAGATTGTGATTATATTTTTTGTTTGTCCCTTAATCTTTAAATAAATAAGTGGTTTCACAAAATTTTCTTTTAAAGATATTTTAAAACCTCTGATGAGGCCATGCTTAAAAATAATTAAACCCATTATAAAGTAGTGGTACTGATGGTGATGTTTGAAGTAATATCTTTGAGTTTGGGGATTATGTGATTTTGGAACTCTGCATGTAGACCAACTTCTGGCAACAGTTTGGAATAGAGAGGACAACTTTGGCCACCTGGAGCAACAGCAAAATCTGATGGTGATAACTCTCAAGAGAGTCCATATAAGGCTTAGTAAAGATACATGGAGGAATTGTATGCATCTGATTTTTATTTGTAAAATTAAATTCTGAGATTCCAAATGCAATACTGAAATTGTGAGCTCTTTCTTTGACAACAAATGTGTCCAGGGAGATGATGAGCTTGTTAAACATCAAGGTTATAATTCAAATGACACCATCAAGTTGAAGAAATGTAAAAAGATATACAGACACAATGTTTGAGGAATCATTTGCCAGTGTTACATTGGAAAATATGTTGCATAGTGTTTTCTTAAGCTTATTCCTTTGTTGTTGTTGTTGTTGTTGTTGTGGAGATAGAGTCTCACTATGTTTCCCAGGCTGGTCTCAAACTCCTGGAGCTAAGTGATCTTCCCACCTTGGATTAAAGGTGTGAGCCACTGCACCTGGCCATACTTACTTTTGAGTAGTTGGTGATAATGATGATGTTGATAGAGAGTAATTAAGTATGAATGAGTTATTTACTTCTTATAACAATATACTATGTTATACTTATGTCCATTTATAAATGGGAAAATTGAGGCTCATAGAGAAGATGTGAGTTGCCCTAGGTTATATAGCTAGTAAGCTGCAGTTAGGATTTGAACCCACTTCTCACTGAGTCCAAAGACCAATATTTTGAGATACTGAAAAGTTTTTTAGGATATAATAAATGAGTCATGAATAGTTACTGTGACATATAAAAGAGGGATTCCTTGTGTATTCTGAGAAGTTCCAATGAGTTAGTAGTGTTGGTCAAGTCGCCTCTTGGTATAATGTTAACATTTCTGGTTAAACCCTGAACTCTGCAGCCATCAAGAAATTATAGCCCAAGAACAAAGGGATCATAGGTAGTCTCCCACATAGTGATGTCTGTCCTTTGACAAACATCAGTGTCTTCACTTTGACAATGGTACGTTTTCTTTTGCTTATCATCCCTGGTTAAATCTTTTTCTAATCTCAGCTGAATGGGTTGAACAATGATAGTCATTTTCATCCCTTGATATGAAGAGATGGTTACTAAACTCAAAGCAAGAAAAAGTGTAAATATGACACTTCTGAGCCGGGGAAGCAAAGTGTAAACTGAGGCAGCAGTATTCTTCTTTATGAAGTATTTAAGCCATGATGCTATTTTTCAGTGTATTTGCTATGAGAATGAGAGTACTTGCTAATGAACACTCTCATTGTATATTAATAGCTGTATTAATTGAGCATTTATTATATGCCAGGTACAGCACTTAGGGCTAACTGCATGCTTTCTCATTTAATTTTTACAATGACCTTATGATGTATATACCATTAATATTCTCATGTCATAGATTAGCAACCTGAGGCACAGAAAGGGTAAATCACTTTCTAAGATTACACATTTTATTACTGGCTTAATCAGATGATGTCTAAGTATCATGATGACATAGTCTGCGCTATTAACAACTCTCTCCTGCTTTTTGCACTTTAAGCATTCTACATGATTTTTACACACGATTTTGCTCATGGTTTACCTAGATGATTTTGAAACTCAATCAAGTTATGGCTACAGGATTATATGAAGGGACACCATAAAAACCCTGTCTATTAATTGCTGTTGGCTTTGCTTTAGCAGAAGACACATTGGATTGGGCATCAGGGCAAATGGATTCTGGCAAAAGATATGCTCTTGGAACCACTTCTTTCAGCTATTAAGTGGAATGAATAATGCTTCACTTGCTTAAAGGCAGGGGCTGGACAAGATAGCATCTTTGACTGAATATGAACAGAACAACGTATTTCTAATTGTGTTCTTTAGGGGCCAGGGTTGCTGGCATAAGCATGAATTGAGCATCTTAAAAGGTGTCATGAAACCATGAAGGAAAGAAATCTCTTGCCTCTTGGTATAATGTGAACATCTCTGATTGAACCCTGGACTCTGCAGCCAACAAGGGACTACAGCCCAAGAACAAAGGGATCATAAGTAGTCTCCCACATAGCAATGCCTCTCCTTTGAGAAACATCAGTGTCTTCACTTTGACAGTGCTACATTATCTTTTGGTTATCATCCCTAGCTAAAAATAATTTTAGAAGGGCATAGAAAGAAGAGGTATATCTAAGATACTCTCTTCTAAGTACCAAGGTTGATTGATGATTCTTTTCAGAAACAAGAAACTTTCTTAAAGTATAATATGTTGATGGCTTTGTTGAGTTAGCAATTTATCACACCACATAGTTCTGTGGGTAATTTATCATTGAATCAGGTTCCCTTTACTCTGTCCCAATATTATAGGTTAATCTGGGACATGTAGTTTCTGAAATACCGACAGTCCCATTTTGAATTATTATTTTAGAAGCTGTGAAGACATTTAGCTCCTTTTGATTTCATACTCTTGACTTTAGTACTCATTGTAGACATGAGAAGTATGTGGCATTGTGTGAGCATCTGTAAAGATTGTAAATGATATTAATTAAGTTGGCTGTGCTTTTTCTCCTCACAATGGATTCTTTTGTTAGGCTGGTAATAATCGCGTTTTTGGTAAAAACACCTCATGGAATTTTTTTCCTTTCTCATAAAATAGCTGTTTACTGTAAAATTGAGATAGCCTCTCAAGTCTGGAACACCTTTCAATTCATCAAA
Source organism: Homo sapiens (assembly GCF_000001405.40). Classification (NCBI taxonomy): domain Eukaryota; kingdom Metazoa; phylum Chordata; class Mammalia; order Primates; family Hominidae; genus Homo; species Homo sapiens. The sequence continues at coordinate 60,253,509 of NC_000005.10, read as the reverse complement.
AAGGGACAACCTAATATTCCAAAGAAGACTCAATCCTTTTAACACACATACATTTTAGGGCCAGTCAAGAGAAGTGGCCTGTTCTGTAGGAAAACATTTCTTGGCACATTATTATTTTAAGTGATTGCAGGAGACCACAGAGGGAGAGAAAAGAGACAACAACAACTTCTAGCATGCCTGGGGGATGACTTGCTCTTTCATATTTGTGGAACCCTATGTCAAGAGAGAAAACATCTAAAAATAAAAACGCATTTACTCAGATTCTCTAGGGCAAGGTGCAAAGAGCCTGTGCTGTAGGAGCTCAGATCAAAAATTAAATGGTTGAAACCTGCAGAGCAACTGCCGTCAGCAGAACCGTGGGCTCCTTCTGGTTGATTTTGTGCCATTCAGTTAGTTTCCATAAATTGGCCTTGGGTACTGATGTTCTTTGGTCTTTTTTGTGCTGTCCATAACTAATAGTGACCGTTGCTGGTAAATTGTTTCTTCAGTCCAGTGATTATTGGCCTTTCAAAGCATTGACTTCCTCCACCAATGTATACAGTCACCAAATGGGATCTGGTTTGTTCAACATTCTAGTCAAGTTCCAAGTGGTAGGAATCAAAATTCCACTCTAGTTTATGTGTATTATTCCTATAGCTCTTCCCTCGAGATGTGGCATGGGATGGAAAATGGAGCCTATGTGTGGTATAGGCACTACTTAAAATTTATCAATAGAGAGGGATCCATGAGGAGGAGGAAACAAGCCAAAGAGATTGGGCAGGCTAATTTTCTTCTAGACAGTTCCTGCTCTCTTGGATTTTACTCCAATTCCCCACTCTTTCCATAGGAGTAAAAGTCTTAAAACTTGAACTAATGTTGAATTTTAATCCTGAATGGTGTAGCATCCTTCATTTCTATCCGTCTCATTATCAGCCCATACCCCTGCCATTGCCACTACCATATTTTCAAATGTCTTTCAACTCTCCAAAACCTACTGACCCTAGTTTATCATGCATTTGAAAGGCTCCCCACTTTTTGTAGAACTTCAGGTATTTTAAAACATATTTAGAAAGACTCTAAATAAACTGGAGTGAGTCTATAGCTAATGTTTGACCAAAAAAAAAAAAAAAAGTAAAAAAGTGTGCTGTGAAATTTTGAATATTAATTGTGCCAATTGGAATGGCATTTTTAAAAAGAAACTATTTCATCCATAAATGATAAATATATATTTCTTTGTTTAAAAAGTACATTAATGCAAAATTCTCCACCCCCATGTATTTTTAGCTTACATATCCATCTAACCTAAATACAGTCATGCATCACTTAATGAGAGGCATACAATCTGAGAAATATATCATTAGGCAATTTTGTCATTGTGCAAACATTGTAGAGTGTACTTAGATACACCTGGGTGGTATAGCTTAGTATACACCTAGGTTATATGGTATATTCTATTGCTCCTAGACTACAAACCTGTACAGCTTGCTACTGCACTGAACACTGTGGGCAATTGTAACACAATGGCAAGCATTTTTGTATCTAAGCATATGTAAACACAGAAAAAGCACAGTAAAAATACAAAATAAAAGAGGAAAAAAAGTGACCTCTGTATAGGACACTTACCATGAATGAAGCTTGCAGGAGTAGAAGCTGCTCTGAGTGAGTGAGTGGTGAATGAATATAAAGGCCCAGAACATTACTATACACTACTATAGACTTTATAAACACTGTACACTTAACGGTACACTAAATTTACAAAAATATCTTTTTTACCATTCGGCCCAGCAATCCTATTACTGAGTATATACCCAAAGGAATATAAATCATTCTATTATATCATAAAGACACAGGTAGTCATATGTTCATTGTAGCACTATTCATAATAGCAAAGATATGGAATCAACCTAAATGCCCATCGATAATAGTAGATTGGATAAATAAAAAGTGGTACATATACACCATGGAATACTATGCAGCCATACAAAAGAATGAGATCATGTCCTTTGCGGGAATATAGATGGAGCTGGAAGCCATTATCCTTAACAAACTAATGCAGAAACGGAAAACCAAATACTGCATGTTCTCACTTACAAGTGGGAGCTAAATGATGAGAACACATGGACTCATAGAGGAGAACAACAAACACTGGGGCCGACTAGAAGATGGACAGTGGGAAGGGGGAGAGGATCAGGAAAATAACCAGCAGGTACCAGGCTTAATGCCTGGTGATGAAATAATCTGTACACCAAACCCCCATGACATGAGTCTACTTATATAACAAACCTGCACATGTACCCCTAAACTTAAAAGTTAAGAAAATTTCTTTCTTCAATAAAAAATTAATAGCTAATTTTTATCTTTAACAATTTTGACTCCTGTAATAACACTACTTAAAACGTAAAGCACCATATAGCTGTACAAAAATATTTCCTTTCTCTTTCCTTTCTCTGTATCCTTATTATATAAGCTTCTTATTAAAAAATGTCTAGTTATCTCTTTTATTTTTTGAACTTTTTTCTTAACAACTAAGATACAAATACACATATTAGTCTAGGCCTACATAGAGTCAGTATCAACAATATCACTGTCTTTCACCTTCATACCCTGTCTTACTGAAGATTTTCAGGGGCAATAACATGCAAGGAGCTGCCATCGTCTCTGATGACCATGCCTTCTTATGGAATACCTCTTGATATGCCTACCTGAGGCTGTTTTACAGTTAACTATTTTTTTAATAAGTAGAAGGACCACACTCTAAAGTAATGATAAAAAGTATAGTAAACACATAAATTAGTAACCATTATTTGTTATTGTTATCATGTATTATGTAGTACACATAATTGTGTGTGCTCTAATTTATATGAATGACAGCACAGTAGGTTTTTTATGCCAACATTGCTACAAACATATAAGTACTGCTTTCCATTATGACATTACTATGCCTATGGTATATTAATAACTAGGCTATAGGAATTTTTCAGCTTCGTTATAATCTAATGGGACCACTGTAGTATGTGGTCCATTGTTGACCTAAATGTCATTATATGGCACATGATTATACTTGAAAATAATCAAAGTTATCAGATAGAGAAGGCTTAGGGATGCAGAACCATCTTTACAAGTTTTTGCTGCTTTGAGACAAATCCAACCCCGACTATTACCAGCTTAGAGACACCTCCTAGCTGCCTCTAGAGATGTATATCATCTTTGATCAGGGACTGGGGACCTAAAACAGGAACAATAGCATAGCATGCTTTTATGTGCAATGAATTTTCAAATATTAAAAAAAACCTTCAATATTGTTGTTATATTATCTGCACAGTATTAGGAAAAATGAGTAATAACTTATAAGTGAAAAAATACCTATGCTGCAAAAAACTCTTTTAATGTTGACTCCAGTTTCAGCAGAATAAATTTGTCTGATGATAGCCCCAGTGTCTACAGAAAATATACATTTTCTATTACTGGGGTTACAGTGTATGTAGAAGCACTGTGAGAAACCTTGACATTTTGGCAGAAAAGGATTTTTAACAATAAAATTCAAGAAAAGGTCATATTAGTAGAAATTTTGGTAGTCATTTTAAATGTCTCCCACATTATATGGCATCATAAATGCATTTAATATCAGATTGAATTATGGCTGTAATCTTTAGCCTTAGTAGTCTGAACATCATTTCATACCTAGCTTAATATCCTGGAATGTTATGTGTGGTTTCTGCTTTATTTAAAATAGAGGAGTGACAAGGGTGATGAATACATTTTATTTCTGTTTTCTCATCCCATTTTCTATTGCAAATGAATTTTTTTTCAGAAGTAGGTATGCCTACCTGTATCTTTGCAAAATGCATTTTCAGAAAATAGGTTTGGAATATTCATTTAAATCCTATTTCTTGTGACCCAATGTAAACTCACTGCTGTTAAATCTAAAGTGTGTGAGTTCTTACAGCTGAGCAGTAATTCTACTGACATTTTAATGTCATGTCCTCTCCTTAGCAGCCTGTTTGCATATTGCATGCAGGCTACATGTTAGGATTTTTTAAAACATGAGGTGTCTTGGAAAATGATTTTGACACAACTTGTCCTCTTGGACCAACTGTATTTTATAAACATTTTAATGCTTTACTCTTGAATGATCCATTTCACTAAGAGTCAGAAAACTGAGTTTCTGTCATGCCATGGTGACATGATGCTGACATTGCTGAGCTAGTTACTTATTCCTTTTACCTAAATGTTTAATAGAACACACCCAGCCCTGTGTGGGCATGAGAGGGAAATGGGCCCAGAAGTTGCAGTGGTTGCATTCACAAGCCATTAAGCTGTGGTCAGTTTCTCCCTAAAGCATTGTACCTCCCTTAGACAACTTCCTCTTTGGGGAGTTGCAATATCTAGAAACTTCAGAGGAAGGGGTCCAGCTGCAGGGATATGGTTAAAAGTTTTTTCAGAGGAGCCACTTTGCATGGCAGTGGGCCATTTCCTGCTATCACTCAGGCCCAGCCTACCCACAAGTTACAGTCTTTGGCAAGAAACAGAAGGAAACAGTGGTGGCTCTTGGAGCCACATGCTCAATTTTTGATGGTGCTCTTTGCGCAGTGAATGCCAGCTGCTCCTCAATCAGGTATGCTGCTGTTGTTCTGAGAGTGATTAGGAACAAAAGGGATGATGCAGATGTGTCAGGCTATGGGAAGTGCAAATGTATATTTTTGGAGCACTGAATGTAAAGAGATTTAGAAGTTTCCTGTTGGAAAGCAGGCTATCGAAGCAGGCAGGCAAAATGATTTTGACACCAATACCAACCAAGGGCAAGAAGTGGAAGCTTGGAAATATACTTGTTTGGGAATAAGAAATTGATAAGACAAATATACTTTTTAAAAAGAAAGATAAGAGAGGTCATGAAAGAATTGTGAAGGTCCAGTCTGTCCTATTTCCTTTGCTACCACCTGAGTCTGTTACCATGGTCTCACTCTTGCATGAAAGCAGTCATCTCCTACCTAAGCCCCTTCTGTTCATCTTGCTCCTTGGAGGCTGGCCTCCACATCCTTGAAAATACAAGTCTGATTTTGCCTCTCCTCTGCCCAAACCTGCCAACAGCTTCCCAACTCATGAGGAGTGAGATCAAATGTCTTGCCATGGCTGACATGGCATTCTTGGGCCTGGCCCTGACCTTCTCTGTCCTTATCTTGCACCACTCTTACTGTCACTCGCTCCCTTCAGGTCCCTCTGTTTCCTTGCTGCTCTTTTATATGCCATCCCTCCTCAGGGCCTTTCCACCTTCATTTCTGATTAGAATATTCTTCCCCCAGATATCCGTATTACACACTTTCTCACTCCATTATCATCTGTTCAAATAGCACTTAAAAAGAGAGGTTCTGTGGCCATGCTATCTAAAATAGCACACTCACATGCACCCATGACTTTCTCTCCACTTACCCTATCTTCTTCACAGCACGTAGCACCACCTGTCATATTCTATCAAGTTGAACCATATGAAATTGCTTTTGGGTGGATCAAGAACAGCTGAATATTGGCCATTTCATTTGGTTCAAACTAAAATATATTTATTAATTTGTTTATTATTTGTATTTCTTCTATACTATGATTGAAACCCTGTGGGTCAAAGGTTTTGTTTTGTTTTTGGCAACATCTCCAATGTCTAGAGCACAGCAGGAACTTAGACAAGTTGTATTGAATTAATGGAAAGGAAGAAGAAAAGCCATATAACTTGTTGACAGTAAGCAGTGAACACTTATATGAAAAATGATCTCTCTCCCTTTCTCTGTCTCTGTCTTGTGTGTGTGTGTGAGAGAGAGGGAGAGGAGAGAGAGGAAGCACTAGAGGACTCTAGAAAAAGGTGATGGGATGGGCTTCAGAGGGAATCCAGAAAATTAAAGGATTTATTTGGATCCATGTAAAGTTCAGTGTAATGTTTCTAGTTGTAGCTAGGGGCTATGTATGCACCTATAATTATTATATATTTTTTTCCATGTGGTTTTCTGAAACTGGGACCAAGTGGGATCAAACAAGCTTTGGATAATATAATTGTGAACTGAAAAAGTTTCATAATTGGTAAATTACAAGGATTCAGCTTGCCAATTGTGCTGTAAGTTGATTTTTACTAGAGAAAATAAGTTACTTTTTACTAACAGTTCTAGAAACATGGCTAATAATCTTACTATCATCCCTGCTACGGATGCTTAGAAATACTGCATGTCTAATCTTGAAAGGAAATAAAATCATTACTATGGGTCAGAAGTAAAGGTTGAATTGAAAACTCCAGGGATAAACACTTGAATTGATACTGTGGCTGCCTTTGGGACAGTATTATTAGTCTCACTAACAAAGGGCTTGAGATATGAAATGGAAAATTGAGGTTCTGTGGGTTGGAACAGAGATCTTCAGTACAAAGTTGTGACCTTGGAATGGAAAGGACTGAAAAAAAATCATCAGAACAGAAGAGACAAGGAAGCTGTGTCTTAGAAAAAGAATGTCTCCTTCAAAAACACATCTCTATGGATTTGTACCTCATTTAGGTTTGGGAATTGAATTTGTACTACTTGTGTAGTATGGAAAAATCACAACTTGAAAAATTAACTACAGAGAGCCCAGATTACTGATACTTCTAAAGCACCTGGCAGAATCTGTTACAAACTTCTTAGGAGAAAGATACCATTCAACCAAGTTTCACAAGATTCCTAAACATAAATATCTTCTAAAGATTAACTCACAACCTCAAACTATAAAACATAAGAACAAAATCCCCCACAAGTGAGAGTTAGCAAACACAAAGAGCAGGATTAGAATAAGACCTAAAAGTGATGGAACTATCACATAGACTATGAAAAATGAATATTGAAAATGATAGAGACATAAATGAATTATAAATATAAGAAAAAATAAGGTTAAAAAAAGAACACACTTTATAAAGGTGAAAACTAAAGTAATTGAAATTAATAATTTATCATAGGTTAAACAAATTAGATATAGCTGGAGAGAAAATTAGTAGACTGTAATATAATTTGAAGAAATCAACCAGAAGGCACTGAAAAGAAAATGATAGAAGATATGAAAAAGAAGTTAAGAGACATGTTGGAGAGCATAAGATTCAATATATGTTTCATAGGCCTTCTAGAAGGAGAGCACAGGAAGATTTGGGAAGAGGCAGTATCTGACTATAATGCAATTAAATTAATAATTTAAATTAAAAGACAACAAAAAGAATCCCACATGGATTTGAAATTAAATCAACACACGTCTAAACAACTCATGAGTCAAGCAAAAAAATAATGAAAATTAGAAAATATTTAAAACTGAATGTTAATATTAATTAAATTCATCCATTAAATATTGTATGAGAAGCAATGAAAGTTATAGTTAGAAAGTTATAGCTTTAAATGCCTATATAAGAAAATGAAAAAAGGTACAAATTAAAAAAAATTAACTTTTAATTTTTTTGGCTACATAGTAGATGTATATATTTATGGGGTACATGAGATATTTTGTACAGGCATGGGGTACAGGCATGCAATGTATCATAATCACATGGGGTGTAAATGGGGTGTCTGTCACCTCAAGCATTTATTTTTTGTGTTACAAACAATCCAATTATACTCTTTTAGTTATTTAAAACTGTACAATTGAATTATTTTTGACTATAGTCACCCTGTTGGGCTAGCAAACCTTAGGTCTTATTCATTCTTTCTATTTTTTTTGTACTCATTAACCATCCCCACTTCCCTCCCTCCTCCACTACCCTTACAAGCCTATGGTAACCATCCCTTTACCATCTATCTCCATGAGTTCAATTGTTTTAATTTTTAGCTCCCACAAATAAGTGAAAACATGCAAAGTTTGTCTTTCTGTGTCTGGCTTATTTAACTTAACACAATGACCTCTAGTTCCATCCACACTGTTGTAAATAACAGAATCTCATTCTTTTTAATGGTTTAATAATACTCCATTTTGTATATGTAACCCGTTTTCTTTATCCATTAATCTGCTAATGGATTGCTACCAATTCCTGGCTATTGTGACTAGTGCTACAATAAACACGGGAGTGTAGATATCTCTTTGATATACTGATTTCCTTTCTTTTGGGTATATACCTAGGAGTGGGATTGCTGGGTCATATGGTAGTGCTATTTTTAATTTTTTGAGGAACCTCCAAACTGTTCTCCACAGTGGTTGTACTAATTTACATTCCCACCAACAGCATACAAGGGTTCCATTTTCTTCACATCCTCGCCAGCATTTGTTGTTGCCTGTCTTTTGGATAAAAGCCATTTTAATGAGAGTGAGATGATATCTCATTGTAGTTTTGATATGCATTTCTCAATGATGTTGAGCACCTTTTCATATATCTGTTTTCCATTTGTATGTCTTCTTTTGAGAATTTTTTACTCAACTCTTTCACCCATTTTTAAATTAGATTATTAGATTTAATAGTGTTGTTTGTGCTCCTTATATGTTCTGGTTATTAATCCCTTATCAGATGGATAGTTTGCAAATATTTTCTCCCATTCTGTGGGTTTTCTCTTTGCTTTGTTGACTGTTTCCTTTACTGTGCAGAAGCTTTTTAACTTGATGTGATCTCATTTGTCCACTTCTGTTTTGGTTGCCTGTGCTTGTGGAGCATTACTCAAGAAATTTTTGCCCAGTCCAGTGTCCTGGAGAGTTTCCCCAATGTTTTCTTTCAGTAGTTTCATAGTTTGAGGTCTTAGATTTAAGTCTTTCATCCATTTTGGTTTTGTATATGGTGAGAGATAGGGATTGGGTTTCACTCTTTTGCATATGGATATCCAGTTTTTCCAGCACCATTTATAGAAGAAATCATCCTTTCCCTAATGTATGTTCTTGGCATTGTTGTTGAAAATGAGTTCCCTGTAGATGTACGGATTTATTTCTAGGTTCTGTATTCTATTCCACTGGTCTATGTGTCTGCCTTTATGCCAATACCATGCTGTTTTTGTTACTATAGCTCTATAGTATAATTTGGAAGTCAGGTAATGTGATTCCTCCAGTTTTGTTCCTTTTGATTAGGATAGATTTGGCTATTCTGGGCATTTTGTGATTCCATATAAATTTTAGGATTTTTTTTCTATTTCTGTAAAGAATGTCATCAGTATTTTGATAGGGAGTGCATTGAATCTGTAGATTGCTTTGGATAGTATGGACATTTTAACAATATTCATTCTTCCAGTCCATGAACATGGGATATCGTTCCATCTTTTTGTGTCCTCTTCAATTTCTTGCACCAGTGTTTTATAGTTTTCATTGTAGAAATCTTTCACTTTTTTGGTTAATTTCTAGGTATTTTATTTAATTTGTAGCTATCATAAATGGTACTACTTTCTTGATTTCTTTTTCAGATTGTTCACTCTTGGCATTTAGAAATGCTACTAATTTTTCTATATTGATTTTGTATCCTGTAAATTTACTGAATTTGCTTACCAGTTCTAATATTTTTTTGAGAGAGTCTTTAGGTTTTTCCAAATATGAGATCATATCATCTGCAAACAAGGGTAATTTGACTCCTTCCTTTCTAATTCGGATACCCTGTGTTTTTTTCTCTTGTCTTACTGATCTAGCTAGGACTTTCAGTACCATGCTGAGTAACAGTGGTAAAAATGGGCTTCCTTATCATGTTCCTGATCTTAGAGAAAAGGCTTTCAGTGTTTCTTCCTTTAGTGTGATACTAGGTATATGTCTTTTGTATATGGCTTTATTGTGTTGAGGTATGTTCCTTCTATACATAGGTTTTTGAGGATTTTTACCATAAAGGGATGTGAAATTTTATCAAATGCTTTTTCAGCATCAATTGAAATGGTTTTTGTTCTTCATTCTGTTGATATGATCTATCACATTGATTGAGTTGCACATGTTGAACTATCCTTGCTTCCCTGGGATAAACCCCACTTGGTCATGAGGAATTATATTTTTAATGTGTTGTTGAATTTGGTTTGTTAGTATTTTGTTGAGGATTTTTGTATCAATATTCATCAGTGATATTGGCCTGCAGTTTTCTTTTCTTGATGTGTCTTTGTCTGGTTTTGGTATCAGGGTAATACTGGCATCGTAGAATGAGTTTGGAAGTATTTCCTCCTCTATTTTTCAAAATAGTAACATTGTTATTAGTTCTTCTTTAAATGCCTGGTAGAATTCAGCAGTGAAGCCATCAGGTACACAGCCTTTCTTTACTGCGAGATTTCTTTATTATAGTTTTGATCTTGTTGCTTATTATTGGTCTGTTCAGGGTTTGGATTTGTTCCTGGTTCAGCCATTGTAGGTTGTATGTGTCTAGGAATTTGTTCATTTATTCCAGATTTTTTAATTTACTGGGATTTAGTTGCTCATAGTAGCCACTAACGATCCTTTGAATTTCTACAGTCTCAGTTGTAATGTCTCCCTTTTCATCTCTATTTTATTTATTTGTGTCTTCTCTCTTTTTTCTTAATCTGGCTAAAGGTTAATCTATTTTGTCTTTTCAAGAAGCAAACTTTTTAATGGATCTTTTGTATTTTCCTTGTTTCAATTTCATTTATTTCTGCTCTGAACTTTATTATTTTTTCTTCTACTAGTTTTGGGTTTGGTTTGCTCTTGCTTTCCTTTCCTAGTTCTTTAAGACACACTATTGGGTTTTTTTATTTGAAGTTTTAATTCTTTTTTGATGTGGGCACTTAAAACTATAAGTTTCCCTTTTAGTACTGCTTTTGCTGTATCCCATAGGTTTTGGTATGTTGTGTTTCCATTATCATTTGTTTCAAGAAATTTTATAATTTCCCTCTTAATTTCTTCATGACCCGTTGGTCATTCAGGAGCATATTGTTTAATTTCTATGTGTCTGTTTAGTTTCCAAAATTCCTCTTGTTTTAATTTCTAGTTTTCTTCCATTGTGGTTGGAGGAGATAGTTGATATTATTTCAAATTTTTTGAATGTTTTAAAACTTGTTTTGTGACCTAACATGTGGTCTGTCCTTGAGAATGATCCATGTGCTGAGGAAAAGAATGTGTATTCTGTGTATTCTGCAGCCATTGGATGAAATGTCCTGTAAATATCTATCGGGATCATTTGGTCTATAGTGCATATTAAGTCTGATGTTTCTTTGTTGATTTTCTATATGGGAGATCTGTCCTATGACGAAAGTGGGCTGTTGAACTCTCCAGCTGTTATTTTCCTGAGGTCTGTTTCTTTATCTCTAATAATATTTGCTTTTTATATCTGGGTGCTCCAATATTGGTTACACCTATTTATAATTGTTATACCCTCTTCCTGAATTGAACCTTTTATCATTATATAATGACCTTCTTTTTCTTTTCTTACAGTTTTTGTGTTGAAGTCTATTTTGTCTAAGTATAGCTACTCCTGCTCTTTTTGTTTCCATTGGCATGGAATATCTTTTTCCACCCTTTTAGTTTCAGTCTGTGTGTGTTTATAGGTGAAGTGTGTTTATTATAGGCAATGTATGTTTGAAGGATATTAGCACCAGATATACTATTCTAGGGTAAAAGTTTTTTCTTTATGCCCTGTAAATGTGTCATGTCACTCTCTCCTGGTCTTTAAGGTTTCACTGAAAAGTCTGCTGACAGACATATTGGAGCTCCATTGTGTTATGTGTTTCTTTTCTCTTGCTGCTTTTAGGATTATTTCTTTCTCCATAGCTTTTGGGAGTTTGATTATTAAACACCTGCATTAGTCTTCTTCGGGTTAAATCTGCTTGGTGTTCTATAATTTTCTTATACTTGGATATTGATACTCTTTTCTAGGTTTGGGAAGTTCTTTGTTATGATCCCTTTGAATAAACTTTCTACCTCCTCTTCATGGCCAATAACTCTAAGATCTGCCCTTTTGAGGCTATTTTCTAGATCTTGTAGGCATGCTTTATTCTTTTTTATTTTGTCTTCTCTGCCTGTGTATTTGCAAATAGCCTGTCTTCTAGCTCACTAATTTTTTCTTCTGCTGGATCAATTCTGCTATTAAGAGACTCCAGCTGGGCACAGCACTTTGGGAGGCCAAGGCGGACAGATCACCTGAGTTCAGGAGTTTGAGACCAGCCTGGCCAACATGGTGAAACCACGTCTCTACTAAAAATACAAAAATTAGCCAAGTGTGGTGGCGTGTGCCTGTAATCCCAGCTACTTGGGAGGCTGAGGCAGGAGAATTGCTTGAACCCTGGAGGCAGAGGTGGCAGTGAGCTGAGATCACACCACTACCCTCCAGCCTGGGTGACAGAGTAAGACTGCATCTGAAAAAAAAAAAAAAAAAAAAGAGAGAGAGAGAGAGAGACTCTGATGTATTCTTCAGTATATCAATTGCATTTTTCAACTCCAGAATTTCTATTTGATTCTTGTTAATTATTTCAATCTTTTTGTGAAATTTATCTGATATTATTCTAAATTCCTTCTTTGTATTATCTTGAATTTCTTTGGGTTGACTCAAAACAGTTATTTTGAATTCTCTGTCTGAAAGGTCACATATATCTGTTTCCCAGGTTTGGTTTCTCATGCCTTAATTAGATTGTTTGGTGAGGTCATGTTTTGCTGGATGGTCTTAATGCTCGTTGATGTTTGTCAGTGTCTGGACATTGAAGAGTTAGGTATTGTCATCTTCACAGTCTGGGATTCTTCATACCCATTCTTCTTGGGAAGACTTTCCAGGTATTCAAAAGTACTTGGGTATTATGATCTAAGCCATATCTGCATCGGGGGTACCACAAACCTAGTAATGCTGTGGTTCTTGCAGAATCATAGAGGTACTGCCTTGGTATTCTTGCATAAGATCCAGAAGAATCATCTGGATTACCAGGGAGAGATTATTGTTCTCTTCCGTTACTTTCTCCCAAACACAGAATCTCTCTCTATGTTGAGCTAACCACCTAGGGCTAGGGGTGGGGTGACAGAAGCGTGCCTGTTGCACTGAGACTGCGTTGGGTCAGACTTGAAGCCAGCATAGCACTGGGTCTTGTCCAAGGCCTGCTGTAACCACTATCTGGCAAGGCCCTAGATACCTGGCCGTACTTAAGGTACTGTTCACTTAAGGCCCAAGGACTCTTCAGTCAGCTTGTGGTGAATGCAGCCAAGTCTGAGACTCATCCCTTCTGGCTCAGGGCAGGTCCAGAAATGCCATTCAAGAGTCAAGCCTTGGAACTGGGGACCCCAAGAGTCTGCTTGTTGCCCTAACCCACCATAGCTGAGCTGGTACCTGATTTTTGGTTCTTCTGAAGGTGTGATTTTTGCCTAGATAGTTGTTACATTTGGTGTTCCTGTGGGGTGGGGGGACAATCAGTGGGGCCTTCTATTCCACCATCTTGCTCCCAAAGGAGTAAATATTATTAATAATAAGATCAGCATCCAATTCAAGAACTTAGAGAGTAGGCAAAGCAAATATAAAGTATAATAAAAGAAAAATGTGTGTATTAATAATATATAAAACAAAACTGAAAGCCCTGAAAAGACTAATAAATAGGTTAACATGGCATGTTTGAGTAAGGAAACCACTGGAAACATTACAGCTACTAGTATATTGGAAATAATCCCTGTACATCTGGAACAAGAGAAGAATGACTTCGGGTTCTGCTTATGTTTAATTGGTTGTTCTAGCCAGCATTGTAGGTAAAAGAAATAAATAAAAGGTAGATAGAAAAGAGAGAAACCTAATTGTTATTAGTAAAGAGACTTCATTGAAAAACTATTAGAAAATAATACAAAAGTTCAGGAAAATTGCTAGATATAAAGTAAACCACCTTTGTGTAACCCAGCAAAAGACAATTAGAAAATTCTGTAAACTACCTTTGTGTAACCCAGCAAAAGACAATTAGAAAATTCAGTTTAAAAGCAGATACCATGAATACAGCAAAAATTAGAAACATGTAGTAATAAATCTAACAAAGGATTTTTAGAAATCTTTACAAATAAAATTACAAAATTTTAAGGTAAGACACAAAGAAGATGATAAATAGAAAGATATACTATACTTAAAGCAGAATGACTCAGTATCAGAAAGATTTCAATTCTTTCTGTATTCATTTATAAATTCTAATAAGAGCTCACACAAGAGTGGTTTTGTTGGTTGTTTTCAGGAACTTGACAATCTGATCAATCTGATTCCAAAATGTATACAAAGAGCTAAGCGTCAGTCATAACCAACACAATTTTGAAGAAGTCGGGAAGATTAGCCCTACCACATGTCAACAGCTACTGTAAAAGTATAGTGATTAAGACATTGGGATATTGGAGCAGCAATAAATAAATATACTAGGTTTAGAAATAGACTCATGTGTCCCTAAGGATGTATTACAAATCAGTGTGGTAAGGATACAATAAATGATGCTAGGAGATATAATTATTCACATGGGGAAATAAAATAATAAGTACCCTTTCTTACAACATATAATAATTAAATCCCATGTGGAATGTAGGTGTAAAGGTGAAAAGAATAGTAAAGATTTTATGTTTTTTAGAAGAAAATGTATGAAATATCTTTGTGGCCAGTGGGCAGGGAAGGATTTCTTAAGACTAAAACCCATTTACGCCTAGTGTTCCATTATTGGAATGCTAAGCATGTGAGAGTTATTTATTATCCTACTGCTCAAGATCATCGCCAAGGCCTGATTGCAAAAATTCAAAAAAATTGCAACCTCAGGCATAAGTGGGTTAAAAGACAAACTATAAAGAAAAATAATAATAGGTTGAATATATTAAAACAAACATTTTTGAATAGCAAATAACACCAACAACATTTTTAAAAAACTTCAGAATAGGAGATATTTATAGTATATACAACCAACAAAAATTAATATGCATTTTGTATGAAGGAATCTTTCAAATAAATATTTAAAAATTCAATCCAATGGAAAAATAGGTGAAAGATATGAACAAACAATCGACAGAAAAAAATGGCTGATAAACACACAAATATTTGCTTTAGCTCACTAGTAATCAAGTAAATGCAAATTAAAAAAAGGAAAATTTTATTTCATACCAACCAGTTTTAAGAATTAAAGTGTGAAAGTGCCAAATAAGAATAAATTGGTAAAACCAATTGGAAAAGTCAGTTTGACTTTACTTAGTAAAGTTAAACATTTGCATATCTTGAAGGAGGAATTCCACTTCTAGGCATATATCTAGAAACATGATTGGATGTGTTTGCCAGGGGACATGCACAAGGATGTTTATTCTAGCATTATTTTGAAATAGCATGATACTCAAAAATAAAATTCTGTATTTCTATCAACAGAAGAAAGTACAAATAAAAACTGGGATATTTGTGCAATGGACTTACAGCATAGTAGATGAAATGTATAAATTCCATGAGATACATTAACATGGGTAATGTTAATAAATTTAATAAACAACATAATAGCAACATAAATTTAAGCAAAAACAAAAACAACTTGCAGAGGGATTAATATTATTTGATGCCATTTCTAGGAAGTTTTAGGACATTCAAAACAATATTTTATGTTTTTAAAGAATACATCCATAGGCAGTAAAATAATTAAAAGAGGGTGGAAATCCTAAACACCAATTGTAGGATTTTTCTGTGAAGGGAGGTAGGGAAGGAGGTAAATGGGCTCAGAGAGGGAAGGATACACTGGGCTTTCAAATCTAACGGAATTGTTTGTTTTTTTCCCCAACATTTTATTTGATAATAATTAAAGATTCATAGGAAGTTGCAAAAATTGTACAGATATGTCCTGTGTACCATTCACCCAGTTTCCCCCAATGATTATGCCTTGCATTACTATAGTTATTATAGTCATGAATTTGACATTGATCTCATGTGTTTGTGTAGCTCTATGTCATTTTGTTACATGTGTAGATTTGTGTAATCACCACTTCAATCAAGATTCAGAACAGCCCCAATCACTACAATGATCTCCCTTGTGCTATGCTTTTATAGTCACAGCCACACTCCTTTGCCACCATATCTAATCCCTGGTAACCACCTAATATGTTCTTCATCTCTATAAAATATTGTCTTTTTGAGACTGTTATATAAATTAAACCATATAGTGTGACTTTTTGAAATTGGCTCTTTTTCTACACAGCATAATGTCTTTGATCCTTGAGATCCTCCAAGCTGTTGTATGAATCTGTAATCCATTCCTTTTTATTGCTGAGTAGTATTCCATGATATGGATGTAACAGTTTTTAAACTATTCACCTATTGTGGGACATTTTAGTCTTTTCAATTTTTGGCTACTACAAACAACTGCATATAAGTTTTGCTGCGATCATAATTCTTTTTCTCTGGGATAAATGCTTCAGAGTGAATTATGGGGTCATATGGTAAATGCATATTTAGTTTTTAAAGAAAATTAAAGCTATTTTCCAGAGTTTTCAAACTATTTTCCAGAGTTGCTGTACCATTTTATGGTACAGCCATATGTTGTTGTTCCCTTAATGACATGTGAGAGATCCAGTTCTCTCCATCTTTGTAAGCATTTGGTATTGTCACTGTATTTTATTTTAGCAGTTCAAAGAGGTGTGTAGTGATGTCTTATCATAGTCTTAATTTGCATTTCTCTGATGGATAATGTACTAGTTTTCTATTGATGCTGTAACAAATAACTGTAAACTTAGTGGCTTAAAACAACATAAACTTACGATTTTACAGTTCTGTAGGTCAGAAGTCTAACACAGTTTTCACCAGACTGAAATCAAAGTGTTGGTATTCCTTTCTGCAGGTTGTAAGGGAGAATTTGTTTCCTCATCTTGTCTAACTCCTAGGCTCTACTCATATTCCTCGGCTCATGGCTCCCCTTCCTCTGTCTTCAAATCCAGCATTTGTGGGTTCAGTCCTCATATCATATCATTCTTACCTCTTCTGCCTGGGTCTTCCACTTTTCAGAACCCCTGTGATTAAAGTAGCCCCAACCAAATAATCTGAAATAATGGCTGTATTTTAAGGTCAGCTAATTGGCAATCTTAATTCCATCTGCAACCACAGCCCCCTTTGCCATGCCAGAATAACTGGTTCTGAGGATTGGGTGTAGACATTTTTAGGGAGCCATTGTTCTGCCTATCATAGGTAGATATGTTGAACATCTTTTCATGTGCTTATTTGCCATCCATATGTCTTCTTCAGTAAAATGTCTATGTCTTTTTGCCATTTTCAAATTGGATTGTTTGTTTTATTAGTATTGAGTTTTGAGGGTTTAAATTTTTTTTGTTGTAGATATAAGTCCTCTATAATATTTGTTTTACAAATATTTTCTTTCAGTCTATAGCTTGTCTTTTCAATCCCTTAGCAGGGGCCATTCACAAAACAAAAGTTTTTAATTTTGATGAAGTCCAATTCATTGATTTTTAAAAGTAAATTATGCTTTTGTTGTCATTCTGTATAAGAACTCATCACCAAGCACTAAGTCCTAACATTTTTCTCCTGTCTTCTAGAAGTTTTATAGTTTTATATTTAATTCTACCACCCATTTCGAGTAATTTTTGTATAAATAGTGAGGTGCAAGTTGAGATTTATTTTATCTATTTAATTTGTCTGTGAATGTCTGTATGCATTGCTCCAGCACCACTTGCTGAAAAGACTATCCTTTCTCTACAGAACTGCTTTTCCACTGATGTTAAAAATAAATTGGCTGTATTTGTGTGGGGATGAATTGTTTCATTCCTTAATGAAAAGAGGAAATACAATAAACTATTAAAGTCTAATAAGGCTAAGGGCATAGTCATGTGTTGTTTTTTATATTTTTCTGTTATATTGAAATATTTTAAAATCAATAACGTAATAAGGAGGCATTTGCACCCTCAAACTCTGAAAATATTAAGAAAGTGGGTAATGCTATAGTGAGATGTTGATCACAGTGGATTGGAGACTAATAGCTGTATGATATTGATAAGGTTACTGGCCTCTCTGGGCTTCAGTTTTATTTTTTTTTTGTGAACTGAGAGGGCTGAACTAGGAGACCCCTGGAGTCTTTTGACATTTGCATGCTCACATAGTATGTGATGCTTCTCATTGTTGAGTTTAGAGTAAGAGATGTGGAGCGGGATCTAGGCTGTCATTCTGGTTTACAGCCTAAAGATGAGACACTGTTTATATTTCCAGGTAGAGGCTGCCTAATTAACTACAGGTTCATAGTGGTTGGGAGCAAGCCCTCTTTTTCAAACTACTTCGGGAGGTTTTATTATACCTGTAATAATCATTATACTATAGAAGATATCATTGTAGTTTCTTATAAATACCTCACACACTTCTTCTGGATTTCATAATGGGGTCACTATATGATGCTTCTTGGGATCTGATTTACAATTTATAAATAAGTCTGAAATATAAATAAGAAAATACAATGTATAAGAGTCCTAGAGGTTTAGTCAGCAGAATTCCAAATAGGAGTTTAACCCTCTAAGGAGCACTTACAGTCTTCTTAGAAATAAACACATTGTAAAATGATTATGAGAAAATATTTATCATACACATTTTAATTGATAATTTAGCTGTTATATTTTAATTAGAAAAGAGTTTCTGATTTTCTTTATGGCTATGACTTTAAGCCTGTTATCTAGAACACAGTTTATATTTTCTGGTTTCATCATGACAGAAGGCATTTTGAGAAGGGCTAGAGCAAGAAATTAGCAACAGGACGTCAATTTCGTCTTCTTTGTTTACTTCTTCTGGCTAGTAGCAGAATTTTTTTCTATCAGTAATTTTGGCATCAATAAAATAATAAAGGATTACAAACTTCATCCATCATATGCCAACAAATTTGATAACTTACATGAAATGTACAAATTTCTGGAAAGATAGAAACTACCAAAAATGACCCAATAAGAAGTAGAAATTCCAAATAGACCTACAACAAGTAAACAGATTGAATTACTAATTTTAAAATTTCCCACAAAGAAAGTCCCAGGCCCAAATGGCTTTACTCGTGCATTCTAACAAAAATTTAAATAAGAATGACCACAAATCCTTCACAAGTTCCTTCCAGAAAGAGAGAAATTGGAATTTTCATTCATTGTTGGTGGTAATATAAAATAGCGCAGTCTCTTTGGAAAGCTATTTGGCAGTTTCTGAAAACATTAATTCTAGAGCTGCATATGACCCAGCAGTTTTTGTACTCCCTAGTATATATCCAAGAGAAATACCATATATCTACAAGAAAACTTTTACCCAAATGATCATAGTAGCATTATTTATAATAGCAGAAAATAGAAACAACCCAAATGCCTATCAACAAGTGAGGTGACAATCAAAATGTGATATATCCATACGGTGAGGTATTATTGAGAAATAAAAAGAAATAAAGTATTGATATATGCTACAACATGGATGAACCTTGAAAATATTATGCTTAGTAAAGGAAGCAAGTCACAAAAGACTACTTCTTGTATGACTCAATTTATATGAAGTGTCCAGAATAGACAAATCTATGAAAGTTGATTAGTGTCTTCCGACAGCTGGGAGGTTTGGGACAAGAGGGAGTGATTGTTAATGGACCTGTTGTTTTAAATGTTATTGATTTGATTGTGTTGATGGTTGCATAACTTTGAATATTGTAGAAACGACTGAATTGTACACTTCAAATGGTATGTGAATTATATCTCAAGAAAACTGTTTTTTAAAAGTAATGTGAATATGTATGTTGAGATAGCATGGTATGTAGAAGTTATGCAGGGGAGTGGTTAAGATCATCAACTTGGGTCAGAGTGCCTAAGGTCAACCTCACCATAACAGTTGTGGGAACTTACAGCTTTCTTAATTTCTCTGTGTCTCAGTTTCCTCACCTGTAAGCATAATAATAGTGCCTTTATCATGGTGTCATCTTTAACATTAAATGAGCTAATATTTGAAAAGCATTTAAAACAGTATGTGGCACAACATAAGCACTATATAAGTGTTTGAGAAATAAATAAATATAGGAAGACTACAATATTTGTTTCTTGGAAAATTACCTTTTATTTCAAGAGTTTGATCTTCCTATTCTATTATGTTAAAATTTCCCTTTGTAAAAAAAAAAAGGAAATGTTAGTTACAGTAGATGGCAGTTATTTTGTAATATCTTTAATTTGCTAAAGGAACAGTTGGCACTTCTATATTGATCTCAAAGTAATTTTAAAAATATTTTTTGAAATTGTACTTTTCCATGAAAT
This sequence comes from Homo sapiens, assembly GCF_000001405.40. Taxonomy (NCBI): domain Eukaryota; kingdom Metazoa; phylum Chordata; class Mammalia; order Primates; family Hominidae; genus Homo; species Homo sapiens. The sequence goes on along the minus strand of NC_000005.10, from coordinate 60,233,430 downwards.
CTTAAATTAGAGAACCACAGTTCTATAACTATGTCTTTGTTCAGTGGCCTTTGGAACCAGATGGCTCAAAAAATTAATAACCATTCAAGTTTTAACATTAGAAGAGTATTACAGATATTCAGCTACCTAGAAAAATACTTATCATATAGGAGATGTTAATGAATGTGCATTGGAATGAATGACAAGAATGGATCATAAGTGTGTGACTTGCTCAGTGTGTGTGTGTGTGTGTGTATGTGTGTGTGTGTGTGACAACGACCTCTTTCTACTGGTATCCTAAAGTCTGTATAGTTATATCTGATATGCTTGAGTTTGCATGTTTCTGCTAACCTTATTCCCATGAGATTTCACTTTGAGGTATTTATATGGATTCTAATCTTGCAGCTAAGTTTTAGAATCCAATCCTCAAAGTATTAAGGGATAATTGGGATTATTTAATACCCCTCCCCAATTTTTCTGTAATGTTTTCTATTAGTAGTATGGCTGCTGCTATGTTTGCATGTGTTCACTATTTTTATTTCCAATTTCTATTACATTTTTATTTTTCTTCCTAGTTTCTGCAGACTATTTAAATAATTTTATTTGGTCTGTCTCACCCTCTGTGTTGGCACTTTTAATATCTTTAAGAGAAACTTGAAAATATTTTAGCTCCATAGAGCACGTTTCAGTTTACCTTTTGTATTCCATAGCCTGGATGTAAGGCTTCTTTATGTTTTGTGAACAGTTAGAACCACACTGACTGCTATGAAAATGCTTAGTAATAATTATGCTTCCTGGATCCTTGTGAAATAACCTGCTTTACTCAATTTAGTACACAAGTTATTGAGAAACATCTATAGCCTTTTTCATTGCAGTGTGGGACAGTAGTTCAGTGCATAGGATCTGAGGCGCTGTCACATCTTTCTTGATGTCTCAAAAACATACCATTGATTTTGCTTCCCAAGTCTAGATTTACCAACATGTGAGAGACTGATGCTGCAGTGCCAGGAGAATTATTACTGATCATAATCCAAGAAGAACTGACCAGAGAATTAAAGCATTTAAAGTTGCAAGAAGTAGGTTTATTCCTTGACTCAAAAAGGCTTAGTATAACCTACTTGCACCCCTGTAAGCATCTAAATTATTGTCTTAAGAGAACAGAACCATAATGATAACCACAGTATTGCTTAATATCTGCTGCTGTTTTAAAGCATTTCCCACAGTATTTCATTGTGTCTTAATGTTACTAAACTTTATATTGCAATTGCTTAGAACTGCTTTAATTGAAGCAATTTAAATTTACATATCCTACTGAGCCACTTTGTGTGTGAAGCACTAACATGTGATAGTGGTTCTTTTTTATAGATTACAAAGTTACAAACAGTTGGTTGTAGATCTTATCTGTGAAAATAAAAAGCCTTGAACAAGGCTAATGAGAATGATTAGAGGGAATTTATTAAAAAATTGACTAAGGCGGTCCCCCTCCCTCTATACTATGTCAGCTCACAGCGGGATGTCTCCAACATTTATTGTCTGTTTAACTCATTTTTGGCATACAACTATTATGCAACTGTTTCAAATATTAATAGCTCCTCTCCACAGCTAAACTGTGATCTTGATTTTATACCAGCCCTAATAGTGTCAAGGACAGAGGTGACAACATCTTAGGAGCTCAAGACGAAGAATTTGAGGTCATTGTCCTGAGAGGTCATGTTTAGTTACATAGCAGGGAATGGTTATATAGGATTACAACTGTCTTATTTGAATAATTTACTGCAGCCCTTTGAATGTGTATTTTTTTCATAGAATTTTCAGTTACTTTGTCTCTTTGAGATGTTCCCGTGTATTGTTCAAGGCATGGATTTTTATTGGACATACTGGTTGCAAGTGATGATAATCCAACTTAAATGGATCCTATCATTGAAAATTCTAGGGTTAGATCTGGATCCCAGGCTAGAAAAATATCATTAAGATCATTTTTTTTTCCATTGCACAGCTCAGTTTTTCTCTTTATTGGCTTCATTCAAGTAGACTTTACTCCTACAACCCTGTCACCAACATAAATAATTTGCCACAAAGTTTATATCTTATTGTTTCAGCAACCTCAATAGAACAATAGCTTCTCTATTTGTTTTAAATAAAAGTCTCAGGATTGCATCTCACAAGACTGATGCAGGTCATATGACCCCAATTGAACTAATCACTATAGCTAGGACAGTGTCGTGCACCAAGACTGCCTGAGATGAGAGATGAGAAGTGTGGATTCACCAAGGAAGATCATGCTGTCACTATCAGAAAATGGAAGAATGAATCTGTTCTCCCCACCCAACAAAAATACATAGTTTTAATTTCTTTCTACTTTATGAAGTATTCCCAATTATATTTCTTTTTCTTTTATGCGTGAACACACATTTTCTTTCCTCTGTAACAAACTTCTACCTTTAACATTCCCCAGGTCATCACTGCATTCTCCATGTGAACAGTAAGAATAATGAGAGATCAGCGAAGAAAGCAAACCTTAACCCCTGTTCCTGCCAGAACTAAGGGTTTCAACTGACATCTTCTAGAGTTTATGCCAAAGCCTACCTATTTCTGATGGATGATGTTTAAATTTCCATTGCATCCTAAGCTCCACTTCACTTTAGGCTGCCAAATGATTTTAGAAAACTCCTCAATGAAGATTGTGTAAACAAAATAGTGGTTGAGACCTTTACTTATGTCATCATATTCATTTAGTCTAGCACTTTTCCTCTATCATTGACTCAAAGTTCTCTTTAGCCAAACATCATTGTGTCAAAGATCATGGAATACTTTTGTAATATTGAAAGAAGGCCCAGCTTCTCCTTTCCTAAAAGTGTTATGTCAACCTCAGTTAAAATCAGTAGTCCACAGTTGTTTTTGCCAAAACAAGAATGAATTACATTGGTGGTGAAAGTCCCTCTTCTAGTGGCAGAGAGAGAATCTAGAATAATTCACCCACTCGGGATATGGGTGGTTTGCAAGGAATGAAAAATCCAACTAGAATAAGTTTCCACTTTGCAAAGGACATCACATTTGCCCACTTTTGTCTAGGTAGCAGTGTTCAAGAATGGGGACTTGTTTTTTCTTCAGAACCTCTAGTCTAGTAATTTTATTGAATGATTTCTTCAAAAACTCCACTATTTCAAAATAATTAAAAACTCATTTGAAAATCAATAAAGCCCTCAAGATGTTTTTAAAGAGTTTCTAGATTCACATTTTAGTTTCTCACTTTAAAATCATTGTTTTTTAAAATTGAATTTAAGCCTTTCATAATTTATTGCTAATTGAAAACAAAATCAACAATAAGCATAAAATCCCAGTTGTAATCCAGCACAGCCTCCCAGATGCTTGTTGCCCTATTTTGATGTGTCCTTTCTTTTGAAGAGCTTGGGTGTTATGTGGTCAGCACTATCCAAACAATTAATGTGATTGAGTGAAAATGCCCCTTCAGCAGAAATAGTTTCTTCTGTGAGGAGGCTAAACTGCCATTAGAATGAAGAAGAGTTATGTAAGACTATTTTTTATCCAAACTGATTGGGCTGAATTCCAGATTTCTCTAATGAAACCTTGCTGAATAACTGCTATGCTTGCAGCTGTGGAAGTATTCAAAATCAAGTGCTGATTCTTGCCAATTGATCTACTACTTCTAAACTGCAGTTCTAAAAGCTAAACCCAAGTGATTGTTCAAAGAAACTGATTGTACAGGAATTTACTTTTGATGATAGTAAGTGGGCCAGAATCTAGGACATGAACATATCAGTTGTTATGACAACTGTTGAAGGAGACCTGTCTTGATAGCATGGAGTTTTCCATTGGCATTTGGCAAATAATACCATCCTTCAGAACTCAGGAGACCATTTACAAATTAAGGATGATGATACTTATATTTTCCTAGCTTCTCTGAAATATTCTGAAAACTAGTTCAAGATTTAAATATTTTTCTTTTATTCTTTAGCGTAAAAAACTTTAGCAATCTTTAAGAACATTGTGATCAAGCATCTTAGGCTAATCTCAGGATAAAACATTGTGACTGACAAAAACAATGCTTTATAAGAAAAATAGATATGTTAACCTTGTGAGAGGAATGACTTGATCTTGTGGTTGTCGTTTTAAAATGCAAATAATACATCATAAGCTGAAAACATAATACTGGCTAAAGATTGCTCTTAAAAGAGGACCAAAGTTCTGAAGTGAATATATTGAAGTGCCAGGATGTTTATTTTTTATGAATGGTGAGCCACATATACTTCTACTATTAAATTATAGTCTTACAGTGTCTCAAAATTTTCAGCTTTCCAATGCTTGGCTTCTTATTACGTGCAGAAAGAAGAGAATATTGATATTTCAAAATCTAGATGTATCAGCAGACTTATATTGAAATTGTTTTAAATTGATCCCTAACTATTCTTAGTTCCCAGCCGTTACCTTATATATTGCTGCATAACAAATGCCCTAAAATTTAATGGCTTAAAACCATAGCCATTCTCACTATTTGTCATGATTCTTTAATCTGACATGGGCCCAGCTGGGTAGTTTTGTGGCTGGCAGTCACTCACGGCTGTATTTAGCAGGCAGGTTTGCAGTGAGCTGGAGCTAGGCTCAGTTGGGATGCTGGGATGACTTCTCGCTCTCTGTATAGTTTCTGGGCCTCTCTCTTTTCACATAGTCATTCCATGTGGCTTTTTGTTTTTTTGTTTTTTGTTTTTTGTTTTTTTTGGTAGTTTAGCTTCTTACACAGCAGCTCAGGGTACCCAAAAATACAAAAATAAAAATTTCCAGGCCTTCTTAATCCTTAAACCCAGAATTGGCACAGCTTGCTTTTGCAGCATTCTATTTATTGGTTAAAGGAAGTCACAGTGCCAACCCAGATTCAAGGAGAGAGGAGGATACAAGGATGTGAATGCTGGGAAGCACAGCTCATTGGGGGGCACCCAAGTAATCATCTCCTGCATGATCATTTATTGATTCATTCAAATGGCATGTGATATTTCTCTGTTCATTATGAGAAATACTAGTTACCCATATACTCTGTTGTGTCGTGGATAGATGGATTTAGTTAGACCTAGTTCCTATTAGTAGGGCTTTGCATAGCCTTTGCTAATCTCTGAAAAATATCTTCTGTATATCAAGCAGACATGACCTTGATTTGCAGAGGTGACAGTTTATGAGGAGAGGCAGATATAATCAAATAACTAAATAAATATATGTGTTCATGTGTGTGTTTATAGTTATAAACTATATTATAAATGGTAGAGGGAAAGTATAGGGTGCCACGAGAGTACATGAATATTAGGAAAGGGAAGTCAGGATAATATTCCCTGAGAAAGAGATGTGTGTTTGAATTATTTAAAGGGCAAGGAGAGTAGAGTAGAAGAGTAAAGTGATGGGCAATGGGAGAGATGCATTCCAGCAGGCGACCTTGAGGTGCGAGAGAGCATGACATTGAGGGGAGAAGGGTGTTTGAGGAAATGAATGTAGACAATGTGATTATAGTGCAGGAAGTTAGGGAAAAAGTGATGTGACGTGCGACTGCAATGAAAAAATGGGAGCCAGAGCACATAGGGACTTACTGGCTATGATAAGAATTTGTAAGAACAATAGAATAGCACTGAAATATTTAAGAGATCAGCTGAAGATCATGGCAAATAACAAGACTGACAATTTGTAAAAATAAATCTATCCTTTGTGTGGAGAACCAATTTAAGAGGCCAAGAGTGAATGTGCAAAGACTAATTAGGAGGTTTTTACAAAAGTAAAACCCTTCCTTCCTTCTTTCCTTCGTTCCTTCCTCCCTCCCTCCCTCCCTCCTTCCCTTTCCTCCCTCCCTCCCTCTCTCCCCCTTCCTCCTTTCCTCTCCTCCTCCCTTCCCTCCCTTCTACCCTTCCTCTCCTCCTCCCTTCCCTCCCTTCTACCCTTATTTCCCTCTTTCCTATCACACAATCATTTGTTCAATATATACTTCTGGAATGCTGCTGTAGCCAGGGACTCATCCGGGTGCTAAGGATCTATCAATGAACAAAACAAAGTCCCTGACCTCATGGAACTTACATTCTGGGAATCGTATGAAATATTTCTCACTATCCTTTTTACATACAGTCAGTTCTCTAATCTTTATATTTTATGCACAACTGAAAGGGAAAGGGTACTAATAATTACCAAATGCCAATCATATATTAGGCATATCCACCTATGTTATGTTATTTAATAACTAATGGCTTACTGTGATTCTGACTGTCCCATTTAAATTCTGATTGTAGAAACATATTTTGTTTTTGTGACTGATTGGGGAAACTTTAAATATTCAAGAAGTTAGGTATAATTATGTGTTTATGCACTATGTGCATATGTGTGTATGTGTATCTATCTATATATCTATCTGTTTGTATATTTTTCCCTCTGTCAAAAAATAGGTGGTTTGTTCAAAGACTGATTGGAAATTATTTTAATATAGACTGAAGATGACAGACTCATCTTCAAGGTTAGAATTTGGGATGGCGAGGTTAGAATTAATCAAGATTATGGGTTGGGATGGTGAAGTTAGTTTAATACCATTTAAAATATTAATATCCAGGTGGTGTGTGTGTGTGTGTGTGTGTGATGTGTAGAAATTAACAAAGACACCTGAGTAAAGAAGGATGGCTTGGGACTGGAAGTGTCAGATGGCATTGATGACAAAGAGTTTGGGGAAAAATGAGAACAGAAGAAGAAACCAGTACCACTCTTGAAACCACATTCCAGTTTAGGGTAGCCTTAACTCTTGTTTCTTCTGATTCCAGCCTGCTTTCTTTTAGCTTTTGCCTACAGTTGACCTTCCTTGCAGCATTAAAAGAAAGAGGTTGTTAAAAATGCACTTAAAAAATAACGCTGTTTTTCAAATAAAAAATTAAATGTCTGCATTTCAAGGCATCTTTTCTACATTTATAAAACTATCTGGAGTCAAGGCACATGCATTAAGGCTTACATTATTTTTGTGAAGGTTCATTCCAACTGGGTTTTTTCTTTGGTTCTCTGGGGCACCCTGTTTGATTTATTTGAGCAGCTGTGATTTAGGATTGATTGTCACTGTAATATTATAGTTCTAATCTCTTGAAGTCTAGTACTTTGTTTTTATAGTTCACAACTGGGAATTAGGAAGTTAACCTCAGCTGTCACCATATGTGACATGGATATAAAGAAAGATTTCTTAGCACAGTCACTTTAAAGAACCCTTTTCATGTCAATAAGAAGCACTTAATGGTCAATTTACAGGTTGTTACTTTCCTTTCAAGAAATATCCAAATACTTTGATTTATTAAAATATTTTTGAGGTTTATATTCAAATAACAAAGTTGACAGGATTTAGACTATTGTACCTTTATATATCCATTATATTCTCTAGGTTTGCTATTATGCTTTTTGTTCTAGCTATATTTAACCTGCATATCCATATACTTATTGATTTAATATTTTGTTACAGTTTCAAAACAAAAATTAATGTGTCAGTAGCCCAGTCGTTAGGAGCATGAACTCTAAAATGAGATTACCAAGGTATAAATTCTGATTCTGTCACTATGTGACCTTCTCCAAGTTGCTTAATCATTCTGTGCCTCAGTTTTTCTATCTGTAAAATATAAATAGTAATATGATCTATCTCATAAGATTTTTATTCTATTTAAATGAGGTAATATATGTACTGTACAGCACTTAGTAGAGTGTTAGGTACCCATTAAACAAAAGGTAGCTTTTAGTTACCATTATTATAAAGTGGAACCCCAGAGAGTTCCCATGTTAGAATTCAGCAAAGTGAGGAGTTGGGTTCTCAGCTTTGCAGGTTGAGCAATTCAGTTTTATCAGTGATCCCAGATTTAATCATCTCACAGTCTCTCAGATGATTGAACAAATGAACCTAATAGTGACTAATGTAAGAGACAGAAGCTCCATTTATAAAAGTGACAGGAAAATATTTTGAAACAATTACTGAGGTGATTTTTTTTTTTCATGCAATCCCTTTTACCTGTAGTTCTGTTTGCCTCTTCAATCTAGATCTCAGTCTCTGTGCCTCAGAGAAGGGAGATTTTATTAGACTAAAATCTAATGGAGGAAAAAAACGTTTATTAATGGTCTTTGAGTTTGAAATTCTAAAGCCCTGGTATAAATACGAGGCAAGTAAGAAAATTCATTCAGTCAAGCCCTGTTTGCTCTGCCTGTTGACTAATGATGAAGATCCTCTTGACATGGGTAGAACAAAGGAACTAGGGAAGATGAAAATGAAGTAAATGCAGATGTTGGTCCCTGAAAAGTTCTCTGCCCTGCACCCCACTGCAAAACCGAGATCCCTGAGGAGGCAGCGATAATAGTCTGAAATGAATTTGAGGCTCCAAGAGCAGAAGGACCTGTCCCTTGCTTCCCAGGTGGTACCTGGGAAAATACCCAGATGCTGGAATTTTGTCATATCCTGGGATAGTATGACACCAGTTGAATAGGGGTGATGCTATAATACAGCATGATGTGGTATCTTGGGCCAAGAAAGCCTAAGTTAACTTCACTGAGTTTCTTATGATCCCTAGAGTGGCTTGCTCTTTCCCTCTCCCCGCCTCCCCCAGATTAAAAATGGCCACGAATTCTTTCTACCTCCCATGAAGGGACAGAGTCTAATTCCTCTCCCCTTGAATGTGGGCTAGCCTGGTGGCTTAATTGATGAATAGAATGCAGCATAAATGAGCATCTGTGACTTCCAAGGCTAGATAACAAGAAGTTTTGCAGCTTTCACTTAGATTTCTTAGAATGCTCCCCACAAAGAAAGCCAGCTGTCACATAACAAGTCTGACCATGCTGCTGGAGAGCCTACCTGGGGAGGTGCTGAGACTGCCTGTAGGGGAGAGGGAGGAGCTCAGTTAAGTCCTGTCTTCCATCCATCTCACCAAGATGACTGGCATGTGAATGAAGCCATCTTGGATTTCCAAACCAGTTCAGCCACAGTGAAACACCACCAAGTGACCCAAGGGAAGCAGAATCACACAACCCAGTTCTTAAAAATATGACCCGTGGGGCATGAACATTATAAAAATAATTATTGTTGTGGCCATTAAGTTTTGGATGGTTTACTTCCCCACAATAGATAACCAGGTCATAGCTCTTCATGTGCTCTTAGAAGAGGGCTGCAATAGACAGAGTTGTCTAACTTCAACCTCAAGAAGTCTTTTGGTCAGAGAAGAACTCACAAACTGACTCCCAAGGGAACACTTGGGAACAATGCTATAGATTATATTTTGTAATTATGCAATATCTACCTTAAAAGGACCTCAGGGGAGCCTCTTTTTTTAAGTTTGAACAGGAAAACTCATTCATTTGCACATCAGCAGTGGGCATTAGCATGGACAAATGTTGACAGAGAAGCAAACAATACTGCCATGATTGGTATCATTGGAGTTGTACAACACTGCAGCCTTGCTAGCCACCCACTTACTCTCTAAGTCTTAGACACTACCCAGGAAAAAGGGGGGATGGTGAGGAACCTTCATTTCACTGGGAATATCCTCATATGGCAGAAGAAACTGTGATTTGTCTGAAGACTATCATCTTGAACTAAGTTGGTTATTTGCCAGTAGGAAAAAATGGAGTTTGAGAATTAAGAATAGTAATAGAAAAATGAAACAGTTATTTTTTAGCACAATTGAGTTTGCAGCTTGTGAGATCAATATCTACCATAGTAATTAAATATGTGAAGTACAGCCGGTAAGCCAATTAGAAAATCCCCATTATCTGATTAGCTCATCTCTTCCTGTGTCCATTTATTCTTTTACAGTGGGAATGGTTTTTCGGTTGTGATCAGAACCATTGTGTCTGCTCCAGTATGTACTCATGCTAGGAGGATAAATTAGTCATCAGGCCATTCAGTCATCAGAAGTTCTGAACAAAGGTAATAGGAGAAGCTCTGTCTTGTGGGTCATCATGAGCCTGATGAACCACTTCTGCCTTACAATAGAGAACAGCTCTTTGGTGCTTAGAATTCTTGTGGTGTCCCATGCCCTCATTCAGTATTGTTCTCTTCCATACGTGCTAAATAAATTATAGCAGATTCTGGCTTCCTGGTTACCATTGATTTCCTTCTAATGTGACCATTCCACAAGTAATGACAAACTTAATCGATAGGTATGTTTATACTGTTAATTAGGTATACTCAAAGCTTGTTTGGGACTTTGTAATATGGCGTCTTTCAAGGATCTCCTCAGAGATCAGATTTCATTTGTTATATGTTGATTTTCCTAATTTAACTCAGAGTCCTGAGTATCTCACTGTTGCCTCCATGTACTAAGGGTCACTCTATTCCCACCCTGTCCTGCAAGACATTCAGTGCAGTGCCAACCACACTTAACAAGAAGGATCCCAGTAAATAAGAAAGAGGAAGCATTTACATATTTTTGCTTAGGAAATGAAAAGAAGGAAAACTTTTAACATCTCATTATAAATATCTACCACCCAGTAATTGAGTTATAGCTTATATTGTGCAATTTACAATTCATATCTTTAAAAGAGCTCACAGTTACCTCTATTTGTAAGTTTTGACAGCAAAAACCTGTTCATTTCTTCATCAAACATTCATTAATCCCTAATTAGTACCAAGTTCCATGGTTAATGCTTATTAACAGTCCTGTGAAAGGAATATTAAAAATATATAAACCACAAGGCCCATAATAAACATATGAAATGTTTACTTTTATTAGTCATCAGAGAGATATAAATTTAAACCTCATTGAGATACCACTATACATTTATGAGAATGGCTAAAATGAAAAAGACTAACTATGCCATGTATTAGCAAAGATAGATATGGAGCAATTATAACTCTGGTAATGGAAATGGCATACCCAACTCGGAAAACGTTCAGTATCCCTTAAAGAGTTGAATGTACATCTACCCTATGATCTATAAATTCTATTCCTAAATTGTATTAGTCATCTGGATAACAAATTAGCACAATGTTAATGGCTTATAACAAGAATAAACACGTATCATTTCAATTTCTGGGGAATCAGTAATTCAGATGAGGGTTTAGGTGGTTTGGACTCAGAGTCTTTCATGAGATTTCAGGTAATATGTTGGCCAGGTCTCCAGTCCCCTGAAAGCTTGACTGGGGCTGGAGGCTCTGCTTCCAATACAGGTTACTCATATGACTAACAAATTGAGGATGACAGTTGGCCAGAGACCTCAGTTCCTTGCCATGTGGATCCCATATACTGCTGCGTGAGTGTCCTCCTGGAAGCTGACGTGCCCTGGAGTGAATGATTCAATAGAGAGCAAGGTGGAAGCTTTTATGACCTCACTTCAAAAGTCATACTCCATAGTTTTGTGAAATATCCTATTAATTTCATAAATTAGTCCTATTGAGTGTATGATGTATGTATGTGCGGGGAGAAGGGTGTGGCTATGCAAGAGCATTGAGATAAGGAAGCAAGGACTATTGCATGCTGTTTTTGGAGTCTGGCTACCACACAGGTATTTATCCCAGGGAAATGGAATGAAAGTCCCTCAAAACCTTGTACAAGAATGTTCATAGCAGCTTTATTTATAATAGCCAAACTAGGTAACAGCCCGGATGTTCACAGGAGTCTGGATAAACAAACTGTAGTATATTCACACATTGGAAATGCCTCAGTGATAAAAGAGAACTACTAATGAATGCAATAAAGTTAATAAATTTCAGAAATATTATTCTGAGTGAAAGAAGAAAAAGATAATATATACCATATTATTCGACTTGTATGCAATCCTAGAACAGGCAGAACTGTAGGTGATAGAAATCCTATGTGTCATTGCTTCTCACAGGGATAGTAGGCAGATTTACTGGGAGTGGGTAAAAGGAAACTTTTGGGGTAATGGAAATATTCCATCAAATTTATCAAAATCAACTCAACAGTACACTTATGTTCTGAAGATTATATGTAAATTATACCCTGATAAAAAATACAAGGCATAATCCAAGGAACATGAAAGACAAATAAGCCATATAATTGATAAGAGAGAAATTAATACAGAAGGGAAAATATTAAAAGGAGAAACTAAGGTACATATATTTTTCAAATAAGTAAACACATGGTAATTGTAGATAATTTTAATAATATCTTATTTTTATATTTATAATCTCCACTTCTGGAATAATTGTTGATTTATTTTATTTTGATGTACTTCCCAGTCTTTTTTCATGCATTTAAAAAATAAATAAGAACGTTTGGTATTTGAGATTTTGTAAATTGATTGTGTTTGTGTGTGTAAATGTGTGTGTGTATGTGTGGTTGGCCTTACAGTATAAACAGTCCTCCAAATTATTAAAGACTATTTTTAAGCATCACTTTCAATTGTTATATTCCATTGTAAGACTATTTATAATTTATGTAACCGTTCTGTTACTGATAGACCTTTAGGTTGTTTCTCATTATTTAAATAATGCAGTGGAGTTGTTCATAAAGGGTGATCTTTAGTGTTGAGGATTATTTCCTTGGGCTAGGGTTTCCAAAACGTTCTAGATCAAAGAATATGTTTCACATTTTCATATTGCTTTCTACAGGGTTTAAATTATTATACACATTTACCAGTAGTCTATTAAAGGACTTATTTTAATAGGTAAGTGAAGTAGGTATTTCACTATGCTTTGATAAGCATAGTGAACACTTTGTTCATGTGTTTATTAACCATTGTAATTGAGAAAAATGGCTGAATTGAGCCTTAAAGAATGAATAGCATTTTAAATATCAATTGAAGGCAAAGATGGGGAAGGTTTTTTCTGCAATGTTCATGGCATGGCAAACAAAGTCATTCCATGTCAACCTCATGGAATTGTAAGTCATTTAGTATAAAAGCTTAGAGCAGTTGTTCTCAGTCTTGGCTGCACAATAGGATCACCTGAGGGAGAATGTAAAAATCTCCAATATCTAGGCCTTACTAGACCAATAAAATCAGGATAGTTGGGTGAAGAACTCAGGCATCAGTAGTTTCTAAAAGTCCCCAGGTGATTACAATCTGTAAGCAAAATGTGAAACCAGTGGTATAGAGTGAGGTGAAATGGGATAGGTTGCCATTAGAGATGAAACAGAAGAGATGAAGACCATATGTAGCAAGACACAATGCTCTAGGATAAATTGTATACTTCCTGGGCAAATTAGCAAATGCTGTTAGGTTAGTGTCCCTTTCTTATCATCTTGGAGTCCTTTACCTTTTTCATGCACTCATGCAGTGTGCATTACTCCCAACCAACAACTAGCACCTGATCTTGTGGACAGGCTGCAAGCAAACCGCCCCCACTGCCACCCACAAGCCTGGAGACCTGGGAGTTTTTTCTCCACACCCCCAGGACATAGGCCTGAAGCAATGATTGCTGATGATATGATATAAGTAATCCAGCTTCCTCTTTCCTAATCAAGATAATTCTGACATGTGAACTATACTAGTCCATTCAAGTAGCCAATATGCAAACTTTGCCTTGTTATCTAGGACAAGATGAGCTTGTGCCAGAACATAAATCTGTATGCTGCTTCCTTCACAAAGAAATGTTTCTATGAAAGAAAGGTCAGCTGAAGTAAATAGTGGACTTACTGACTTAGCTGCAAGCATCTTATTTCATCATGGACCAGTGACACAGACCAAGGATCTGCAAACCACACTTTGCGTGCTCTGCAGCAGTGAACTCATTTTTAAAATATCCTTTTCTTGCCATATCTAAGGTCCCGGCCTTAGTTTAGATGCCCATTAGTTTTGAGGTTTAGAACCACTGGTTTGCATTTCAAAACGTAACTCAAGAACCATGCCAATATTTCAATGGAGATGGTAGCTTCCTCAGAATTTGTAAACTGAAATTCTCTTTGTGAGATATGTGTTATTTACTGTAGACTTCATAGCTCATAGACTGATTCTAAATTATATTTGTAAGGTAACTTAGGTGTATCCCACGTATCTGACGTGGAGCAAGTATTGAAAACTTTCTGGTGCTCAGTTTTCTCACTTCTTGAATGAGGAAAATGAACTACATTATTCCTAAGGTCTCTTTCAGTTCTAAAATGTTATGTTCAACAAGAGCTACTAGATTATGTCAGTGAAACAAACATAAAACAGATTATTCCAGTAGCAATTGTCACTTCTCAAAACAAATTGACAAAAGTCATACATCTATTGTAACAACAATTCTCCAGGAAGCTAACCTTTGCCTGTTTTTCATAAGGATATGTTTACTGCTTTTAACTTTGCTTTGGAAATGGGTAACCATCTAATTAGGTTGATAAGGTCAACATGCAGGAGCTTTGGAAAGAGATTGGATAATATTTGTGAGTGTGTATATTTGCCTAGACATGCTTTTTGTCAAGTTTATTGTACTTTAATGATTAGCTAGAAATAATAAGGCTGCTGTATATGCTATTTTATTAATGCTGTGTCATGTATGGGTTTTTCGAAGGTAATTTGAAAATACAGAGAAAATATAATTATTTGAGGGTGCTTTTAGAAGAGGTGGATATGTTTATAAAATTAAATAGTAATTTAATAACACAATACTTCTCAAGACAGAATTCACCAGTATACATGGTTCATAGAGAGGGTTTGTGGCACTGAATGAGTTTTATTTTCCCTGATTTTCAAGGAGCATGTAAATGCATTTTGGTGTGATCTTGTGGATCAAGAAAGATGATTTTAACATATGTAAATCATTTCTGCTCATCAGTTTGTCACATCTTGTCCCCAAACAACCCTAAAATAGTTCAATATTTTTTAGACTCTTTTGTTGCTCAACTTATCTAGGAAGAAATGTGGACTTCACAGTCATATCACAGACTTTCCATTTGAAATGATTCTCAATTCCATTCTCTTCTGGGCTCTTACACTTTTGAATCCTCATAAAAACATGGGGAATTAGGACATCTGTGTGGCATTTTTAAAATTTATTCTTTTTTTTCCTTAAGTGAGGTATAATACACAGATAGGAAAGTATATTGATCTTAAGTATACAACCCAATGAATTTTTACATATGTGTACACTAGTATAACTACCACTTGAACCAAGATATAAAGCAAGATTTAAAAAATCTCTTCTCATCCCTTCCCAGTTAATTTTCCTCCATTTAGAAGTTACCACCATTTTGACTTCAAGCACCATAACTTGATTTTGCCTGTTCTTGTTCTTCATAGAAATGGAATGATACCTTATATTTGCTTTCTTTTGCTCAATATTGTGTTTGTGAGATTCATGTGTATTCTTGCCTATGGTATAATAAATAATCATTAGCTTCATTTTTACTGTGATGTAATACTCTATGGAGATTTCATTTTACTCTTGATAGATCTTTATTTTCATTTTTCAGTTATGAATGTCTGTTGTGATTTTTGATGAATACATCTACTCATTCATTTTTTAGTTGACATAGCTAGAGTTAACATGGCTGGTTTGTAGGGTAGACATAATTCAGCTTTAGTAAATGCTGCCAAAGGATTTTACAAAGTGATAGTACTAACTTCTATTTCTACCAGTGATGTATGAGAGCCCTAGTTCCTCTGCATTTGTGCCCATATGTGATATTGTCAGTGTTTTTCATTTTAATGATTCTGGTGGATGTGTGGTAGTATCTCACTGTGGTTTTAAATTTTATTTCTCTAATTAATAATAATATCCTATGCCTTTTCATATGCTTACTGGCCTTCTGGGAACCTGTTATATGAAATACTATTCAAATTTTTTAGCTATTTTCCTTTAATTGTCTTTTTTTGTTTTTGATTTGTTCTTTATGTATTCTGATAAATATGTAAAAAAATCAAATTAACAAGTATCTGATTCCAGTCTGTGTCCTGCTAGTTTTTTATTAATAATTTATTTTGATGAACATAAGTTATTAATTTTAAGGAAGTCTAATTTATCACTATTTTCTGTGATTGTTCATGCTTTTTGCGTTGTGTTTTACTATGTGATTTGAAAATCCAGTCACCACAAAATGCATTCAAATTGACAGATGCTAGGTTTGTTTCTTTCCCCATTAAAAAAATTGTAATATTCACATACATAAAATTTACCATCTTGGCCATTTTTAAGT
This sequence comes from Homo sapiens, assembly GCF_000001405.40. Taxonomy (NCBI): domain Eukaryota; kingdom Metazoa; phylum Chordata; class Mammalia; order Primates; family Hominidae; genus Homo; species Homo sapiens. The sequence continues at coordinate 60,217,384 of NC_000005.10, read as the reverse complement.
ATAAAGTTTAGTGTTAATAAAAACATTCATAATGTTGTAAAACCATAATCATTACCCATCTCCAGAACTCTTTTTATTTTATAAAACCAAAACTCTGTATTCATTAAACAACAACTCCCCATTCCTCCTTGTCCCCATTGTCTGGCAACCCCCTGCCAATTTTCTGTCCCTATGATTTTGACTACTCTAAGTATGTAATATAAGAGGAATTATACAATATTTGTCTTCTGTGCACTTGGTATAATGTCCTCAAGATTTATCCATGCTGTAGAATATGTTAGAATTTCCTTCCTTTTTAAGGCTGAATAATATTCCATTGTATGTATATAACATACTGTGACTTAAATTCTGGCTTACCATGTTTGTCTATCCTGAAAAATGTCCCATGTGCATTGAGAAGAATGTATATGATGTTATTGTTGGGTAGTGTTCCATACCTGTCTATTAGATCAAATTGGTTATTGTGTTGTCTTTCATTTTCTTACTTGATTTTCTGTCTGATTGTTCTATCCATTAATGAAAGCAGAGTATTAAAGTATCCAACTATTATTATAGAACTGTCTATTTTTCTTCTCAGTTCTGTCAGTTTTTGCTTCATATTTTTATTGTCCTATTGGTGGCATAAATGTTTAAAATGGTTATATTTCTTGATGTACTGAAACTGTTACTAATATGTAATATGTCTTTCTTTGTCTCTTGCAGTTTTTTTGATTTAAAGTTTATTTTGTCTTATATTAGCATAACCACTCCTGCTCTCTTTTGGTTAACTCTTTACATGGAATATTTGTTTCATCGTTTTATTTTTAATCTATCTGTGTCTTTGGATCTAAAGTGAGTTTCTTGTAGATAGCGTATTGTTGGATTCTGTTTTTTAATCTATGCTGCCAATTTGTCATTTGATTGGAAAATTTAATCCATTTACATTTAAAGTATGTAATCACAGGTTGAAATAAAGAAGGAAGCAATTTCCTCAAAGAAGTAGGTATGCCACTACCAAGAGAAGGGAAATAAGGTGCTGGGCAGACACAAATAATAGATGTCTATTACAAAGGAAATAAAAATGCTTGACTCATGTGAGCTGGTTGTTGAAAGTCTCTGGCTCTCAGAACTGGGGCTCTATAGAGGATCACTGCAGGCCTAAGCAAAATAGAAATACAAGATGCAATTCCAGACTCTTACTTGGAAGTCACTTTCATGGGGTTTTAAGGCCAAAGGTGGATCCCTATATTACATCCATCAGAATAAAGCGCTATCTGATTTTCTCTTACTGGTTCCAAGGAGATGCTCCTGTTGGTAAAATAGGGGCCCCAGAATCTCCCAAATTATCACCCTTAAAAGATCTTGTGTTAGTAATTCATGTTTAATTCCCTTTCCTTCCTAAGTTTCTCCAACATGAGTATAAAATTCTTATGGCTACAACAGCATTTAGATAATTGATAACTGTGACAGATAAACAACATAGTTGCTTTTGAATAATTGCTACTTCTAGTATTAACTCTGTAGCAATAAGCACTTCTTAGGGAACTCTATTCAATTCTTATTTCTATCTTATTTATATTGGGATATGTGATTCTCAAACTTTAACATGTGTACAAATCATCTGGACGGCTGGTTAAGATATAGATTGCTGGGCCAAATCTCTCAGAGTTTATGATAACATAGGTCTGGGATAGGGCCCCAACATTTAACAAGCTCCTAGTGATGCTGCTGTTGCTTGTCCAGGGATCACACTTTAAGAAGTAGATAAAAGATACGTCCCTAAACATATTAACATGAATAAGTCCTTTATACATCATATTTTGTCTCATTAGGGAAACTTTCAATTAAAAGAAACTGTATTTTCTTTGGAAAATAAAGAGCCTTTATTATAAAAATGAAAATATTTGCTCCTCAATTAATTTTGCAATTTTGATTTGCTTGAGGGTTGGGGTAAGAGATAGATTCATATATCAGATTAATTTCTTGGAGGCCATGCATCTTGCAGAAGGGAAAAAAATCCTCATAAGTAGCATTTTTTAAAACACAAGGATAGTTTTTTATCCCATTGCAAGTAGCCTTAACCTCTGCTCTACAGTTTTTTTATCTGTTCAGCCTAATCAGATTTTGTGGTTGGTTGATTTTTCTTTTATTTACGTGTTCTTGTTGTGTATATACCAGATACCAAATGTCTTTAAGTAGTATTTCCAATTGGGATTAAAAAGGTCTGATTCTAAATTCTGTCAGTTCCAGATTTGGTCGCCAAATGAATCATAGAAATCGCTACAGAGGAGTGAATCATACTGCTCTCTTTCTATCAGTCATGGCCAATAATTTCAGTTAGCCTACCTCATAAATTAAAATCTGGGAGCAAGAATTTTTTTGGTAGCAACGTTGCATCAGTACTGACATACAAGAGATGATTCTGAGAGTAGCATGGGAGAGAGGAAGAATACAGATTCTGCAATAATAACTGTATCAGGTGATATTTTTCTTCACCTGTTACATTTCAGATGATGGAACTTTAAGTATTGAGTGGCTCAAGGACTTCTGGGGCACAGAGATTCCACTTTAGAAGCTTTCTTTCTTCCTTGAACACTTTAGGTTTAAATGTCTCCTTTTAGGACAAACTCCTGTTTGGAGTATGGTATTTTCTCTATTCTAAGTAAGTATTAAGAATCAATAAGGGCCTCTGTCCTCTGTTCAGTTTCTGAAGGACCATGCACCATGGTTAAAATACTTGTCCATAATATGTCATGATAGTGTGGTATGCCTGCTAACATCACTATTTCATACTTTGCAGTTTCTAATTCTGCCCTAACAAGTAATCTTTAATTCTTCTTCAAGTATTAAGATAAATAATATTATTAAATTGGTATCTAGTAGTTATACTAAATTCATTTTTATTAAGTTCATTAACAGTGCCTGTGTTCACCACCTTACTCGTAGGTAACAAACATGGGGCATCTTCATTTAAATCAAGTTTAAAAAATATTCTATAAGTTATGTAAACACACAAACTAGAAAGTATTGAAGATAACACAAGAGAAAGATTGTCAAAGTATCCTGTCTCCTTTCTATGAATTTGCTGGAGAAAATAGAAAAGTGGACTAGGTCATGAGCAGAATTGAGTTTGTGTGTATTTCAGGACACCGTTGACGTTTCCTTGGCTTTAAATGATTTAGAATGGTGCCTGGTGGTAGAAAACTTTCTGGAGGCTACATGAGAAGTGATACTAATAAAGTTTTCATATGTATGTACTCTCTTCTCAAAGAGAAAACATTTTATTTGTGATCTTAGCATCTCTCTCAAGGAGATGATATGGAAGTTGAGCGTCTGCAATGGTTCGTAAATTGAGGGAAGGTTTAATTCCCACCTTGTTCATTTAAGTATCATGTACTATGATAGGCTCAGGGGAAACCAAGAAAAATTCACTTCCCATGACCTCAATTAATTTCAATTATAGTGAAAGAAACATTAAAACAAAATTATAATACATTAAGATGATTATTCTAAAAGCATTCAGCATAAAGTCCTATGGTGCCTACAGACACCTAATCTCGCTGGACGAGTCTGAGAAGGCTGCATAGATTTACAGGGCAATTGAGGGCCAGAGGGAGGTCTAGGAAAATGGAGGACAGGTGCCAATGACAGAGGCATAAAGGAAGACTGGCTTGTCATTGTGTAAAGGTGTAGCAGAAACGCAGCAGCCAAGGCTACTCTTGGAAGCAGTGGCTCCATAATGCCTGGCCTTATTGACTATAAAAAAAGTTTAAAAAAAATTTATTCTGTTGTCAACGGGGGAAGAGAATTTTGAAGAAATGGAATGGCAAACTTTCCTAGCTTTTACAGAGAATTGCGAAAAGAATCGGGAGGGGAGAAGAGGTAGGCTTCCAGAAATGACTCCCAGAACAAGACCATCCGACTGGTCTCAAGAGAATCATCCCAGAAGGCTGCCCGTGAACCTTTGGAGTTCAAGAACGTATAGTATGATGGAAATCCTGGGAACAGGAGGCTGCCACCAACATGGCTGCTACAATTCTTCAGACACCATGGTGTCAGTGACTCCACACAGGGCCATTGCTGCCCCAAACCTAATATTTCCACACCCCTATTTGCCAGCAACAATAACCAAAGCAATAGGAAAATAGCCCCTGCTTCGCTTCTGTCTGCCAGCTGTCTCACTAGAGCACATGAAACTGGTGGAATCTAATATGTATTTGAAACTCTTATCGCAAAGTAGTCTGATAATTGTAGTTTTTGCCTTTCCAGACTCCACAATACAGGTGAGCTCTCTGGAAGAAGGGAGAAATTAATGTTGAGGACCAATTCATCATATATACTAGACAAAAGATGGATGACATGGATAAGGAAATCTATAGAGAAGAGAAGCACCTGAGAACATGAACATTCAAGGGACAATTGAGGAGACTAAGGATGAATGGTCACGGGGTCAAGGGAAGAACGCAGGAAAATGTAGCATTATGGCAACCAAAGAAGAACAAAAGTTTAGGAAGAAGGAAGTGGATAATAATGGGAAAATGCTGTAGTGCAGCAGTTATCAATTTTTGTAGTATGACATCTTTTCAGTAACAAAAATTCTGTGTACCCCTAGTATTAGGCAAGACTTTGTTACAGAAAATCAACTTAAAGTCATTTATGCAAAAAATGAATTTATTGACACATACAACTTTAAGTGCAGTGGGGACAGATCTAGCATTAGCTGCTTAAGTGGTGCAATCGGGTTAAACCTTTCTCTCTCCCTCTTTTGCTTTGCTTGTCTGCCCTCTGTATTGGCGTCATTGTTAGGCAGGCTTTTTCCATGAAACTAGGAAAAACTGAACTCTGGAAACCAGACCTACATATTGCTTACAACTTCTGATCCCAAAAGAAGAGAACTTTCTCTCTTCTAGTATCCCCAGGTCAAATCTTAGGGAAGAGATTGATTGGCCTGGCTTAGGTCAGGTGCCTTTCACTGCACCAATCACTTGCAGGCTGTAAGCATAGAGTGCTCCAATTGGCTAAATCTGGGTTACATGCCCATCCTGCTGGTGGAGGGAATCTTGTCAGTCACACCCAAAACATGGAAAGGATTTTTCCATGAGAATCACAGAAAGTTATGATTTTTCTATTATAAAAAGAGAAAATAGAAAATGGATGCTAAGCAGGCAAATTTACCAGTCTGTGACAGTTCCACATAAGAATAATTACATATTTAGAATGTGTTACTTGAGAAAAAAAATATATATATAATGACAAAGAGCTACTATGAATTTAGTGACACTTAAAATAAATTTCTAAAATTCATGATAACAGCTGCTATGTACATTTAAAAATTACATATATATGCAACGATATCTTCCTTTTGCAAGTAATGCTTGGGGAGCTTCTAGATTTATGAGCCTCTTTCAGTCACTCTGAAGCCTCCAAAACACAGATTTCTTGCCTTGAAATTAAGTTAATCATGGATTCAAAAAGTAGCCTATGCACAATTTCAGGTGTTCTTACATAAAGACATGCTCAGGAAATATTTTAAGACATTTTCATTCAGTATATAGAGTACCAGTAAATACTGTACCTTCAGGTGGGTGATTTGCTACCACCCAAATAGCTAATTTAAAAACCAAAATAAACCACGAAAATGAGGGTAGGGGTAGGGAAGCACACACAGTTTCACAAGTAACATCTTCTTTTAATTTTTTTCTAGTTCTCTCTTTTCTGTTTTTCATTTTTAATATGCATATGATGCATAGACAACAAATATGGAAACATTAAATGAGAAAAAATATATAAAAATGTTATTCATATAATATAAATAAAAATATACAAATAAAACGCGTAATAAACACAATATATAAAACATATATACAAATAAACATTTGTATATATACATTATACATATATATCTATATATATATTTGTATATACATATATATATTCCCTACCCCACCCCCCCAAGATTCTTAAAGCAAGTAGCTTTCTCTTGAGGACAGCTTAGAGACCTGTGCCATATGAAATGGGATCTGGACCCGTCCCCAGTGCCCTGTGAAGGGTTGCTCTGTACATTAGCTCCCCAATCTGCAAAATGGATGTTGCTTGACCCGTTTTCTTTCCGCCTCCTGGGAACTGGTTAAAGTCCACACAAACTCCTTCAACCTCCAGGGACAGAAATGGCATCTACGAGCTAATGTGAGGGTCCCTGGGTGCAGAGAAATGTATTAGGAGCTGTGTTTCCGGAATGACGGTTTCGTTCTTGGTCTACTGAGCGTCACCGAGCTCGGAGGACACCTCTGTCATTTCAGCAGAGTGACAGGGCTCAATGATTCCAGCGCCCAGGTGGAGAGAAAGCGGCTGAGGGGCTTGGCCGGCTCCTGTCGCGCCCCTCAGTCCGCCCCAGTCCCATGCAGGCTCAGCGCCAGGCTCTCCGCCCCCGCCAGCTGTGGCTGTGCCGCTTCTCAGCTTGGGCCATTTGCAGTGGCCTGGCCTGCCATAAAAGAGCATCCACCATTAGGATGGAAACGCAGCTGTTAGAAATAGAAGCACCAAAGTGAAACTGTTCTTGGTCCCTGAGGCCACCTGGTCATCTTCCCCTACATTGTAGCCTACCAGAACTACCTGGGCTGTAATCTAATATTTCTGAAAAAAAAAAAAAAATTAGGAAACCCTATAAAAATAATACCGTGCCATGAGTATTTACATAAACAGTGAGGTTTGAAATAGGTTTTAAAACAGTTAATTAACATGGTTTCTTAGACATCAAAGAGCTTCCAGGTTAAAAAAATTGGGGAGGGGGGTGTATCCTTTTTTACTTCAGAGATATTTTTGTTTCCTTTTTGGGAAAGCCTTTACTATCTTTTGCTAAATAAGCAAGGAGTTGGTCTGGAATAATTTAATTCGCTTCCTGGTGGAATGCAGCTTTATTTTCCTTGTTTTAAGGATTGAATGCATCTATGTATTGATTACTTTGCTGTTTCAAAAGTTAAATTTGATTTTATAATTTAATGAGGCTGCTTTCTTTATTTTAGCATGTGGTTTTAAAAGTTGTTTTTTTAAAAAAAAAACAAATGAGACATCTCTTTTTTGAGGTAAATCAAAAAATCAAAAGCTTGAGGATTTATATATAATTTTTTCAATTCTCAGTTTATCTTTGCCAACATTAATGGATTTTTTAAAAACCTGGACAATTACTAAAAATTGTCACAAATAGCAGTTTTACTAAAGCTTTGCTTTTATTTTGAGTTAATATATTAGATTTAGTACATTTGTTAAGTAGTTAAGGAAACTGGCAGTATTATTTTTTTCCCAATTTAGAATCTACATTGACATTTGTAGATTCTAAGTTAGTATGGATCTCAAAATTTGTGCTTTCAATTCACATTGAGGGAAATAAGACTGAGCTGCTGTGTATTTTCCTTTCTTTTCAATGTATTTTGCCTTATAGCTGCATAAATAGAAAAGTAATTACTTAAAAATAAGTAATTTACTTACTTAGCAAGGTTTCTGATGGTAGCTTTTATTAAATTCTCAACTAAGATAATTATTGCAGAGAATTTCCCAACTTAAAGCAAACACTTCATTAGGTTCAAGATAATTAAAAAACACAACCATTTTATACTTGCCTTCATGATCTTTCTGTCTCCCTCCTTCCCTCTCCCTCCTTTTCTCCCCCTCCCTCTTTCTCCCTCTTTTCCTCTCCTCCCACTCTCCTCCCTCCGGCTCTCTTTCTCATCTCTCTGCCAGCGTAAGTGTAATAACTTCTTAACCTTATCTCAGAAGATGAATACTATGCCCAAACTAGGAAAAAAATCCCACACTAGAATGATGTTGCAAAAATTGCCATAAGATAATGATGACATTTTACCATCCTGTGACATTATCATTATTGATTCTTCCTCTATTTTATTTAATGCCATACAACAATAGGCCCTTTGCTGGATTGAAGTGTTGCTAAAATTCTAGTGTGTTTGTTTTTTAGATGAATGGCAGAATTGCCAACAGGAAGCTTTTCCAAAATCTCCATTGTTATCCAGAGAGAAAAGAATGACATAGCAATGTTTTTAACATTTCAACAGCATAATTTTCTTTGTCTCTGGAAAACGGGAAGCTACGTATCATTAGGAATTTCCTGATTAATTTCCTAAAGTATAAGGGTTCTAGTGCTATACAGGGAGCAACCCAGGCGACCTGCTCATTAACACTAAAAAAAAAAAAAAAAAAAAAAGAAAAAAAGAAAAAATACTTTCCTTGGGGACAAGCAGGATTTCTAAGGGCTTGCTGGCAATGTTATTTGACTGTACATAGAGGTTTCCAGCACAGATTTCTCTTCCAGCTCAGTGAAAATAAGAGTCCAGGCAGCCTGGCTTTAAATCAGTTGATAGAAAGGCAAAGATCTCAGAAATCTGGTTTTAATTTATCAGCTTTGAGTTGCTTTTTCCTTCACCTTTTCATGCTTGTCACTGGCTGCCTAACCCAAGTGAGGCAGGTTTCCTGTAGATCCCATCTGTCTTGCCGGCACCTCCTGCACTTGCTGGCATCCCTTGCCCTTGTTGGCAACTTCTGCATGCTGGATAGTGTCCCGTCAGGTCTAGGATAACGGTTCTCAAAGGGCAGCCTGGTGCCATTGCTAGTCCACAGATAGACTGCACTTTGATGCATTAATGATGTTTAATACCACAGTGACTATATTTTTACTTTGTTATACTGATCATTGTTGCTGCTTATAAGAATACAATGGGAGACAGGATTCTGAGGCTGGGTGCTGGGGGAAGCCATTTAAAATCTGGCAGCACTGGCGGGAAAGCATACCTGGTGCTGCCAGGTTGGAGCTTGGTGCCCTTTTCTGCCTTTTTCATGACACCTCTAAGGGGGAGCCATTGTCCTGCTATTCTCTTTGGCTTTCTTTTTAAGGGGCTGTGCACCCATAGATTTGCTGTAGCCAAAACTTACAAGACCGTAACTACACAGTTCAACCCTACATACACCCTGTGATATCTCTGAACTCTTCTCTACTCCTCTCTTCCCTGCTCACTTGGCCCCAGCTGTGCTTCAGACACACCAAGGTACTTCCAGACACTTACAGGCTTCACTCCTGCCCCTCCATTAAGCTGTTACTCAAATGTCGTCTTTTCAAAGAATCTCTTTCTGGGCATGCTATCTAAAATTGCAATCCCTACTGCTAATACACTCTATTTTTGTCTTTGCACATATCACCATCTCACAGAATGTATTTTACTCACTAATCACTTACACATTTTACTTATATTTACTTATTAACTTAGTATCTGTCCTCCCTCTGTAGAATATAAGGTAAATGAATATAGAGGTTTTTCTTTTTGTTCACTGCTGTATTTTGCATGCATGGAACAATGCCTGTCACTTAATAGGTGCTTAATAAGTATCTGAAAGAACAAATGAACAGTTAGAAGCCCGATACATTTATTTCTTAATCTGGTTTATACCCACAGCAGCAGAAATGCTATAATGACTTGCCCCATTTAAGTTTGGGTCAAAATTCAGTATACTGACTTATTAATGAAGTCATTTGGAATGAGTAAGAGTCCTAGGTCTATGTCGATCACACTGAAATAAGAGCAGACCATTGATTGATTCAATACTAAATGTGATTGTTCTATAACTTTCTGAACACTTCATGTAACAGCTCTGTCTAAATCTCAGAATCTCATTTATACCTCATCACTGAATATTTTTAGAATATTGAAGGAGTTTATTGGGGAGAGAATGTTTACTATATCTCAATCACTTCTTATATATGATCTATTTTAATTCTTATAAAAACAGTGTAAAAATACATTATTCCTATTTGAACTGAAATTCTGAACATCTTTTTAATTACTCAAGGTTTCACAAATTATGAGAGAAGGTTATGATCTTTTCAAGTTATGCTGTAAAATAAGGACTTCTGTTAGAAAACAACAAATAAATGATTAGACTACCCTCCATGTTATTCATCCTCTGTTAGCTGAATATTCGTCTTAAAGTAGGGCCCTGCCATGCCATTCTCCTGCTAAGAGTCTGCATTGGTTTCCTACTGGATCAAATCCAAGCTAAGGCACTCAAGTGCCAAGCAAGGCACTCAAAGCCTCATATAGTCTCATTTCCCCTTAACCATCTTAGGTTATTTACCTCAGCTGCCTGTAACAAATCCTCTGCTCTAGTCAAGAAGTTTCTCTTCTTCTTTTCTTCCTTCCTCCTTATTAGCCACCCCTCCTGCGTTAGGCACCCGTTTACTAGTCTGCCCTGCTTCAGGGACTTCTTATTTCTTCTCTGATGTTCCTTTCAGGCATGAATGTCATTCTTTTTTTCCTGCTTATCCATACACCTTATGGACCTATCTGTAAGATCCACCTGTAAATTACACACTTTGTTTTCATGTCCCTAGCCTACAACAAATAATCTCTCTCATTTTTCTTTTCTTAATTACTTTTGAACTTATCAGGTGTACCACACAATTTATTAATCCTTATTTAATTACAGACTGTAGCATTCTATAATTGTTTCTAGTGTTAGCCTTGCTCTCTAAACAAGATTGTAAGTGCTTAAAGAGATTTATGTCTTATACTTTCCCGCCTATACTTTGTAGAGTAGAGGTTGTTTTATTAAGAGATGCCCTACAAATACTTGGCTTTTCATCCTGTATAGGTATGAGTCCTGCTATTAATAGAAACAATGACATCATTTTAGGATAGATAGTAAAATGTGGTTTATCCAGCAGCAGATCCTTCCAATCTGATATTAGTTTTATGCATTTTATGAGCACACATATTTTCAGAAAGTCACTGGAAGATTTTGCTTCTGTTATATTTGAAATTTGAACACCAAACTTCCACATTGTGAAATGTTTGCATGAACACTTTTGAGAACTTTAGATGAAAGGTGTAGTATAAGTACAAAGTATGCATCTTCAAAAAGCAAAATGAAAATGCAAATATTTAGAAATTTCAAAACAAAGCATGGGAAATTTTGGGTATATTGCAAGGCCAAATAATTCATCATTCCATTTCTAGAGCACTAGAAAAGGTTGGGAAATCTGTCCTTTGAAGCCTTAGAGTATGTATATTTTTCTCTTTAGCCCTGTGCTGTTTCCTTGAGGATATGCCTGTAGCAATAAAGGTAATCGGGAAGGCTTTGAATTTCTGAGACAGTGTTAAGCATTTTTTAACATCAGATTAAAGGTGGCAAAAGCTAGGGATGATCTACAGGTGACTTCAAATCAGGGGTTACATTGCAAGTCCGTCTTTTGGATGAGATAAGTCAAAGTGCCAGTGAATGTGTTTTGGTGGCAAGAAAAGAAGCTGAGAGGGTCAGGATGCAGAAGTCAGCATTTTTTCAAGAAACACTGGGATAGAATTTCTTTGTGTGGAACTGTACCATGTCTGGAGATACCTCACTTAATGACATTAGTTGAATACTGTGCAGTTTGTCCAATTTTCAAAATGAAGTACATTTATGATTTTTCCCTGTCATGCATATTTATTGCCTTTTCTTTTTTTGTTTTATTCCTTGAGATAGGGTCTCAATTTGCTGCCCAGGTTGGAGTGCAGTGGGGTGATCTCCGCTCACTGCAACCCCCGCCTCCCAGGTTTGAACAACTCTCCTGTCTCAGCCTCCCGAGTACTACAGGCACACATCACCACGCCTGGCTAATTTTTTTTTTTTTGTACTTTTAGTAGAGACGGGGTTTCACCATATTGGTCAGGTTGGTCTCAAACTCATGACCTCAGGTGATCCACCCGCCTTGGCCTCCCAAAGTGCTGAGATTACAGGCGTGAGCCACCATGCCCCACCCTATTGCCTTTTCAGGAAAGTTTTTGGAGTGTTCTGAAGGTTGGGGAGGATCCACATTCTCTATCTTTAGAAGCTTTCTCTTTAGTGTCCCTTTGAATGCTGGCTTCAGTTCAGTGGATAATAGGTGGATCAGGCTGGGTGCATTTTTAGATTTTGTGGTATCAGAATTTGAAAACAAGATCTGCTCCAAGGGTAGGGGCAGGTCCCACTGGTAGAGACAAAAGGATGTTTTGCCAGTTTGCAAGCAGAGTGCAATGTACTGAAAGAGGAGTGCTAAGTGCAAAGTTGCACATCTAAGCCAGCTGTCACTGGGCAAAGTCCTGCAAAGTCTCACAGGTGGCACCCCATGGGCCGGCCCATCACAGGAAGACAGAGCCTGAGTGTGGCCAGTTTGTGGTGCTCCAGGCAGTGGGTCATGAAGCTGGGCTCAAGTAGGCCTGGCAGCTGACAGCGGACCTAGCCTTTGAGCTGGGGATCAGAGTTGCAGGCTTAAAGGAGCTCTCAGGCAGAAACCTGGAAGACAAGGAAGGTGGGGGAGTATGATAAGGACCAGCTGCTGAAAACGGGGCACACGTGGCTACAAAAATAATAATAATCCCCACAGATAATAATAATAAAGATAGCTAACACTTATTGATGCTTACTATATGTCAGAAAATGTCCCAGGTCCTTCACACATTTTAACTCTATCAATCCTTAAAGGCTGGTACTGCTATCATCCCCACCTTATGGGGGAGTAAACTGAGTCCCAGTAAGGTGGAATAGCATTGCAGAGCTACACATCTAATTAGTGGTAGAATAGACATCTTAATCCAAGCATTCTGGGTTAAAAAGTCTGTGTGTTTATCCTCCAGGCTATCCCACCTTCAAGTACTAAAAGGTGATACAAAATAAATTGAGTCTTTACAGTTTATTGGAAAGGGCAAAAGCTTTGAGCTAGAGAGATAAGGATTTGGATCTCACCTCTACCACTTGTTATTTCTGACATTTTGGGAAAATCATGTGATTATCTTAGATTTGCTATATCATATGTAGAATGCGGGAAATGCCATCCAGCCCATTGATTTTGAAGAACTAAGTGAAATAATAGATACAAGCTAATTAGACTTCATCTGGCAAGAAGCTGCCACTCAACAAATATCTGCTTGCTTTCATTCTCTAAATGCCCATTCGTATAGAGCTCTTTCAGTTACTTCCGATTGGAAATAGGATTATTCCAGGGCACAAGTCTGGGCTAAGCTTGAGATAATTAGGGAAGCCACAGGTTTCAACCCTTGTGAAAAGAAGAATAGATAGATAGATAGATAGATGACAGATAGAGACAGATAGATAGATAGATGACAGAGAGATAGAGAGATATAGATTAGATAGATGACAGAGAGATAGAGAGATAGCTAGCTAGCTAGATAGATAGATAGACAGACAGACAGATAAAAGACACCACAGGCTATAGTGAGAGGTGAGACAGCACCTGGCTGTTTCCTGCCTGCTTACCCTTAAACAATGTGGTGCTTTCTTCTTTTAATTTACAGAAAAATGTGCTGGCAAGTGCTTTTGTATACAGTTAATTCAATCAATGAAACTTTGCATCTTAAAGATGTAAACTAATGCTCACTTCAGGAACAATAATTGGCAAATTTAAAAATTATTCATTTTTATAAACATGTTAATCTTTTGCTTTCAAGATTTTTTGTGTTCATTAACTTTGTTAGTACTCAGAACTGACTGAAATGATTCTAAGTTTGAATTTCTATAATTATGCTTGAATTTCAAAGCCTACCTTGCATAGGATGGTGGCTAGGGCATAAATATTACATCCTATCTCCAGTTAAGGCATGGATACCTGCACCATCTTTCATATGAGAAGCATCAACACAATTCTGACTATAAAATTTCATGATCATTCTTTCCACCTACAACTTTTTTGGATCTTTAGCTACGAATTACATTTAAAGCTATTACTGTATATACTTTTTCTGTACTTAAAAACATATTTGATAGAAATAGCCCACGTGTTCGCTGTAGAAAAATTAGATTACATTAGGCACAGAAATTAAAGGAGAAAAGCCACCCATAATTCCAGTACTAAATAGTATCAAATTTTGAGGTATATCCTTCCAGATTATTTTCCATAGATGTTGAGGCATAGTACAGAAATGGGATCACACTCTACATACAGTTTTGTAATCTGTGCTCCTCAGTCAGCTATTTATTACAATAAACACCTGTATATTCATATACATTATCATCTGTAGTAGCCTCATTCCATTGCATTTTTATAGCGATACTAATTTAGGTAATCTGCTATTGTTAAGTATTTAATTTATTCACTAGGCCGGGCATGGTGGCTCATGCCTGTAATCCCTGCACTTTGGGAGGTGGAGGCGGGTAGATCACCTGAGATCAGGAGTTCGAGACCAGCCTGGCCAACATGATGAAACCCGTCTCTACTAAAAATATAAAAATTAGTCGAGCGTAGTGGTGGGTGCCTGTAATCCCAGCTACTCAGCAGGCTAGGCAGAAGAATCACTTGAACCTGGGAGGCAGAAGTTGCGGTGAGCCAAGATTGCGCCACTGCACTCCAGCCTGGGCAACAAGAGTGAAACTCTGTCTCAAAAAATTATTCACATTGTTTTTATTATTATGAACAAGGCTTTGACTGTCATCTTTGCACATCCATGTGTCTTTTTTTCATACTGATTCAAGGGGCATGTGTGTTTATCAGGCTTTTGATGTATTTGCCAAATACATCAAATATCTAGAAATAGCATGCTGACTATACTCCCTCTGGCAATAAATGAGTGCCTCAAAACTGTATTTTTTTTTCTTTTCATGTACCATCTGATAGACAAAATAGGCATCTCCTTATTTTATTTTTTATTCATTTGTTTTCTCGCATGGTTGATTTTTCCATATCATTAATTTAAAATTTTTAATTTATCCTTTTTTGTAAATTCATGATTATTTTCTCTCTCTCTACTGGGACATATTTATTTTCCTTACTGATTTTTAAGAGTTCTCCATGTTGTACCTCTTTAACTATAAAATATGTAATATGTAATATTTTCCCAGGTTGTATTGTATATTAAAATTTTTTGATATATAGAAGTTTTTGTTTTAAAATTGATTAAATCACAGGCTGGGGATGGTGACTCACACCTGTAATCCCAGTACTTTGGGAGGCCAAGGCAGGCAGATTACTTGAGCCCAGAAATTTGTGACTAGCCTGGGATCCATGAGGAAACTCTATCTTTACAAAATTTTTTTAAAAAAATTAGCCCAGTATGGTGGCCTGCACCTGTAGTCCCAGCTACTAGGGAGGCTGAGGTGGGAGGATCACTTGAGCCCAGGCAACAGGTTTGATTGCACCACTGCACTCCAGTCTGGGTGACAGAGCCAAACCCTGTCTCAAAAACAAATAAATAGATAAATAAAATTAATGAAATCATTTTATTCATAGTTTATGCACTTAGAAAAGCATCTGGCATATATAGTGCTCAGAAAGATCTTCCTCACCCTTAGAGAAATAAAACGTTCACATATATTTTCTTTGAGTATTTCCATAGCTTCCTTTTTCATATTTAAAGTTTGAATTCATCTGGACTTTATTCTGGCATAATATAAGTCTTAAGGCTTATTTTCCCAAATGATTATCAAGTTGTCCCAGTATAATTGATTATCCTGTGTTCCATATGCTGATAAAAAATGTTAACTCTGTCAAATATCAAATTCTTATGTATAGTTGTATCTCTTTGGTGTTTCTGTTCAGTTCTATTGGATTCTCTTCTAGTCTGGTGCCAGTATCAATTATTATAATTATTACAGAAATTACTCCTTTGTTAATATTGTCTTTCAGAAATGTTCTGGATATATTTACATTTATTTATATGAGGTCTTAAAATACACAAGCAATGGGAGACAAGGGGGAATTGCAATTGGGGGTAAATAAAGCAAGTTTGGAAAAATGTTGATATTGTTGTAGCTGTGTGATGGGAATGTGGGACTCATGATCCTATTTACTCTGCTTGCATGTATGTGTGAAAGTGACGATAACAAAACTTTATATAAATAATTAGGTAAATAATTCAGATCGGAACTGCATGTAATTGGAATTGCACATGCTTTCCTCTTTAGAAACATGTTTTTTAAAAAAAGTCTCCTTTTATGTACTTCAATGAAGTTTTGTAGTTCATTTCTTTATATAGTCCCTCTACCTTTCTAAACAAACAAGCATACAAAACCTAAGAAAGCTTCTTCATGCCTAGTTTTTAAGTTGTGTGTGTGTGTGTAGCAATTATATTTCAAATTGTTGGTATATAGGAAAACCTTGATTTGTAATCAACCCAGTTACTTAACTTAAAAAAAAAAACTCTATTTCTTTCTTTTTTTTTTTTTTTGCTTTCTTTTTGGGAGGTTTTTCAAGTAGAGAATCCTGTGGTCTTCCTATAGTGATAGACTTGCCTCATCATTTTCAATATTTATGATTCTCCTTTATGGGATTTATTAGCTAGCACTTTAAACACATTGGCAACTGAGGGTGGTGGTAGTGGGTATTTTTCTGCTGCTCCCGGCTTTAATGAGAATGTCTTCCATCTTTGATCACTAAGCAAGACATTGGCTATTTGAGAAAGATATGACTTTTGGTCCCGTTTTATTAAATCTTAAAAATCAGGATTCAGTGTTAAGTGTTTTCACATGCATTTTAGACATTCTTAGAAAGGATTATGTGTTTTTCTTTTCCCTTGGTCTATTACTTTAATGAGTTATATTAATAGGTTTCTTACTATTAAACTCTTCTCACATTCCAGAGTGTGTAAACTCATGAATAATATGGATCTTGTGTACTGTCTTACAGAAATTCCCTAAATTGATGGCATTTCTCCATGAGTTTTCTATTGTTTCTTGCTTCTAAGTGAATTTGGGAGCAAGGAGAGTGAAATAAATGGACTGAAATTTCTATCTTATACTGGAAGTCTGGCATACTTGCATTGACTGTCATCTACAGTAGAGTCAAATGTACTGACTGAAATTCAGCTATGGTTAAAGAATGTGGCTTTTATTTCTTATAGCAAATTTTCTAGCTCTAGATTCTAGCTGTAGAGCCATTGTTCCCATTAATGAGGTGGGGAAAAACACCCAAACTTTAATTCATTTCGGGATTAGAATAGTTTCTTTTGGGTCAGTATGTAAATAATTGAAAGTTGAGCTATATATCAGAACTGTTTTTCTCCTCTTCAATGACTTCTGATGTCTTCCCTAAAACATAAAATAACTTCTGGGTGCAGGAGAAAACATACATATCCTGGATTTATACTTACTAGCCATGTAATCTTGTGATGATTATTTCAGCTTTCTCTACCTTGATTTCTTCATCTGCAAATTGGATATTAAAATGACAACTATTTTACAGAATTTTGTGGGAATTGAATTAGTTAATATATTTTAAGTGATTAGAACATTTCCTGGTACATAGCAAATGCCCCATAAGCGTTTGTAATTATAATATAAAATTATGATTGTTCTCATAGTGTTAGGAGTGAAGTGGACTTTGGTTCATGTGCCATTTTCCAATTGAGTGCTCTTGGGATGATTTGGTGTCTGTCTCTCCTGCCTCCACTTTGAAGTATCTGAAGCTGGTTTAATACTCTAATTCTGTTCTCTTGCCATAAGCAAAGAATAGGAATTACATCTGTTTTTGCCAACTAGGTTGGCACCCAACTCTTGCTGGGAATATGGGGTCTCTTTCCTTAGTAATATTTATGAATGAGATAATCTGTAACAATATCTTGGTATGGTATGATATGTTGTGACATCATCTTCATCTTAGCAGAGTTTGGATGAGTTAGAAACTGAAAGACCATTTTAATACTAAGTTTCTTTCATTCAGCTACTTCTACTTCAGATATTAAATTTGGTTTTACTTTTTCATTTATATGCTTTCGCTTATATTACTTCTTTAGTGAATTAAAGAGATTTTTAAAGAGAAAATTCTAGCTTCTCAAGCATCATTGTCCTTCTGAAAAATTGAACTAATAAGCCCTGAGATGATTAAAGCGTAGCCGATCCTTAGAAAAGAAATTGCCATTTTCCATTTTCACTAAGAAATTCATCTATTAGCACAATAATATTTATGAGATTTTGCTGTTGTGCAATCCCTCATTCATCCCTTATCACCATTTTGAATGAAGAGAGAGCAAAATCTAATTCCAGGTGCCAGATGGGTGCCACACAAATGGCAATGATTCAGCACAGGCTCCAGTTACAGATACCAAGCTCTGAACAGCTATTTGGATAATCAGGAGATCTTGGTGAACTGAGGTGAATTTTCTTCTGTGTGTCAGGTCCTCCACTTGTTCTTTCTCTATATTCAGAGCCTTTGAATTTGCTATGAAGCTTGGTATCTGCTTTGTCCTAGCAGTTAAGAGTTGGTGTCACAATTCACATCTTGCTGGAAAAGTGATGGGTTCATTTTGAGGCTCATTGAATGAGTCCTTGAAGAAGGAAGCATCAAAATGAAAAGGATTTCAAATCTCTGAGTATAAGGTTTGAAATGTTCATTTGACCTCACTGATGGCTGTGGAAAAGCCTAGGCTTGGACACAGAAACTGAAGGTTAAATCTTGTACTATAATTGAGTGTCTCTAGAATTAGTACAGGCTTCTCTCATTTTGTGGCAGTGTAACAGCAGACTAACAATCCTGGGAAGAGTGCATTTTTAATGAAACATTTTTGCAGGGTTAGTAAAATCCAGATCTCCTAAAAAACCCAATGCTTGCTTACTCTAAGATGAGAAGGATAAGCCAAATTCAAGGCTTCTCACTATGCCACCAGGTTATACAATAAATTTTGAGCTCCCCTATCCTACATTTCGAAGGATTAATTCTAACTGTAATTTACCTTGATTCTTAGAGCTCGCTGAGGCTCTTGGTGTTAAAGACATATCAGGGGACAAAGTAATAAAAAGCTTACATTTAAGGAGTGCCTTCTTAGAGTTAGGTACAGTGGTTATATACGCTGACATGTAAGTTCATCATTTAGTTTACACAGTAGTAGCCTTGAAATGTGAGTTTCAGTATCTACATTTATCTTGATCCTGACATTGACATGCAAAAGGGTTAAGTAGTTTCTCATGGCCATAAAATTAGAAAATGGCCAAAACAGAATTTGACTCCAAATTCTTTGGAATATGGAATATGACTGATTCCAAAACCTAATATTCCACTGATTAGTTTTGTCTCTTCATCTCTCCGAATCAACATCTCTTACATAAATTACTTTTGTTTAGGGGATATCTTAGAGTTCTTGTTTTATAATGGAGTGAGAAAAAAATATCTCCTTAAGAACAAAGGAATTAAAACAAGGCACTACATTGAAGGAGTTTATTTTATCTACCACATATACACTGAATATGAAAGAAAAAGAGTATATTGAAAATGATTCTCTAATGGCAGAAAAATATTATAATTTATGCTGTACTAGATCTTGATTTTGTTGCTTGTTATTTTTAATGTCTATAATAAATTGGTAAAACAGTAAAACTCTTGAAAAGCAAAAAAAAAAAAAATCCAAATTCTTTGCCCACTTTTTTTTCTGCTGTTATTTTATTTTTAATGTAAAAAAGCCAACTGCTCTTTATCATTCGTTAGAAATTTGCTCCAAACTAAGGGGCATGTACAGTTTTCAATTTGTGGGTGTTAATGACTCCACCACAGTGGGCTCATTCCCTTGCAAGGGCGCTAACGGGCTGTTGCTTCCTAAGAGACAGAGGATTGAGAGGTTTTGGTTTCTACTCATAGTCTTTGGTTTCTTGGCTCTGTTATTTTCCTTGTTTATGTTTCTTTTAATTAACATTGAGTTTCTTCATTTTATGCCTTGCTTTTCTTCTGTTTGTACAGTCTGCCGGCAATGACTCCTTGGGTAGCACTTGTTAATTAGGGAGAAATGATAGCTTGAGGGTACTTCCTGACTTACTTGGTGCTAGGATAAAAGTTGTTCTACTGAAGCCGCATTAGAACAACTTTTATGTACCTACCTCAAGTAAGATCTGCATGATGCTCTACCAATTCCCTTTTGTCTCTTTGATCTTTACTTTAACTCTGGTTTATTTTATTTAAATTCTCATTGTGTCCCAAATAATCTAAACCAAGAGTATTATTAGGTCTTAAAATAATTCACTTGTATTTTTCTTAAGGAGGCTATTCACAGTAGATTTTGTGGGAAAATAAAAATTAGAATTCACGGCTGATTGACTAAATAAAAGCAACTAAAGAACCAAAGGGTATGTTGATTTTAAAAAGGAACTTCTGAAGGTATCTGGCTCATAATTACCCAGAGATAATAATTTTGGTTCTATAGCTCAGATTGAGAAAGCTATACATAATATAATGCAGGATCTATAACATGGATTGTCTTTCTCAATTTCTCACTATTCCTCACTCTCACCTTTCCTTCTCTCTTTCAGCTACCTATTCCTATCTAATCTATCTATCTATCTATCTATCTATCTATCTATCTATCTATCTATCTAACTGTCTATCTATCTATCTATCTATCTATCTATCTATCTATCTATCTATCTATCTATCTGCCTATCTTGTTTTTGCCAGAGAGGCAGAATGGTTCATGTTTTAGAACCTAGTTGGTCTCATGATACAAAGTACAGACTATGATTTGTAATTAATGATTTGTAGACAGCAGTCTCTACATACATTCTACAACCCTCAGTGAAATGCCATTTCTAATACTTCTCAAATTTACAAGTATTCAGACAGCAGATTTTACTTTAATATGGGACAAAAAAACATTAAAAAGAATAAAAGGCTCAGTGCCTTGATGAACTCCACTTTTCTTTGTAGCTAGTAAGCAGCTTGCACCAGAGATTTTATGGGGATCATCTTGCTATCATTTTATTTTCCTCATGATGACTCAGGGAATTTTATCCTGAGGCTCTCAATGGATCTGTTATAGTCAAGCTGATGATGACACATCTCAGAGGCTCATTCCATATTGGGCCTCAGGCCAGCAAACTACGCACCATGCTGTCCTATGATTCACAGGACGAAACTGCTCTAGACACCTCCCACTGCCCAGGCAGGAAGGGCACCATAATGAGGCAGTGGGAGGGTGTATGGCTAGGAAAGTTGCTAAAAGGAAGCTTTTGTTGTAACTTTCTTCTCTGCTGCAGGAGGCTAACACCAAAGCAAAGTATTATCAAGCAACAGACCCTACATTTATGCAATATTAATGAGAAGGTCCCTGGACTTTTAATTAGGGTGGAGAGTTGTGTTTTAGAGAGCTGAAATTATTTTAGGTGGGAGGAAATGGAATCCTGGGAGAAAAGTAATTAATTTATAGCTCAATGACTGAACTGTGCCATTTTGAAATACTGGTCAAGGTGAGCGTTGAAAGAGTGGGTACTCTGGCATTTCCATACCCTTGGGAGTGAAGAATTAGGCTATTTGGGGAGCCAAATGATATGCTTGTATTTCCAAAAATGTCATTTATTTTGTAATAAATTTGTGCTGAAATAAAAAGTGGCTTGTGTTCTCTATGTAAGTGTGACCGCCTGCATATTATTCATTCAATGGTCATTTACAGCATACTTTATAGGTGTGGAATTCTACAGATGCCTTTTCTACAGGGACAAAGTTCTGACTAGATGCACAAAGGAGATGAAAAGAACCGTCAATGTCTACTTTCATGTTCCTTTCCCTCTACGTGGGGAAAAACATCAGTATATGAAATGGCATTTGAATAACTTAAAGAGAAGTGTTCACAAGAGCAGAATAACTCGGAACAGGCTTTGAAGCCATTAGGTGTATGAATCATTTACTGCCTCCTCGGGGGTCCCACACCAGCTATTCTGAGATTCTGTCAGAGCACTTAGTGTATTGTGTTATTTGTCTCTGTCCCCCACTAGAATGAGAGTTCCACGTGGAGAGAGATTTTTATCGTATTTATCTCTGCATCCCTGGACCCTAGAGCACAGTTCATTGCATACCACAAGTGTCCAGTAAATGTCTGGTGAATGAATTAGTAAAATAGATTGCTGTTATCATTTTGGAGGAAGAGAAGGGAATAGAATGATGGTTTTATATGGACATAAACTACAAAGGAAATGATTTGATTCTTTTCAGTCTGGAGACAAAATGTGCTTTTCTTCTCTTAATTCTCTGTTCAATTCAGCAGAAATCAGTAAACATTTACTAAGCATATTTTATGTTGTAATTGTATATATAAACATGAAATGTTTTCTAACCTCAAGGGACTTAGAGTCCAGGGCAAGGTTGGCAGTGACGTACAATTAAACAGATCATTTTGATGTAATTTGACAAATATACTGTGGGAGGCATTCAGGAGGCATTATGGAGGGAGTAAAAAGGGATGTTAGGTCAGGCTGGCAGTGGGAATGGGGCTGGGATATTGGGAGAATCAGGAAACTCTTCCAGGAGGAGATGACACCTGAGTTGAGTCTTGAAGCAAGACATTCCCAAACAAAGGAAGAAGAGCATGGCTATGGGGTAAAGGAAGAGGGGAAAAAGTCCAAGACAGAGGACAGGGAGGTGAGAAACCGTATGGCGTATGCAAAGAATTACAAGTGGTTCCCTATAGCAAGTGAGTGAAACAATGCTGTGTGGGAGGTCAAGGGATGATACTGCAAACAGCAGACAGGGGGACTCCTACTTACCATGTAAAGGAGATTTATTTGGACTTTATGCTGTAGGGGATAGGCAGCTATTGATAGATTTTAAGGTGGACTTGAAGTAGGCAGTATTGGTGACAAGAAGAACATTAGAAAGTGCCTGAATTTGTGTAGATAAAACTCTGGAAGACTGTGGTAGTGGTAGACCCCTCTTAGTGTATGAGATATGTATGTGGCGGGTTAAAGTATACACATGGCAGCTAAAACAATGAAAACTAGTGGATTATCAAGAAATATAATCTAGAACAGAGGCTCCCAAGTGCCAATCAAAAGTGGTGGTGCTCTTCACCCTTCATGATTATTATCTGGGGTATTGGTCAAAAGTAGATTCCTGAGTACCTGTCCTCAAAGTTCTGATTCATTGGTGGAGAGTCAGCCATCTGCATTTTATGGCATTCCCTAGCTAATTTTGATATGCAGTCATGTTTGGGAAATGCTGATAAAAATAATATCAATGGTATCACTCATATTTTAGATGTAGACAAAATAAGAAGACCCCGTGAAGTAGCAAGAAGTTGAGCAGTCAGTTGGAGAACCAGCAGAAGACAGAGGAAGAGGGATTTTCTAGAAGGCAAAACAATGTGATAGCAGAGAGTTCTAGTCAGATAATTTGTGAAAAGTTTGTTAGATTTTGTGATATGGAGGTCTAGGATCTTTAGAGAAAGTAGTTTAAGTGTGGAAGGAGTAAAACTTGCTTGCATTGGGTTGAGGGGTAGACAGTGGGAATAAGGAGGTAAAGAAAGATAACAGACATTTTTTTTCAAATAGCTTGATTTTGAAGAGAAAGAGAATGATATCTTGAGGAGGGAGAACATAGGGTTATAAGGATAATTTACTTTTTACAAGAGGAGAGACTCAAGAGAGTATTTAGATCTTGAGGGGAGAGAACCAGTTAGAACTAGAGCAGATGGAGGAGGAAAGACAGGCATAGGTAGAAGACAGGACTCCTCATAGGAGGAGAAACACCTCACTCATCCTCTCAGACAGCGGGAAAGGAGGTAAGGGAGAGTAAGCTGGGTGAGGAAGGAAGCTGAGGCATAATTTTTGATGGGATGTTCAGAGAGACATTAAGAGGCTCAAATAGTTGAAAGGGTACAAAGCTGGTTGAAACTAAACCTAGGTAAAGAGCCCTATTGTTAACTTACTATTTTAAAAATATTTTTCTTGAAAATTGTGACAGCTTTTTCTTTTCTTTTTTTCTTTTTCTTTCTTTTTTTTTTTTTTTTTTTTTTTGAGACGGAGTCTCGCTGTCGCCCAGGCTGGAGTGCAGTGGCGCAATCTCGGCTCACTGCAGGCTCCGCCCCCTGGGGGTTCACGCCATTCTCCTGCCTCAGCCTCCCGAGTAGCTGGGACTACAGGCGCCCGCCACCTCGCCCGGCTAATTTTTTGTATTTTTAGTAGAGACGGGGTTTCATCTTGTTAGCCAGGATGGTCTCGATCTCCTGACCTCGTGATCCACCCGCCTCGGCCTCCCAAAGTGCTGGGATTACAGGCGTGAGCCACTGCGCCCGGCCTGTGACAGCTTTTTCCACCCATATTGCATTTATTTTCTAACTTATAATAATATGAACCTATTTTGTAGATTGAGCTCCTGTTGGTCCTATAAAACCCAAATCTCTTGCTTGCTGATTCAGTTGTTTATTTGCATTTGTCTCATGTTCCATGTGTTTTGCATTCCCGGAAACTAGCACAGGCAGGGAGGCCTCAACACCTAATTTATTTCCTAGGTGAAGTGGAACCTGAAGATTTTCCTTTTATAGACACCATTACTAGATCTGAAAGAAAGAGGTAAGTTAATTGACACCCAAATGGAGGATGAAAATAGTAGAGTCAGGAAGAGAGAACTTAATTTTAGCCATCTGTTTTCCAACTTGGCTTTTCTCAGTCTATAGATTCCCAAAAACAAAGTCTAACATTGGGTACGAAATAGCAAACTTGAGCACTGAAAAACAAACAAATGAGAAAGCAATCTAACAATTCCACGAACAAAAAACTAGCACTTTTGTATGTCCTCTGAAGTAAGAAGAGATGAGTAACTTTTGTATTCACTCAAATACTTTCTTTTAATCCAACTTTTAAGTATTTTTTCTAAGTGTTGAAAATTTGAGAAGCCAAGAAACATAGAAATGAGACAGAACTACCCATAATACTGTACCTAAATATAACTACTAATATTTTGCTAACTTTTTCAGTCTTTTCTCTGTGCATAACTTTTTATAGGATAATATTACACATACAACTTTAATCCTGCCTTTTTCACTTAATATTATAACACAAGCTTTTTCTCATATAATTGAAATATCTTGCAAAATATATGATTTTAATTACATAGTACATCATGAAGGTTCTCATATTTTATTTAGCAATTCCTTTACTATTTGACATCTAAATTGTTTCCAGATTTTCATTATTTTAAGTAGCACTGCTGGAATGTTTCTGCATACAAAGCACTTTCCATATTTCAAGTTACTTCCTGAATTATGATATAAAAGTGTATAATACCATTAAAGCTTTTGGTACTTATTATCAAATTCCTATCCAAAGACTTATGTCATTTGGAAAGTTGATCAGCAATATATGAAATGCATATCTAATTATATATACACCATTTTCAAGTATTTTATTTTTAAAAGTAAAATAATTTTTAAGCAAGACAAATCTTGAGATTTTAATTTTCATTTTATTAATAGTGAGATTGAATATACCCCATATTTTGATATAATTTTATTTCCAATTTTGCAAAATTTCTACTTATTAATTAAAACATTCATTTTTGTAGATTTATACCTCTAATTTTTAACATATTTTGTAAATGGTACAATGTATGTTACATATTAATACTATGGCAAAGGCAAAAGAATGATAATGAATTGCTTTCAAACTTAAATATATATATATTTTTTGAGATGGAGTCTCACTCTGCCACCCAGCCTGGAGTGCAATGGTGCAATCTCAGCTCACTGCAACCTCTGCCTCCTGAGTTCAAGCGATTCTCCTGCCTCAGCCTCTTGAGTAGCTGGGTTACAGGTGCCTGCCACCATGCCCAGCTAATTTTTGTATTTTTTTTTAATGGAGACAGAGTTTCACCATGTTGGCCAGGCTGGTCTCACACTCCTGACCTCAGGTGATCCACCTGCCTTGGTCTCCCAAAGTGCTGGGATGACAGGCACGAGCCACTGTGCCTGGTAGAAGTTATATTTTTTAATCATACAACTTGCAGTATGGAAGAGACTTTACAATGTACCTTATTCAACCCTGTATTATTAGTTTGTTTTCATACTGCTATAAAGAACTGCTCAAGACTGGGCAATTTATAAAGGTAAGAGGTTTAATTGGCTTACAGTTCTGCATGGCTGGGGAGGTCTCAGGAAACTTACAATCATGTTGAAAGGCGAAGGGGAAGCAAGACACCTTCTTCACAAGGAGGCAGGAAGGAGAATGAACACAGGAGGAACTACCAAATACTTATAAAACCATCAGATCTCATGAGAACTCACCCACTATCATGAGATCAGCATGGGGAAAACAGCCTCCATGATTCCATTACCTCCATTTGGTTTCTCCCTTGTCACGTGGGGATTATGGGGATTATAATTCAAGACGAGATTTTGGGTAGGGACACAGCCAAACCATATCAATGCCCCAGTTGAAGAAGCAAAGATTAAACCCATAAAACAATTATTGAAAAAAAAATGTTAGCTAGTAGATGAGTTTGTGGTACAACATACTTTTTGTTATTGGACCTCAGAGTCAGTAGAAATCTATGTGACTTGGCGCAGTAGGGGAAGTTGTTATTAGAAAGAAGGGCTTTTGTTGGACTTTGAATAGGAAGAGTTCTGTAAAATGAAGAGAACAAAAATTAAAGGGCATGAATCTAAGGCCAAGAGGTAGAAATGGATGTGTCTCAGGTGCGGCAGAGATGAGACCAGCCTGGAGGGTAGAGGGCTGGTGTTGGGAGATACAGTGTGAGGTAAGGCCAAATTAAGCATGCAAATCACAGATCACTTGACTCTTCTAGTTGAAACACATCACTCTGGAGTTCCTACTGAGCATAAGCTACAACCTGATTATATAAAGCCATCCTTGTGGTTACAGGTAGATTGCACTGACTTTGGCAAGTTTCAAGATGTTAAACTGTGCTGGGAAGACTACAAGATGGGTTGACAGATAAAACTAGTTTTAGGAAAATGCATGCACAGGGCAATATTATCAGCTAGCCACAGCAATGGCCATGGAATACAGGGTCCTCTCATTATTGTGTTGTCCCAGGCAGTTCTATGACCTTAGGCAGACTACTTATGTTCCCTATACTTCAATTACCCTATTTGTACTCTACGTTCTTTCTAAATCTCAGATTCTATAGCCTCTAGCAGGAGCTCAGATAAAGCATAGCTTCAGATAAACAGCACTCTAGAGAAAAGAGAGAAAATGTAAATAGCAGGAAATCTCTATTGTCATCTTTAGATCTGGAATAAGAAGTCCTTTCTTTTAATTCACAATTTTAGAAGGTATGAGGAGATATCCAGAACTTTCTTCCCTTGTTTCTGCTACCAATGTAGCAGAGGGCCAACTGAAGCAGATGTTCACATTATCTATCTTACGTGTGTAGAGGGCAAATTAGTGGACATTTAAGAGCCCAAGGCAATAATTCAACCATTCCCATGAAAAATCTGTTATTCCATCCTTGTATGTTTCTTTTCTTTTAACTTTTTGAGTATTTAATTCTTGTGTTGCCTCCTCCTAATTTCCTTCCTGCAGATACTTTGGTGAGTAAACCTTGATAAATTAAGCCTGTTTTTATTATATTCCTTTGGAGTTGTCTTTGATTGTGATCAAGCTTCTCTTTTTATACATGCCACATGTATTCATTCTTCATTTAGATGAGAATCTAATCAAGGGAATAAACTGCCAAGTTTGGTTTCATTTATGCAACCCTAGAAAAATATATCTTTTGATGAGTTGGAGACAACAGTAAGTTAGAGACAGAGCTAATCCATTACACCTTGATCACTCAGAGGCAACTGTACCCAAACAATTCTTTCCCTTTGCATCAAGAAAGTTTGTTGTTTATCTGAGAGCTTAGTACTGTGCCTGGCACATATAAGGTGCTCAATAAACTTTTTAAAACCAATGCATCTGAGTGGCTTTATAATTCAGCAGTTACTGTATGAACTGACTTACTATGTAGAAGAAAAAAGTATTAGTTCAAAAAGAGGAGATTAAAGAATTCTTCTTACATATATAAAACATGTCCTGTTCAGTAGCTTCTCTAATATTTTGTGGATGATTGGAATCCCTTTTCACTCATATTTAAGGATGTCATTATGTATGGGGACATTTGCTGTTTCAATACATAGATTTATATTTGCAGGGAACTTAAAGTCCCCGGAAATTTTTCTGAGATATTATCTGATTAATCCCCATAACAACGCTGTGAGGTGGGTTGTGGAGATATGAGGGGAAAAAAGGGAAGGGATTTTCCTAATACCATACAGTTTGTGTATATGACGTAGCAATGAAAGTAGAACTTATTTCATCTGATGACCAGTTCAAGACATTTTCTGCTATATAAATCTTTAATCTCTAGGATAGAAACTGTCTTAATTCCCTTTGCATTGACACAGCAAAATGTATATAGGTGGTCCATCTAATTCCATCTCTGAATATTCCAGCACTATCTGTCTTATCCACCTCCTCTATTCATTTTTATTTCTAAAGTGTTCTCCCTGCAGGAGCTGACTCTTCCTTCTTTCTAATTAACTTTATGTGGAAACTCCTATCGTAACGAAATTGCACGTGTGAGTGTTCTCTCGCCTGGCTTTCTTTTTAGTGCACCTGGAGGGAGAAAGCTTTTCTGCAGTCTCACCACATTATCTTTGCTGAGAGAGAAACTTGCAGGAACTAAGATAACTGCCTTCCTGAGAGTCAACCTTTTCATCAAACATTCTTTAGTTTAGGCACAGCTTTGATTTTTGCAGAGGTTACCACTTGTTCATAATTAAAATGCACTGGTTCATGCTATTGGCAGCAAAGCACTATGGAAGAGTAGACAAAAACGTGGATTTTGAGGCAGACAAATCAGGTGTGAATACTGGTTCTGCCATTCCTGGGCAATTTACTTCATTCGTTGCTGCTGATTTCCTCGTTTGTGCCATGGGAAAACATATTAACAATGTCTACCTCACAGGAGTATTGGAAAGTTTAATGATACATTATAGAGATTTTTTTAAGGATAAATGAGGTAGCAGAACATGCAATCCTCTTCATAGACTGCAGAGCACATCTACCATTTCCCCTCCATCTCCACTCTCCTCCCTGCCCTACCTTGGGGGGCTTTGAACCCTGGAAGGCTGACCAGTCAGATGTACTTCTTCCTCCTTTGCCCTCCTGCTTGCTTGCATTTGGTTAGTGGGGAGTCCTAGGAGGAGACAGATGGAGAAAGGAAAATGAGACTGCGTGCAACTGGTTGTCTTCTTCTTTTTAGGGTCTAGCTGTGTCCCAGAGAGCAACTTCCCTTTTCAAGGCAGCCCACTCTGTGTGATGCTTTTTCCTAGGTATGGGCAACCCATCCCTCCTAGGGTGAAAACTTCGCTGTTGCTAGTTCCAGGTACTGTGCCATCCTTTGTGGATTCCTCTACCCTACCAACATCTCCTTAAAGAGTCTCTTTGTTGAACCTGCTGTAAATGATCCTAATAAAAGTATGCTGTCTGTTTATTCTTGGACCTTCAACTGGTAGATTATTCATACTGGTTAGTGGAAAGTAGATCTGCCTACATATGTATTATTTGAGAGAGGTTAGCACTTATAGAAGAAAAAACAAGAATGGGCTGTTTTTACTTGCCATTTGATACTAAGAGAAAAAGAAGGTAGTGATGATGGATGATGATAAAGATATGATGATGGTGAGACCCAAATACCTCCTATGAGCCAAACATTCTCCTAGACAATACTTTTTACCTCATTCATTTTGAAAACACATATGTGTATTATTATCTTTCTTTTGTAGATCTGGAAAAAGTTCAGATAAATCAAATAATGTACCTAAAAGCTACATAGAATGCCAGTGGAGAGCTGAAATTCCAACCTATACCTATTTGGTTCCAAAGTCTATACCCTTTTACTGACGCTAGGTGCCTCCTAGCTATACAGGGTGAGAAGAGCCATTCCATCAGCAGTCAGTTTTCAACTGAATCTCTCTGCCTATTGAAATTTCTCTAAGTTCTAAATTCCCATAGGAAAGTATCTCTTAATGATGGTCTTTAAATGATTTCAAGGCAAATTTTTTAAAAACCTGGTTAATTCAGCAAAGCTTATCAGGTCAAATCCATTATTTGTCTGATTTGACTGATTTGTTACCATTGAGTCACTAGCCCAGTAGGGCAACTATTCCATGGTTGTCCCTAAGGCTACTCATTAAATCCTGGATGAATAATTAAATATTTTGAATAAGTTTTTCTCTGATAATATATGTTTCCTACGGCTGTTATCTAAAGTTTTTTCTCCCTAGATATGGAATATTTCATTCAGTTTGTATTAATTTCTGTCCAATTCCTAAATTACATGAGTAACATAATTCTGCATTTTCTGGGACCTATAGGATGCTAATTTGTAAAGGTGATTCAATTCCTGGAGGTGTACTAGCTGAGAACTTTCCATTGTGGATCAGCTCCTCCCTTCAAATCCTACTCCTTTAGAAAAAATCCATACACACTCAGAGAAACAGTATTTATCTTAGCAACTCACATTTGATTGTGCATTTTTCTTTAATCTTCAGGCAAGCATTTCTATCAACCTTGGAAGAAGGCTTTGTCCCTTGTTTCCCTTTGAGTCCCCAAGTTGCATCCAGAGATATTCTTAGCCACAGTGAACCTTACTTCTCTGTTTCTACCTCTACTTTGCTGTTACGGGACCTCTTACCTCCCGCAAAGTGTCTTCCTTTTATTTTGAGAAGACTTGAGAGGGTGACTCACATATATTCCAAACAAGTATTTTCAGCCTTTAAAAAGGCTGTGTTCCTTGCAGGCTTCTCTGCTTTCATTTTGTATGTTTTTTTAAAAAATGATACATAGTTACTTTGTTTTTTATCTTTTAAATGTATAATTCATACTACTTTGTACTTTAATATTGTCAATCATTTTAGCAAAACCAGCTCCTTCAGACCTTAATCACTGTTACTCTTTTCCTTAAGTCTCAGACACATGTTTTTTGAGAAGCTTACAACAAACCCAAATGATAGAACTACATGCTGCTGTTAGCATCAGCCTACACCTACACTATTAGCCTAAACCTGCAATATCAGAGTTTTTGTGGTTTGACCAAGCCTTTTATCCTCTTTCCCTTACAGTAAGTTCTTTCCCAGAAAGAAAATATCAGCCCACATGCAAATATATCTTATAAATATGTAGGTTGTGTCCTGATGTAGCAGAATATCATAAATGAACACAGCACATATAGCTATTCGATTTGTTCTTTCTTCAAAACTCAAAATGGAGAATCTCCACTGTAGTGTCTAGGAGAAAGCAAAGATTAGTTAGGTAATGAGGATGTCAATGTCATTCAAGTGGCAATTACTCTGGAATATTCCTTGAAATAACAGTTACTGCTTACTTAACAGTTATTGCTTATACTTTTTGTTCTCATCTTCTCAAGTATTCCTTACAACCACTAAGAACTAAAGGGGTAGATAACTCACTAAATTTACTGAAGAGTCATTGGATTGGCTTCAAGGTACTATTGATTATTGTCAGTGAAACAAGACGCAATGATGCAGTTGCTCAGAGGGCTCTTTTCTTCACATGTAAGTAAGATTCCTCCAGCAGTGGATCACCTTAGTGATCCCTTAGTGAAAAATTGTCGAATCCTTAGCTGTCCCAACAAGAATCAACATATACACAATTCAGTTTGCATCTTCATTTTATACATGTAACTTTAGGTTATGGCTATCATATCTGTTTTTTTTTTTTTTCAGCCACTAAAACTGTAGAGTTGAATATTTAATGGAAAACAGATGGTGCTTGAAATCTCTAACTTACATTTAACAAAAGCTGTTTTGGAAATGTTGCTTATGTATACTTTTTTATTGCTTTAAACACAGCACCGTTTTAGCCTGTTCCGATGAATTATTTAAGAATTAACTGTCCCAGTCTAAGACAGCATTTCAAAGTGCAAGTGTTAATCATAACTTGATTAAACATTTCCTTCCTTTTCTTTTCAGCATTCCAGTTGGCTTTTGAGTGGATACGTGCAGTGAGATCATTGACACTGGAAACACTAGTTCCCATTTTAATTACTTAAAACACCACGATGAAAAGAAATACCTGTGATTTGCTTTCTCGGAGCAAAAGTGTAAGTAACTTTTGTTTTCATCTATTTTCTAAACACATGTACATATAACATTTTAGTTTTGGTTTTGGATTTTAATGCTATGCTATCATGATTAGGCTTGTGGGAAACGTTTAGTCAACTTTCAGTTCTCTGACTGTACACAGCTTATTAACAAACAAAGACTAGTTTGTCTGTGTGACCTGTTAGCATTTGATGAGAATTCTTTCAGCTAGTTTATATCTTACCATTCATTCATATACGTCTACAAGCCTGATGTTGAACACTCTAATTTTTGAGTGCATGCAGAAAATATATGATTAAAAGTCAAAATATAGGGAATTTATGTCTTGAATATGAAACCTTCTGGGCAAGTCTAAAAGCATAAATTATACTTATGTTATTAGTTACTTCAACCAGTCACATTCTGAAAGTTCTTCCCTTCTATGAGCTTTCTACCCTGGCATATATCTCTAATTTCTTCTTTTAATCTTTTTTTAAAAACATTTTAAATTGAACATCCTCAGGGCTCTACTGAAGGTTAAACCTTATTTCCAATTATGTAGTGTTCTTAAGGTACCACAGTCATGATACTTTTTAAATTTATATTAGTGTATGGAAAAAAGCAAATAGAGCAACTCAAAGAAAGCCACACAAGGAAAGGATGAAAGCAGACTATTAATTTCCATCAAGCAAGCGCTAAGAACACATCCCTTTGTTCATTTACCCAAGGGGGATAAGGCATCCAAACAGATGTACTTGTGACGTAGGAACATTAATTTGAAGGCATCAGAAAAACCACAAATGCAAACACATTTCTCTAGTATGGGAACACTTTGTGTTATAACCAGTGATTCTATTGTGGTGGCCCAAGGCCATCTTTCATTCTTTCTATGGAGTTACCATCCAGCTTTTAAGGGTGAGGCATGAGTATGTGCAGATAAAGTATAGTATGCCCAACTGTGTTTGTTAAAAAATGAGGATATGCTGAGAGATATGCCAATCCTTTGACTGAATACCGTGTTTAATAACCAACCAAGTAAATTCAACAAACTCTGAGGAATTGTTCAAATTTATGTGTTTTACTGGTTGGTGTTTGGTTGTATGGATTATTGCATAAAAGAAGGGGCCATGGATTTGAGCCTGGAATTCCTTTTATCATCATACAAAGTCACTCACTGTAATAGGAGGTGACCTGCATACAAACTACCAAACTGCAAACACATCTTTCTCTTACTGAGTTTTCTTATTATAAATTAAATATGAAAGCAAACTATTCATATAATGTTTTCTGTTATTGAATTTCAGAGACATGAGATCTGAAAAAAAAATGTGTAAAGGCAAAAGGGAGGATATTTTGAATAATTACAAATGTCATTAAACATTTCCCTATTCTTGGAGGAAAACATTGTAAAAGCAAATGATTAACTGAGCGGTGACTTTAAGGAACTGAGACTACTTAATGATGCTAGGAGACTTCCTATTTGTATTTGTTTAATGCAAAAAATTTTATCTTGGTGGAAAGGCTCAAGCTTTCCAGATTAAGAGAACCTGAGTTGCCTACATTTGTCAAAATGTAAACAGTAGAACTCTCATTTCACTGCTTCCTAGCTTCTTGAGAATCCACTGGCATAAAGAAAATGCTTCCACTTAATTAAATGACTCTAAGCAGAAGTTAATGTTTATCAGAAAAAAAGAGCCAGACTTATTGCCTAGTTAGAAGTTGTCACTTTAGGGCTATAAAATTTTATTTTGCTCTGGTCTGAGCATATAACCCTCCAACGCTTACGTTTTTGCCATAATATAATCCAAAATTGTATACTTAGAGGTAGATTTTTCCTGGTTTTGATGAAGAAAGTTTAAAGAATTAGTTCTCTTTAGAATCTGAGGATGTTTATCTTTGGCATTCTGACATTTGGAAATCCAAAGAAAATGTTCGAAATTTAAAACAGTCTCTGTTCCTCCCTACATGCCTCTCTTGTAGGTCTTGCATCTTTCATTGTGAAAATTTAAGGCATACAAAAGAGGTAGAAAAAAGATCATCCTTAAACGATCACCTTACTTAGTGAGTTCCTCTCATGAGAGGGGTTCCAGTGTGTCTTGGAAGACCATTTAGTCACTCTTCAACTCAAACAATTCAGGCATAAGATGGGTGGTTAAACTATGTGAGTGTTCTGTTTCCTACCAGTTATGAATTTCTATGATTCTATACCATGTTGTGCTCATTCGTAAGTTGAATCAAAGACCAGTTCCCAAATAAATATAAAATCAAGGCATCAGGGCAAACAGAGTATATTAATCAGCTTGGGCTACAATATACCATAGACTAGGTGGCTTAAACAGAAAAGTATTTTATCACAATTCTGCAGGCTGGGAAGTTCAAGATCAAAATGCCAACCAATTTTGTTCCTGGTAAGCTCTCTCGTCCTGGTTTGCTGATGGCTTGCCGAAAGCTACTTTTTCCCTGGGTCCTCACATGGCAGAGAGAGAAAGCAAGATCTCTGCTGCTGCTTCTTTTAAGGTCACTAATCCCATCATTAGGGCCCCACCTTCATGAATTCATCTAACACTAATTACCTCCCAAAGACCCCACCTCCAAAAACCATCACATTGGGGGTTAGGGCTTCAACAAATGTATTTCAGGGGGACACAAACATTTGGTCCATAAGAGAGTTTGATATTCTTTTTTTTTTTTTTTTCTGAGACGGAGTCTTGCTCTGTTGCCTAGGCTGGAGCGCAGTGGCGCGATCTCGGCTCACTGCAAGCTCCGCCTCCCTGGTTCACGCCATTCTCCTGCCTCAGCCTCCCGAGTAGCAGGGACTACACGTGCCCGCCACCACGCTCGGCTAATTTTTTTGGCATTTTTAGTAGAGACAGGGTTTCACCATGTTAGCCAGGATGGTCTCAATCTCCCGACCTCGTGATCCGCCCGCCTCGGCTTCCCAAAGTGCTGGGATTACAGGCATGAGCCACGGCGCTGGAGTGCAATGCCGGGATCTCAGCTCACTGCAACCTCTGCCTCCCAAGTTCAAGCCATTCTCCTGTCTCAGCCTCCTGAGTAGCTGGGATTAGAGGCATGCGCCATCACACCTGGCTAATTTTGTCTTATTAGTAGAGACAGGGTTTCACCATGTTGGTCAGGCTGGTCTCAGGTGAATTTGATATTCTTAAGGGATGATTGATTTAATAAGTCACTGTCTTGTTTAAGCCCAAAGGGTAGTGACTAGTATAATGGAATCTGTATGTTTTCCCAATTTGGTAACACTGAAAATGATCTGGTCAACATCTTTCTCTTCATTTCTTATTTTCTAAATTTTATGTTAGGGACATTCTTACCAATGATTTTTGAAGTCTAATAATCACTTCATAGACCTAGAAGCTAATTTTAATTTTACTGAAAATGATTTTCCCCTTTCTTCACTATTCTTAGTTTGCTTATTTTATATTGTTCTTTCTTAACATCTAATCCAATGACAGGTCTCTGAAGTATCTTGTCCTATCAATGGATTTACTATTTAACTTTTCAGATGTTTATATATTTCAGAACTGACTATCTCAGTTACCCTTCTTCCCTCTGCTAATGCCTGCTTTCTTACTGGCTTTTAGCTAATCAGGGGAGGGAAGGAAAGGTACAGACAAGAGAACAGGATATAAAAATTTTTGTTGTAATTATATATTTTAAAATCAGGAGTTAAAGTAAAAATTTTAGCATTTTCTTTTCTTTATAATATCCCTGTTATTCTCCAAACTCATGAAGTTTTATAAATCTTCTCATCTGGAGAATAAACTAGATAAATTTTAATTCTTATTCATTAATAAATTTTCTTGTGTATTAAATTCTAAACTTTCTTGTAGTCTTTTGCATTAAATTCCCAATTTTCTAGTACACTGAATCATTTTCTTCCTACCAGTTTGAAGATATTCAAGATGTCATCTACTTAATTGGATTTGTTAATTTTCTTGATGAAATTGCCCTTTATTTGACTTAGGATTCTTATGGATGTTCTACTTTTGGATAAATTTGTCACTCACCAGATGTCTTTGATGTTCCTTGTTCTTTTTTGATAGAATTGTTGTTCAGTGTTCATTCAAAACTGGAAGCAACTCCTTGGTGTTTGGAAGACATAGGGTATCTGGCACATTCTTTCATAATGAATTTAAAGCCCACCTAAATAGGCTGTCAGTTTTGAGTCTGGGGGCTAGGAGCCCATCTGGTGAAATTTTTCCCAGTAGGCTCCCTAGAATATTGCTTATTTTCATGGAAGACTTTAAAAAATTGTACAAACTTGGTAAACTAAAGTGATTTTATTCTTAAGAAAATATATATTTTTTTCCATCTGTACCTTTACATTGCTGAGTTTTTAGAAGCAGTCACTCACCTAATGACCCAGGGTGAGTTATTTATGCCATTTTATCTGCATTTTTTAGTGTCTTCCTGGAGTGGGCAGCCAAAAAATAAATTTAGAAAAGATGGTACATTTTGTTATGGCACTTCAGAGCTATCTGCATTCATTTTTCCTCACAATTACCCTGTAAGATAGAGTATTTTTTATTTGTATGGTTAAAGTAAAAATAACAAATTCCTTCCTAGATGGGCTTCAATTCTCTACTATATTCAACCCCACCTAAGCTACGAGATTGACAAAGCTGTTGCAGCTTAGAATCCTAATAAAGTTAAGGATGTATAAACTGATTTTTTTCACTGGTATTCACTCAGCAGGGTCCAAGAAGGTCACGGGAGATGCTGTAGGTAAAATCCTTTGAAAAGCACAAAATACAAAACAAAACCAAGTTCCTGCTTGTGTCTTTATTCACAACAAATTGATATGAGAAGTTGTAGTTTTAGAGATTTCACTCCTTTGGTCCTTATACCTGCCTTCCAGCTTGTTCTCCTTCTTTACAAAGTTCTACAAATATTTACTGAATGGCTACTGTGTGTTAGGCTCTGAGTATCCAATGTAAGATACATGTTCTCTCTACCCTCATAGAGCATATCTGATAACTAAATTTATAATTTTTACAATTTGTTAAAATTATTTCACCACCCTGTCTCCCTAACCCTGATCACCTAACTGTATCCCATTTTAATCTTTAATTCTTTTTAGGAAGGCTGAAGTTCTGTATCTCTCTGAAGTCTCTCTGTATTTGCACTTCATCACGTTGTGGGCACCCTGTTTAGTAGGGATATTTTGAGCTGTGAATAATGTGCTATAATTGACAATTATGCTCATTGTTGCAGAAACATAGATTATTTCAGAGTAGATAAAAAGAATTTTTCTCAGATAATCAACAATAGTATAAGAATAGCCAAGAGTATAAATAAATGTGAGAATGACAGGAAAGGTCTGAAAGAACAGCGACTGATCAGCAACCATTTGCTTTAAATCAATCACATGTCACATGACTGTTTTAGTGGCCAAAGCCAATCATTAAATTGTCATCTTGGAAAAAGTTCCACTTTTTTCTGTACTGTGATGTGTTTGCTATTTCATTTTTGGACAATTTCAAGTTGAAGTTGAATTACAAATGATTACGTCCAAGAAATAATTGCATATATTGTACTTACCAGTGTAAACACCACAGATACAAAAAAATGGAGAGAAATCTTGTTGCATTGTTAATGAATATTAAAAAATTATTCTTACAGACAAAATCTCTCTATAACAAAGTGAAATTTTGAAGAAAAGCATAACTGGTGGAGTTTTCTATCAGTAGTATTTGCTCTAGAAAAATGTTTATAATGGCTGCTTATTTTTAACTGAAGGTAATTTTCTTTTAAAATTTTGTTTAGCTTTTTTTCACTATTGAAATGGCAAATGTTTTGAAAACTAAAAAATTGACTTCAATTAAAATTATTAGTGTGTTTACATTGTTTCCCATGGTCAGCACTTTCAAGGGCAGAACTGGAATTGTCCCTGAGTTATAGTTCTGGCTTTGCATCTGTGCATCTATGTCTTGGTAGAAGAAGTGGGAGTAAGAGAACCATAAGTAATTAGTTTTATTATCAAATGCTTCCAATAGCTTGCATAATTTTTTTCAAGGGTAAAATGAGAAAAACAGCATTGAAATCACATTAAAAAATAAAGCAAACAAAAAATCCAAACCAAATCATCAAGCAGAAATCATTTTAAAAATGCTATACAATAATCAATTGTGTTCAATACTTCTGCGCCAAAACCTTTAAGTCTTAAAGCTTTCCTAAATGGAATTAGTCCATCAATAAGCAGATAACAACTTTACTTTTATTGTTGAAAAATGTCACTCTTGTCAGTTCACAAGTTTCCCTAACTTGTGCAAATTAAAAGCCATGACAGCAAGGCCAAGAATGGTTCGTTGGTATATAGTTAGAGAGACCCTGACCCTGCTTTCTTGTTCTTCCTATTACCCAGGATATGTCATACGCCACACACATGGGGGTAGGGATACCGCCCTACTTATAGCATAAGAACTGAGAATAAGACATTTAGCTTATAACTCTTTTATGGTAATATTCCCCTCCCACTGCCATTCTTCCTACTCAGGTAGTCTGGACTTCTGTTTTGGCAATATTGCTTCCGTGAGAAGGATTTGACTGTACTTGCAGCCCTCAACATCCTGAATTTAATACAATCTACGATATTTGTTAAGCCCTCACCAACTATTTGACCAAACTATGACAGTTACATCCCACGGAACTGTATACCAAATGGTACCCCAGCAGTTCAGAGAGTTAACACACCACCAATTCACTTCCAGGTTGGGCTTTAAGATTTTCAGAGGATCTTGCTTATGAAATCAT
This sequence comes from Homo sapiens, assembly GCF_000001405.40. Lineage (NCBI taxonomy): Eukaryota > Metazoa > Chordata > Mammalia > Primates > Hominidae > Homo > Homo sapiens. The sequence continues at coordinate 60,178,802 of NC_000005.10, read as the reverse complement.
ATTGGCTTTTAGATAAATGTATTAAAATTACTGAAAACAAATGATAACACCACAGTACCACAACCTAAACAATCCTTTCTATAAATTAATTTAAAACAAGAAACAACAAGCTTTAAATGTCATCATCTCTGCTTATTGTATGTCCTTAAAAATATTATTAAATGTCCAACTTTTATTTTTCTAGAAGAGGTCATTATATAGCATTGATTTGCCAGCAGGGTTCTATTTGAACATACCAAGAGACCTAGACATTGCTCAGAAACAGTAGTCTCAAAATAAACAAGGGATTGGAGGAAAAGATGAGAGATCTCCAGTATGTCTGCATATAAGGGCTGAAAAAGTAAAAGTTTCCAATTGTTTTTTTTTCTTTGCAAGTGCTCATGCAGGGATTCAGAACATGCATTCCTCACCCAACATAAATGAAATAATTGGCAAGTAGTCAAAGAAGACCATATCCTTGAGTGGGTAGTATTGTTGTCTATTTGGAAAGCATTTACATGTTTTGATTTCCTGAAACAATGCTGAAAATGTCCTAATGCAGGAAGGGAGAATTGAAAACAACCACCATAAAATGCAATTAGATGTTGGTAAAAGTGACTCAGAATAGACGTAAGTTAAAACTTTCTGACAGGGTTTTCTAGCACTGGGACAGTATTTTTTGAGGAAATTATAAAATGGTCTTATTTCAAGATCTTTTAACAATCTGATGAAATATTTATGGTTCTTTAAATTTGTATTGTTAGTATCATACTCTGAATTATAAAACATTTAAACATTTTAGTTTATAATCTTTAACTTCTCACTATTATATTTATAAATGTGTATATAATTTGTGCATATGTAGACATTCATGAGGAAGATGAACATATATGTTAATTGGCATCTGCTCATTTAAAACTAAAGTTGTATACTTTCATTACAGTAATACACGTCATTCATTAAATTATCTTGTGGCTTAGCTTTACAAATTCTTACCGTTACATGACTTTGGGTGAATGACCTCACCGGTGTCTATATCACTCATGTGTAACATGAGAGGAGTAGATTAAATAAACGAAAAGATTTCTTTCAACTCCAAAGCTATGACAATGTATTTTCAAGATTGTGTACTTCTTAGAACAGGCTCAATAATAATTTTTCACATTATGAACTTTGCAGTCAAAGAATAGGTTCTTCTTAACCTAACAAATGACTATCCTTTCCACCCAAAGTATAAACAGGATCCTGATTAATAAATTGAGTTCAAAGAATCTCTGCCAAGTATGCAAAATCACTGCCTCTGTTTGTCGGACATTCATTGCCTCTAAGAATTGATGGAATTGAAAATAACCTCATTTTACTGGGACCTCAGAGAATTAATTATTTAAATTTTTTGCTGCTTTAAACATTAATTTTCTTAATTTACCCATATATGTTGCTGATAAGAGCTGTAATATTTTGAATGGTTGTGCTTTGAAGAAATCTGAATCCTTTTGCTTTGTATTCCAATGACAGCAGCTTTGACCAGCGACCAGCTCTCTTCTGAAAACTACCATTTTGACCCCTGCATTTCACCTGTTGTCCCACCAAGCCTGTCTGTTTTTCCATTAACAGAGACCTCTGAATTGTTGTGCCAAATGTGGACAGTGTTGTTTCTTCCTCACTTTCCTGAATTATAACCAGTTCCAGGCGGTAACATGCAACCGAACTTTACTGAGTCCTGGACATAATGGGAAAAAATCATAGTGTAGAAAGAAAACTATAGGACTGAATATAAAAAAATAATCATTTCTGGCATTACAGGACAAACCCAGTCCTTTCTGCTTAGTTACTGACCTACCCCCTGTTGCTTTGCTTATCTTCCCACAGTGAAATGTCTTTCTTCTTATATCCTACATGGTTTCCAGGCCCTTTACTCCAGGAAAGCCAGGAGAAACGCCTTATTCCAAGTTCAAGTAAACATAATAATTTACAAAGATACAACTCTGCCCACAACAAAAAACTCCTTTTACAGCGTTATGCAAAGGCATTTAGACTGGAACATCTATGTTCCAGACACAGACCTTAACCAGTCTTTTGTCAAACTAAAAGAGCAATCTTTCCTCAAAGCTGGAATAACACCTTTTCTTTTAAAATAACATTTCGTGTCTCACACTCCCAGATGTTTTCATTTAAGACTTTAGAAAATACTGGGATCAGTTATCAGCCAAGAGTACCCCCATTCTAATAAAAATATTTAAAGACATGGAAAAATCAATGAATCCAAACAATCATCATCCTCACCAAACCCTTATCATTTCTATAACTCACAGTAAATAATCTCAAGTTCTTTATTTTGGTAAATTAAGAAATTCCAGAGTAAACTCTCTAGCTTCTGATTTAAGCTCAGAGATGCAGAGAGCTTCAGAGTGTCGTTCTCATTCTTACCATAAGGAAAAATCTATACAAACTACCTATTCATTAATTTAAAAAAAAGCACCAGCAAATTTAGGTCGTAGGGCAACCAAACAACTCCAAATCTGGAAAGAGACAGGCACCTGCAAGAAGAAAGAGGATGGCATCATTTGTTTTTCCTTGGGTAGACACCACCAGATGTCATGTAAACCAGCAAGATGATTCAGCTAAACATTTTAATGAATTGCTAAGGCTGAGTATGGGCTAGCATGAAAATGTGACACACTGGAGGTGGCAGATATAGGGAGTGCATCCTATAGCAGGCTTTTCCTCCACAAACCCCACCAGGCACTCACAGGAAAGACTGGGGAGAACAGCAGCCACCTTCAAACCCACAACCATTTCCCAGTGGAACAAAAGAGTTAATTGGCAAAGAGAATAGCAAAAATCATTGTCTTAGGGAACTGGAGGAAACCCATTGGTGATGGTGGCAGTAGGAAGAATGATCGTGGTGAGGGGAAGAGAAAAAAGTAATGCTCTATCCCCAGGGGTGGGGTATGGAATATATGCTAGGATTTGCACAACAATTGGAGAAAGTTGCAGGAGCACTTGTGAAGGCCACATTGCTGATACAGAGGTACACATTACCTACCTAAGACTGAGTCTTAATCAGAACATCAAGGAATGCCCTTCCTCCCTGGCCTGCTACCAACAGCCTAACAAGTGTTGAGTAAAAATAATATGGGAATATGGTTGAATATGGAAGAAATTCAAGAGACACATTCTCTTTAGGGCCCAGCATTAAGGGAAGACCCAAAGCTAAAGGGGGAGCAAATATTAAGAAAATAACAACTGGCAAGCCATTTCACAATCTATTCCTCTTTAAGAATCCAAAAGTATCTATCTCAGTATCTACTGTCCTACACAAGATATCCGGCTTTCAGCAAAATATTATGACCATATGAAAAGGCAAGAGAAAGCACTCCGAAGAGATAATACACATAAACATGTGATATATGGGACACATATAAAAATTATCACACAAGGAATTTAAAGTAACTATGATTAATATTTTAAAGGTTCTAAAGGAAAAGGTTGACCACATGTGAGATCAGATAGGTAATTTCAGAGGAGATATGGAAACTAAGAAAAATCAAATGGAAATGCTAGAAATTAAAAACATAGTCAAAGAGATTAAAAAATGTCTTTGGGCTTGTTAGTAGACGTGAGACAGCTAAGGAAATAATCACTGGACTTGAAAATAAGTCAGTAGAAATTACCCAAACAGAAAAAAGAGTGGAAATAAAAGGGAGAAAGAAAGAACATAACAGAGCATCCAAGAACTCTGGTACAATATTAAGTGGCATGACATATCCATAATTGAAATGACAGAAGGAGAGGAAAGAGAAAAAGAGGCAGAAGAAATGTTTGAAGAAAAAAATCGCTGAAAAAATTTCCAAAATTGATGATGGACACCAAATCACAGACTCAAAATCTCCAAGTATATCAAGCAAGATATATACCAAAATAAACACACACGTGCAGAGTCATGTTATATTGAAATTGCTAAAAATCAACAACATAGAGAAAACCTTAAAGGCAACCAGAGGGAGGGAATGATAAATTACCTAAAGAGAAGTAAGGATAAGAATTACAGCAAATTTCTCCTCAGAAATGTTGTGAGCAAGAAGAAAAAGGAATGACATCTTTAAAGTATTGAAAGAAAAACAAAACCCAGTAACCCAGAATTCTATGCCCAATAATAATACAGTTAAAACAGGAATTTAAATTTTTCTGACTGAACTTTTTAGGTTCCTATTCTGTCTGATGTCCCCAAAGTAATATGCACCTATATCCTCATTTTATTTTGTCTTTCCTTTTTCAAATCTGAGAGGGTAAAGCTGTTTCTTCTATTCAAGACCAACACCTCTATTGCCTCAGAGGGTTAGTCAATTGCCTCCTCCCTCTATAGGCTCAATTGCAATTTAGCTAATCTCTCTTCTATTTCTCCTTTTTACCTTAGTTTATGAACTAGACCATCCAGTCCTTTCTGTCACTCCCGTCCATGTATATCTCTTTTGACAATTCTAGTATTTATATTTTTCTTTCTAGTAGTTATTGCTATTTCCTTCTGAGACTGCATGTTCCTTAAACAATGCTGTTCCCCAAGATTCAGTCATTGGCCCATGTAATATTTTAAGGTATGAAGACACCTGAAAGATCATAAGATATCTCCTTTCATGTCTTAACTATCTTCTATTTGATTATCTCTCAATTTCCATATTTAGTTCCCATTTCTACTTTTAGTCACAGAACTCTAACCAAGTGCTTGCTGGACATTCATAACATCTACACAACATTTCCCAAACTAGATGCATCCATTATTCTTCCTCATCTTTAAACATACTGCTACATATCCTAAATATTTTCTATTATATTTACTGCCTCAGCTATCCAGTTGCCTAAGGCAGAGCCCTGGGAACCTTCCTCAGCTCCAGACTCATCATCCCTCCCAACATCTAAACAAGCAACAAGTGTTACTGCATGTATTTGTGGGCACATATTTCTGAGTCCTCATCTCAGCTTGACTTCCCTTTCCACCAATGCCCTGGGGATCACCTTATTTTTTCTCCCCAAGATGGTTCTCATTAAAATATACCACAGTAGTGATAAGTAGTAAAATTATATATGGAAGCTGCTGACTGTTGCTCCATTAGCTGTTTCTGTGGCAACTCTATTTTTTCCTATTAATAGTGTACTAAGTGTTTTGAATCTATGTCTTTTCACAACTTCTTTTGATTACAGTTTAAGATAGCCTTTAAATACTAAATTCATATTAAGGTGGATCTGATTGTGTGTGTGTGTGTGTGTAATTTCTGTTACAGCCATCATTCATAATTCATTATTTGTGAGGAATAATTATAGCAAAGACTGATTAGATGAAATGTTAGATTATTTATTATACCAGATTCGAATGGAATTAAAGTCTAATATATGTGTTAATGTGACTAATAAGAATAACAATAATAATTTAGAATTGCAAAATGCTTTTAAGTTTCCATATACTATTACAACATTTTCTTGTTTTTTTCCTTTATAAAAACTTACAGGTAGGAAAGGCAGTTATATTTATCCTCATTTTATGAGCCTTAGACAGATTAGGTGAGTTAGCCAAGATGCACAACTAGTAATGGTGAATCCTAGATATACTTCAGTTCTTCTGATTCCAAATTCCTTACTTTGGACACTAAACCTTGGAGCCACACAAATGTAACTGTAGGCATCACTTATGTACTAATGTACCTGTTACACCATGTGCCTACTGGAGAGAAACTGTAACATATTTATAGTCAATTATCTATATTTATAGCTATCCTCACAGTTGGATAACAATGTTATATTGTAAACTCTAGATACTTTTGCACTCTATGACAGAAAGTGGATTTTTTGTTTAGGAAGACATTTTAATTATGAATGGAGGCTTGTTGGGGATCCCTATTAGCCTTTGTTAAATCACAAGGAAGGTAAACTCTTTTGCATAATAAAGTATTAGGATTTTTAAACTTGTCCCCTGACTGCTCAAGAGATGAAGTTTGGGGAGCGGCAGTACTTTGGAGGACTCTGGTAAGTGAATAGATATAAGAAAGTTCTGCAGGGATAGAGCCACATGGCAGCAGACAGGGCTTAGGAAGAGGGACTACCAATTGTCCCTGTAGCAAAGATGGCCTGGTTAAAGCCTCTTTAGAATGAATGAGTTCTAGTAACCAGTTTTAAAGATTTGTCTGTTTCTTTTCTCCCCTCAACCCTTTCTTTAAACTTTCTGTAATCACAACAGCATTGTAACAATTTTGCCTCAAGCTGGGAAGAGAAGGGCTGTGTTCCTCCTAGAGACAAAACAGGGAAGAAAGGTAGCAGGGGCAGAGTGAAAGCAATGATTGCTGTGGAATTGGAACAACTGTGCAGAGGAAGCTGTGACAAATAATTAGGGTTGGTGAAGCACCTGTCCCTTTGGAGGTATTTCCCAGAAATACTGGGAAGGGCTCTAAATGTCCCATTGTTATGTGGGGAGATGGTTTTGTTTATTGTATTGCCCACAGAAGTCTGAATACGTTCAAATATTTTGCATATTTGTGTGTGTGTGTGTGTGTGTGTGTGTGTGTGTGTATTGAAGTACTTGGCATAAGGTTATGCTATTTCAAATTAACTTATAAAGTAATTTGGTTGATGCAATATTCTGTGATCAAAATTTATTGAGGACCTCACCAAATGCCAACATGTGTGTGTATATATATATATTATATTATATATATAATATAATATATATATATTCACTCATTTAGTTCTCAAAACTATTCTATGACACTAATATTTTATGTAACTTTTCTATGATACGATTATTATTCCTATTTTTTGGATAAACAAACTAAAGTACACAAAGGAGCCAATACTTACGTCTAAAATACCTAAAACATACATATTTGAAATAAGAGAATATGAGGAAAAAGTCTCAAAATTTTATGTAGGTTTTAATAATAAAATTGAAAAGTCGAATCATTTTAAAACCTTAAAGTTAGTATATGGAAATATTTGGCTCAAGAGTGAACTTTAGACCTCTTGTCTGGATATGAGTATGGAATACATTATTCAGTTTCTTTTTTATAACTTTAAATAGCTTGTAAGAAGACACCTATGCAAATAGCAATTTCTCCAAGATAAGTGGCCATACAGGCCTTATGACCTTTTGAACATGTCTTCCCAAATACTTCATTTCTGATTAGAGGATGGTCATTCAGATTTCACTGGATTTAAATCCACAGTGGGATAGGTTTTAATCCTTTCTGGAAAAAATATTTATAAAGCCTATGTGAGTTTCAGAATAGTAAGAGCTTTTATTCTGTCTCTCCTTGGATGTGTTAACCCTTCCTTCTACCTCAGATCCATGCATTTCTCTAAGTTTTATACTTTGTTTAAATTGAGCTTTCATTGTTTCTATGACCAATTTTCAATTTGTCTCTACTTTGCACTTCAGTAGAACTAAGATGAATTCTGAAAACGCACAACAGCCTTCATCAATGGTCCCTTTCTGTAAAGAGTATCTCTCCCCGTACATATTCAGAACAGTATAATTTTAGGAATCAACTGTATCTACCTAGAAATATGTTTTATTTCTCTCTGTCTCCAAAAACAATTGAAATTCTCTCATATGGTTTATTGCCTTGCATTTACAAAGGAGCCACAAAGTTCGATTTGTGTATACTATTTTTGCTTAACTAGCTATCTGGCTGATGTGCACATCAACAAATGACAATGTAGTCATTCCATCTTTGGTACATGGAGTATTATTTGATAAAAATTCCACTATATTTTAACTTCTGAAAGTAAGGTGATTTTGAAGTATCTAGAAGATAGTTTCTTTATTTCAACAATCATAACCCTGTGCTGCCAGATACATATTTTGATCCCAAACTTGAAAATATTTCAATGGTTAGATTATTATGCTTTTCATCTGACAGATTTTATGGTTTACCATTTTCACTTAAGCTTTCCCAGCTTTTTCTCCTCTTTAAAAGTAAACTATTGGAAGTTTCATCATTTCCATTATCAATACTAGAAATTAAAGAGTCAGAGATATATGTATTCTCAGAATTGTCTGAAGAGTTTATTGTAATTTAATAAGATGTTCTCTTCTGTTGTTTCATCTATTATGTCATTACATATCATCTATGTCATTATCGTGTTTCTCTTCATGATTTTTCTGGATCACTTTAATGCTCTAATCAAGTGCTCTTTATTTTGTGTACAGAGGCCTCATTATGATAATACTATATAAAACATTTGTATGATGCTTTTCAGTTTACAAAGTCCTCTTAAAAAACATTACCTTATTTGCAACTCATAACAACCTTGTACATTAGGCTGTGTTATTATTATTATTATCTGTAGACAAGAAAACACTTTTATCAGGTAATGGAGAGGCATTTAAATGGAAGATTTTCAAATCCTTACCTGAGATCTGTTCACTCTTTTCCTTCTTTTTTAGTTTGTTCCCTTTTACTCTGTATCCTTGGAATTATGTAGATCTATAGTGAAAGGCTAGCCTATCAGTTGCTAGCCATTACTTTACCAAGCTGAGCCTTATTTGACTCATCCCAAGTAATATAGGTGATAATGACTACATCATAGGATTGTTATGAAAACTAAGTGAGACAAAGCACGTTAAAGTGTCTAACACAGTACCATTTTATCCATCCATATGCCATATGGTGGCATAATATTCTAGGTTGGCTATTCCTTAATGCTATGTAAATTTTCTTTCTTCTGAAATTAAAATAATTATAATACTTAATCCAAATTAGACTCTAAAAAGGTCATGGTCAGTATAATTTATGAGGTAAAAATGGCATCAAAAAAGAAAGAAAAATGCAGAGTACAGAGTAAAAACTGAGCCATTTTCTGGGAACTGTTGTGAAATTGAGTTTCTTAGGCTTTTCATGTCGATAATGCAAACTAAATATAATTTGCAGGTCCACAAAAAGTAAAATGATATAAAATTATGCTAAAATCAAGAAGAATGGAAATTAATGGATTTAAAAAATTATTGTTATTGCATTCTCTCAATTTTTTAAGACTCTGTCTCTGCAGTAATAAAGGGAACAGAGGGAAAAGTGGGATTCCAAAATAGTTTATTTAGACTTGGAATGCTTGCATGCTTATATCTCACTCAACATGAATACGTCTTAACTAATGGGGACTTAATGAAAACTTTATATTATTATTAATTGATTGTGGATTAATAAATGAATTAAAAATGGGGTTAGAAATAGTGCGTTATTTCTTCATCTCTTGCCTTTATTCAGCTTTTCTCTTTGTCCATTCTACAGTAGGAATGAATTCTATCTCATAGATAGATTTAGAAACCAACTCCAGCAAAAAAATTGTTGTGCTCTTTGTGAGGGAAGAGGTTAGATTAGGATGAATTAAATATTTCAGTTGAAAAAAATCTGAGCAAATTCATTTAAGATATTTTGAAAACTCCTAAACAGTATATAAATATATGAAAGTTTAAACAATAATAAACAGTGGAGGTACATCTTTTGTGTTGTAAAAAATGTAGTTGATCTTTTTCTTTAATGTTTCCTTATTTTTGTGTTTTGCTTAGTGAGGCTTTTCTACTGCAAGATTATGGATAATTTTGCCCATGTTTTTGAACATTCTTATGGTTTTTCTCTTTTCCCCTAACCTTGACAAACAAACTTCCTTTCAAATGTCCTAGATGCTTCAGGGATAGCTATTTGAAATAGTTCTTGGAGATTAATAATTCTCCATGGCAAGCTGTCTTATCCGTATTCTGGTAGGTTATCTTATAGAAGAGGAAAAGAAGGCAAAATCCTAGAGTTAAAAAATACAATAAACAAAATGAAAAAAGTAGTAATAACAAGTACAACAACAAGAGCTCTAGTGGTATACTGAGAAACAACTGCATTCTTTTGTTCTTTTTTCTTATTTTCAATCATTATGTTGCATGAGGTACAGCCATATGAATAAATATGTACTAACACATACCTAGACATACACAATCAGCCCTCATATTCATGATTTCTGCATCTGTGGTTTCAGTCAATTGCAAATCTAAAATACTTTTTTAATCATCTGTAGTAAGCATGTAGAGACTTTCCTTGTCATTATTTCCTAAAAAAATACAGTGTAACTATTTACATAGTATTTACATTGTATTAGATAATGTAAGTAATCTTGAGGTGGTTTAAAGTACACAAGAGGATGTGCGTAGGTTACATGCAAATACTATGCCATTTTGTATCAGGGACATGAGCATCCGTGGTATTCACTGGAAGTTGTGAAACCAATCTCCCACGGATACCAAGGGACAACTATATACATATATGTGGCTATGCGGCCTACCTACTCAGAAGAGGGTTCACAGAAGAAGGGGCAGCATGGAGAGATTCATAATGTCTTGTGAGGGAGAGGGGAGCCTACAGTGGAATGGTTAGTTAGAAAATAGCCAATAACTTATTTCCAGTGAGGAATTAGAAAACAGGGATTATGGAATTGGAAAAACTGAGGCATTAAAAGTCTTCCTCCTGAAATTACTATGCCAAGTGGAAAATCTGCTCTGAACCCCTATCCAGGAAAACATTCTTCTTCAAAAGATGTTACTTTTAACTTTGATAAGTCTTGATTAGCTCTTTTGGGTTTTAGCTGTTCTTTCACTATGTCCACACTTTACTTATCAATATTAATAAATCTTGTTATAGCCAGAGTGGTTTGCAACCTAAAGTAGAAAATATCTATATCTCAGGGCTTTGTACCTGATTGCACAGGTAGCAATCCCAGGCTAAGAGTACCCCTTAATGCTGCAATGGCCACAGTAGTCTTGGACAGGGGGATCATGCCAGTAGGTCTGCCCAGAATCTCTGGATAGATTTATTGTTGAAGACCATTCCTAGACAAATCCATTCTGTAAAGACTGGAATAAGTATTTACTTCTTTAGATGTGCAGATATTGATACATGTCCTCAAACATCAGATATAATCAGGGAAACATGATGACACCAAATGGACAGAATAAAGCACCAGTGATTGACCTTAAAGAGATGGAGATGCATGAACTTCCTGACAGAGAATTCAAAATAACTGTTTGAGAAAGCTCAGTGAATGTTGAGAAAAGACAGATAAACAATTTCTTTTAAAAAAGGAGAACATTAAGTGACCCACAATGAGAAACAGAAAAATTGAAATAACAATTTTTAAAATTAAACAGAAATCCTAGAGCTAAAATATACAATGAACAAAATGAAAATGAAATAGCATCAACAGCAGACTTGATCAAGCAGAAAAAGAATCTGTAAACTTAAACACAGGGTTATTTGAAAATACACAGTTCAGGCCGAGGCGGGCGGATCACGAGGTCAGGAGATCGAGACCATCCTGGCTAACACGGTGAAACCCCGTCTCTACTAAAAATACAAAAAATTAGCCGGGCGAGGTGGCGGGCGCCTGTAGTCCCAGCTACTCGGGAGGCTGAGGCAGGAGAATGGCGTGAACCCCAGGGGGCGGAGCCTGCAGTGAGCCGAGATTGCTCCACTGCACTCCAGCCTGGGCGACAGCGAGACTCCGTCTCAAAAAAAAAAAAAAAAAAAAAGAAAATACACAGTTCAAGGAGAGGAAAGAATGAAAGGAAGGAAGAAAGCATATGAGATTTATGTGACAGCATCAAAAAACAAATGTTTGAGTCATTGGTGTCAAGAAGAAGAAAAAAACAAAGGAGTAGAAAGTTTGTTTGAAGAAATAAAATCAGAAAACTTTCCAAATCTGGAGAAAGAAATAAGTATTCAGGTCAGGAAGGTCAAAGATTTCCAATCAGATTCAGTTAAAATAAGACTATTCAATACATATTACGATAAAATTCTCAAAAATCAAAGACAAAGAGAGGGTCCTGAAAGCAACAAGAGAAAATAAGCATACAACACATAAGGGCATTTTAATATGTCTATCAGCAAACTTCTCAGCAGAAACCTTACAGATCAGGAGGGACTTGGTGATATATTAAAAGTGCTGAAGGAAAAAAAAAATGCCAGCCAAGAATGCTATACACAGAAAAGCCATCTTTTAGAAATAAATACTTTCCCAGAAAATCAAAAGCTGAAGAAGTTTATCATTGCCAGACCTGTGTTAAAAAAAATGCTTAATGGAGTTCTTCAAGCTGGAATAAAAGAATGCTAATAATACAAAAACATGTGTTAATGCTAGTAACACAAAACATCTATAAATATAAAACTCATTGGTAAAAGTACATAGTCAAATTTAGAATACTCTAATATTGTAATGGTGGTGTTTAAATCACTTATATCTTTAGAAGAAAGGTTAAAAGACTAAATTAGTAAAAATAATAACTACAATAATTTGTTACAGGACATGCAGTATAATAAGATGTAAATTGTGACACCAAAATTCAAAATGTGTTTGGGAGAATGAGGTAAAAGTTTAGAGTTTTTTAATTTTTATTTTGCAATCCATGTTAAGTTGTTATCAGCTTAAAATAACCTGTTAAAAGTAAAAGTGTCTTTTATAAGCCTCATGATAACTACAATGGAAAAATAACTTGTTAAAATTATGGAAACCTCGTCTCTACTAAGAATACAAAAAATTAGACAGGCGTGGTGGCGGGCGCCTGTAGTCCCAGCTACTCAGAAGGCTGAGGCAGGAGAATGGCGTGAACCCAGAAGGTGGAGCTTGCAGGGAGCTGAGATCGTGCCACTGCACTCCAGCCTGGGCGACAGAGCAAGACTCAGTCTCAAATAAATAAATAAATAAATTTTATAAAGTGTTTTTTATAAGCCTCATGGTAACTACAAAGGAAGACCCTATTATTGGTACACACAACACAAAATGCAAGGAATCAGAATACACTACTAGAGAAAATCACTTAACCACAAAGAAGGGCAGTAAGAGAGAAATAAACAAAGACTCTACAAAACAACTAGAAAACAGTGAACAAAATAGCAGTAGTAAGTTCTTACCCATAAATAAGCCCTGAATGTAAATGGATTAAATTCTGCAATCAAAAGACAGAAAAATAGATTTAAAAAAAAGACCCAATCATATTCTGCCCTCAAGGGACCCACTTCACCTGTAAGTACACACATAGATCAAAGGTTAAATGTTATTATATTATATATAATTATCTATAATATAAAAACATATTTATATATAATAATGTTATACAGATATAAAATTGAACACACAAATAAATAGAAAGATATTTCATGTTCATGGATTCAAATAATCAATACTGTTAAAATTTCCATAATACCCCAAATGATCTACAGTTTCAGTGCAATCCCTACCAAAATATTAATGACATCCTGCATAGAAGTAAAGAAATTTTAAAATTAATATTAGAATTATAAAAAACCTGAATAGCCAAAGTATTATTGAGCAGAAAGCACAAAGCTGGAGGCATCACACTACCTGACTTCAAAATACTCTACAAAGCTAAATTAGCCTAAGCAGCGTGATATCAGCATAAAAACAAACAAACAGATAGACCAATGGAACAGAATACAGAGCCTGGAAATAAATTCACACATTTGTAGCCAACTGAGTTTTGTCAAAAGTGCCAAGAACACACAATGGTGAAAGGGCAGTCCATGTTTATTGCAGCACTATTTTTATGATAGCCAAGATATGGAATCACCTCAATCATCCATGCAACAACATGGATGAACCTGGAGAACCTCATGTTAGGTTAAATAAGCCAGGCACAAAAAGAGAAACACTGTATGACCACACTCATATAGAATCTAAAATCATTGATCTCATAGAAATAAAGAAGTAAATGGTAGAGAGGCTAGACAGGTTGGGGGAGGGGGCTTGGACAAATGGTCAAAGGATACAAAATTTTAGATAGGAGGAATAAATTCAAGAGATTTATTTCTGAGCATGGTGACTACAGTTAATGGCAATATATTGTATTATTGAGAAATGCTAGGAAAGCGGGTATTAAATGCTCTCCCACAAAGCGATAACTATGTAAGTTGATGCATATGTTAATTAGCTAGATTTAACTATTCCACAATGTAGAATACTTCAAAACATCATTTTGTATTTGATAAATGCATACTTAATTGACAGAATGTCAATTAAGAAACAAAACAAAACCAGCTCATGTCCTCCTGCAATGATTTAGGAATCCCAGAATAATTAATAGAGCCAAAATTTCCATCACATTTTCCTTGACTGCCAGTTCCATGTTGGCTATATCATTCTGTGAGCAAGTTTTCATTTTTTAACATTTAGTATGTTTACTCAGTAATCAACATATTTGCTTATAAGTAGTGACACAGATATTCAGCCGCATATATTTTTCTAAACTGGTATCCTCTTGTTTCTGCACCATTTATTGAAAAAATCCATCTTTTTTTCTAGAAGTATGAGTTTTTGATTGCTTAAATAGAATGGAAGGAGAAAAGGAAAATAATTAACTTTCAGATTTCACTAGGTTTTGGGTTTTTGCAACATAAGGAGTATTCCACTTAGACTTCTGGAAAATTTCTATTTTTAATCCAGGTTTATTTGTTGACCAGTGCCTTTGAATAGTTTTCCCGTTAGTTGTAAATAAAGGATTTCTTTACTCTGTGTCCTTGGTTTTCCTCTTTACCTGATATTTAGAATTATTATTGATAATTTAGTAATAATTTTATCATTAATATCCCAATCTATTGCTTGATTTGTCATCATATTGAGAGTTTGAGAAGAATTTATTTTTATTAAATTATTTTCCTTAAAAACAAAGTGTTATAAAAGAGAGGGTTAATAGAACAAAATGAAGAATAAATAGCTATTAAGAGGCTAAGTGGTATTAAAGACAGCTCTGTGGCATTTTGAGGTTAACATATTTAAATGATACATTCATTCCTAGACAGATAGATCAGCATTTACCAGATGGTTTCTGCTAGAATGCTCTCCTCTCCAATATCATCATCTCATTTGTGGTGTGTACAGATTTCCAGAAAGTCAATGGGGATGTCCTGGGGCTAGTGGGCCAGGCTTCTTCTTTTCATTTGTATTCAAAGCCAATATTTTCTTTCCAAATCTTGCCCCTTTCTTGTTTAACTCAAGGCTTGGCGTGGTAGGGGAGGTTGGGAATGGTGAGAAATAGTGCCTCCTTGAATGAAAGGTTGGAGGAAATAAGTTTACAGACTTGGCAGTGCTAGTTAAGGGCACACCCCATAAAGAAGTCTCAATATGGTTAACTAGTTTCCAGAGCAGTGCTACAACTGAGCCTTGTGCATCCCTGAAGTGATGAGCACAAGTATGATAATCATCGGAAGAGAACATATATTGTATAATTTGGAATCAGCCAGTTATTTGTCAGACTACCTTTGCTGTCTGTAGGATCAGACACACATGTGCCTCTGCATTTGGGTAAATGTAAAACCACATTTCCTATTATAAAGAGGAAAGACTGCTGGAAACAGCTGCTCTGGAAACCAAGTTGCTCAGAGGAAGTGAGCTAAACTTGTGTTTAGCTAAATGGTGTGTAGCTAAACCTACCCAGTGAAAAAAATATGTAGAAATGGACTCAATAACTTTCTCAAGAGATGAAAATATAGAGTAATAAATAGGCAAGAAAATAGGGATAGAAATGGAAAAAGTGGAGAGAGAATAACAATGGGAAAGGGAAAGAGGAAACACGCTTATGTGTTGTAGTGACTGACCAACGCAGTTTATGAAACAACATAGCTAGCTCAGGAGTTAGCCCAGGCTTTCAATTAAAAAGAGATGCATAAGCCCATATACCTCTTTTTCTTTCCCTCAAAATGACCTTGAGTTTTAGTTTGGTAGGGTTTTGGTACAGCTGTTATTTGATAATATCACATTGTGCTTTTCAATTAACTTAGATTGTTTAAAAAACAGATAACTGAAAACCATCTGTTTGTGGTTCTGTGTAATTTGTTCTCAGGACAGGGACTAGGAATGAACCATTTTAAATTCTGCTAATGAAACCTCTCATTAATTTAAGGAGTTCTACAAACTAAGTCTGTGGTACCAGGTAGAAGGGGTGCCAAGTGTTGGGCTTTCTGGGATAAGGGAAAATTAATTTCTTCCTTTGCCATTTGTGGTTGGGTAGCATCTTTTTTTTTTCTTCCTGGCAGCGAGTCTCATAATTTAATATGCATTAACATAATCAGGAATGATTGCTTAAAATACATGTTCTTGAAGTTTATCCCAAGAGATTTTTGATTCAGTATCTCTGGGAAGGGCTCCAGGAATTGCCACAGTTAAACAAGCTCCCCAGGTCATTCTGATGTAGATGGTCTGAAGGCCACACTGACTAATGCTGCCTTTTAGAATTGGGAGGTAAGTTTGGATTTTGTAGATCAAATATTACTACCAAGAATAAAAGAAATACACAAAACCTCCAAACAACTCAAATGATGTAACAACAAAGCAAATGGCTCAAAGCAAACAAAACCCAACAAAAGGTTTTAAATAGGTCCTTAGAGATACAATGTAATTTGTCTCAGCTGCGGAGACTTAAAGAGGCCAACTCTTAGTTGACATGGAAGAATAGGGACAACATTGCCAAGAAACATGGTTAATTTCAGTTATGGATACCAAACCCTGGGCTCTGGAAAGCATTAACAATTTTACCCACTATGCTAATCTTCCATATATGGGGCATGCTGGATAAATCTATTTTGCTAACGTCTCTTTTACAATAATGTACTTAATTTTGTTGGGTATATATTCTAATTTGTGTTTTCTAATTCAAGTTCTAACTTTTAAAGAGGCCCCCACCCCCACTGTTTTCCCTCGAGCTTATTAAAGGGCATAATATCACTTTCCTCTTGTTAAGAGTAAAGATTGGAAGAATTTAGTTATCAGAAAATGGTGGTAGGTTGATGCTTTTGGTGGTGGACGCAGCAGTCTGATGAATAAGCATCTTTCTTGAAGACCAGGGTTCTGCCACTAAAGATGTATGTGATTTCTAGAAAAATAATTTTACCTCATTGCATCTCAGTTTTCTCCTTTGTAAAATAGGGATAGTGGTAAGTGAATGATTTCTGTGATCCTCTCTAATGCTAAATAGAATGAGAATGTGCGAAGCCTTTGTTATCTCAGTAAACTTTACCACAATTCATCTGTAACGACAAAATGTTATTATTAGAAACATATTAAAAAGCTTGCAAGTGGCATGAATTCAGGCACTGTAAATGAGTGTAGTGCAGTACTGTGAAGGTGAGGGGAAAATATGCATGTTTCAATCATAGGGCTACAAGTTTGCACAGATCTGAAAAATTACTGTTGGGTTTCTTCAACTAGGGGATCCAGAATATCACTGTTATTCATACCTCTTGCCATTAGGTGGGGCAGTTGAAGAGTAGGAAGACCGTTTTCAAGTGAAATGTTGTTTTGCTTGAGTATGTTGTTTCATACTCAACAACATCTGAAAGTAAGTGGTAAAATAGACTTCCTTTTATATAGTCTAAACTCTCAGTGGCCAGATTATTAGTTTCTTTATTAATTCTGGATGGTGAGGAAGAAGGGGGACATGGGTGATAAAGTTAATGTAATGTAATATTGCAGATTGTATTATTAATGTAAATTCCCATTTGGAACTCAAAAGCCAAAATGGATCTGAAGTCAACTTATGCAGTCTACTTTTTCAGAAGAACAATTAAATAGTATGAGGTAGAGACAACAAAATACCAGGTTTATGGAACACTAGAAAGTGGAAAGGAGCCATGAGAGTTATTGCGGCCCTTCTCTCAGTGTCTATTGATTTCCTTTAGCATCTGGGGTACTTAACTATTTCCTTCTCCTTCTACTTTCTTTTAGAAAATTCTATGTCAATTAATTTATCTGACATCTTAATCGATAATTCATTAAGAAAATCTTTTGTGCCCAGCACATCATGATGAATTTTGATGGCTAATGTTACCTGGTCTCTGTTTTGAAGTGTTTTTATTGACTTATAAATTTAAGATGTTTTCCTAGAATTAAAAAAATGACATGGAAAAACTTCAAATCAGTCTTTTATAAGGTAGTGACTTTAAATTTTCATTTGTCAATTTCCACATTTAGGACAAAAAGTAAGAGATGTGGAGAGGAAGACAGGAATACTAGGGAAAAGGTGAGAGAAGAAGTATTTCTGGTTACTTCTGTTGTATATTCTTAAAAGTAAGAGTCCATAGAACCATGATAGTCAAAGTACTGAGGAAACAGCAGATTTGGAAATTTACATTTCATATCAAAGGGATTTTCTGTGAGACAAACCAATGAGATTTGATAGATTAGAAAGGAAGGACTAATAAAGAAAGCAACTGAATAAATACTTGAATAATAAATGATATGTGTTTTTCACACTCTGGTCCAGTTATTTTTTTTTCTCTTTTAAAAAAAATTTTGTTAGTGTTTTTGTGTGAGATAGTTAAAAGTTCCTGCAATCCACAGAGCTCTATATTTGATTAATTCTGGATTCCCAGCAAGTTTGCATGGCTTTTCAGAGGACTACAAAATAGGGAAAAGACTAAATTCAATATAGAATTGACCCATGAAAATCACGGGAGTTAGTGGTACCAACCCCTGTGCAGCTGAAAATCTGTGTGTAATGTTTGACTTCTCCCAAAAGTTAACTACTAATAGCCTACTGTTCACCAAAGTCAATTAACACATAATTTTTATGTTTTTGTATTATATACCGTATTCTTACAATAAAGTAAGCTAGAGAAAAGAAAATGTTATTAAGAAAATCATAAGAAAGTGAAAATAGATATTTACCATTCATTAAGTGGAAATGGATCATCATAAAGGCCTTCATCCTCTTCATCTTCATGTTGAGTAGGCTGAGGAGGAGAAAGAAGAGGTCAGGTTGATCTTGCTGTCTCAGGGGTGGCAGAGGCAGAAGAAAATCTGCATGTAAGTTGGCCTGTGCAGTTCAAGCCCATGTTGTTTAAGGATCAACTGTAAATCTTTTAACTTTTCAAATGACGCTCATTCACACAAAGAAATTTGGAAGTAGACAGGATTTATATGCAGCTATAATTTTAAATGGCAGCCAACATCATGAACAAATTCTCCTGACATCTCATTCCTTGATTTCTAAGAAGTCAATGCAAGAGGAAGGTGAGAATCAAATTTGGGCAGCTTTGCTCAGCTGAATATTATATGGTGATGATTATGTTAATAATTAAAATATTGAAATATTTATTTAGTACAGTCATTCACCATGTAACATTTTGGTCAGTGATGGATGGCCTACCATGGTAGTTTCATAAGATTATAATAGAGCTGAAAAATTCCTATTGTCAGCTCTACTGATATCACAGCCATCATAAAGTTGTAGCATAACATATTACTCATATGTTTATGGTGATGCAGGTGCAAACAAACTCACTGCATGGCCGGTGATATAAAAGGATAGTACATACAGTTATGTACAGTACATAATACTTGATGACAAGAATTACTGATAATAAGTGTTACTGTTAAGTACTTAATATAATAGATTACGTCCCTGATTTATGTATTTACTATACTATACTTTTTAATCATTGTTTTAGTGTGTACTCCTACTTACAAAAAAAAAAGTTAACCATAAAACAACTTCAGGAATGAGTTTCTTGAGGAGGTGTTCCAGAAGAAGGCATTGCTATCATAGAAGATGACAGCTCCATGTGTGTTATTGCCCCTAAAGACCTTCCAGTGGGACAAGATGTGGAGGTAGAAGACAGTGATGTTGATGATCCTTATCCTGTGTAGGCCTAGGCTAATGTATGGGTTTCTGTCTTAGTTTTTAACAAAAAAGTTTAAAAAGTTAATTTTAAAAAGCTAGAAAAAACTTACAGAATAAGGATATAAAGAAAGAAAATATTCTTCTACAGTTGTAAAATATGTTGGTGTTTTAAGCTGAGCATTATTACAAAAAGTCAAAAAGCTTAAAGAAATTAAAACGTTTATAAAATAAACATGTTACAATAAACTAAGGTTATTATTGAAGAAAGAAAATGTAAAAAATAAATTTAGCACAGCTTGGCCTGGCGCGGTGGCTCACGCCTGTAATCCCAGCACTTTGGGAGGCCGAGGCGGGCGGATCACGAGGTCAGGAGATCCAGACCATTCTGGCTAGCACGGTGAAACCCCGTCTCTACTAAAAATATATATTTAAAAAAATTAGCCAGGAGTGGTGGCGGGGGCCTGTGGTCCCAGCTGCTCTGAAGGCTGAGGCAGGAGAATGGCGTGAACCCAGGAGGCGGAGCTTGCAGTGAGCCGAGATTGCGCCACTGCACTCCAGCCTGGGCGACAGGGCGAGACTTTGTCTCAAAAAAATAAATAAAAAATAAATAAATTTAGCATAGCTTAAGAGTACAGTGTTTATAAAGTCTACATTAGTAGACAGCAATGTCCCAGGCATACTCACCACTCACTCATTGACTCACCCAGAGCAACTTCCAATCTTGTAGCCTCCATTCACGGTAGGTGTTTTCTACAGGTATATTTTTATCTTTTACCACATTTTTACTGTATCTTTCCTATTTTTTATATGTTTAGATACACAAATACTTACCATTGTGTTATGCTTGCCTGCAGTATTCAGTACAGTAACATGGCATACAGGTTTATAGCCTAGGAGAAACAGGCTATACAATATAGTCTAGGTGTGTGTGTGTTAGGCTATACCATCTAGGTTTGTGTAGGTATACTCTGTGATGTTGACACAACAACGTAATCACTTATGATGGATATCTTAGAACATATTTTAATTATTAAGTGACACATGACTGTACTTAATATGTATTAGGTACCAAGCTAAGCATGCAATTAACTCATGCAATCCTCACAATAACCTTATGAATTTAGTACTATCAATTAGCACCATTTTTTTCCATGGGAAATAGGATATAGGATATTCTATCACAAGCATACCCTCAATGCTAGAGGAAAGAAAGAAAGAGACGAAGAGGGTGAGAAAGAGAGGGAAGGAAGGAAGGAAGGAAGGAAGGAAGGAAGGGAAAGAAAGGGAAAGGAAAAGAAAAAAGAAAAAAGAAAAGAAAAGAATGGTTCATTTTCTGTTTGTATTTAAATAATATCACATTATTATTTATTGGGAAAAGCTAACTGAGTTGGGAGCAGTGATGTAGGTTCGTACCACCATTAGTTGAAATCATTGCACTATCTGAGAAGAAAGACCATGAAATCTAGGAAGTTTAAGAAGTTAGTTTTCGTTAGATCCAAATACTGTTAATGTTGGCTATCTTTTTTGGATCACAATTTAAGAGAACAGATTCCTTTAAATGAATTGGTTGAGGAAATGAACAGAATATTTACAAATATTTCTCCTTAAGTGATATTTCATTAGGGAGAGGTCTTCCTTAATGCCTGTCTGAAATAGCACCCTCCTCATTCTCTAAATCTTCACCTGCTTTATTTTCTCTTTGTAGAACTTACCACCTGACACATTTCACAGTAGTTTGTTTGTAGACTGTCTTCCCTCTCTAGCTTCATAGGTACAGGGAATTTCTCTGCTCTGTTCACTGATAATTTTCTTGTACCTAGAACACTGCATGGTACTTAGTAGATGTTCAATAAATATTTGAATGAATGAATGTATAAGTAAAATAAGAAAATTCATGTGGCCAATAGGTAATTTAAAATATTCTGCTTTGCTAAAAACCAACAGAAGTAAAAATAGGTAAAAGCAATTAGTATTTTCATCTACCAACAATGATTTAAACATATTCAAAAAGATATATACCCAATGCTCATGAAGGTGAAGCAAAACAAACATTCTTACAAAATTGAAAAACACTTTGCTGGAAAGTACTTTGTGAATATGGTGTCTTTAAAAATGTTTCTATACTATATTTTAATTCTATTAATATATTCAGGAAAGCAATCCATAATTAAAAAATATCTTTTGCTGCACAAAAGTCTTTGCTTCAACAGTATTTATTGTAGTGAAAGAAGTTCAAAAAATTCTAAGTTCCAAAGGTAGGGGCACAGTTAAATGAATTATGACAACTCTCTTTCATGGTATATTATATAAGCATCATGAGTTAGGTTTACTAAGAGCTTTTTTAATATGAAAAAAATGCTAATGAAATAAATTTAATTTGAAAAACAGCATAAACATTGGAATAAATGACATCTTAAAAGCATACATAGAAAAAATGGTAGAAATTGTGCCAAAATATTAACAGAAACTAGGGCAGGTAAGATTATGGGTGATTTTGTTTTATACTTCTCTATACTTTTATTTTTCAAGTGTTCCAGAATGAAACTTTTATAATGAAAAAAAGTTTTAAATATTTTAACTGATTTTGTATTATACTAGTGATAATCCAGAAGTGATTATGTTTTATACAATAGACTATGGCTTTATATGAAGAAATGAATATAGTCTAGTATTGTTTTTATTATCTAGGAATATACATGTAACTGAAGAATTTATGAGTAAAGTTTAATATAAGCAAGTAACTGGGACTTCTGGAGGAAAGCTCACTCTAGGGGAAGCTCTCAAATGTGTTTTCAATCTTGGATTCCAGTCAAAAAAAGACATGAGTTACTTGGATTTAATAACCAGATATACATTCTCCTCCTTTAGGACTAGTGAAAAATGGGCACTGAGTGAGCTTGGGCACAGACTAATAAAGGATATTCAAACACGATAAACAAACAGTAGCGAGGCCCGAGCTACCTGGGCTTAGAAGGCAGCAGGGCCCCCAGAAAGTGGTAGTAGCAACAATTACTGTGGTTTTATCCTGTGGCTAGCCCAGGTTCCAGACAGAAAGTTCTTCCTGGCCTCTTACCCTAGTAACTCTGAGGACTGTACCCTTGATTCTTGGATTGTTAGACACATTTCCACTTCTGGCTTTGGCCCTGCAACCCTGGTACCTAAATTGAGCAGCTTGAGCACACAAGTTCCTCATTCTTTCATTATGTATGTCCTTGTTAAGAGACTGTGAAACATCCAGAATACTAGGGCAGCAAGCCAAAGCACAGCCTCTAATAACAAGGCTTTCCATTAATTTGATTCATTTAATGAAAAGCTATGTGAACTATTGTAATAGGTTCAAGAACACACCTTAATTCTTGGACTGTTTTTTAGACCTTTAGAAGTCGAAGGCCTCTGAAATTATATGAGCTTGGGTGTTGAGATAGAGGAAACATGAAAATTTATTCTACCTGAACCTCTGCAGTTATAAACTAGCATCGTATAATTTATTTATTTATTAAGTCAAGGTTTATAAGTCATTTCCACAAAGCCTAGCACACAGTGTCTAGCATATATAGTAGATGCTTGATAAATATCTGTCAAGTGAATTTCAAATACTTAAATTTTGTTGTTAATACATTCATGTAATGGAGCCATATCATCTCATATGAATGATTGAAGAATACAAAAACTCCAGACTTGAATGCAGAATATATAAAGAACTAGTACAAATCAATAAGAATGAGACACACATCCCATTAGGAAAATGAGCAAAAGACTTAAACAAGAAGCCCTTCACCAAAGAAGAAATCCAAATAGTCAATAAGCATATAAAAAGGGGCTCAATCTAATCATTGAGGAAAACCAAACCCATAATTCAATACAAGTACACACCACAAAAATTGCTACAATAAAAAAAGATAGACAATGCCTAGTGTTGGCAAGAATGTGGAGCAACCAGAACCCTCAATCACTTCCTGTGATAGTGTGTATTGGTAATTGGCTTGAAAAACTCTTTGGCAGTATCTACTAAAGCTGAACAAATGCATAACCTATGACCCAGTAATTCTAGTCCTAGATGTATCTCAAACAGAATTGCATGCAACTTTTCATAAAAGACTATACAAGAGTGTTTCATGGTAACACCAGTATTAACAGACAAAAGCTGGAAAGTACCCAATGCCCATCAAAGAAAGAACCAACTAATAAATTGTAATATATTCACAAGAACCTAAGAATACAACTCTAATACTAATCAGCTGTGAGAATGAATGGATAGCATGTAGTTGCAACTACATTTTAAAAGATTAATTAATCTCTCAACATAAGGTTGCCAGGCACAAAAGAATGCATACTATATGATTCCATTTAAACAAAGTGCAAAAACAGGCAAAAGTATTGTTTTGGTTTTAGAAATCAGGATAGTTGTTACCCTTATGGAGTAGGAGAGCTACTGCCTAGAAGAGGGCACATAGGGGACTTCTGGGTGCTGATAATATGCTGCTTTTTGATCAGGGTGCTGCTTATGTGGTGTACTCTTTATAAAAATGTATTGATGTTTACACTTACGTGCAATTTTTGTATACATATTATTCTTCAATAAGAAGTTAATAGGGCCGGGTGCAGTGGCTTATGCCTGTAATCCCAGCACTTTGGGGGGCTGAGGCGGATGGATCATAAGGTCAGGAGTTCCAGACCAGCCTGGCCAAGATGGTGCAACCCCGTCTCTACTAAAAATACAAAATTAGCCAGGTGTGGTGGCAGACACCTGTAATCCCAGCTACTCAGGAGGCTGAGGCAGGAGAATTGCTTGAACCTGGGAGACAGAGTTCTCAGTGAGCCAAGATGGTGCCACTGCACTCCAGCCTGGGCAAGAGACTGAGACTCTGTCTCAAAAAAAAAAAGAAGTTAATAGAATTTTTTCATTCTTTTCAATTAACTTACCAAATCCTGGTATTGAGCTTACCATGTGATACATATAAATGCAACCCCAGAATATCTCCTGATATGATCTCATGATGCCATGGGAAGCAGTAAGTCTTTTTGAAAAAAAGCACTGTTTCACTTATTAAAATGCCAAATACATTTTACCAGAATTTATTATTGAAACAAATCTTAGTGTTATTTTTGACCTGCTGTAATGCTTTTGCTTGTTTTTTTATTATGGTAAGAACATTTAAATTGAGATCTACAATCTTAAAATAATTTAAGTAGACAATACAGTATTGTAAAGTACAGGCACAATATTGTATTGACAATCTCTAGGACTTATTCGTCTTACATAACTGAAACTTCATACTTATCTAACAGCAATCCCTCATTTCCCCCTCCTCAGACCCTGGCAACCACTGTTTTACTCTGTTTCTCTGAGTTTAACTATTTTAATTTCTTATCAAGTGGAATCATGCCATGTTTTTTTCCCTGTAACTAGCTTATTTCACTTAGCATAATGTCCTCTAGGTTCAAACGTGTTGTTGCATATGGCAGGATTAACTTCTTTTTAAAGGCTGAATAGTATACACACAACCACTACATTTTCTTTATCCATTCACCTATCAATGAACATGTAGTTTGATACTATATCTTGGCTATTGCGAATAATGCTTCAAAGAACATGGAATGCAAATATCTCTTCAACATACAGATTTTATTTCCTTTGGATATATGCCCCGAAGTAGAAATTCCAGATCATATGGTAGTTCTATTTTTAATTTTTTGAGGAAGCTTCATACAGTTTTCCATAATGACTGTCCTAATTTACATTTCCACCAACAGTGTACAAGTGTTCTCTTTCCTTTACATCCTTACTAACACTTCTTTTCTTTTGTCTTTTTGATAACAGCTATTCTAATAGATGTGAGGTGATATTGTGGTTTTGATTTGCATTTCCCTGATGATTAGTGATGTTGAACATTTTTTATCTACATGTTAGCCATTTGCATGTCTTCTTTTGAGAAATGTCTATTCAAATCCTTTGTCAATATTTTAATAGGGTTATGTGTTTTCTTGATACTGAGTTGTTTGGGTTCCAAATATATTTTGGATACCAAACTCTTATCAGATGTATGGTTTGCAAATACTTTCTCCTATTCCATGGGTTGCCTTTTCACTGTGTTGTTTCCTTCGCTTCCTGGTTGCATTTTAGTTTGATGTAGTCCCACTTGTCTAGTTTCACTTTTGTTGTTTGTGCTTTTGATGTCATATCCAAGAAATTATTGTCAAGACTAAGAAAAAAGAGAGAAAACTCAAATAAATAAAATCACAAATGAAAGAGATGGTACAATTGATGCTACAGAAATCAAATGGATCATAAGGGACTACTATAAATAATTATACACCAACAAATTGGATAACCCAGAAGAAATAAATTCCTAGAAACACACAACCTCCAAAGATTGAATCAGGAAGAAATAGAAAACCTTAATAGACCAATAACAAATGAGATTGAAATCAGTAATAAAAAACCTCCCAACAAAGAAAACCCAGAATCAGGTGGCCTCATTGGTAAAAATTTTTTCTTTTTTTTTTTTTTTTTGAGACAGAGTCTTGCTCTGTCACCCAGGCTGGAGTGCAGTGGTGCAATCTCGGCTCACTGCAAGCTCTGCCTCCTGGGTTCACACTATTCTCCTGCCTCAGTCTCCAGAGTAGCTGGGACTACAGGCGCCTGCCACCACGCCAGGCTAATTTTTTGTATTTTTAGTAGAGATGGGGTTTCACCATGTTAGGCAGGATGGTCTCGATCTCCTGACCTCGTGATCTGCCCGCTTCAGCCTCCCAAAGTACTGGGATTACAGGCATGAGCCACCACACCTGGCCCCCTCATTGGTAAATTCTACCAAACATTTAAAGAAGAATTAACACCAATCCTTCTTAAACTCTTCCCAAAAAATGAAGAAGAGGGAACACTTCCAAATTCATTTTAAGGCCAATGTTACCTTGATTCTAAAGCCAGAAAAAGACACTCAAAGAAAGAAAATTACTGATAAATATTTCTGATAAATATAGATGCAAAACTCCTCAACAAAACACTAGAAAACTGAATTCAACAGCGTACTAAAAATACTAAAAGGATGATATACTATGATCAAGTGAGATTTATCCCTGGAATGCAAAGATGGTTCAGCATGCTCAAATCAATTAATGTACTACATCACATTAATGGTAGGATTAAAAATAACATGATCATCTTAATAGATGCATCTTAATAAAAGTTTTTGAAAAAATTCAACACCTTTTCATGACAAAAACTCTAAAATACATTAGGTATAGAAAGAATTTACCTACATATAATAGAGGCCATATTTTTGACAAGTCTACAGCTAACTGAATACTCAGTGATGAAAAGCTGAAAGCTTTTTCTATAAGGTCTTAATCAAGGCAAGGACATCCATTTTTGCCATTTTTGTTCAACACAGTAATGGAAGTCCTAATCAAAGGAATTAGGCAAGAAAAAGAAGCAAAGGCATCCAAATCAGAAAGAAAGAAGTAAAACTATTTCTCTTGGCAGATTACATGATCTTATATGTAGAAAACCCTCTTTCTACAAAAATCTGTTGAAACAAGCAAATTCAGTAAACTTGCAGAATATGAAATCAACATGTTAAACTCACTTTTGTATCTGTACACTAACAATGAACTATCTGAAAAGGAAATTAAGAAAAAAATTTATCTACAATAACATCAAAAAATATAATATTTAGGAATAAACATAACCAAGAAGGTGAAAGACTGAAAACTATACAACGTTAATGAAAGAAATTAAAGAAGATGCAAATAAATTGAAAGACGTTTTGTGTTTATGGATGGGAAGACTTAATACTGTTAAAATGTCCATACTACCCAAAGATTCAATACAATCCTTATGAAAATTCAAATGGTAGCCAAGTGTGGTGGCTCACACCTGTAATCCCAGCACTTTGGAAGACTGAGGCAGGCAGATCATTTTGGGAACAAAATGTAAAGTTGCTTCTAAAAGAGATTTATGAAGTTTTTTGTTTACTCTATGTTTAATTATTTGCTGAGTACACTTATCACATTGAGATGGGAATTTGAACAAGATCTTTGTACTTGATTAGAGGGAATAAAAACAGCACACTTATCAAATAATCAGTGTGTTATCCCATAATTCAGCTTGTGGCTTGCTGAAAGTTGACTCTTGTGTAAAAGATTAGTTACTTTTTATTGTTTTAAGGCTAGAAACATAGGTTCTATTTTTGTCAATGCTACTACATCCCACAAAGTGTCTATATGAGCCATTTCCAAATTTCCATTTATGATAAGGGGCTGTGATGCATGAGTATACCCACGTTTTTACTGACATGTGTAGAGACAAACTCATGAGTTTGCCTAGTTACCTTTTATTCTGTATTCACAGATTTCCAAACCTTCGGGGTTAGGCCATACTTTCAGGGAAGTGGGTGAGCTTTATTATTGAGGCCAAGTCTTCTATCTCTGTTTAGATGCAAACCTAGTACTTAGGGACCTTGTCATATCTATTTTCTGCAAAGTACTTTCTGTACTTGTCAAGATCAATAACTGGTTTTATAATGACAGAGGACACAGAATTTAGCCTTCAGAACAGAAATGGCTATTTACCATGCGAAAGTATTTTTTTTTTCTGACACCATCAGACCAGTGAGCATAGATTTCTCTCTGAGAGACACTTTTTAAACACAAAAATTACCTATTTATCTTGTTGCATAGCAGCTCTGTCAACTAAACAGTGCATTTAATAATAATGATAATACATAAAAAGTCTAGTATTTCATGGTTTACAAGATATTTTCCACATTAATTGTCCCATTGGACCCCCCAAAATTCTATAAAGTGGTCATATAATGTATTATGCCATTTTGTATGGGGTAACTGATGAGGTAACAGACCAGAGACTGAGCCTAGTTTGCCCAGCTAAGAACTATCAAAGCCAGTCTTCCCAACTCAGTCCATGATCTCTTACTATTTTACTTCAGCCCTGTAAGATTCATGGTTGTATTTCCTTCCATATAGAACTATGGAATAATAATTACTAATTTAGAATATTATATAGTCCATTTTGTACAAATTGTCTAATTTGTATAGTACTATCCTAGTACTAGTATATATAATTCTATATACTAGTCATATATACTAGTATATAGAATTATATATACTATATGTATGTATATATACACTAATATATATAATTATATACACATATGTATTACATATATGTATATATTATATATACTAGTATATATACTATATATAACATATGTATATATAGGATTATATATAAATTATATACTAGTATATATAATATGTACTTGTTATATAATTATATCTACATATATACACATATATGTAGTACTATATCTACATATACTATATATCTGTATATATATAGTACTAGTATATATAATTATATATACATATATGTACACACATATAGGATGCTATGAGAATGCATAGGAAGGGAACATAGTCCTAGAGTATCATAAACTTTCACTCTGTGTCCAAAGTCTTTCATTAAATGATACCAGAACATAGGATCTACTGAAATTCTAAATGGCCAGTTGGAAGAGGAAGGTCATGTTTGGGGAACTTGGTTAAAAATTACCTTTAGTGGAAAAGAAAGATAATAACTCAGTAAAAGTAGCTAGTAGGCTGGAGCAGAGTGTCTATGTTTGCTATGGTTTGAGTGTATCTCCCAAAATTCCTGTATTAGAAACTTAATCCCCAATGTAGCAGTGCTGATAGAGTGGAACTTTTAAGAGGTAATTAGGTCATAAGAGTTCTTCCATCATGAATAGATTAATGCTGTTATCATGAGAGTGGGTTAGCTATTGCAAGAGTGGCTTTGGCATAAAAGCAAGCTCTCTCTATTTCATGTGCTCTCACCGTATGATGCTTTCTGCCGTGCCTTTGTCAGGTGCTGATACCATGCTCTTGGCCTTCACAGCCTCCAGAACCATAAGCTAAATAAACTTCTTTTCTTTGTAAGTTACTCAACCTATAGTATTCTGTTATAGCAACAGAAAGTGGACTAAGACAGTGGTTTAACGTCTGGATTTCAAAATGAAAACCTGAAAAAGAAAGAATGGGAAGAGGTCTTACAAAAATATCAAATTAGGCTCAATTTTATTGACCACAGTTTCTTAAACATAGATATCTCTCATATATTATCAAACACTTATGGTGAAACACTACATTTTTGTTCATAGGAGTTCTCCATAGCAGAATTCCTCCATCTCCCTTTACTTTGCCCTGAAAAAATCAGCACCCCAGGAATTCTTTATCTTTCAAAGACGGCAACATATAAATAAGCATTTGAGTTTCCCATACAGGAATTTTTTGCAAGTCTGGCTTAGAAAATGGCCATGTTCTATTCAAAACTCTTTGAATTTCTGGTTAAATAAAAATGCCAACTATGCCTTTTTCATTAAATAAGTCTATCTTTCATTATCTAAATGTATGTCCTACTATAAGTTCCCAATGGCAGCTATGTCCTTGTGCTTAGGGATTGCAAGATGAAGGTTAACTATTAACGACAGTGTTTCTGAACCTGAAGTTATTAGAAAATCTTTAGGGACTCCTTGGACTCTTGGAAATTATGTACAAAATTATAATGACTCATTTGTACAGTCATCCCTTGGAATCTGTAGGGGATTGATTCCAGAGCCAAATACCAAGACTGCAGATACAAAACCCAGTGGATGCTTAAGTTCCTTACATAAAATGGTATAGTGTTAATATTTAACCTATATTCTTCCATACACTTTATCTCTAGAATACTGCTAATAACTAATAATATGTAAATTCTATGTAAATAGTTGTTATAAACAATGATTTTTATTATTATTTTTGTGGTTGTATTGTTACTTTTGTGGAATATTTTTAATCCCCAGTTGGTTAAATTGTGGATGAAGAACCTACTAATATAGAGGGTCAACTGTACATTCTCTTGGGAAGTATATTCAGAGCTTTCATTAGAGACTTAAAAGGAACCTATGTTACTCCCCTGCCCCACCCCCAAAAAAGTTAGGAACTACTGCTTGGTGGGGGTAATAAACTATCCTTGGAACATCAGATTCTTTAGATACATCATAGAGAATTGGCATCTAAAGAAATATTCTGTGGTAACCAGCTTCCAAGATGGCCTCCAGTGATCTGCACTTTCTGGTATTCAGATTTTTGGGTCATCTCCTTTCAAATTGTATCAGGGTTGATCTCTGTGGCCAAGAAAATTCAGGAGGAGTTATGATGTGCCACTTTGGAGGTTAGGTTATAAAAACTGTGGCTTCTGTCTTGGTTACAGTTTCTCTTTCTCCAATCACTCACTCTGGAGGCAGCTAGCTGTCAACTCACAAAGACACTCAAGCAGCCTATGGAAGAAGGCCACATGGTAAAATATGGAGGCCTCCAGCCAACAGTCAGCAAGGAACTGAGACAAGTCAACAACCATGTGAGTGACTCGAGAAGTGCTTCTCTAGCTCCAGTTGAGACTTGCAGTAGCAGCAGCCTCAGCTGGCGGCTTGACTGCAATCTCTTGAGAGACCCTAAGCTCTCCTGAATTCTTGATCCTTAGAAACTGTGTGAGGTAAGAGATATTTGTTGCTTTAAGATGCTACATTTGGGGATAATTCATTACACAGAAATAGATATCTCATTCACATTATCTTGACTGGTCATGATTAAAAGAAAAGTGAATGTAAGAAAATAAAGTGTTTTTAATGCTGACCTTCCCTGTTAATCCTAGAAAATTAGAGTTTGAAATAATAATGTCATAGTCACTATTCCTTTAATCTTGTTGGTAAATAATGAATGCAGCGTGGCCCATTCACCGCCAGCACTTGGTCACCATTGTGATCTACACAGCAAGAAGCAGCCTAACGACCTGTCTGTTGAAACAAACAAGTTTTCTTTTAAGTGATTTCTTTGTTTCCATTTATAAGGCACCAACTTTCAAAGGTGTTCTGGGAAACCTTTCTTGTATTTCTTCTAAGCAAAATCAATTCAACAGAGAGTTCACGCTTTGCCTGTGATCAATGGGGAAGTACCAGTGTAGCTTTCTTTTTTTTCCTATAGGGCTGCTCATAGTCCTCCGATAGACTTTACAGCTGTTAGTTTTGCTGCAGTAGTGACTTGCTAAAATGGTGGCTCATTTGAATGGTGCTTGTATTAATTTACACTCCCACCAACAGGGTACAAGGGTTCCCTCTTCTCCATATCCTCCCCAATATTTATTATCTTTTTTTCTTCTTCATAATAGCCATTCAACAGGTATGAGGTGATATTGTGGTTTTGATTTGCATTTTCCTATGATTAGTGATGTTGACCACTTTTTCATATATCTGTTGGCCATTTGTATGTCTTTTAAGAAATGTCTATTCCGATCCTTTACCTTTTTAAAAAATGAGTTATTTATTTTCTTGCTATTGAGTTCTGTATTTTGAATATTAACTTCATATCAGGTGCGAATATTCATATCGGATGCAAATATTTTTTGTTATTGTATAGGCTGTTTCTTCATACTGTTGGTTATTTTCTTGTGGTGCAGATGTAAGCTTTTAGTTCGATGCATTCCCATTTATGTACATTTGCTTTTGTTTCTTAATACACCTTTGTATTGAGTAGATCAGATCCTTTATGAAAGCAAGAAGGGATCAATGATTACCTGATGGAGAAGAAGAAAATTGTGAGGAAAAGGGTCAATGAGGACATTCTTTGCTGTTTTGCAATTTTCCAATGAGCTGGTCTTGATATTATGTTTGCGTAAATAGCTTGGTCTGATCTTGGACACTAAATTCCAATCCAGCAGGTTCTATCTGGAAGGAGACTATATGATGGTGGAGACACAAGTCTGAAGGTGAAATATTGCACGATGTAGAAATAGATCAACCATGCACATTTATAGAACATCTACTACCAGGTGCTAGGTTCTGTGCTGAGCAATAAACATAATTCCTCTGTAATTTTTGTTTGTTTGTTTTGTTTTTGAGATGGAGTCTCACTTTGTTGCCCAGGCTGGAGTGCAGTGGCGCGAGCTTGGCTCACTGCAACCTCCGCCTCTCAGGCTCAAGCGATTCTCATGTCTCAGCCTCCTGAGCAGCTGGGACTATAGGCGCACGCCACCACACCTGGCTAATTTTTTGTATTTTAGTGGAGACGGGGTTTCACCGTGTTGCACAGGGTGGGCTTGAACTACTGAGCTCAGGTGACCCGCCTGCCTCAGCTTCCCAAAGTGCTGAGATTACAGGCGTGCGCCACCACACCCAGACTCCTCAGTAATTTATAACCTAGTTGAAAGATTTGGACATATGTATCACAAGATACCTATGAACAAAGGCAAGGGCATATCTTATTTATAAGATGTTTAGATAGATTTCAAAGGAAGTTTTTCAGCCAAAAATTCCATCATGTTTCCATTTTTGAAACTAAATACCAACATATCTCAAATTCAGATCTCAATTACTTCTACTGGCAAAATGTAAAGACCATTCCCTCATTCATTTGTTATTTCTCCAAGTATCCTGAGTACTGGATATCTGAAAGGCTCTCTGCTAGGTACTTTGTAGGGTAGGAAAACCTCAAAGGATGTGTGGAAATGAAAAAAGTTTCCAAATACTTCTTCAAATTTTGTGAAACTTATCAACTGAAACAAGGTTGATTTGGGTCAAACAAGGTTTGTGAAGTAAAAGCAAAGCAATTTTAAATAGGCTAAAACCCCATGGGTTGCAATGAAAGCAATGTTAAGATGACTCTTAAGTAACTTAGAACTGTTGAGGACTTTGGTAATTAAAATCTCTTCCTCATAGCTCCCCCAGCAATCAGGAAACAAGGATAGTTTGGATTAAGGTCTCATAAATAAACATACAGCTTGTCAGTCCTTGGAGATGGAGAAGTCATTCTTGAGTGTGCCACATGGAGGGCTCAGAGATAAGTGATGACCCTCTTGTCACTCTGGCAGAAAATATATTAACTTCTTTAAACCAAGAATTATAGTGATTTCAGTGGTACAATTACAAGGAGTGACTTCTGGGACTTGCATAAATCAAGCTTATTTAAATAGTGTTTCAGAAAAGAACATATGCTACTATTAAAGAGTTGGAAAAAAACAACTGCAATCCCATAAGATAAAGTTAGGTGAGAATATTCATATTTGTTTCAGATACAAGTCCATTATTTATGTCAAATAATTAAATACCTCTTTAGATATCCATTCCAGGGGAGGCTCTTGAGCCTTTCACCTCTCTCATGTCCAAACTTACTAGTTATTTCAATACTGAAATAATTCCAGTTGTTCATGAATTATTTGATGAGATTTAGAGTGATCTATATTAGTTAATTCATTTATCAGATTTGTTGAATACCTGTTATGTGCACTGGATGGCAATTGGTGCCATGTTGTATATACATTGGACAAAGGCAAAATTCTGTCTTGGGATGCTTAAGTATAGTGAAGAAGAATGACAAGTGCAAAAATATCTAATTCCAAAGCTGAGAGAGGAGAGAAAGATTATTTAAGTTGGTATGGTCAGATAAGTAAAACAGTATTTTAACTAAGCTTTGAGAAATAGATAGAATTCTACTTGGAACATTGAGGAGGACTCCATGGAAAAGTAATAAAATGAATGAAGACCAGAGCCAGGCTGGAAAAAAATCTTTTTAATGGAATAGCAGTGAGCAATGCAGAAAAGCTAGAGATCATCTTACTGCTGTGCACTCTAAATATTCCCCATGGCTGCTACCTTGTCCAATTCCCTCACAGTCCTGCCTGCTACAGAAAGCGTAGCAGTTTTCTCTTTATCGATGATGAGCAATAGAAAGAAATGCTTCACTCTGCCTAGGCAACAGGCACATTTAATATGGGATTTCTGTTGACAGTGCCTTAAGCCATGGAGCTAGCTAATCAGCACCTTACTCATTGTATGACAGGAAAGAGAAGAGATCTGGGAATGAGCAGATCATTCAGCATTCCTGCAAACATGGAGAAACAGAGCCAGACAGCTAGCTCTCCCCTCCCAGTTTCTATGAGTTCCAATGTGACCAAAAGCCTTATCTTGGCCTTTGCACCTGGAGGTCACCGCTGCCGCTGGGAGGATGAGTGGAGGAACTTGGGATGTACATGATAGGGTCAGCCAGCCAGCAAATGAGTGTTTGCAGAGTGACTAGGGAGGAGCAAAGGAGAGCTTTCACTGCTGTAATAGTCCAGAAGTTGCTGCTGAATCAAGCGAAAAGAATAAGCAAAGTGTTTCAGAAGTCAGCCTGCTTCACATCTTGTTGTTCATTTATTCCCTCTATTCTGACCACTGAGCCCACCAAGCTCTCCTTCTTGATATAACTTTTATCATATTTAATATTAGGGCAAGACTAGTTTGGGATCTTATGTGTCTAATTTATATAAATGTAGCAAATAGTCTTTTTGATGGTAAGATAAACTAGTGAATTATCTCTAACATAATCAATAAATTTTCTTATTGCTGGGTGTTTCTCAACCATGGTTTCGCATTAAAATCATCTAGCGAGCTTAACCGCCCCCTCCCCAAAACACACACACATACACACACACACACACACACACACACACACACACACACACACACACAATTCCCAAGCTGCTCCTAGGTCATTTATACCAGAACTCAGGTTAGGACTCAGGCAATGGCGTTCTTTAAAGCTCTGCAGGTGATTCTAATGTGCCGCTGGAGTTGACAGCCACTGTTCCAAATGTCTTGAAGATGAATAATAAAATCCAGATTGGTAGTGAGTAAAAATATATGTGTGTCTAATGTGTAAGTCTCAAATTATTAACATTTCTCAACAATGTATTTCCATTTTAAAAATCATATTTTAAGGAATGACCTTCAAAATTTTGTTATAGAATATTATTTTAGTGATGTTTCTCTGTTAGTAATGTGAAGCATGTTGCACATAAACTGTCTGGAGAATGTGGCATTATTTGCAAACATGTCAGAGAATGCAGCAGATTTTACAAAGGTTTATGAAAACAATATGCTTCATTATTTGTTCACATAAAAAGTAACAAAATTAGCTTCCTGTTAAACAGAAAGCCCATAGAGTAGAAGAGAAAAGGGTCTGGTTCCTTATTCACTCCCAGCTACCGTGAGGGTGTCTTATTGCCCAAATCCAGGACATCTTTGACTTTTTCTTCTCTTGACTGTCTAATCTAATGTCATGTAACTATAATAATTCAAAATAAAAGTAGTTAAAATTTAAAAATATATTTAAAGACTATCAAGATCTGTTGATTCTACCTCTGCAAATTTTCTTTCACACCTTCATCATTTGTCCATTTTTGTGGCCACAATCCTAAATCAAACTCCCTGTTACCTCCTGCCTTGGTAATTGTCATATGCTCCCCATGCAAATTTTTTCTCAGACATTGCCTCTGGCCAAAGATCTGATGGCATCATGTTTTTCACTCATCTTCAGTGGTTCTCTGCTACCCACAGTAATTTTACAAAACATTAGCTGGGCATTCAGGTTCTCCGTCATCTGGCCCCAACCTTATTCCCAAGACTTCTCCCCTTTGTGTATAATACTATGAAATGATCTAACTGTTTGGTAGTCCTGGACATGGCTATGTTCTTTCTGCTGTCAGAACCCTGGCTCATGCTGGTGTTTCTGCCAATGCCTAAATCCCACCCAGTATAGAGGGCTCAGATTTCATCTGCTTCACAAAGCCCTGAACTACAGAGTTAAAAGTAATGTTTTTTCTACTGTAATCACATCGCAGCACATTATCTGAACCATTTTAAAAATATTTCCCCAGAGTCACTTAATCTTTCTGAGCCTCTGTTCTTTTATTCATAAAATGAGAACAATAATACCTACCTAAAAGACTGCTTGTGAAGAGTATGATTATGTGTGTACAAAGCATAGTGCGCAGTAGACAATTTTCAAATCTTTCTTTCTTCTCTCTCCTTTCCTTCCTTCTTTCCTTCCTTCTTCCCTCCCTCCCTCCCTCTCTCCCTCCCATCCGTCCTTCCTTCCATCCTTCCTTCTATGTATTGTCCATTATAACTTTGTAATTTCCTTTTGGGCAGGATCCTGTGATTGGTAAATTTTTGTTTTCCATGCAGTTTCTAGGCTAATGCTTTGCATGTGTAGGTACTCAATGTAAAGGTACATGTTTTAAGTGAAAGGACCCAAAATTCATGACTTGCTGTACAAATGATGATCAGGGTTTAGGAGAGGAGATATAGACCAGAAATCTAGTTGTTGTTTTGAGTTATTATTATTACTTAAATTATCCTATATTTTTAGGTTAAAAACTCATTGAGCAAATCATTATCTTGATGAGAAATCAAGAGTCAGGTTAAGTAAATTTATTTTGGTTAGATGTCTTCTAAGCATCAGTTAAGGATTCAAACCAAGGCCTCTCCCATGTGAAAACATATATTGTTTCAGCTTATCAGGATTGGTTAGATTATCTCCAAGATTATGTCTATTTAAATGGCAGTTATTGCAGATAATATCAATGTCCTAGGTCCACAGGAAGGCAAGAAGTAGACTTAGCAGTAAGTTGCTGAGCAGGAATTCTGAAAAGGGTGACCAGGATCAGGTGAAGCACGTCCAGAGAGTAAAGGGGGTAAGCAAGCTCTTGTTATTAGCCCATATGTACTTACCCTGGGCTCACCGAAGAGTCCTAAAGCAAAGCTTGCTGTGGCTGCAACCTAAGGATTGGAACAAGTCTATAATCCTTCAAGAGCCAAGTGTGGATTTCTCCCTTCTACTCTCTGCCTCAGTATATTTTCCATGTTTTCTTACTTGTTCTGTTGCTGGAAGTTTCCTTCTTTCCAAGAGATACTCAGTTTTAAAGAAGCCACAGGTGTCTTTGCCAAAGCTTGCTCTCTGCATCCTGTTACACTCTTAGAGAATCCCCTGATGACGTCATTCAAGACAGCCTACTTTCGTAATTGCTGTGGAAGGGGCAGAAGGTCCTGCCACTACATTGCTTTCTGTCACCCACCCCCAAGATGGAAGAACAGGTTGTCTCTGAGGAATTTTGATTTGGGGCACATTGATTCCAGTCTCTCTTTACTGGAGCTTGAAATAGGGGGGCCAATTTTCCTATAAAAAAGAGTATGAAACTGATATCCAAAGAGACACACGATGAGAATCTATGAACTCCACGAAAAAAGAGCTGATAATTATAATTGTCTTCATTCTTGGTAGCTTTCTAGATGGGTTCTAATCCCGCAAGGGGCTTAGTTGCCTTCCTAGCTTTGGCGTCTATAAAATAGTCCTATAACCTTTTAATAAAGGTTTAATAAAGGCCTAAGCCCACATGAGTGAGTTTTATACATTCAAACAATCTCCTAAGTGTGAGAGTTAATTAATTTTTAAACTATTCTCGAAATTCAGCCTTAATTTGCTTTTGCTTAAGCTGGGTCACTAATCTGTGCTGAGGACCCATTATCCATTCTTTGTTAGGTTCTACAGTTTACCTCTAGGGTACATTTCATAGTCCTTAATGTCTCTTCTGTATAACTGATTATTTATGGAATTTCATGATGCGTTAAATACTTTGGCTGAGTAGCAAACACATTTCATCTAATCTTTCAATTCCACAACAGTACTACTGGGCAACATTTTTATTCTTGGTGGATACAATTTCTTTCTTTTTTTTTTTTTCTCCTTTTATTCCTTCCTCCTTTTCTCTCTCTTTCTTTCTTTTAAATGTTTGTGATATCAGGATATAAAGAGCCAGGTAGAAGAGCACAGAATTAGAAACCAGAAAACTGAGTCCTAGTCATCTCATTTCTCCTGGCTTCACTTTTACCCTTAAGTGAGGAGACTATACCCGAGTTCCACCTAGCTTGCAAATTCTATAATTCAATTATTCCATCACCATTCTGAAATATACCATGTAATTATAGAAATTACTAGAAAATTTTTTGAAATACACATTTCCCAAATTTATTTGACCATGGAATACTTTTTAAATAATTATATATTGGTAGAACATATACGATAGTTCATGGATATAATATGCACTTTGATTAAAGAATACAAAAAAATGGTCTGCAACAATTAATTGCTTCAAGAAATGATTAAAAAATTCATTCATATTCTAACTTAATTACAGGACCAAAACAATAATACAAATTAAATAGATTAAGTCATTTTATTTTTATTAAGTACATAAAAAAGACAAAAATGGATGAAATGATGACAAGTTGCATAACATGGAGCAGTGATGATTAAGAGGCAGTGTATACCAGTAAAATTAGTTGGTAAATACTACTAATAGATACTTAGCATTGACATTAAAATTAATATTTATATGAAGCTTTGACATTTAATTCTACTTCATGCATTCATGATACACCCAATCACTTGTTTTGCAATTATTTCAATGTGGATTCTTGCATAATAACAATTATAGATGTGTGTTTAAATATATTAAATATATTTTATAAGAAACAATGTTGTTGGTAATTTTTCTTCTTAGACTACTCAGTATCTTATAGTTTGAGAAAAACAGACCTATCTGAACCTAGATACTATATATGTTTCCAACGAGTAGCCTATTTTTCCCTTCCTTTTCCTCTATTGCTCACGTGCTTACATGCATTATTATTGGGTTATATATTGAGTTATTCTCTCGTTGGCTTTTGTATTCTGTGGCATTACATATCTTTGATAGCAGTAAGTTTGACACTCAAATTTTGTAGAAGTCAATGGCAGTGGTCCTTTTATAGGTTTAAACTTACCTGACTGCATTATATCCCTTGAGAATAGTTTTAAGGGATTTTCATTGAAACTACTGTATATGATTAACATATAATGCCTCCTATTATGAACTTGGAATATGCACATTAAAAGAGTTATAAGTTACAGTTAATCATTTGTTCATTGCTTTCTTTATAGATCTTGAGAAAAACCTGATGAGTGTAGCATTGCCATTTTGTAACTAATCCTTCATGTAATGAACCTAAGCTTCCATTATTGTGAATGAATTAGTCTATTTAGGAACCGCTTTGGCTTAGCGGTGAACTGTATTTCCTACTTAAGGAGCCAAACATTAGGAAGCAACTGTAGCAGTGTACAGCAGCAACTTCATCATTTTGGAATTTTAAAATTCTACCTTCAGGGATCTTAGAACCATCCTAGCTTCCGAGATCTCACTGTGAGTACTGGAGTGAGCAGAGTTGTACCAGGATGGAGAGATTGCTAATTTCCAAAAATGGGATTACTGAGTTAAAATATAATCCTGCTTTCAGCTAAAAACAAAAAAACCCCAAAAAACCAAACAGCCCTTTATGACACAATTTCACTATCCTGAACGCAATTTTATTTCATTGATTATAAACAATGTGAATGTAGATACCAATATTGCAATTATGACTAATAATTGGAGGCAATTATTTATAGTAGTTATATATCAGTATATATATTTACCATTTATACTGATATTAATGACTGTGGCTTTTTAATAGTGGCCACAGAAGTCACATAGCATGGTTTAGTGAAGTTTGGTTCACATTTGTAGGCACTTCAGAAATATCATCTTTGAGAACACACACACACTTAAGTTCAGTGAGAACGTATATAATTCAAAGAATAACATAAGCAATGATTTAAACTTCTATGTATGTTTCAGTCTGCCTCAGTGTTAGCAGCAGGAAAATTATTCTTTACAATAATGAAAGACATTTCCAGATTCAAAAAAAAGGGAAAAATAAAAACCATGGAAATAATATATTTGGAATTACAGGGCTACTAGCAATCTAAGTGTTGTGGAAAATCTTGGTAAATAGTTCAGTGAAATTATATAGATAGAAGATTGATTGAATAAACCTACTCCAAAGCATTGATATGCCACAGCATTCTTCCTTTGGCTGTGTTCTGCCCAATATTTTAACAAGGGGTTGCATCAAAACAGAGTGATGCTGATCAACTCCTGAAAAATATTTAAAGTTAAAAGAAATGCTAAGCAAAAAGAACAAAGCTAGAGGCATCATGCTACCCAACTTCAAACTACATGCTACAGGAATACAGTAACCAAAACAGCATGTTACTGGTACAAGAACAAACACATAGACCAGAGAAAAAGAATAGAGAACCCAGAAACAAGACTGCATACCCACAACCATCTGTTCTTTGACAAACCTGATAAAAACAAGCAATGGGGAAATCATTCCCTATTCAATAAATGGTGCTGGGACAACGGGCTAGCCATATGCAGAAAACTGAAACTGGACCCCTTCCTTACACCATATACAAAAATAAACTCAAGGTAGATTAAAGAATTCAATATAAAAACCAAAACTCTAAAAATCCTGGAAGAAAATCTGGGCAATACCATTCAGGACATAGGCACAGGCAAAGATTTCATGACAAAAATGACAAAAGCAATTGCAAAAAAAAGCAAAAATTGACAAATGGGATCTAATTAAACTAAAGAGCTTCTGCACAGGAAAAGAAAATATTAACAGAGTAAACAGCCTACAGAATGGCAGAAAATTGTTGCAATCTATCCAGCTGACAAAGGTCTAATATACAGCATTTATAAGGAACTTAAATAAATTTACAAGAAAAATACAACCCCATTAAAAAGTGGGCAAAATACATGAACAGACACTTCTCAAAAGAAGACATTCATGTGGCCAACAAACATATGAAAAAAAAAATCACTGATCTTTAGAGAAACCCAAATCAAAACCACAATGAGATACCATCTCACACCAGTCAGAATGGCTGTGATTAAGAAGTCAAAAAACAACAGATGCTGCTTATGGAGAAAAACGAATGCTTTTACTCTGTTGGTGAAAGTGTAAATTAGTTCAACTATTGTGGAAGACAGTGTGGCA
Source organism: Homo sapiens (assembly GCF_000001405.40). Classification (NCBI taxonomy): domain Eukaryota; kingdom Metazoa; phylum Chordata; class Mammalia; order Primates; family Hominidae; genus Homo; species Homo sapiens. The sequence continues at coordinate 60,137,369 of NC_000005.10, read as the reverse complement.
ATTCCTTAAAGACCTAGAGGCAGAAATATCATTTAACCCAGAAGTCCCATTACTGGGTATATACCCAAAGGAATATAAATCATTCTGTCATAAAGACACATGCACGTGTATGTTCATTGCAGCACTGTTCACAATAGCAAAGACATCTAAATGCCTATCAATGACAGATTTGGTAAAGAAAATGTGGTACATATACACCATGGAATTATGCAGCCATAAATAAAGAATGAGATCCTGTCTTTTGTGGGAACATAGATAGGGCTGGAGGCCACTATCCTTAGCAAATTAATGTAGGAACAGAAAACCAAATACCACATGTTCTCACTTATAAGTGATGATCAGAACGCATGGACACATTGGGAGTGGGGAAACAATACACACTGGGGCCTTTCAGAGGGTAGGAGGGTGAGAGGAGGGAGAGGATCAAGAGAATAGCCAATGGATGCTGGGCTTAATACCTGGGTAATGGGATGATCTATGCAGCAAACCACCATGGCACAATTTACCTATGTAACAAACCTGCACATCCCGCACATGTACCCATGAACTTAAAGTTGTAAAGTAAGAAGAAAAGAACTTGTCTAGATGCAAGTTAATCTGAAAAAAATTTATATTAACTGAGCACACTCCCAGCCCCAATAACATAGGTGTTTTTGTTTAGCAAGGAATAAGAAAAGAATGGATATTGGGTGGATACCTAATAGTAGTCTTTGTCAGACTGAATCGAGCAGATATAATAAAAAAGGAATGTGTGACAATGCTATGGTTTAAAAATAACATGATACCCAGCACTTTGGTAGGCCAAGGAGGGTGGATCACTTGAGGTCAGGAGTTCGAGACTAGCCTGGCCAATATAGTGGAACCTTGACTCCACTAAAAATACAAAAATTAGCTGGGCATGGTGGCAGACACCTGTAATCCCAGCTACTTGGGAGGCTGAGGCAGAAATTACTTGTACCTGGAAGGAAGAGGTTGCAGTGAGCTGAGATCATGCCAGTGCACTCCAGCCTGGACAACAGAGCAAGACTTCATCTCAAAAATTAAAAAAAAAAAAGATAGTCCAGAAATAACAAGACACAATCTAACAGGAAAGAAAGGTTAATTTCTTATTTAGGCTTTAAGAAAAAAATTTTAAAAAGCAGTAGCGCAAGTACAGAAAGACCTCATTCTCATAAAAATGGTAGTTAATTGCAAGTACTGTATCAAATATGTGATAAGTCTATCTAAAAATCTTCTAAATTGAATCTTTCTTGAGGGAAAGAAAATCAACATTAATTGAAATATTATTGCTCAGACAAGAAAGGTAGCAGTAGTTCATTGTGCTCAAACAATTGTCAGACCACCTATGGAATATCCTGTACAATGAAAAATTACAAGTTTCCCAGAGTGTGTTCTTCAGAGCAGTAGCTCTTAGAACATTAATGATTATTATGAGAAGGGAAGGTCTATTGTCAAAGAAGCTTGGAAAGGATGAGTTGTTAAGCAAAAGGTGTCTTTTGAGCAGTACTTTTCATGGTCTTTAATATACCAATATGCATTGCAGCTGTCCAAGACAGGAGGCCATTAAGGAAGCCTGAAGAGAAATGTCCCACCTTAGTGTCCTGAAAGGATATGCACTCCTCTATAGCTATTTACTTTTTACTTTCATCCCCTGACCTTTCTTCCAGCACTATGGTCCTCTCTTCATCACTTCTCTCTATTTTGATTATTTTCTTCTCCAGTGGCTCCTAACTTCTTTCTACAAATGCATTTGCTCTGTCTGATAAAAATCATTTTAACTTTGCTTCTCCATCCAGCTACCTTCTTTTTTTACCCTTCCTGTTACTGCTTCTGGTATTCGATGGTTTTTCCTTTTCCCTTCCCCCATTTTTGAACGATAGACTACTTTTTTTCATAGCTCATCTTGCACGTTAGTCTTCCATGAGATATGCCTGTAGGCATGCACAACTAGAGATGTTAAGTAGAGGCAGAAAGAAAAGAAAGACATCTGGCAATTAGATCTGACTTTATCCATTCTGGCTGTTATAACAAAATAGCATACACTCAGTAGCTTACGAACAATAGAAATTTATCTCCCAAAGTTATGGAGGCTGGGAAGTCCAAGATCAAGGTGCCAGAAGATTTGATGTCTGGTGAGGGTGTGCTTTCTGGTTCATAGTTGGCACCTTATAGTTGTGTCTACATGGTTAAAGGGGCGAAGGGTCTCTCTTGGACCTCTTTTATAGGGCCACTAATGACATCTCAAGTGCCCCATCTCAAAATATTATCACATTAGTGATTAGGTCTTAGAATATACATTTTGAAGGGACACAAACATTTAGAGCATTCCAAGGTCTTATTTGTTTTTCAGTGGTTAAGAGTTTCGTCAGGGAGGAGGAGTAGAATTATGTGAGCTTACTTCAGAGCAGAGTTTACTAATCTTCTATGTGTGTGTATGGAGTGGGTGTAAATCCTGAATCCTTTCAGTAAGAAGGGTACACCTATGAATGCCTTCTCAGTACACTTGGCCCTCTGTACCCATGGGTTCTGCATCCTGGGATTTAACTAACCATGGATCAAAAACTTAAGAGAAAAGTTTGCACTGGACATTTACGGATGTTTTTTTCTTGTCATTATTTCCTAAGCAATACATTATAACAATTACTTACATAACATTTACGTTATACTAGGCATTACAACAAATCTAGAGATGATTTAAAATATATGAGAGGATGTGAATGGGTTATAGGCAAACACTATGCCATTTCCTATCAGGGGCTTGAGCATCCATGGATTTTGGCGTCTGCCAGAGGTCCTGGAAGTAATCTCCCACGAATACTGTGGGACAACTGTATAATAGTTTTTTGTTGTTTTTAGTTTGTTTTTGGAGACAGGGTCTGCTATATCACCCAGGCTGGACTGTAGTGGTGTGATTGTAGCTCAGTGCAGCCTTAAACTCGCAGTCTCAAGCGATCCTCCTGTCTCAGCCTCCCTAGTAGTTAGGACCACATGTGTGGGCCACCACCTGGATCATTTAAAATTTTGTTTTTGTGGAGATGGGGTCTCTACAAAAGAGATGTCACTTAGGTAGGTCTCAAACTCCTGGCCTCAAGTGATCCTCCTGCCTTGGCCTCCTAAAGTGCTGGGATTACAGGCAGGAGGTACCACACTCAGCCTGTATAATGTTTATAAGCACAAAATAAAATTGTAGAATTAAAAATGAAACCAGTTGTATTAAAACAAATTATACAAATATTAAAATAAAAATTTGGTATAGTTATATATGTGCATCTTTATTAATGTATTAAATCATAAGATCCAGCAGATCACATATCTAACATACTTAATTTTGAAGTGCTTGCAAGAAGTCTAATGAGATAAGAAGGTATCTATGATTTTTACTGGCAACAAAGTCACAAACTACAGTGGTTTGGTAACTATATTCATAATTGAAGAAAATGGTATTTTTCAGTTACAAGTTAGTAAAAATACAGATGTAAACTTGTCATACAAGTTTACCAATCTCCTGAATTCTTTGTGGACTCCAGGTTAAAAACTACTAAATGGTAGAGTATATAGTTACAAGGAGTCAGATTTAAGCTCATTTTAAGTATATGTATTATGTGTATGTAAAGCCTTAATAATTAAGATGTCCTAGAATGAAAGGATTTTCTCACAAAGTAGTGATCTACCTGTTAATGGAAACGTCCAGTTAGCATCTAGAAAAATATTGAGGATGTTGTAGTATAACACTAATTAATATTAGCTAGCATCTACTGAGTGCTTGCTGTGTTTTATGCACTGGGTTAGGAGCAATTTTTGCATTGTGTCTTTTTTTTCATGATAGTTACGTCAGGTTATCTCTGTGTCATAGATAATACAATTTAGGTTTTGATATTTGTTAGAAGTTGACTATAGCCTGCAATCCCAGCTACTCAGGAGGCTGAGGCAGGAGAATCACTTGAACCCAGGAGGCAGAGTTTGGAATGAGCCAAGATCACACCACTGCACTCCAGTCTGGACAACAGAACGAGACCCCGTCTAAAAAAAATTAATAATAAATAAATAAATAAGTTGACGGCAATAAGTGGCAGAGTATGAACTCTAACCCATATCTAGGTGTCTCCAAAGCCTATAATTGGAGAATATTTTGATAATAATGTAGGAGAGAGATTGGTGAGAGAATTAGAGATCACCTTGTTCATCCTCTTTATTTGATAGATATGAGGACACTGAGAACTCAAAGAAGTTAGGTGACTTACTCCAGGTTACACAGTTTATAGCAGAGCCAGAAATTGGACTTTGATGCCTTTTTATGTGGAAACATGAGCTTTTATTATTTAGCTCTTCATCTGGTGGAAGTGGAACACAACCTGAAGAGAGAGGCAATGGACTACACTATGGTTTGGAACAGAGTGTATAGTAATTTCCTATTTCATTTAGACAACAGGGATATGCCTGAAAGTGCCTTTACCCATGTCATGCATTTATTCACAATGAACACAAAATTTACTTGAGTAATTTTTTTTTTCTCGAGGTATAGTCTCGCTCTATTGCCCAGGCTGGAGTGCAGTGGTGCGATCTCGGCTCACTGCAACCTCCGCCTCCTGGGTTCAAGCGATTCTCCTGCCTCAGCCTCCCTACTTGAGTAATATTTTAAATGTAACCATAGTGAACTGTCCAATACTAAAATTTGTGCCTTTGATAATATTTATATTATGAATAAAAATATGCTCTTTTAACCATGTCCTCATCTATTTTACCAGAAAGTATCTTGTGTATTGTCAATACAAAGTATCTAATGCATGAATGACTGAGTATGATTGTCTGGTTTTCTTTAATCACTACTTACACCAAATAATTGGGTATTTACAATATACTGATTCTATTATTTTTTACTGAAATATAATTATAGTTAAATTTACCATTCGTTAACAATGAGGGAAGAAGTTGTCTAGATTAGTTCAAAAACCAACATGTAAATTCTTTCTGGAATACGGTAATACATAAATGAATATGCAATAAAAGTGTGAAAACAATTTTTAAATAAAAACAGTTAAATTAATTTCTAAAATATACAGGGATTACACTAACAAATTTTCCTGAGTATGAAATTTAGGAAGCATGCTTTTCTAAAATGAATGCTTTTTAACATTATTTATAAACAAATGTTGTTTCTAATATTTTATATAGCCTACATGCAATAGGTGCTCAATAAATACTCATTAACTTAGTTCAAGATGTTGACAGAACACATGGTTTTTGTTTTCCTTTACTTTTCCTAATACCCATTAAAATAGTAGAAAAACTAAATCTGTATAATGCACAACAATAAAGAGAATGGGGAAAAGGCCATCAGTGGTAAGAGATTTTATCGAATTTCTGGAAGATGAAATATGAGTGAGTGGTGTTGATTACTGAAGCAAAACAAAGTCAATTATTGCAGAGAATATTTGTAGAGGGAGCTACACCCAAGAAGAAGCCCTAATAACATGGCAGAAGCTAACAAGGCTCCAGTTTCAGATAAGCCAATGCTGATGGACATTGAAATGAGAAACATAGATGTAATCAGCATTTTGATCAAGAGCATGTGCACTAGTTTTTGCTGCCCAATGAGCCACTTTAAATCATAATGGCTTAAAACAACCATTTATTTAGTTTACTATTCTGCCTAGTCAGCCATTTTGGCTGGGCTTATATGGGCATATTCCTGTGTCTTTGCTCAACCAATCAGTTGATCAGCTCTGCTTCTGCAGGTTGGTTGGGTGTCAGTTAGCAAGATAGGGGCCACTAGGCCTTGCAAATCTCATCAGACTAGTTTGGGATTGTCACTTAGTAGAGGAGCAGGATTATAAGAGAAATAATATAAACGCAAGATCTCTTAAAGTCTAGGTTTAGAATTGGCACACATTAACTTCATTCTTGCATTGCTTGACTAGGTTATAAGACCAGTCCAGATTCAAAGGATATCGCAACAGACTGTTATTTGTTGATGAGAAGAACTACAAAGTCACATTGCAAAAGGGTGGATACAGGGAAGGTATAAATCTTGAGCATTTGTGGGTCTAACACAATGTAGAGGGCCCAGCTTTATCCTTCTCTACTTACCACATCTGTTCTCAGCCCCATACTAGAATACGTGGCATGAAGCCAGGTATTTACCATCACTTCAACAGAAGCGAAAACAAAGCAAAACAAAGTTTATTTAATGAAAACATTAAATGAAAGAAAATAGATAAAATATATTTAGGAAAATCTCTTGGAAAGAGTATATTAATAGATTAGAGAGTGTGAATGAGGTTTTGGAAAACCTTGAGGGTGTAAATTGATGCTAGAAACATCCTTCTCTGAGTGGCCTACTAATTCTGACATAGGAATCAGAGAAAAGGAAATGTAATCTTAACTATTTCACTTTGCAGAAAATAATCTTTACATAGTCATAAAAATGAAAACCCTGTTTATAGTTTTCAACTTTAGAATTGCTCCATAGACAAGTCATATAAGTCTTAACTGTGTATCAGTGTAAATGTTTTCAAACTTAACAATATTAAAACACCAACCTGGGACCCATAGGCACAGACATATCTTTTACATCTTTGAAATTTAAAGCTCAATGTGATGGTCTGTGTCTTGACTCTATTTAGCCAAACCACTGTGTCATCTTTTACTAATACTCTTTCCCCATGATAGTAGCCCCAAGACAAGTAAGCTGGTCTAGAGGCTCAGTGGATGTTCAGTGACAGTGCAAGTCATCACCCTTTACTTTTTGCAGATACCACAAAGCTGTTTTTAAGAGTCTCTTGCCATCCTGCCTATGACTTTGTGCAGTGGAATCAGTTGAGTTCATGGGAAAGCAAATAAAAGGATGGTCTCTGTTTATAGACATAGCCCTGTCTTAGAAATCTAATCTCTCTTATCACTCTCATCTACAAAGACTGTCAAGGAAATGTGTCCTCTCCTGCCCATGGAGACAGATTGGGCATCTCACATGAAAAAATATGTCCTTTGAACTTGCCTGAGAAATTCCAGTAACTTTTTTCTCACCAGGATACTTTTCTACTGTAAGCTTGCCAATATTTGGTAATCTCTAGAATAGGAACCCATCTCAATCAGCAGTGCACACCATCCTGTTTTGTGCAGTCTAAGTTTAGAGCTGTCTAAGTCCATTTGAGCTGCTACAACAAAATGCCATAGACTAGGTAGTTATAAGTATCAGAAATTTATTTCTCACAGTTCTGGAAGCTGGGAAGGCCAAGGTCAAAGCACCAGCAAATTTGGTGTCTGATGAGGGCCCACTTTCTGGCTTATAGATGGTGCATTCTACCTGTGTCCTCACATGGTGGAAGGAGACAAGTCAGGTCTCTGGGGCCTCTTTTATAAGGGCACTAATTTCATTCATGAAGGTTCCTCCTTCATGATATAATCACCCCCCAGGCCCTACCTTCTAATATCATCACATTGGTGATTAGGTTTCAGCAGATGAGTTTTGGGGGAATACATTCAGGCTGCAGCAAGGTCAAAAAGAATATTGCATCATTTTGCTTTAGAGACCTTTCTGTTCTAGCTACATTTTGATTATCTATATGACACAATAAAAAAGAAAGTCAGGAAACCTAAGATCTTATACTTCAATAGAGTTTTTATAGGACAACATTGATTAATGGCTACAGTTAATACAAAAACTCTAACAGCAGCAATCAAATATTTCCATTCATCACACTTGAAACTTGGCCTCAGGTCTATGGTATTTTGAAATTTTTTGTTGTTGTTTTGAGAGTGACATGAGTGCAGGCCCAGCTTCATGGATATACAAACTATACATTCACATGGGTTCCACACCTAGATGGGCTCTTACATCATGTAGCTGGTCCTACCTGGGAGAGAGCTAAAAATTAAGTTGCAGTCATCAAATTACTGATCAGATACTGAAATTAAACCTGAAAGATGTTGAGAACCCAGAGAAATTCTCAATCATGTTAATAATACTTTCATGCATTTGACATTTCTTTTTTCCTGCCTCTTCTCTCTACCTGTAGAACTTTTCAAGTTCCATTATTATACCATTGTTGGCCCTTTGTTTCCTCCTCCAAAGACTTAAAGAAGAAGTTATGATTAAGCATATGAAATATGCATACCAGGTTTTCTATAAAGATTCCTCGGCATCTCTGCCAAGCTGTCATATGAGCACTTGCATGTTGTTATATAAAAACACATATTTTAAATAAATTTTAGTGCTGTTCTAAGCAAAAAGCACATATTTTAAAAATCTGGAGTTTTCTGTTTCAATTTGAGAGAACTACATTTTGCTTAATTACTATTTAAATCACTGTAACACAATATTGATGACAAAATTTGAGTTTGCTTTTTAATAAACTGTCAATCAAAGAAATAACATAGAACTTTGTTTTTCTCCTCTGTTAAGGCATGGCTTAACTGTAATTTACTTGAAAACATTATACTGTTTGACAGGAAAACAGAACCACCTTGAATTATTCTAACCCATTCAGATTTAAGAAAATGCATCGTAGCAAATTAACTGCTATTTGGTTTTGATCATTCTGTCTGTATCATAGAAATATGGTTCACTAGTGAATCAATGAGAGATAAAAGGTGATCATGGTCTGTGAGATAAATGCTGCCCCTCTGAGTTGCTTCCAACGTAGCCAGCTTCAGTGTATCAGTTAGAGTAGTTAATACTAACTGTTGTAACAGATAAATACCCAAATCCCAGTTGCTCAAACAATTGAAGTTTATCTCTCATTCATGCTAAGTCAGTTGATGTTTCTGGTTCACCAGCTGCCTTCCACCTGGTCACCCAGACACCTGGGTTTCTTCCTATGCACCTGTGGCTTCATTTTCCTCTCAAACTTCAGACTTCTCTCCCATCAGTATGTGAATAGGGAACCCAGAGATGTTTCCTATGAGCAGGCCCAGAAGTGGCTTATGTTGCTTCCATTTACCTTACATCTACATGTCTATACAAAAGAAATGTGGTCTAGCTATGGGCCCAGGGAAGAAGGAATGAATTTCATTGACTCTCTGCCACTCGCTGCTTAAGGTCAGATGATACTGCACTCTATCCAAATCAATTTCTTTTTGTAATCCTTAAAACAAATGTGTTGCATCCATATTATATTTATAACATATGTCTGTTTCTTTTGGACAGTATTATTCTGTAGACTTCTTGACTGATACATCCCAAGATCATCTTTACTGACTTAGGGTTACAGTTTTGGATAAGTTATCCCAATCTCAGGAGTTTAATATGCCTTATTGCAGATCTTTTCCAACTTCTAGGTAAGAAGTAAACTCATTCCTAATCTTACTACTTGGACATAGTCTCTCCCTGCTACCATGTCCTCACAGGACCTCTTCCTTGGTTCAGTATTGCAACTATCTCCCAGTTTTCCTCTTTCATCTCTGGCTTCTCCTTCTTTATCTCCCTTTTAACTTCTATTTGACCATTAAGTGTTGGCAATGCCTCAGGCGTGGTCCTCCTTTTTATTGCCTTACACTATACTTCCCATGCCTCTGATTTCAATGATCACTTATATACTAAGGACTCGCCAATTTGTATATTCAGCCCATATTTGTCCTCTGGAACTCAGACCTGTATATCCTACCGCTTTTTCAATATCTTCCATTGAGTGTTTCAGAGGCATTTTAGATCCAAAATATCCAAAACTGAAATTCTGTTTTCCCCTCACAGCCTGCTTACTGCGACCTGATTTTTCTCTTGTGGCCCTTAAAACTATGAATATCAACAGTCATCCAATTCTTCACCTTCATCTTCCTCCCTCAGTTGCTGTAAGTACCCTATCACTAAGGCCTGTCGATTTCACCTTCCAGTTATGCGCTGCATCTATCCCTCTCTCTTCATCTTTCCCGGGGCCGGCCTGTCTGTGCTGGCATTACCTGTTTCCTGAACCACAGTGATAGCTGCCTTGATCCATTTCCTGGCATCTGCTCTTGCCCCTCATCCAATCTGTTCTCCATATTGCAGTCAGTCACCTGTTTGAAACAGAAGTCCAACCTTATCACTCACCACACACCCTTGCCTTAAAACCAGTTAGCGGTTTCCCATTGTTCTTAAGACTATTAACGTCATTTTTGTGTGATTGTCCAGGGGCTCAATAATCTGAATCACACCTTGTCTCCAGCCTCCTTTCTGCCTTATCCTGAAGTATCCCCTGCCTGTTTCACTCCCTCAGCTTCTTGTACACCGACTTTCCACCCAGTGCCTCAGGGCACTTTCTCATGCTGTTCTCTCTGCCAGGAACACATGCTTCTGCTTTTCTCTCCCCTTTACCTAGTGAATCCCTCCTCATCCTTCCCATCTTTGTAAATTCACTTCAGTTTAGAAGACTTCTCTGGACTGTTATATTGTCAGAACTATCTTCTATATATGCTGCAGAAGTATACATACGCTGCATACTTCTTTCACTGTACTTATCAGATATGAGTAAATGTATAATTTAATGTAAATGTGATTAAATTGTTAGTCTCTTTTATTCACTGAATAATGTCTATTTGCTCATCACTGCATCAGTAGTACCTAGAACAATGTCTCACACACAATTGAATCCAATAAGCATCTTTGTTCTCGGCAGCTCCTCGTTTTTTAATCTTAAGCCCTACCCTACCACCTAGCACAGAGAGAGTCTAAATAAGTATTTATTTAGTTGAAGTGGCTGTTAATGGCTAGTGTTTAAATATATTCATTTGAAAGACATATTTCACAAAATTGCCTTGTTGGCCAGCCCAGTTTGACTCCCAATAAAAAATACAAGTGTGCCATTTTGTTTCAGACAGACACATAAGGTTGCTATTTAGAAGGAGGGTTTTTATTGATATATTAAGACTGCCTTGAACATATCAAGTTAATTTATTCCCATTTCATTTTTTAGCCATCTGTTTGTTTCTAAAGGAACAAAGATTTGGTAGAAGTGGTAATAAATACTCAGATAAAAAATCTATGTAATAAAATTTCTATGTAATCTTCAGCACTTACTATGAAAAAAAATAAGTAGATTATGGCAGAATAAAAGTAAAATATTTTCTGCTTGATATTTAGAGTGTTGTTTTGGCATCTGTGACTTGTGCTAATGACCTCGGGTTTAAGTTTGGTTTTTATTGTCTGAAGATAGCTGGATTTGGGAGAGTAAGTCAACAACCTTTTTTTTTTTTTTAGCAAAACTCTAAATGTCTGGATGATCTGATAGATGCAATTCACTATTCGAGTCAAATGTTGAATATGTATTACAATTTAGGCTGTTCTTGAAGCTTTATTAAATTGAGCACCAAATCTTCTGAAGCTAATGGAGGTAAAATCATAGTCAAACGCCCTTTTAACTCAAAAGAACCATGCCCCCAACTATTTCTCTTTCTCAAACTATTGCTTCTTTCAGGCTAGGATATTTGGGATATTAAAGGGCTCTTTTAACTCAAAATAGCAAAACCATAGCCCTCATCTTCTTATTTAGGAAGACGGTCTTTAACATTTAATTCTGAGCACTTACCTTTTCCGTAAATGAAATTCTGTTTCTCATTTGGATATTGGCAGAGAGCCAAGATAAGGTGAGCATTGAGCAGGATAAACTAGATGATTCCTTAATTCAGCAAATATATTTTGATTCCAATTGTGTACCAGAAATTCTTCTAGGTACTGGGAATTTATCAGTGAACAAATAACATTTCTATCCTCACAGAGCTTACATTCTGAAAGATAGGTAATAAATAATTATCTATCTATCTAATTGAATCACTCTTCTCTCTCTCTCTCTCTGTCTTTCTCTCTTTGTCTCCCCGCTTGGGTCTTTCAAAGACATTTCTGCAGGAGTACAGCTATGAGCTGTTTAGCAGTCAGTACAACCTCTGGAAGATGGGTGTACCTGCCCAATAAAGGGGATCTGAGAAGACCGTCAGTAGCATCTACTATAGAAGATAAATGCAGTATTCCAGGCAGGAGATTATGATGGCTTGGACTAGGGTGGTAGCTGTGTTTACGGTGAGAAAGATAAGATCTGGATATATTTCTAAGGTAGATTTCACAAGTTTGCTGCTTGATTGAGATCAGTTGCAAGGAAAAGGAAAGTCAAAAATGACTATATAAATTCTGGTCTGAGAAACTGTGCAAATAGAGATACTGTTTACTGAAATGGAAAGGGAGAGATCAAGATTTTCATGTTAAATTTGGTACATTCATTCAGATATATCAGTGGAAAGATAGGCAGTTGGTTATGGTAGTCTTGAGTTCAGGTTGGTTTTACAAATCTAATTTGGGTATTGATGATTTTAAAACTGAGGAGTTACCATAGATAAATAGGAAAAGCCACTCTAATGTTTTGAAGTTGGAAATTCAAAAGGAAATGGAGCTTTTGAGAAGGAGCAGCTGGTGAGGCAGAAATACAACCTAGAGTGAGGAAAGGCTTGGAAGTCAATGAAGATAGTGTTTTACAAAGGAATGCATGATTAATTGTGAATGCTGCTGATTACTTAAGTGAGAACTGAGAATTGACAAATGAATTTAGCACTGAGAAGACCTTGGATGATCTTGAGAAGAGCTGTTTCAGTGGAGTACTATAAACAAAAACATAGGAGTACATTCAAGAAGAAATGGTGGGAGGGCAAGAACTGAATATCATGAGTTTGGAAAACTCTTTTGAGGAGTTTTACTTTAAAGAATTTAGGCAGAGAAATAAGATATATAGTAGTTAAGACTTAAATTGGACATATTATGGCAGGTTGCTATGTAAATGGGAAGAATCCAGAGAAGAGGAGGAAATTAGTGATGCAACAGAGACAGTAATAACTGGAGTGATATACTTGAAGAGGAGAAAAGAGATGATATCAGGCACATAAATGGAGGATTTGATAAATGTGATGGGGGCTGCAGAGAAAAATTGTTTTCTGATTTGCTATTATTTTTTTCAAAGAAATAGGCTATCAACTGAGTGTGAGGATAGAGCAGAAGCTGTTAAAAATTTAAGGAGAGTTGTGAAATAATCATCTGTAAGCAGGAGTGTGAATGAACTAGGAAGATGTAGTAATATTTCTGGACAGCCCTGAGAGCTGAAATATTGTAAGAAATAATCTGAGGAAGTTCTGAGTACTTAGACAGTTGAGGTTAGGGGGAGCATTTTATTAAAACAATCACAAAGAACATGGGAAAAACAGATACCAACTTGGCAATTGTCATAGTATTAAATAAAACTAATTTTGGAAAATTAAACTAAAAAGATGTTATATGCATTATGATGTTTCAAAATAGACTAGGGCCAATCAGACCCAATAGTTTCTTTATATAAGACCCCATAGTTTAATTATATAATTAAGTGTTACGTTCAAATTTTGATAAATGATAAATATATTGTACCACCATGGGAATTTGAAAATGCGACCATTTGTACTGGGATATTATCATGTAATATTTTAATTTTACCTCTTAATTATCAAAGTGAAAGATTTCCATGCAGTATTATTTGGTTGTGGGGTAATTGTTTAATTTATTTGGAATTTTATAGTGCTTTTGCTTAGCCACATTTTATTTTGTGGTCAAATTCAAATGCTGATCTAATGGCTTCAGAGTAAAATGAGAAAGGTCAAATGGGACTGGAAATTAGGGTTTTCTTCCTGTCATTAGGTATATTTATTTATAAAATAACTGGAAAATTCCTCATGTATTTAACATCTGTTCCTTCTTTCCCTGGTCACTGCATATCAAGAAGACTTTGACATTGAGGTTTGATACGGTTTGGCTCTGTGTCCCCACCCAAATCTCATCTTGAATTGTACTCCCATAATTCCCAAATGTTGTGGGAGGGACTCGGTGGGAGATAATTTGAATCATGGGGTAAACTTTCCCCCATACTGCTCTCATGGTAGTGAATAAGTGTCACAAGATCTGATGGTTTTATCAGGGGTTTCTGCTTTTGCATCTTCCTCATTTTCTCTTGCCACTGACGTGTAAGAAGTACCTTTTGCCTCCTGCCATAATTGTGAGGCCTTCCCAGCCATGTGGAAGTGTAAGTCCAATTAAACCACTTTTTCTTCCCAGTCTCGGGTATGTCTTTATAAGCAATGTGAAAATGGACTAATACAGTAAATTGGTACCAATAGAGTGGAGTGTTGATGAAAAGATACCTGAAATGTGGAAGCGACTTTGGAATTGCCCAACAGGCAGAGGTTGAAACAGTTTGGAGAGCTCAGAAGAAGACAGAATAATGTGGGAAAGTATGGAGCTTCCTAGAGACTTGTTAAATGGCTTTGACCCAAAGCCTGCTAGCAATATGGACAATAAGATCCAAGCTGAGGTGCTCTCAGATGGAGATAAGGAACTTGTTGGGAACTGTAGCAAAGGTGATTCTTATTATGTTTTAGCAAAGAGACTCACAGCATTTTGCCATGCCCTAGAAATTTGTGGAACTTTGAACTTGAGAGATGATTTAGGGTATCTGGTGGAAGAAATTTCTAAGCAGCAAAGTATTCAAGAGGTGACTTGAGTGCTGTTAAAGGCACTCAGTTTTATAAGAGAAGCAGAGCAGAAAAGTTTAAAAAATTTTGTAGCCTGACAATGTGATAGAAAAGAAAAACCTATTTTCTGAGGAGAAATTGAAGCTGGCTGCAGAAATTTGCATAAGTAACGAGAGGCCGAATGTTAAGCCTTCAAGACGATGAGGAAAATGTCTCCAGAGTATCTCAGAGGTCTTCACAGCAGCCCCTCCCATCACAGGCCTGGAAGCCTAGGAGAAAATGGTTTTGTGGGCCAGGCCCAGGGTCCCCGTGCTGTGTGCAGTCTAGTGACCAGGTGCCCTGCATCCCAGCCACTCCAGCTGTGACTAAAAGGGGCCAAAGTACAGCTCGTGCTATGGCTTCAGAGGGCAGCAGCCCTAAGCCTTGGCATCTTCCATGTGGTGTTCAGCCTGCAGATGCACAGAAGTCAAGAATTGAAGTTCGGGAACCTCCGCCTATATTTCAGAAGATGTATGGAAATGCCTGGATGCCCAGGCAGAAGTTTGCTGCAGGGGCAGGGCCCTCATGGAAAACCTCTGCTAGGGAAGTGTGGAAGGGAAATGTGGGGTTGGAGCCTCCACACAGAGTCCCTACTGGGGCACTGCCTAGTGGAGCTATGAGAAGAGGGCCACAGCCTTCAGACCCCAGAATGGTAGATCCAATGACAGCTTGAAGCATGTGCCTGGAAAAGCCACAGATACTCAACGCCAGCCCATGAAAGCAGCCAGTGGGAGGCTGCACCCTGCAAAACCAAAGCAGCAGAGGTGCCCAAGACCATGGGAACCCACCTCTTGCATCAATGTGACCTGGATGTGAGACATGGAGTCAAAGGAGATCATTTTGGGGCTCTAAAATTTGACTGCCCTGCTGGATTTTGAGCTTGCATGGGCCCTGTAACCACTTCGTTTTGGCCAATTTCTCCCATTTGGAATGGCTGCATTTACCCACTACCTGTACCTGCATTGTCTCTAGGAAGTAACTAGCTTGCTTTTGATTTTACGGGCTCATAGGTGGAAGGAACTTGCCTTGTCTCAGATGAGACTTTGGACTGTTGACTTTTGGGTTAATGCTGAAATGAGTTAAGACTTTCAGGGACTATTGGGAAGGCATGATTGGTTTTGAAATGTGAGGACGTGAGATTTGGAGGGCCCAGGGGGGAATTATATGGTTTAGCTCCGTGTCCCCACCCAAATCTCATCTTGAATTGTACTCCCATAATTCCCACATGTTGTGGGAGGCATTTGGTGGGAGATAATTAGAATCATGGGGCAGTTTCCTCCACACTGTTCTCGTGGTCGTGAATAAGTCTCACAAGATCTGATGGTTTTATCAGGGGTTTCCACTTTTGTATCTTCCTCATTTTCTCTTGCCACCAACTTGTAAGAAGTGCCTTTTGCCTCCTGCCATGATTGTGAGGCCTCCCCAGACACATGGAAGTGTAAGTCCAATTAAACCTCTTTTTCTTCCCAGTCTTGGGTATGTCTTTATCGCCACATGAAAACAGACTAATACAAGGTTATTCTATGAGTTAGAAATAATTCCTCTAAAAGTAACACTTGCTGAGAATTTCCCTACCTTTTCTGGGCTTTTAAAAATGCATCTTATTCCTCATCCCCTAAAGTGGGTGTGTTAGTCAGGGTTCTCTAGAGGGACAAAACTAATAGGAGATATATATATATATATCTCCTATATATCCTATATATATATAGTATTAACTCACATGATCACATGGTCCCACAATAGGCCTTCTGCAAGCTGAGGAACAAGGAGAGCCATTCCGAGTCCCAAAACTGAACTTGGAGTCCAATTTTCAAGGGCAGGAAGCATCCAGCATGGGAGAAAGATGTAGAGTGGGAGTCTAGGCCAGTCTCATGTTTTCACATTCTTCTGCCTGCTTTATATTCTAGCTGTGCTGGTAGCTGATTAGATAGTGCCCACTCAGATTAAGGGTGGGTCTGCCTTTCCCAGCCCACTGACTCAAATGTTAATCTCCTTTGGCAACACCCTCACAGACACACCCAGGATCAATACTTTGCATCCTTCAATCTAATCAAGTTGACACTCAGTGTTAACTATCGCAGTGGGTAAAAGCCATTACTAGGCAACCCAACCGTTGCTGCAGGTTGATGCAGCAATGAGTAGGAAGATGTGGTGGGAAGATGTGGGAGTATAAACTTCGCCAGGCAGTAATATAGGTATATAATACATGAGCAGGGCTGCAATACTCTCTTAGGAACTGGACAGCTTTATGGGCCAAACCAAACCTCAAAACCCAGCTGCCCACCTGACACAAGACTGTCCATGGGAGTGAAGTTCTGCAGGGTTCTTTCCCATCATTATCCCAGGGGAAGAGTTACTCTAGAGAATGCCCACTTAAAAGGTATGTGAGTCTGACTCTGCAGATCACCCACTGTCTACACAGCTCTTGTTTCTGAAGAGCTGTCCTTGCATTGTCAATACCTTGGTGCAACATATGTGGCTTCCTGCCCTTCTGCCAAGTGGACCTCCTCACTTTGAGCACATGGTAAGCATCCTCCATAGGTACACAAAGTTTGTAGCAACTAACTCCTATCTGGAGTTACTCAGACCCACTACCTCTCCTGTTAGTGCATCTATGCTCTTCACAAAGTACAGTAAGCTCTGCTTCACTTGTCTTGAAAACATGAATTTGTTCTAATGCAATGGACATATTGGAGAAGAATTTGATGAACAGCTAAAAAAAGCAATAGTATAAATAATTTTCATGGCTCTACATGTAACCTCTGGAATGCATAACAATGCTTTTTTCCATAAGAAGATGTTTTTCTGTGCTTGTAGATTATTCTTTTAGACCTGTAAAGAATGCTTGGAAATAATTGATGAAGTGCCAAGTCCACTAAGTTTCTGTTTTTAGCTTCTATCCTGAAGTTTCTCATATTCTTTACCTTTACATCTCTCAGTGTGAGCTCATATGAATCTGTGGCTTCAGGTCCCATGTATATACTGATGACACCCAAATCTCTTCTTGAATGACCAAAGACCAAACTTTCTGAGTCACAGATTTTTATTTACATCTGAATGTACCCCTAGTATTTTAAATTTCTTAAATATAAAAGTTTAATATTTCTCATACCCACTTATGTATATGCATGTGTGAGTGTGAGTATGAGTGTGTGTACCACATATACTTACTATGTGTGTTAGGCATTGTCCTATATGTTTCATATCTATTAACTCATTAATTCCCCAAACAGCCTTATGAGTTAAGTCTTCTCATTATGTCCTTATAATAAATGAAGAAACTGAAGCCAAGGGATTAAGTAACTTATCCAAGGTCAATGAAGGAGCTGAGATTTAAATCCAGAAAATCTAATTCCAGAGGACAACCATTTTCCAAACATCATGCAATCCAACAAGGTGAAAGCCTGTAAGGATTATTTCAATTCTTTATTTGAATCTCTGCTTCAGCAAGCACATTCACTGGAGGAAAGATATCCAGCCTTTGGTTACAGAGAAGGCATGCTCTCAGAAGGCTCATATTTGGTTTACAGTTACTTGCTCATTGATTTTTGTGAGTTCCTGAAACTTACAGAACTTTCTTAGGTGTTCAGTCAAATTGTAAACTATTATATGAATAGTGTCCATCATAGTTTTCATATGAACGTTAACCAAGGCCTCTCAATCACAGGTGGAACATGTGAGCATAAGGTTAATATCATCAAGTAACTGGTGATAAGGCTAAAATGATGGATGAAAGTCAGATTGTGGAATACCTTAAAGGGCAGACCAACAAGGTTTAAGGACTTTATCTTGCTGTTGGTAGTAATAATTTTTTGTACCAGGAGTTTGCCATGAGCTTCAGACCATGTTTCAGGAAGAATCAGTTGGGCCTGTGTGTGTAGTTCCTGGATAGTAGAGCATGCACAGACCTTGAGTGCACTCACTTTAGGGGTCTTACAGTCTGGTGCTGTGGTTCTCCAACTTTAGTGTGTATCAGAATCTCTTGGGGAAACATGTTATAATATCCTGGGAGGGCTTCATACCAGGACTCCGTCTTCAGAGATTTTGTTTCAGTGGAAATGGATTTAAAAGGCAGTGAGCTGCATTTTCATAAACACCACTCTTGAAGATGATAATGCAGGTTGTTTGAGAAACACTGATCTAGTGGCTGTGGAATTGATGTAAGTGTCAGGCAAAAATGGTCAAAAGTAGGATAGTTGGAAAGTAAGAGGTGGAATTTCAATTCTGAATGGCCATTTGAGCCCACATGTTTTATTTATTTATTTATTGCAGATTCTCAGTAAACACACACACACACACACACACACACACACACACAACCTACATCCATCCTGAAAAACAGGAAAGGTTTCCATGCAGAGGTCAAAAACTGTGACGTATATCTGCCATATATAGTGCCTGGAGGACCAAGCTGAGGAAAGAAACCATCAGCTTAAAAACCCAGGCACAAATTGAAAAGCATTCAAGAAAAGCAAGTGCATGGGATTCCTGAGAAAAACTTCATCAAACCCTCAAGTGTGAAGTAGAGTAACTGGAACAAAAGCGGAAGCATGACAGTCAGCATAAGTAAACCTCAACTTAAACAGTCTCAAGGAGCCAGAGGTCACCAGATAAGCCGCCTAGGGAAATGGGTTGACTGAGTCTCTTGCAGTGATCAGTTCAGGATAGGACTGCTTAAAGTAAGAAACTATGAGAGTTAATGACAGAAACTTGTTTGGGTAATGCTCACTTTTAGAAAATAGAGAAAAGACAGTCAACAGAGCTGATAGGAAACTTGAAATCTATGCAGTGGCCTAGAAACAACAACAACAAAAGGAGTGATTTTCAGGAGAATGTGGTTAAATTGCCACAAGATATACAAATGTCAAACAACATGAAGATAAAGAAAAGATCAATTGTTTGGCAAGTTGGTGCTCATGTCATCTTTGTGAGAGATTTCAGCAGAGTGGTGTGAACAGAAGTCAGATTGAGGGGGTGGAAGAAATGATTAAGAGATGAAGAAATGAAGTCATCAAAGGTTCAACAGTCTCTCTGTGGTGTGTGTGTGTGTGTGTATGTGTGTGTGTTTGTGTTTAGTAGCAAAAAGGAAAGAGGGTTGGTAGCTGCAGGGGTAATCAGAGTAGAATATTTTTATGAGCCAGAGGTCTTCTCTTCATGTATGGTGAGAAAAGGAAAGGAACCAGAAAGAATAGTAACTATTCAAGATGGCGAGGAGTAAGGTGATGATTGATGATGGATCATGTGTTGTGGGATCAGGGTCTCTTTAGAGTTAATATAAATCAAATTTCAGGGCCATGAAGTAAGACAGTACATTCATATTTTATTGTAGTTAATTAATTCTCTTAAAAAGGGAATATAAAGGGAAGGTAATAGTTGCATATTTATAGATTGTAGTCTAATATGAGCTGATTTATAAAATGTTGGCATTATGTTTTTGAGGTGGTAGGATAAAGAAAAGAAAGTGAAAACTTTAAGTGTAGGGTTGAGTTTATCAGGAATGTGTTTGATATAGACTTGTGAGTGGTAATCTGGAATATATCTAGTATCTAAAGATACTAAAGAAAAACAAAGGGCCAGTAGGCCTTATAGGAGAAAATGGATTCATAGCTCTTAAGGGATAAAAGTGAAAAAATGACAGATCAATATGGCTGTTGTTACTAGAACCATTCCTTTGTTTGGAAAAAGTGTTAGTTACTCTTAAATAATTTAATGCCAAAACAAAATACAACATTAACTGAAAAGGAGAATATAAAGTTATATCAACACTATAATTATAATTATTTAAAATTACTTATGTTGTGGATAAGAGTTGGAAGGAAATATTTTTTTTTTTAGAAATATGCAATTTTGGGTAATGTCAAATTATTTTTCTTCTTCATAATAATTTTTGCAGAAAAAATCTAAGTATAGCTAACATTAGCTTATGAAAGTAAGGTGTTTTATTCAGATCTCATAATCTCAGATCTTTTGAATGGGTTGTTGCAAAGGGATTAACAAAAATGTTGCTTGCTTTATACCGTTCTGCATAGGTAGCTATACTTATTAACATGATAGATGCAAACTGGTGTTCAGTTGATTATAATATATTATTTTTGCATTCCAGATGTCATTTCCTATGGGCAATGAGTTTGCAATTTCCCAAATGTAAGAATTTAATTTTTTCCTGCTCTCGTTTCTGATGTCTTTAAGATCTTTGATTTTTTTTTCTATTTAGCAGCACCAACCGAATTTTCCCATAAAGAAATATCTCATTAACCCAATTATTTTCCCATAAATAATTAACCTAATTATAGACTATCAGTTTCTGCATTATGAGGTATTTATAAAGCTGACAGAATTAAGAATGTACATTTTCTCCTCTGCTCTTTATCTGGGACAACACGTTGGTCAAATTTCTGTTATGAGTGGCTTTAGAATGGGAGACTTCCAAAGGATTATGTTGTACTGGTGGCACTATATGGCAATGGGGGGTGTCAGTAGGCATAAGGGGGTTACCCTTATTAACATCTTTGGAAGCTCAGAATTAAATCTATGTAATTTTTATATGCTATTGCTCCTCCTATAGAACTCTGGGTCTCAACCTTTTGTCTGTGGGCAAAAGTTCACATGCACAACACCATCTAGGTTGGTCTGTGTTGCACATGGCTGCTGAAGATGTAAGAGAGACTGTGGATTCTGTGCTGTTTCTCAGGCCCTCACTATAATCCATCGTTTGCCCTCCCATAGACTTGAATTATGACAACCAGGCTGGGACTCATGCTATGTAGAAGACCTTTCTGGAGATGAGTTAAAGATACGTAGTCCAAGCATTGTGGCAGGAGCCATTCTTTAATAGTTTCATGTCTTATCTGTAAATAATGTTGTTTACTACAAAGCATAACCTCCAACTTAAATCTTCTATACTAAGTTGTGAGCAAAGAATTGAGCACACAACAGCAAGATCTAGGTTACTCCTTTCCCCTCCATTCACGTAAAATCTTATGTGAATGAGTATGTGATTCAGTTACTGAATCAGTAAACTGGTCAATAATTCACTTATTTCACCTAAGAAGAAACATATTCTTTTTTAAAAGCACTGAATATTATATTGATGTTGGTATTATAATACAATGGAATTGTGTCTACCTAGTACCCTTATTTCTAGATCTCAAGTGACTAAACAGCCTGAATCTGGAAATACAGAGAAAAAATACACAAAGAGTCGTGAATTTAAATAGCAATTCTGTCACTAACTGGCTGTTTAATTTGAGTGTTTTATTTAAGCTGTGTAAATCCAGGCTTCTCACTGAAAAATAGAGATAATACATAGATTATAGCATTATATTGTGAAAGACACAAGATAGTGAACATATAGTTCTTTGCCCTGTATCTGGTACATAGTAGGTGCTCAAAATTACTAGTTTTTTAAAAATAATTATCCTCATTATTTGGTGTCTTCAATGACCTTCTTACATAGTCCATTATGATAATAAATGCAATTAATTTTTTGTTCATGACACCCTGAAGGTGTTTCTGTGTCAGATTCACTCAGAGACCTCATGATGAGGAAGGAACATGGTGGCGAATCTTACCCTGGTGATGCCAAACACAGCAGTGACTCATAACCATTCCAGCACTGCCTATGAAATGGATCAATTAAAGGACGGTGACACACAAAGATGGCTACTTCCAGAGGGAGACCTTGGAAATTCTTTTATGTTAACAGTGTACCCCACACAAGAATAGGAGAACCACATTCTGTCAGTACACTGGGGAAGTTTTTTCAAAATATCTCTGGACTGTGTAGATTTCTGGTAATAGAAAATATGATCTGCCACTTCAATCTACTGAATACTGTCCGTTTTTTTCTATATAATGGCTTTTAGGAACTGTTGTGAGGCATCCTAAGTATTATCTAGCCATCCATCCATCCATCCATCCATCCATCCATCCATCCATGTATCTATCTAATCTATGTGATTATATGTGTAGAGCTTATTCATACATATATATATACACACACATACATACACACATAGTTATATGTATTTATACACACATATACATATAATGTCTTTATCAGCCTGAAGTATGGATTTTTAAAGTGGTAATATTGCCTTACTTATTGTTTCTCATCCACTGTGACATTCTATGTTATTTCAGTAAGATTTAACAAGCAAAG
The DNA here is from genome assembly GCF_000001405.40 of Homo sapiens. NCBI lineage: Eukaryota > Metazoa > Chordata > Mammalia > Primates > Hominidae > Homo > Homo sapiens. Next base: position 60,114,718 of record NC_000005.10, on the reverse strand, counting down.
TGATGATGGATGAGAGTTCCTTTGCAGCCTGGTGAGATTTTTACTTCATGTAAAGCAAAGCATTTTGGGGCAACATCAGGGATAAACTTGTGGAATGAATCATTTGGTTTTTCTTTAGTATATCCTGTCCACCATTGGGAACCAGATTCAGTAATTATGTTCTCTGGTTTGTACTCATCATAATGTCTTGACCTCCAGCTCTGAAACAACATATTTCCTGAGAGATGCTGATTGTATTTTGTGAGGTTCTGCAGGGTCAAGTAAATTGAGGATGTCTTTATTCTGCATTTGACTAATCTGAATTAGATAGTCTTAGCCATTAAAACTTTAGAAAGCACATAATGACCAATTACAAGTGAGAGAATTTTTTTCAATAATGCTTTATATTTTCTAAGTACCGATACAGATGTTTTATTACATTTAAAACATGATTGCCCTACCACTTCACTTATATTTTAAAAACTAAGTTGCCATCTTGTAAAAATAAATACATGGATATCATTTACAAGTGATATCAGTTAATACCTAATGTGAACATCCATTGTGTACTGAGTCTATGAAATACTACTAGTTACTATGAAAATGTGAGATTCACCGAATCGGGTGGAGCATCAACTTTATTATCCACATAGGTTACCCATTTCTTATATCATAGCTTTGGTTGTATAATTTATTTCAACAGAGTTTAGTTAAACATTTTCCACTGTTATTAGGTACTGCCACTCTACATTCCAGTAAATATTGCCACCATGTTGCAGAACAATTTTTGGACAACCAGGCATATCTTTGGAGTTGAACTATGTGGAGGTACTACTGGTGCTGTGAGGGATCACCTGTAAACCTGGCAGTTTTAGGTGGCCTCTAGACGTTATAGGGTCAAGGGAGAAATTTTTTTTGTTCTTGTTGTTTAATACTGTGAGTACATTTAAATGCTCATGTAAAAGAGCCAACTTAGAGGGAGTGGTTGAAGACACAAGAGAGATAAGAGCTGATTGTTATGGCAAGGTCTCTGGCTAGGCAGAAGTGAATGGGTCGAAGAGAACAGATTTAGGAACTGACCTTCTATCAGGAGAACAATATTTCTTCCAATGTCATGGGGGAACATAGAGACTCAGGGGGTCTGTAACCATGTATGGCCCCCAAAGGACTGGACACATGGTGAGCAACTATGGTAGGATGAAGGGAGGCATGTTAGGAAATGTCCAGCTCCGAGGCCTCCACGTGACCCCTAGGTGAGAAGCTGCCATGATTCCTTAATAGGGAGCAACACAAAGACTAAAATGATGGCAATGTAAGGGTTAAGGAAAAGGTGATTTTAAAAGCTTCTTGAGGGTAAAGTCCATCTGTGTTCACTTTTGTGATCTTTGTTGCATCCTTCTCAATCTTGCATATTGTTGATCTCAAATAAGTTTATGGTATTTATTATGTTCAAAAAAGTTACAGTTTCTTAAGTTTCTTCTATTTTCTTAAGGAAGGAGGTGATAGGATGGAGGGGGCATGATGCCAACTTGACTCTCCTGCTTAGGACTTGCCCTTCTTTTAAATGGTGAACACAGAGTTACATTATTTAATGCATAATGTGAAAGTGACAGAGGCCCTGATTATTGGAGTATAAAATTTTATATTATTATGGAGGCTAAAAAGTACATGACTGGACTTTTTCATACAATAATTCAAAGTAAGCCCATGGAACATCCTCTTCAAATGAAGTTGACGTACGTCTCATCTCCCTGGATTGGATGCCCAACCCTCACCCTTGAAAGCAGCTTGTGGATAACTCAGGGCAAACAGAAGCAGAACCCTCATGAACCTTCTCTCTTCTGGAAATTTTGGATGGCGTTACAGAATGAGGCAAAAATAAAGTTACCTTCTTCTCTTTTCTTGGATTAAAGATCCCAGAGCCATTCTCCTCTGTGTTCTCTACTTGGACCTTGTATAGTGTAGGATATAGCCAGGAACTAAGGATCCTCGGTTGACTCATAGTCGGCAGAGGGTGTTATGGCCCTCCTGAGAGAGTGACCTTGAGGAGAGAATCTATTCAGATGGTTTTATGACAAGACCAAAGTAACATTTCTTAGTTACCTCTTAGCCAGAGTTTAGTGTTAAGTTTGCCCTGAAGTATAGTTTTCAAAATAATGAGATCAGGCATATGCTATTTTGACTAAGTAGAATACCCAATAAAATAAGTCATTCAAGTTGTGACTGAAAGTTCGGATGGTCCTTATGGAATCAAGGTGACCAAATAACATGATACTAAACCAGAAGTGAGTCATGTTGTTTATCATACTGTTTTTATAAATTTTGTATAATACAACCCCATACGACCCCACACAGTTCAAAACAGTAGTGGTTACTCACTCCATGGAGAAGATGTCAAAAGTAAAAGGAATAATACATTGGTTATGATGTCTGAAATTGGGCACATAAGCATTTAGTTTTGTTGGTGAATAATGTTCAGAATGAAAATTGACACACTCTTTGGATTATCAAGCTTTTTAAAAAGTATAATTAATCAGTTTTTTAATGAAATATACAGAAATATAATGGCAGCTCTTCTATTAGTGAAGTTTCCTGAGGCAGCTGGATTGATTGAAGGCTTTACCTGGTTCATTTGGATTCTACTTGTAAAGCATGAAGAAACCAACTTTAGGGTCAGGAATTTTCCATAAGTCAGGTTTTTTTTAAAAGCCATATAATCGATGCAGATATCAAAACATTAAGATGAGATAAAAATAGCTTTTAATCAAGTAAGTTAAATTAAATAACTGTTAAGGTTCAAATCATGAATTAAATCTAGATGTTTGGCAAAGACAAAAATCTTTATAAAAGGATAAAATAGTCTGGGAATAAAGTATTTGTCATTCCCATATCAAATGAGAACAAAACTAATAATTTTATTAACTTTAGGTTTTTATTGTATTAAATAACATCATTTTTATTTACTTTATCACAAGGTATATTTTTCTTTATTATATGTCTTTGTAGAAAACCTAGTAACATTCCTGTGTGACTGAATAGATTAATCACAGATATACCCATCTGGAAAAATGCATGCTACTATAAGAGATGAGTGAAATATATAAAATTTATATTTTAATTCTTATGCTAATTAGTTAAATGGGGGAAGATGTATGTCCAGAATATTTGCTCTTAATAGGACATCGTAGTGAAAACCATTCCAATGATGATGACTAATAAATGTGTATCTTCAACATTGTATAATGCCCAGGAATATTTCCAAATAAAGAATTTCTAGGTAAGATGTTTAACAAATATATGATACTTTTGTTTTCTGGGTGAATGTTCAAACTAATTTCCTGGGGATCATTGTGCTCAGTACTTATAGTATCATTAATATTATTGTTGACATATAATAATAACCAAAAATATCCTGGTCAGATAGGTTTTTTCTTTTTTAGCTGATTCATAATCATTGTACATATTTATGGGGTACAGAATGATATTTCAATATGCGTATACAATGTGTAATGATCAAATCAGGGTAATTAGCGTATACATCACCTCAAACATTTGTCATTTCTTTGTGTTTTGAACATTGAAAATCCTCTCCTCTAGTTTTTGAAAATACACAATGGATTATAGCTAACCATGTTTACCCAACAGAGCTACAGAACACCAGAACTCATTCCTCTCATCTAGCTATAATTTTATATCTGTTAACCAACTCCTTCCCATCCTCCTCTTCCCCCATCCTTCCCAATCTCTAATACCCACAATTCTACTTTACTACCATGAGCTGAATTTTTTATTTTAGCTCCCTCTTATGAGTGAGAATGTGCGGTATTTATCTTTCTGTGCCTGACTTATTTCACTTAACATAATATCCTCCAGGTTCATCCACATTGCTGAGAATGACAGGATTTCATTATCTTTTTGTGGCTGAATAGTATTTCATTGTGTGTATATACCACATTTTCTTTATCTATTTGTCTGTTGGTAGACATTAAGGTTGATTCCATATCTTAGCTGTTATAAGTAGTGCCGCAATAAACATGATGGTAGAGGTATCCCTCTGATATATTGGTTTCCTTTCCTTTGGATAGATACCCAGTAATGGGATTGCTACATCATATGTTAGTTCTATTTTTAGTTTTTAAAGAAATTTCCAGATTGTTTTCCATAATGGCTATACTAATTTACATTTGCACCAACAATGTATAAAAGTTGCCTTTTCTCTGCATCTTTGCCATCATTTGTTATTTTTTCTTTTTCATAATGGCCATTCTAACTGGGGTGAGATAATATCTCATTGTGGTTTTGATGATTAGTGATGTTCAGCATTTTCTCATATACCTGTTGGCCATTTGCAAGTCTTTTGAAAAGTGTCTATTCAGATATTTTGCCCACTTTTGAATCACCTTATTTGTTTTTTTCTGTTGAATTGTTTGAGTTCCTTGTATATTCTGGATATTAGTCCATTGTCAGGTGAATAGTTTGCAAATATTTTCTCCCATTCTACAGGTTGTCTCTTCACACTGTTGATTGTTTTCTTTTCTGTACAGAAACTTTTTAGTTTAATATAGTCCCATTTGACTATTTTCGTTTTTGTTGACTGTGCCTCTGAAGTCTTAGCCAAATAGTTTTTATTTCCTTCAAATAGCTTTGGCATTTGAGTACCACTTCGCTCATTCCAGAAAAGCAACCACCCAACCAAAAGAATAGGTTTTTAATTTTTTTTTAATTATTATTATACTTTAAGTTTTAGGGTACATGTGCACAATGTGCAGGTTAGTTACATATGTATACATGTGCCATGCTGGTGTGCTGCACCCATTAACTCATCATTTAGCATTAGGTATATCTCCTAATGCTATCCCTCCCCCGTCCCCTCACCTCACAACAGTCCCCAGAGTGTGATGTTCCCCTTCCTGTGTCCATGTGTTCTCATTG